>NC_000016.10:79505682-80130682 GCF_000001405.40 Homo sapiens
CCCAGGTGGCCAGCAAGACAAATAAGGTGAGGCGACTGGGGTCTACATCTTGCATTCCTGTGGCCAAACGGTCCCTTGGAAGGCTGGAAGGCCTGAGGCCAGGAGGCCATGGGGATAGGGAGCTGGGGATAAAAATGCACTCATGAGAAAAGAAGCAAGAGATATTCACGTGGCAGTGACCAGAATGCGGGAGAACTTGGGACATGGCAGACAAAATCTGCACACCCAACGCAAAGAACAATGGATAGAAGGAAGAGGAAGGAAAAGAGAAAGAAAGAAAGAAAATAGAGAAGGAGCAAAAGAAGGGAAGGGGAAAGGAGAAAAGGAGGAAAGAGAGGAGGAAAAGAAGAGGGAGGAGAAGTCGTCATTTTTTCCCAGGCTATAAGGAAGGATGTCTCTCCTACTGAGCAGCATAATTTGATCCCCAAGAGTGAAATATGCAATAAGAAAGAGATTTCTTGGAGTTGGATTAATGATAGTCTAAAAATGTAAAATCAACTGAATATTTACTCTGTAACCAGCTATTGTCCCAAGTCCTTTCTTTGTATTCCATTTCCAGGACATACATCTGAAATGGATGCCTTCTGTAGCCTCATTTTAATGCTAAGGAAGCTGAGGCTCGGCAAAGTCCAAGGCCTTGGGTTCCTTTGCCCATGATTTTTTTATTTCCTGGGGGAAGGACTCAGGGTTTGAACAGAGAGTGGCTCAACCTCAGAGTGTGTGCCCATGACCAATATCTCTTAGCGTCTTTGGCAAGCAAAGCAGCAGCTGAAGATCCCCAGCCCAGCACCCATAAAGGGTGAGGCTCTCCTGCATGGGAACTGGAATCATGCATAGCAGAGAGAATGTGGGGAAGACCTGAAACCAGGGCTGGTAGATAAAAAGGAAGACGGTGAAGTGTAGAACCAAGAAGAGGGGCCAGAGAGGAAGGCCAAGACCCAGAGGCAGTATTTTACTTTTCACAGGAGGGGCTGGATGGAACTGTGTTGAGGCAACACTCATGCTGTGTGCATGGTGCACCTAGAGGGGCATGGGTCTGTGAGCTGTTCAGGGTCTCACTGGGTGATGAAACAGCAAGAGAACCAATGATGCTGCCACTGAAGGAGTGAAGAAGAGAGATGGGGAGTAGACTCAAGATGGGGCCAGGTCAGAAAGAGCCCCAAAGGCTATGATAAGAAATTTGGATTTTATTTTTAGTGGGAATGGACAAAAATAAAGGGTTGAAACCAAAGAAATGCCAGCACTGGACTTAGAGGGGTGTATAGGAACTCCTGGGTACTTTGTGCTCATTCCTTCTGTAAACCTAAGACTGCTCTTATAAATAAAATCTAGAATAATATCTATCTTTCTTCCTATCTGTCAACCTCTGCTGTTTGTGTGTACCACTAGTGTTATTTAAAAATAAACCATGCTTAATTAACTTTTCTGCGTCTTTTTTTTTTTTTTTTTGAGATGGAGTTTTACTCTCTCGCCCAGGCTGGAGTGCAGGGGCGTGATCTCGGCCCACTGCAAGCTCTGCCTCCCGGGTTCATGCCATTCTCTTGCCTCAGCCTCCCAAGTAGCTGGGATTACAGGTGCCCACCACCATGCCTGGCTAATTTTTTTGTACTTTTTTAGTGGAGACCAGGTTTCATTGTGTCAGCGAGGATGGTCTTGATCTCCTGACATTGTGATCCGCCTGCCTTGGCCTCCCAAAGTGCTGGGATTACAGGCGTGAGCCACCAAGCCCAGCCCTTGCATCTTACTTTTTTATTTTTTTTGAGACAGAGTCTCACTCTGTTGCCCAGGCTGGAGTGCAGTGGCATGATCTCGGCTCACTGCAAGCCCTGCCTCCTGGGTTCATGCCATTCTCCTGCCTCAGCCTCCTGAGTAGCTGGGACTACAGGCGCCCACCACCATGCCTGGCTAATTTTTTTGTATTTTTAGTAGAGATGGGGTTTCACTATGTTAGCCAGGATGGTCTCGATCTCCTGACCTCGTGATCCATCCGCCTCGGTCTCCCAAAGTGCTGGTATTACAGGCGTGAGCCACCGCGCCCGGCCGCATCCTACTTTTCTACTCAACATGTGTTTGGGAAATCTCGTAAATGAACTGATAAGCATGTAAGTCACTGCAATAAGGGTTGCCAAATATCCCATTTTCTCTAGTACTCATAAGCATTTTCTTCTGTTGGAGTTTGTATGCATCCATTATAAAAATATATAAAATACCTAATTGTTATTACCTGAAAGCATTAGACTTGGGTTTCATGAAAATCTCATTCTTTTTAAGTGGGGGAAAGGGCCTATTTGGTGATGGCCGCAGTCCTGCAGTGTGAGAGGATGGTGGATCAGAGCAGAGCAGGAGACATGGACGTGAGGACTAGATTTGCAGCAGGAAAAAGGGATGGAAGAAGAGTCTCCACCACGGGGAAGGAAGAAGGCGCAGCATGGGAGCAACCCTTGGAAGGAGCGGGGAGTCATTCATTGCAAACCCTGAGCCACTGTGCAGGGGATAATTCTGCCCTTCCAGATCCACTGTGCTCCCTTGCTCAAATCTGCCTCACCCAGGGAGGCCGCGTGGTGTCTGGATTGGCTGAGCACCTCTCAGGTCTTCTGGCTTCTTGTTGGACTTGGCCAATGGGGAGTGTTCGCAGGAGGTAGGCAGCAGAGTGAAACTGAGTATTCATTTCCCTGACTCCTTCCCTCTCTGTGGGGTCTCCACTGAACTGCTTTCTCCATGGGCCTCTCTCCTCCTGGGTGTAGGTCACTCCTTCCTAGCCTTGCCCCTTCATGCCTAGAGTGTAGCAACTCCTGCTGTTGCCAGTCCCAGGGCGCTGCTCAGCAGTACTGCTTCTGCTTCCCTCTCCAGTGCGTTCTTGGCACCTGCTTTGCACCAAAGGCTCCCCAGCTCTTCCGGCTGAATATGCCGTTTCCAGCCAGGGCTCAACAGCTACCATCCTACCAGAGCCCACTTTCCTACCCTATACTGACTTAAAGTAAATTACATATAGCACAGACTACATAAAGGAAAATCTTGCACAAAAACCAAAAACTTGCATGGACCTCAAAAACATTATGGTAATTGAAAGAAGACACACCAGAAAGGGCATGTCTCATAGGTTTCTATTTATCTGAAATGTCGAGAAGAGGCAAATCCATAGAGACAGACAGTAGATTAACAGTTCCCAAGGCTCGGGGAGAGGGAATGGGGCGTGACTCTTAATGGGTATGAGGCTTCCTTTGGAATGGGGGGAAATGTTTTGGAACTGTATAGAGGTGATGTCTGCCTGGCACTGAAAGTGCTAAAGGCCAACAAATTGTATACTTTAAACCAGATAATTATATGTTAAGTGAATTTCACCTCAATTAAAAAATAATAACTATAATTCATGATAGCTACTGCTCTAGTCTTCATATTTATATCTCTGTTTATCTCCTTTGGGGCTTTTACCCTGGACACACGTAGGTTGCACTGCTGAAGTTACTTGACTTTTTTGCTGCCTTGGTGAAACCATCTCCGAGGCGTGGTAGCAAACCCTTGGCATTCTAAGCAGAAGCAGAATAAAAATAGGACTTCTCTTTGAAAAGGAGAAGTGGAGACGTGAACCATGCTGGTCTCTAACAAAGCCCTCTAGGCCCTGGTTGTGATGCACAGCCCAGGAAGGAGGAGGCAGTGAGGAAGGAAGCCACAAGAAGCGGGGCACATTCCCCACATCCAGTCCTGGGAGGAGAAGCCTTTGTCTCTTCCCTCTCTGCCGTCAGCTTTTGCCAGAAGAGCTCGAATGTTTACACAGCTTGGCTGGCAAGGATGTTGGCAGCGGGGCCCTTGCTGGATGGAACACGAGGCCCTGCTGGGGCTCTGAGACCAACTCTGATGCAGACCTCTCCCGCCTCCCACCCGCCTTCCCATTCCTGGCTGGAGAGGGCCGGGTCTGGGCCAGCACAGGGCAGGAAAGACCTGGGGATATTGGCCAAGGCCTGCGTTACCTTGGCCTGAGCGTGTAATTCATTCACAGTGGGGGCCCAGGGCCTGGCATGGCATTGCCTCTCCCTCAATTTCTCTGGGGATGCGTGCTCTTTTAGGCCTGGTTTTGATATCACTCCACTGTTATCCACAAAAGCACCAAACTTATTTTGTTTCTTAGGCTCTGATGAGCCTCTTCTTATCAATGCCTCTTCTGTGTCTACTGGTGAGAATTAACTTGTCAGAGAGAGCCACATCCAGAATTCATGGAGCAACTGGGTTGAAAGGGAATATCAGAAAACCCCAGGGAAGGGACTCACCGCTGAAGGATAGCGGAGGGTATCCTGAGTTTGCCGTAGGAAGCAGGGACTCTTCCTAAATCGCTTTGGACATGGCAGAACAGTTACAAAGTCACTGGAATCAGGTTTGTAAGAAACTCTGCCATTTACTAGCTCGGCGATTGCAGGACGGCTACCGAACTTTAAGCCTCAGTTTCTTCCTCCATAAAATGGGTACAACAACTGTGTTTATCCCCTGTATGGATTGTGAGTTAAAGGCAAATATAGTGCTTAGAAGCACATTGGCCCACAGCAAAAGGGCTCAATAAATATTGCCTATTTTTATTGAACATATATTTGCCTCCTCTTGGCTTCTTCATTGCTCTCATTTGGAAAATGAGGACACTAGAAGAGAGACTGTTTCTCGAGAATCCTCTGATTGTAAAGCTGTCTAATTCTGAGGTTTTATTAATGTTTTCTAACTGGTCCTGGAGGTGTGGTATCTCCCCGCAGTCTGGGGACTATCACCCCACCCTTCAGAACAGCCTCTGCTTCTTTCGAGATGTTCTGGGATGGAGACACAGTTTGGGTTCCAGAATAGAGGCAGAGTTTGGGTTCCAGAATGGAAGGTTCTGTTTCCTTCCATTGCACACACTTTTAAGGCAGTTGCTCATCAAAGGGACAATGGAAAGCCACCCTGGGATCTATTTACTGTCATACCCAGAAGACTTGTGACCTAAACAAGCACACAATAGGGACAGCTTCATGGGCCTGTGACCTGTGCCCTCAAAGGGGACATACACATCGAATGCTCTGCTGTAGCTGTCTTGACATTTTAATAATTTTTGAACAAGAAGCTCCACATTTTCATTTTGTGTTGGGCCCCACACATTGGGTAGCTGGTCATTTCTGCATGCAGGCCCTGAAGGTCACCACTGTCCAAGTGTGTGCAAGTGTGCATTTGTGTGTCTATATGTGTGGTTGGGACAGAGAGGGATTCTTTTGAATTTTAAGTTGCTATATGTGAAGAGATGCTTCTATCAGCACTGGTTGCAGAAAAGAAGCCCAGCTAATTGTGAGTGGGTTCCAAACCTGGCCCCCTGCACCTAGAAGATATAGTCAACCCCACTGCAGCGGCAGCTGGGAGGCCAGAAAGCAGCAAATGAGCTGACTCATGAGAATCTCCCCGCGCACAATGGCGGGGTGGTGATTTTTCTCTGCCTTACTTCTGTGTCTCCTGCAGATGATGTATGAATTGCCTTATTTACCTTTTCTCTCCAAACCTTCTCCCTTATTATTTTTATTAATGTCATGCCAACCCCGAAAAGGAGTTTCCTTTTCAAAAAAAAAGAAAAGAAAAGGAAAGAAAAGATCCCCCAACACGTCATTCTCATAGCCAAGAGAATGTATTTTTTAAAATACTAGTATTTGTGTGTATGTGATTTAAGAGAGAGAGAAAGAGAGAGAGGGAATGGTTTACTTATATGAGAGTCCAAAATTTGAATAGAAATACTAACAAATTCAGGTCTTTATTTCTGAAAAGGCCAGACTGCCCAGGAAAGTTTTATCATCTTAACTGACAATAAAAACATTGCTGCATTTAACAAATTTTAATTTCAAAAATAAGGGAGACGTAGAATGCATTTAGAGCCAGGAGAGAGATGTGTGCGGTGTTACATGCACAAGAAGCATGTTACTGGCTTCCCAGCAGCCTGATCCTGGCACTTAAGATAATATGTATGGTACATATATCTCTGCCATTTATTGAGTGCTCACCAATCGGCATTCAGTAGCCCATTGGGCCTGCAAAATTTCCTGTGAGATAGGTGAGTCCCAGCTTACAGAGGATGAAACTGAGGCTTAGAGAAAATCAATAAACTTGCCCAGGGTCACACATCTCACACTAGAACCAACATTGGAATTCATCTCCATCTAGCTTCAGAGCTCATGGTAATAAATTCTACATATTTACCTCTGCTTCGGTCTGCAAACATAAGCCACCTTGATTAGCTGCAGCAAAATACCAGTCACAGATTGGCCAGACTGCTGCTCTGTTATATATTCAACATCTCAGGGGACAGAGTTGAGAAGTGATCTCTCTAACCTGACACCCAGTGCACGAACTTCTTCTCCAATATTCCTTGTTATGGATTCTTTTTGATTATTCCCTGTGATGGCGAACTCACTACCTGTAGAGACAGCCTGCTTCATAATCCCATAGCTCTTTGAATGACAATGTTTTTCTTTATCTTGAAAGACAGATCTTTCATCCTCTACCCTTGGATCTAAGCTAGAGGCACAAAGAACAGGCAAAGCTTCACCTTCAGTACAGGTGGGCCTCCCAGACTCTTTATTTTAAGGCAGAGCCCCTTTCAATTTCTCAGTCGTTTCTCCACGAAGCCAGTATCCAGACCATTTTCAAGCCAGCTCAGGGTACTGGTCTCTGGTTGAAGAAAATGAACCTTCCAGCTTTGCCCATCTGCACATGAGCTTTGAGGGTTGGGGGTCCACTCCTAGGCCAGCGGTGCAGTGGGTTCCACATTCCATGGAGCAGATGTGATCAGCTTGGGTTTCAGAATCCAGGCCCATCTCCAGGTGTCCTATTAGGGGAGAAATGGCGGCTCCACCTGGACCCCCAGCTCACCATCTGAGCTGACTCTCTTCTGAGAAGAAACCTCCTTCTGCCCGGCAGTTGGGGAGCTCATTATGAATCCTAGGAAGGTGAGGGTGTGCCGTTTATGAAAACAACTGTTTAATAGCTCCCAGATCATCCATATTCAAATGTGAAGAAAATAATGGTAAAGACGTAATAAAGTAACAGATGTGCGTGAGTCAGGTTTTGTGGCAGGAAAAAATGTGGGTTTGCTGGTATTGATTTCACTCTTCCAAGGGTTAAGGATGGATGTAGGTGTGTTTCCAGGATGGGTCTCGCAGAGCCCAGGGCCGTGGGCAGCACAGCGCCGAAGACATTCCACACGTGCTGTATACCTGTATAGGCACACGCATCCATCCAGGTGGCTGCAGATGTCAAGCAGCGCGAGAGAGGGGCTGAGTTGCAACACAAAGGTGCTGACTGCTCAACTCATGTGACCACAGAGCTAGGTCTGCCCAGAGGGAGTGCCTTTTCACCTTTTCCCACTGTGCATAAAGTTGCCTGTAAGCACCAGCAGCAATGCTGTGAGCATAAATGCACGTGTGCATGTGGGTGTGCAAGCTCACACTCTCACACTGGTCCTCACCAGGGTGGAGGACAGACCAAAGCCCTATAGCCCGGGCGACAGCCCCTTGCTCCAGGCATCAACAGCCAGATACTCAACTCAGCAGTAGCTTAGAGGCAGCCTGTCGCAGTAGACGGAACAGGTTTTACAGCCACAGAAACATGATTTTTAATTCTAGTTCTGCAACTGACTAGCTATGTGGCCAAAAGCGTGTCACAAAACCTTGCAGAATGTCAAGTTCCCCAACTGGAGCATGAGAACAATGAAAGAGAATCACCTTATGGAGCTGTCATGAGGATTTGAGATAATAGACGTGCTAACTTCCTAAGCTGCTCCTGGAGCACAGCAGACGGTCAATGAAACAGCATTTTGGAAGTAACTGTGCAGTTGAAGGCAAATACATGGGAGGGAATCTAGCAAAGTGGTTGTGAGCAGTGTTTCTGAAGTCAAACAGCTTGAGAAAGGAATTCTAGTTTTACCTTTGACCAGTTGCGGAATCTCAGGCAAGTTACTTAATCTCCCTGTCCCTCTGTTTCCTAATCCATAAAATGGAAACAATAAGCTTGTTGAGCTTATTGAGCTCATGAGCCTGCTGTGGGAAATAAATGAAACATATGTTTAAAAGCGCTTAGCTGAGAACCTGGTGTGTAGGACACGTTCCATATATACTACCTAATAGTATTGCTTTTCCAACCCAGTGAAGGCTGTCTTTTCCACCGGGTAGGCTGTGTCCCATGCAAACTTTCCTGGATGTGAAAACTCCAGTCTTTTCGGCACTGAATATCTCCGATGCAATTCAAAAGCACGACAATAAATCCTCATCAAAGGAAAGAATGGAATCAATAAAAAGAACACCTTCCCCCCACCCTTCCCCTCACCACAAAAGAGGAACATTTAATATCTGTTCTCAGTGTCTATTTTATCCCTCCTTCCCCTACATTTTAGTAAGTTTAATTTCTGAAATGTTTAACAGTTGTTTTCAGATAAATCACAGTCAAGCTTTCTGGCCCAATTCATAGAACTTTTCATTGCACGGGGGAAATAAGCTCTTCCGGCTTGTTGGAGAAAAGCAAATGTGTTCTCATTGTCTATTCATAGTGGAGTCGCTGGGAAGGGACCTTGAACGCGCAGCTTGTCAGACTTCCCATTACCTATCATTCAAATGTGTAGCAGAATTCTTTTAAAAATTGATTGCTGGGTTTTTGTCTTTTGTTTTGGTGGGGGAGTGGTTTACAGGTATGGTTTCATAAATAATAGCTTTGTAAAGATGAGCTTTCCTACAAATAATATGGAAATATTCACAGAATGGGTGCAAATATAGTATATATACATGATTCCAAAGGGGGACATCCCAAATTCCTTGTCAGTTGAGAATTGAAGACTGTATCAGCTTATGACCCAGAGCTTTGATTTTCCTAAGCATTTCCCTGCATGGTAGCCACACCACCAGTTTCTTCCAGCAGAATGACTGAAAATTTAGGCTGTAGTGGCAGAAAAATCTCGGTTTGAAACTAAGATCTATAACTCCTATGGATAGTCCCTGTCTACCTCTACAGACCCAATCTCCATCCTTCTCTATCCAATTCTGTGCCCTGGGAGGCTGTCGTAGGCGGCCTCTATCAATCAGGGACTCCATTGTTTTCTGGATGCTGGCTGGATTTAGCCAACGAAGTTCACTGATAGCGGCTTGGAAGCCAGATAAAAGTATGTTTGGTGTAAATTCTCCTGCGCTTCTCTCCAACAGACCTCATGGTTGCAATAGGTATTTTTCTCTTCGCAAGCCCTTTTCTTCCACTAGGACCCTAGGACTCTCTCTGGGCTCTGACTTGATGTCTCCTTCATTAACTTGCCACCATTACCGTGCTCAAGTGAGCATGAAAGATGCTTCATACTGGCTGACAAAGACTTCATCTCTTCAAACCTCCGCTCACACCTTTGTAAATGGGGGACAGAAAAAATGTCTACCTCATCCAGGTGTAAGGATCAAATGAGATGACACAGGTAACATTATGGCCTGACACAGACTTCACTGTGTTCAATAAATGGCACCTGTTATTTTTCGCCATTGTCATTGTCATCCACTTAGACTTCAACGCTGCTGACCCTTACTCCTAGTAGTCCCTGATAATTGTCTATGCTGGCGATTAGTGCCACTCATCAAAATACAGATGGTGCCCAACTTTTGATGGTTCCACTTATGGAATTTTTGACTTTACTACGGTGTGAAAGTGACACACATTCAGTAGAAACTGTACTTTGAATACCCATACAAACATTCTGTTTTTCACTTTCAGTACAGTAGTCAATGAATTTCCTAAGTTATTCAACACTTTATTACAAAACAGACTTTGCGTTTGATGATTTTGCCCAACTGTAGGCTAACGTAAGTGTTCTGAGCACATTTTAAGTAAGCGAGGCTAGGCTAGGATGCTAGGTAGGTTAGGTGAATTAAATGCATTTTTGACTGATGACATTTTCAGTGCATGGTTTATAAAGCTATAGCCCCATCTTAAGTTGAGAAGCGTCTGTATTTACAACTCTCCTCCTCCCAGATAAGAGGCTGGGCCGTGCTTCCTGCCCTTGCTACACTTGGGCATGAACGTGAGACCTGCCTTGACCAGGAAGAGATGTGAGTGGCAGTCACATAAGTTGCCTCCAGGAAGGAGGTCTGAGATCCAGTGATGGAATCACTACATTCTATCAGCCTCACTGATCACAGAAACATAGGTTGAGATGGAGCCTCCATCATATGGAGTCTGAGTGACAGTGACAATGGGCATAGCCCCTCTTGCTAACCCACACTGCACATGTTACTTGGACAAAAATTAAGCCTTTTTTTTTTTTTTTTTTTTTGCAGTGCCTCAAGCTAAGGTAAATGAGGACCAGAGAGATGAAGCTCCTGGCTCAAGTGGCTCCTATCCCATGATTCCAGCTCTCCAGCAATTCTCCCCCACTCCCACCTCTATTCGATTCTGGGGCCGAAAGCCAGCAAGGCAGAGCCACTGGGACCTTCCCTGCCTGAGAAGCGCATAGAAGTAAGACCCTCGAACAGGTCCAAGCTGGGCCCATCACAGAAAACAGATGTCCACTGAGGGTCCAGCATCGGGATTTAGGGCTATTTTTTACAATGTTACTGAATGAATAAATTCCCCCAAGACTTACATTTTAAAATTTAAGAGTTGTCACCTATTCTGTTCTAAGGATGCCTAGAAGGAATATCGGCTTTAGCTCAACTTCCCATGGCGAAGGGGAAAACTGCTGTGTGCTATGATAAATGATTTACAAACCTTCTTTGTTTAAAATTTCCTTAGAACAAGGCAAAGGTGAGTATTATTATCCCAGGCTCAGAGAGGATGAATGAGGCTCAGAGATGTTAAGTAAATTGTCTAAGGTCCCAAAGCTAGTAATAGATGTAGTAATAATTAATATAATACATGATGATTTTAGTTGACATTTGTCAAATGTTTACTCTGTGCTAGACACTGCTAATCCCTTCCTGTGGATTAACTCATCTGTGATGTGCTCATGGAATGTGTCTCTGAAGATGGCAATTTTATTATTACCATTTGGTAAATGAGAAAAGTGATTCAAGCCCTGGGCTCATTTTCCAAGATCTTCTCCACTATCTGGTGTTTCCCAGACTGTGTACCCTGGAGCTCTAGAGGTTCCATGGAATCTACTAAAGAACAAGGAAAGACAGAGCTAACGTCTCAGGGCCAAGTTCTTTTCTTAATCTTAAAGCAGCTAGACCTTCAACTACATTGTTGTTGCTTTTTCATACGATTTCTTTAAACAAAATTTTGCATGGCTAGGAAAAGGTTGAGAACCTCTGAACCAGAGGCTTTCTAAGGCAGTTTCCACACTGAATCTTCTAGGATCTGTGAATGGAACCCCAAGTTTTTTTATTTTTTTTTTCTCCAGGACCATAGCACACTGCTCTTTTGTCTTGGCTGTCTGTTTTAGCTATCTGGCATCAGCTGGTACCAGCCAGGTGTTTATCTTTTAGTTTATACTGTAGATTCTATCACCACTGAGGTCTGAGTTCTAATCTTCATTCCTTGGCTCTGAGCCTACCTGGGCCTGATTTCCTCTGTTAGAGGAAAAAGCCCAAAGACCAACCATTCCCACCTGGCTTCAGCCTAGCAGCACCAGAGAGTACTGATGTGGGAAACATGTGGAGACAAACGATTGCCTAATAATAAGACAGACAGACATGCCGATGGCTTGCTCACACACTTTGTCATTGTGCTGTTTCACTTAATTACATAATTTATTTTCTTAACTTGGGCTGCTTACCCAGAGTAACCTGGCAGCAAACATATTCTCAATAATTTAAACAACAAATAAAGTTCAAATAAGTGATCATTCCAGTCTTTCAAATCCAGTTAACCCTCAAGTCTTGGAGCTCCTTTCCCAGAGTGAGGTTTTGAGTGGACTGTTTAGTCTTTTTTTTTTTTTTTTTTTTTTTTGAGATGGAGTCTCGCTCTATTACCCAGACTGGAGTGCGATGGCAGGATCTTGGCTCACTGCAATCTCTGCCTCCTGGGTTCCAGTGATTCTCCTGCCTCAGCCTTCCAAGTCACAGGGATTACAGGCACCCGCCATCATGCCCGGCTAATTTTTGTATTTTTAGTAGAGACAGGGTTTCACCATGTTGGCCAGGCTGGTCTCAAACTTCTGACCTCAAGTGTTCCACCCGCCTCGGCCTCCCAAAGTGCTGGAATTACAGGCATGAGCCACCGCTTTTGGCTTAGTCAGCCTTTAACTACAAAGTTGGAGCTCTGAAAACATACCCACAATAGTGGACCAAGGGCAGGGTCTTTTTGCCAAGACCTACAGCTCTGCTTCTTTTGTCTGGAAACTCAACAGTAGTTGCTTTTCCTCGTTGTGCTACTAGTTAATCATATATATGAAAATGGATTAGCACTCACTTGATGCCGGGCATCCTATTAACCTTTGTAGACATTAGTTTATTACATTCTCTCAACCGTGCTATGACACAGCCCACAGTATCTCCCATTTGGCAGGTGAAGAAGTAGAGATTTTGAGAGGATAAATCATTTGCCCAATGTCACATTGCTAGAAAGTGGGGGACCTGAGGTTTCACCCAAGGAACATGAACCTAGAACCTGTGCCAGTGCATGATACTGGCAAAGACATCTTGCCTGCTCCTTGGGAAGCCATTCGATGGCTTGCCTGGGAATTTTGGTGTCCTTCTCTGGGCATCTCAACAGTGAGCTCCCTGGCTGGCTGGAGAAGTCATTAACAACACAAGCTCTGAATCTAGACAGATACATCTTGTAGAACTCTCATGGGGAATCCTGAAAACCACTGGTAGATCTTCTCACTCAACAGGCTACGTGGAGGAGGAGTAGGGAAACACAGGCTCTGCAGTCAGCTGCTTTGGATGTGATCCTAGCACCAACTGTGACCAGCTATCTGACTTTGGGAAAGTTACTTGGCCCCTTGGTGCCTCAGTTTCCACATCTGTGAAATGCTGATAACACTTTACATAGTAAAGTTATCGTGAGGATAAAGTTAATATATGTAAAACATTGAAAACAGTGCCTGGCATATAATAAGTGCTTTATACCTCAGGTCGGAAGTTCAAGACCTCATGGAGAAACCCCATCTCTACTAAAAATACAAAAATTAGCCAGGCTTGGTGGCGCATGCCCATAATCCCAGCCACTCGGGAGGCTGAGGCAGGAGAATTGCTTGAACCCAGGAGGCGGAGGTTGCCATGAGCCAAGATCATGCCACTGCAGTCCAGTCTGGGTGACAAGAGTGAAACTCTGTCTCAAAAAATAAATAAATAAGTAAATAAGCTTTATAAATCTTAGCTAGCATTATTAACTCTATTACTTACACAAGAACTATAAGCTCCTAGGAATGGAAGAGCCATGCATCTATCACATGTCTTAGTGTAATAATAATATTACTAATGCCTTGCAATTATATTTCACTTTCCAAAGTTCCTCCTGCCTATTATCTTGGTTGATCCTCACAACATCACTGTGGCAGAGATCCTCTCCTTTGTACATGGAGAACCACAGAGGTTCACTGACTTGTCCAAGCCCCCAAACCTGGAGCTGTTACTCTGAGCTCGGGATACCCAGAAACAGCCATGTGACCACCTCAGAGATCTCTGAAGATAATGGAACCCCATGAGATGGGGTATAATGCATTCCAGCTGTGAAGAAAGGCATGCTATGCAATTGCAACTCCCAGAGGTTAGGTCAGCTCTGCCCATGATGGAGAGAACATCTACGGTCTGCCTCTTGCTTTGTCTAAATAGAATGCTACGGGGAGTCTCTAACCCAGAACACGTTTCCAGGGAGAGCTGCTGCCAGGAGCCCTTAGTTTCCACCTTCAAGCACGAAGCAGCATGTTCTGGCCTCCCTTACCACTCTCTGTCCCTCCCTTTCTGCTGCAGTACAAAACCCAGTTCCTTATCGCTTGTCATCGGTAACCATCCACTGGCCCTTGGAGACCAGAAGGGACTGTAGCCCGGGTGGCCTGGCAGGAGTCCAAGCCAGGCGACACTGCTCTCGTATACCCAAGTATCCTGCCTGTGGTTTTCACTGCTGTAATTGTACTGGTTTGCACTTCCTGTCCTAACTCATGGGCCGGTGTGACGCTGAGCGTCCTCTGAACCCTGTGTTCACAGCGCAGGTAGCCAGCTGTGGTCCTGTGATCTGTCACCATGTGGGGAAAAAAGGTAGAGTCCTGGACCCTGTTGACTGCTCGCCCATCCTGCCTTGGCCCTCCTGGCACGGCCATGTGTCCTCCATCCGGGACAGCGCATGTTTGTCAATGCAAGACCTTCTCCCTCTGGAAGGGAACTCTGTCTGTGCAGGTGGAGTTGGGCAGGAGGGGATGCTGGAACTGCATTGAGTAAATACCCCAAGCGTGTGCTGACACACGTTGGGTCAAAAGGTTCGCATAGGTATTGCAAAGACTAGGGCCTCTTCTGAGTTCTGAATATGAATGGCTCAACCATTCAGCAGGCGCCTGCTAACTCTGCTTCTGACATCCCCTCTTGCCAGCTGCTCATGTCTTCCAATGCCAGCTCTTCTTAGCAGCTGGGGCCATCTTATATAATTCAGATCAACTGGCACTCCTGGTTCGAGCCCTTCTATCCTTCCATGAAGTAAAATGGTGAAGTTCTCACCGTTGCCTAAGAGACCCTTCAGTGTCTGGCCCTGCTTCCCTACCACGTACATTTCCCATCTCCTCTGCAGCCATATGACCTCCTTCTCATCACCAGGAGCTGGCCCCATGGCACACAAAGGGCTCTCGTGGTCCTAACCTCATTCCCCACACCCTAGCCTCTCTTCTCTATCTCTCTGTGTGTGTGTGCGTGTGTGTGTGTGTGCTTGCATGCGTCCCCCAGGGTTCTGAAATCTGGATAAGTAGTACATAAATAAATATGGCTTCTCTTATTTACTGTCTAGTTGGTGCCCCTACCACAAAATGGTGGCCAACTTGAAAGCAAATGCTGTTCTGGCAGTGCTAGAGAGACAGAGAGAAAAAAAGCACTGGCTTTGGGGCAAATCAGATCTGGTTTCTGTCCCAACCCTGTGCTTGGGTGGTCTTGGGCCACATTAGTCTACCTGCTAGAGTGTATTTCTGCACCTGAAAGCAAGAGCAGGACACCCAGGGCACCCAACTGCTGGGAAGGTTGTTATTGCTCCTGATGAACATTGGCATTGGCAAGGGAAGGGTATTCACCATGTGCCTGGGACCCTGCTAAGTGCTTCATTTGCTTACCCTACTTCCGTCCTACAACACCCCTAGAAAGAAGGAGTTACCATCACCATATTTTAGATGAATAAACTGAGGCTCAGAGAGTTCAAGTAACTTACCCAAGATCATTCTGTTAGTAATGCTGGAGCCTGGCTATATTAGAATTTCTTTTCCTAACCACTGTATCATACATTCCTGGAGAATTCAATAAAATAATGAAGTAAAGCAAGAATGCATCGAAAGCGCTTAGACGTTGTTGAGGAGGGCAAGGAGCACAGGCAGTTAAAGTGAACATCTTATGCTCAAGTGACTGGGAATTCTAAACCCAAGCTCCACAGTACATACTTTCCCTATTTACTTTTCGTTAATAGAATCGCAACATATCATTGGATCTTAATGGCACCCCAAGGGGGTTAATTATATGATGGGGAATTGTCCTCAGTTTCAACCACTGTTGGTTTAATGGATGTTCCTTCAGAAAAAAGAAATATAGCACATTGATCTTTAAAAAGGAAAAATAAAGATCTCTCAAATGCAGATGAGGAAAGGGAAAAGTTCGCACTCAGCATTCAGCCCACCATTAATCCTCAGGACGCATTTCGTACAGGATCTCTGGGTTCTTCCTGTGGTGGACTTCGGAATTCTAAGGCTGAAGGCTTGCAGCCAGCAGTTTCCCCATCTCCCTGAACAAGACCCTCCTTCTTCTACATAGTCAACATCTCTTAGAAGAAAAAATTCTCTCACCCTCTGCAAACTCACCACCAACAAAGTCCACGCATCACGCAGCCACATCTTTCCAGTGCAAGAACCTCCCACTTGCTTTTGTCTCCGAGACTCAGTTTTCCCATCTATAAAATGGGGTAATACCACTGATTTCAATAGGACAGCTCATTTCAAACAGTTACTGAATAAATTATAATGCGTGCTTTCTATGTGAAAAAGACACCATACTAAGCACTCTAATAAATATATTTCTATCTCACAATCCTATGTAATAAATATTAGAATCATCATCTTAATTTTCCAGAAACAATGCTGGGCTCTGGGGAAATAAAGATAAATAATATGTAGTCCCTGCCTCCAAGGAGATCGACTTCTCATTGAAGAAACAGCCAGGAAAATGGCAATTGCAAGAAAATGGAGTCACTGTGAAGAAAGAGGTGTCAGCTCAGAGTGTAGCAAGCACACAGGCGGAGAATCTGAGGTGTGTAGGGGGATAGAGACAGCATCCTGGGGTGGACAGAGAAACCATGAGATTCAGAGGGGTTGAGCATCTTGCTCAAGAACACACAGCTACTTAGAAGGAGAGCCTGGGTTGAGATCAAGGGAACTTCAGCCCAGACTCTCCACTGTTCCAGTGCTGTTTGATCTCCATTGAGCTCTCAGCTCCCCTGGGATAGAAGCCACATTTCTCTTTTTACATGAGTCTTCCTGCCTATGCAAGGCAGTTCCTCAGTGACTCCATGACACAGATGAGAAACCAGCCTGCAAATGGTGGCCTGTACCTTCCCCACGCCCCACCACCCCCAACAGAGCTGCTAAAGGAGTTGTGTTTGCAGAGTCCTCACCACTTGTGTGCACAAGTTGAAGGAATAACTATCAACTCAAAAATACAGCTGATCAGTTCAATAGACATAGGGTGACTATCCTGTAGCCGGCACAGGGTAAGCATGTCAACAGCCTTCCTAATTTTGCCCCTGCTCTTTGGGAGTTTACACTCAAGCCAGGGAGACAAATGCATGCACAGTTCATGCATCCAAAGGCAAAGCAACCTGAATGTTGCATGCAGGGTCCCAGTAAAGTGCTCTGGGAGTACAGAGAAGCCCATGATTAAATAAAAGAGGCTTCCTGGATTGAGATCAATCCAACGATGGCTTGCTTGCTGGGGCTTTGGGCAAAAGTCATCTAATATCACGAATGTTTTAAGGATTAAACATTTAATGGATTAAGGCTGTAAATGCTCGGAGCTCCTTGGAGAAACTTGTTTCATGAACACCATGCAGTTGGAGAACTCACAGTGCTGGCATATCCCTGAGAACATCATGCTTAGATTTCAAATTCCAGAGAAGAGACATGATGTCTTTCCACCTCAAAATCTTACCCCGCACAGGGAGAAAGGCAGAATGACGGAAAGACAATTTTGAGGATTTACTTCATGATAATAGCATAAGAGTCATCATAAAAATTTTACCCTCTAGGTATTTCTCTCCTGGCATCTAATGGTTTTTCCATCTTGAGCTTTTTCTGATCCGTTGGTCAATACTGTTTGATAGCAGATATTGTTATGATATGAGAACATAAGAATTTCCATGTGGCAAAACCAAAGGGGCATCTGTTTGACTCATCTTCTAGCCATGATTGTTCTAACAGGAATTCTCTACCATAGCAAAGGAGGGCATATCCTTCTGTAACTAATTCTCTAGGGTGAACAGAATGGATTCTTCTCCCACTGAAGGGAGGGAGACTACAGAGGACTTTTCTGTGTACTAGACCAGACTTCAGTATAGGAAATGAGGTTATGTTGAAGCTCTAGAAGTCTTAAAATAACTTTCACACATGTTACTTATTTCTATTTTCATAACAATCTATAAGCGTGGGTTCATTCATTTGTTCACTCATTCTAAAATATTTACTGCTGAACACCAACTGCAGCCAGACACTTTGCTGAGTGATACAACTGGACAGGTAAATGAGAGATGCTGGCTGCCTCAAGAGTTTAGTGAAGAAGACAGATGAGTACACGAAGAATTGCAAGGCGAGATAAGCTGATTCTGGAGACAGTGGTCACAAAGGTGCTCAGTAGTGACCTTAACAAATGTTAGAAGCTCCATTTTACAGAAGGGGAAGCTGAGATGCAGAGATTAAATAACTCGTGCAATGCCATATACATCCTTCAAGTGCTAAGTCCTAAAATCATGCGCATCGTTATCCAGCAAAGCCTATGGATAGATTCAGTTCCACAGAAATGAATTCATTAGGTCAATAACAGCCTCAATTAGATGATCATTCTTTCAATGTAGAGGGAATCTGCAAAGTTTATTGTGGCTTATTTCTTTTCTTCCCCACTATCTTGGAATAATATAGTTGTCATGATCCTGTGATCATCGGCATGAAATTACCCCAAGCCATCCAGTATAAATAGACACACACACCTCTCCCGGAGATATCTGGGTTTCCCCAGATACTCAAGCTTACTCAGGCCCTGGGGGATTTGAGGAGCTTTTGAAGGGACTCACTGGCATCCAACTGCGCCCATCAGCATCCCTGGTTGCTTTTCCTCTTTGATAAACCCTCTGATCCCTGTTCGGGTCAGTTTCAACGGGAGAGCAGGAGGCCTGGAAAGAGATCTAAACGACTTAACCCTTCCGCAGGGGGAGTTAATTTGCTGCATTAGCCGGGGGCTATGCAATACCTTCTTGCTCAGATTGCCTGCTCCACTGTGACCCATCTCTCTTAAGGATAACGCCTTCCTCTGGGACTGGACTTTGAGGCTGGGTTTTGTAGATGGGGATTTATTTGCAACTGGCAAATGAAACTTATCTAACCATTAGCCTGTTGCAATTATTCCTGTCTGGTCAGCCAAATGGGAGCTCGGCATGAGATCCCAAAGGTTAAAGTTGGCTATCCAACATTCATCAGCAATTTTGAGGTTTCTAGGAACAGCAGCAGAACAAGAGTGTTTTACCCTTCATAGGTTCCTCCATCATTGCACTTGGTTGCATTATACATTTTTTAGTTTGAGTGTGTGTTTCTTATTTTGTTTTGTTTAGAATTCTGGTTTTCCTCGACAGCTACTTCTTTGGAGAAACACATTATTTTTCACTGGCCAAATATAGAAATCATTCTGTTATCATCTAGCAATAAAATATGTCATTACTTTCTTTCCCCAAAATTCTTTATCCCATTGGATATGGGAATTAGATAAGATTAAGTACTTAGGCAACATCAACTTATGGGGCAGACAGATTCTGTGCTGTTCAACTGTGTCAGGACAACATTTATATCTGCTTAAATAGGAGACAATGTGGCCAACACGCACACAGATACAGCCACGTGAGGTTTGCTTTAAGTAGAGCAGCATTAGGTTACTTTAAGGTGACAATTTCTAAATGAGTGCAAAACTGTGTAATAAGATTTAAAAAATTGGACCCATTCTTAGTCCACCAGCTCCCCAGCCAGTGACAAAATATGCCATTAGTGGCCACAGCACGATTCTGAAAATATACCTTCCTTACGATTTAACGCTTTTTTTTTCCCTGTGAGCTAAAAATTACAAAGCCCCGGATTTCATCGCTCTTGCAATCTATTCTTTTCCCCTGACTTCCTGTTTTCATGAAATTTTAATCAGGCACTTAAAATAAATAGCTATGCACAGCTTCTCTGCCTCCCCCAATGCCTGGGATGGATGTTTTGGGTAAAGTGATAGTCCAGAGACCTTGAGAACAGTGAATTCCTTTCTGACTTGGCAAGACAACAGAAATTAAAGCACGGCTCTGTCCACGGCCATGCGCTCGGAGGGGACAGAGTGGTCTTGTTTCTAGAGGATCAAACAAAGACATAGTATGTTGAACTTTTTTTCTAATTCTTCTTCCAAATATTGACAGCAATTTGATCAATTTAGAAGGGCAAGCAAAATAAAGCACATCTACATTATTCTAGGAGAGAGAGGAAAAAGAGTAAGCCATGTTAAACCCTTAAGATCCCCTTCAAGTGGAAAAATTAATCCTTTAATGTACGCTGCGTACTTTTTATTGCTAATGGTTTTTAATGATGTACATTTGAATCCCCTTCATTTAAACAAAAACACACCTGGTGTTTAAAGCCTGCTAAGATTTTTTTTCTACATTTTTCATGTAATGATTATATCTACAAATGGCATTCTAGGAAAATTTAACGTATTTCTCACAAAATCATTATATTAAGAGGAAGATGTCCTTTCTAGTAGTAACTTCAGGTTTCATGAAGAGTGCAATGTACCAAGAAAGAGGCAAGAATTCGCGAGAAAGAATACAGTTACTAACATCCCTGCTCTATAAGTCAAAGCCCTAGAGGCCTTAAGAGAAGATTCTTGGAGACGTGAGGACATCAGCTTCCTTACCTTAACCAGCCAACCTTCTGTATGACAGACAGTAAGTGGCAGGAAAGGCTCTTAATTTACGAGTAAGAATAAGGTGAAATGATATGAATTAACATCATTCAGTTCCCATGGACCCCCATGAATCTTCCTGCCTCTTGTTTCAAATGTGAAGAGATTCACACCAACTGTCGGTTCTGAGAAATGGCGTTAGACCAGCAGTCCCCAATCTTTTTGGCACCAGGAGCCGGTTTTGTGGAAGACAATTTTTCCATGGATGGGTGTTGAGGGGAGGATTTCAGGATGAAACTATTCCACCTCAGATTATCAGGCATTAGTTAGATTCTCATAAGGAGACCACAACCTAGATTCCTCACATGCACAGCTCATAATAGGGTTCGTGCACCTATGAGAATCTGATGCTGCTGCTGATTTGACGGGAGGCAGAGCTCTGGCGGTAATGGGAGTGATGGGGAGTGGCTGTATATACACGTGAAGCTTTGCTGCTGCTTACTTCCTGCTGTGCAGCCCGGTTCCTTAAAGGTCAGTGGCTGGGGGTTAGGGACCACTTCCCTAGACAATATGCATAGACATGTCTCCCTGACTCTGGAAGTCTAGCACCTGGTTTTAACTATCAGGAGATAGGTCTTACAGGTTAGCGGTATGCTGGTAAATGTTTTACAACAGGCTTTCCGGGGCAAAAAACAAAACAAAACAACAACAACAAAAAACAAAACAAAACACTGTGGTAAGGGGTAACCCTGATCCGTAGCATTTGTTCATTTCTGTGGTGAAAATACTCCCACCATGGACAATTTCAAGCTACTTTTGAAGTCACCAAACGTGGAGTTAGGAAGAGATAAATGGGATACATTCAATATTACGATACATGCAAATAATAAGATATAGATAATAGTAGAAGGTAGTAAAATAACTGTCTTCTACTTTTATAAATAAAAATAGAAAGGGGGAATTTTATTTTCAAATAGAATTGATTTGATTGTAAAGTTATATAATTTAATTTTTAATAATGGCTGTTTTTAAGAATGACTCATAGAATTTCTGAAAATTTGACAGGGGCCTCTTGGGAGCTGCTACAAACTAACTCCAACACACCAGTGCTGTGGGGGAACCTGGCTTTACAGCTCCATTCACTTGGATATAGCTGTGTGTCATTTGTGGTTTAGTGAACTTGCCTATTTCCAGGGACAGACCACATTTTTGGATCTGTACTAGATTGGTCTTCGTCCCCTAAAGTTTCCCCCAAATTACAATTGACCACAAAATATCAGTGCTGCCTGTTTTCTTTGATATAGGGTTTCATCTCCTTCATTGTCTCCAAATATAGCTCTAAGCTTGCCTTCTTACCTTGCTTAAGTGAATCTAAATAACCTCAAAAAGAAAGCAATCAACTCCCCAAGTGACAAAAATCATTCAGCTTCCTGGCATCTCAAGTCAGAAGAGCTAGAAAATACTATTTTTCTTCCTGTGGGCCCAGAGGATAAATTCCCACTAGAGAAAAGAAAGAGACTAAATTTCTACCACATTCCTTTTCTTATGCCAACATTTGGTGACATTACAAAATGGGAGATCTGGGGGCCTTCCATTCCACCACCACCTTACAATCATTAAAACCACTTCTTAGGGAAGTCCCATCACCTTACAATCATTAAGGTGATGATACAATCATTAAGGGGGGGGTCCCATCACCTTACAATCATAAAACCACTTCTTAGTGAAGCTTGTGAGGGTGTGGGGTGGTGATGTGTAGGAAGTTCACTTCAGTTTGAAGAAGTGAATATTGTCAGGAAATCTGGAAGAGCTACTGAGAAAGTTCTTTTCATAAGATGGTACCAGCAACATGTTGGTTCAAGAAAAACAGACAAGAGGATGATGGTTTTAAAGCATGGAGTGGCTTGGCATGGTGGCTCACACCTGTAATCCCACCACTTTGGGAGGCCGGGGTGGGTGGATCACTTGAGGCCAGGAGTTTAAGACCAGCCTGGCCAACATGGCAAAACCCCATCTCTACTAAAAATGCAAAAAATTAGCCGGGCGTGTTGGTGCGCACCTGTAATCCCAGCTACTCAGGAGGCTGAGCAGGAGAATCACTTGAACCTGGGAGGTGGAGGTTGCAGTGAGCCTAGATTATGCCATTGCATGCCAGCCTGGGCAACAGAGCGTGACTCTGTCTCAAAAAGAAGCATGGAGTGAATTTAAGGATTCAGTTCAAGTTGCCAGGGATCTCATATTCCAAGAGCTTCTTCTGCCCTCTTTAGTTTCTTGGCCATGTCTAACTCCAAGGTGCCTGCAGCCCTTTGTCCCCTCTCATGGCAGTCCCAGTAGCAATGGTATGATGTTCTAGAATCACATTCATGAAGAAAAAGGCCGAGCTCATGTGGCTGGATGCATCTAGCTTCTGTGAACCACCCACACTATCAACAGACACTGTCCCAGGGGCCAGGAAATCATCCTGCTCTTGGCAAAACCCCTGCCACTTGGGTAGGAACTGAGCAGAATCATCCAAGCCAAGAAAAACTGAGCAAGGCATGGCTCTCTCTTTACTGAAATCCAGATTCAGCATGAAGGATCTTGGCAGAACGACAGCTAGGCTCAGCCCTGGTGAATGTCACAACCATATCTCAAATAACCCATTCTCTTAATAAAACACAGTTTGACTTAAGGCTTTGAGAGATATCAATTCGAAGGGAGAAAAAAAAAAAAAGAAAGGCAAGAGAGAAGCCAGTGGAAAGCTTCTTACTATATTAGGGCTATTATTGAATGCATTTGCTTATATATGCACTTCTCACAGAGTAATCCAAAACCCTGAAAATGAAATTGGCTGTCTTTGGCTTCTTTATTTACAATCACTAACTACTCAGAGATTCTCAGAAATGTGGAGATTTCTTGGAGCTGGCTACCTGCAGTAATGTGCCTTCCCTTTCGTCCCATCTAGGCAGTTGATGACCCGGTGCAAGATTTCCCTACATTTGCATATTTATAGGGTCTCCTCCAGCTCCACACTGTTCTTTGTAAGAACAGAGCTTGGTGCCAGCAAAAGGAGCTCGAGCTGTCAGGAGCTTCTACTTTTGTTCTTATCTGTAGTCTAAGTAAGTCAACCCAAGCTTTTCTCCCACCTGAACATAAAACTACTGCAGGACTGATTGCTAGCTACATCAGTGGCCTCCTGAAGCAGATTGGGATGTGGGAAATTACACACTGGAACTCATGGTCCCAGAAGAGTTTCCAAACTCCAGCTGGTCTCTCACTCATCAGTTACACCTTCCCATGCGCCAAAAACCAGGGGAGGGAGATTATACTTTGGAGTCAGATGGATCCAGTTTGACCCCAGTCTCTACCCCTCTCTAGCTGGAAGTTGGCAAACTATGTAGCTATTCAGAGTTTCAGTACCTTGTGTATTAATAAACAAGCAAACAAACAGAAAAATTAAAGGAACACATCCGCCATAGAGAAAGTTGGGTGAAGCATATTCTGAAATCTACATACTATTTTAGTAACTTCCTGTGAATCTATAATTATTTCAAAATATTTTTAATAGGGGCACTAATAATAACAACAACAATGCCAATCTTAATAATATCTCAGAGGGTGTTTTGGAAGAGTTAAAAGGAACAATTTATGGATACGTGTCAGCAGGTGTTTGACATTCAATAAATGTCTGAATTCATAGTTGGAAGTATGGATACAAAGCATGCAATAAATATTATTTTAGGCTGGGCGCGGTGGCTCACGCCTGTAATCCCAGTACTTTGGGAGGCCGAGGCGAGTGGATTACTTCAGGTCAGGAGCTCAAAACCAGCCTGGCCAATGTGGTGAAACCCCATCTCTACTAAAAATACAAAAATTAGCCAGATGTGGTGGTGCACACCTGTAATCCCAGCTACTCAGAAGGCTGAGGCAGGAGAATCGCTTGAACCTGGGAGGCGGAGGTTGCAGTGATCCGAGACTACACTACTGTGCTCCAGCCTGGGCAACAAGAGTGAAACTCCATCTCAAAAAAAAAAAAAATGTTATTTTAACTTAATTTTCAATAGAGGATGATGCAAGGTTTGTTTATCAAGTGTCAGGAGAGTAATTTTTCTATCAAAGAGACAGAACAAATATAAGATCTCCCCATTAGCCCCAAGTGAGGGCCAAACAAGTGAATTAGTATTACTACGTATTTTTGGAGTGTACAACCTTGAAGATATCCCATAACAATTTATTTTAAGGTCCTGTTTATCTTTACATTTCTTCTAGCTTGAGAACACACCTGAAGATTCCCATTTCTTAGGGAAACCATGACACAACAGACTACTGGGTTTTCCGTGGTCTCAGGAGTGGTTCAAATGGGCTGGGGGGTGGACCTACATCCATAGTCATGCATTCAGCTGTCCCAACACATCAGGGTCCCAAAGTGCCTACTTCAAATTCAGAGCACCCTGATAGACTGAAGGAAAGAGATGTAAATATTGGGAAGCAGTTTTACTCCATTTTTTTCTCAGGGGAAAAAAATTTTATTTTTGTTTTTGGAAAATGTATGTGGAACACACTAAATAAAAAATCAGCATAAAATATTTAAGGACATTATTCATTTTAAGTGTGTTTCCAGGCATTTACATAAATAGGAATGAATATATATATTTGTGCCTCAAAACAAAGATACAACATAAACACCAAAATGTTAAGAAGAGTTTATCTAATTATTGAAAGTATGACTGAGTGCTTATTATTTTTATCATCATGTTTTTTGAATATTGTGAACTTTCTCTAATGGATTGTTTTTATAATAATAAAATTAACGATCAATTGTGGTTTATTGTATCCTTTCAAAATCAGTCATAGATATCTCTTTGCTTAATTGTTATCCTGGAGATAGTAAAACGGCAGGTCTATGGGTGGAAGGAATGGAAATGATTACTTGTGAGCCACTTCTCTGTAGCCAGAAAGGACTCTTGAGCCAGCCAGATCCTGTGTCTTTTAGGGAGATGGCCCTGGGTGGGGAGAGGCCCAAAGGGAAGGAAACCAGGAGACTTGCCCTAGACTTGCCTGCCAGTAAGTTTCTGGGTAATGTCGCCATTCCCCAAGCTCTAATTTCCTAAATATCCGGCCTTATCAGCTATTTGAAAGGTCAATGGTGTTAAAGTATGTACTCTTAACTTTCTAGATGAAAATCAGGGACTAACATGAGACATTTTAATTCTGTTGCTAGAGCTTGTATAAGCATACCCTTGCCTAGGTGGTTCAAAGGGGTAAAGTCCAGGTCTTCCTAACTTCATAGGATTAAATAAAAGAAAGGCAGTGGAGTTAAGATGAGATAACCTCTATCCTCTGCATCTCATCTCTCTAAAAATCTGGGAATCTTTAAGTTCTCTAGAGCAGCACTCCCCATCCTTTCTAACACCAGGGACTAGTTTCATAAAAGACAATTTTTCCATGGACTGGGAGTGGGGTGGGGATGTTTTCCAGATGATTCAAACACATTACATTATTGTGCATTTTATTATTATTAAATTATAATATATAATGAATTAATTATACAACTCACCATAATGTAGAAACAGTGGGAGAGCTAAGCTTGTTTTCTTGCCACCAGATGGTCCCATCTGGGGTTGATGGGAGACTGTGACAGATCATCAGGCATTAGATTCTCATAAGGAGGGCACAACCTAGATCCCTTGCATACGCAGTTCACAGTAGAGTTTGTACTCCTATAAGAATCTTAATGCCACCACTGATATAGCAGGAGGCAGCACTCAGGCAGTCATGTGAATGATGGGGAGTGGCTGTAAACACAGACGAAGCTTCACCCACGCACTCATCACTCTTTCTGCTGTGTGACCTGGTTCCTAAGAGGCCACAGACTGGTACTGGTCTGTGGCCTGGGGGTTGGGGACCCCTGCTTGAAAAGATTAGAAAATAGGCATCAGTGAGATCTAGAAGGCACAATGTCCTATCCTATTAACTGTGCTTAGTGGTCCAAAGCGGGGTTTGGATGGTCTGGGGACCGTGGGAACTCCTCTTAGGAACATGCCCCAGCATAGGGTTGCCAGAAACAATAGGGAATACCCAGTCCAGTTTGAATTTCAGATAACCAATAAGAATTGTTAGCATGAGTAGGTTCCTATATTGCACGGGATTGACTTATACTAAAATATATTTGTCATTTATCTAAATTTCAAATTGAACTGGGCATCTTGTGACTTTATTTGCTAAGTCTGGCAAACTGACCCCAGTAGTGCATGGTTCTCCAATTTCTTGGATGGAGTGTGGAGTAGAGACATGGCCCCCACTCTGGTTTGAGAAGAACCAAGGCAGGAGGGTTGAGAACAAACAGGAAGCCATTCTCCCATGTCCAACAGCATCATCCGTAGCCACTGGGAGACAAATATTTTATGCAAATAAGAGAGTTGGTTCTAGAGAAGCAGCTTAGATGAGTTTCACTACATAAAAGAAAAAAAGTGAAACAAATGTGCAGTGAGTAAGAAGCTGGTACATTTCAGTGCAGTTTATCTCAGCTCCAATCATTCAATCTGATAGGTGGTCAACTGCTCAGTAGCCAAATGGACTGTTCTCGACTCCGGAGAGAGGCCACAAATTATCTGGCTTCTATAAACTCAGACAAGATTTAACTGGTAAGAAACAAATAAAGTATTGAAATAAAGTATTCTAATCAATTCATTAGGAGAAATGGGGGCGGCCTCTGTCAGGCATGAAGATATGAAATATGCGTCATAAAGCATTCGTGTGTGAGTGTGTGTGCGCGTGCATGCGTGAGTGCAGATACATGTGTGTTTGTGTAGTGCCAGGCCTAGAAGATAGATAAAAATAACACAAAAGAATCACTGAGTACCTCAGATATCTTTGAAGGAGCACATGGACCTTGTCTCGCCCTCCCCAAGTGCCCAACATATCCATGCGGTCAGTGCCAGCTTTGCACAGTTAAAATAAAGAAAACAAATATCCAAATATCCAATATCATTGCTGCAAGCTGGCCTTGGGTCTTTGCCGACATCTGACCTGCTTCACATAACCTCCTGGCCTCTAAAAATAGATATTCTGTGGTACATATAATTTTTATACGATGACTAATACAGGAATGCCCTTCGGGGTAACTTAGTGTCTTAGTTTCTCTCTTTTCTCTCTATATTTATCTATGTCTTCACTGGCCTCTTTAAATAAAAGTTAGTCTGTAGCCATGGATCAAGAACATTAGCCAAGAAATTATTTATCTATGCCTTAAAGGGCTCTACTCTTCTTATCAACATAAGAGTTGCTCATATTTTTTAAAGGGGGCAGAGGGATGGTCTCAGACCTGTTTTGTATTTCTCTGCCTTTACATATCACTTTTCCAGATCCAAGGGTCAGTCAGAAGAGGTTTCCACCCACCCCACTCCTTTTCTATTTTATATACAACTGAGTCAAAAATAGAAAGGTAAATTCTTGGACTATAAAAATATTCCTTATATTAATACTACAGCTTGCTGCTCTAAACCCCAATAAGAAGGGTAGTGTGGTCATTCACAACCACTGGAATCTTACTCTGAATTTTACTTTCGTCCTCTGGTTGAGTGAGAGGGAGGAAGACAGAGGAAGACGGCAGGGGGAGGGGGAATGGAAAGTATGACATCTGTTCAGATCCCCTCATTGTCCATCTGGTTCATAACCCAAACTTTTGTCCGGAGGTAGGAATTCCAGAAACTGAAGGAGAAAGTCTGCTAGGGGGGAAAATAACAGAGATCCATTCCTGACTTCCCGTCACCTTTATTTCAATACCAGTGACCTCTCCGCCACCTCCCAGTGACCTCTGTGCCACCTCCCAGCCGATTAGCTCTGCGTGTGAGGATGTGGAGAGATGAATTTTCTTATCCAGTGATGTCCTTCCTTTGAAAATAACATTCTCCCTCCTCTGTTGCCATCAAAACAATAACTGCTTAATGTCAGTGCACTAAGCAAGGTAGTGGCAAGATCCAGGGTGCCCAGAGACAACAGAGGGCAAGGAAAGCCTGGGAAATTCATGCCCTCCTGTTCATGCTCCCCTCAGCTCACCTGAAGGCCTCACTGTCCCCATACTACAAGCTCATCTTACAAGAGCCCTTTGACTCTGCTTATATTGTAAACTACAATCCCTTGAGGAAAGAGATCAGAATCTACTTGCCTAGGCAACTGGCCTAACATTGGCTATTCAGAAGTACAGCTTGTGAACATCCAAGGAGACTTCTTCCTTACCTTTGAAGTAGACTGTAAATTTGGTTTACACCTTTCAATGAAAACAGAATCCAAATGTCATTTATTATTTTTTCTGTTACTTAAAATAAAGTTAGGTGTCACGCACACTCTTGGTTCTTCCTCCTGTGTCTCCTTCTACCTCACCGCATTACCATGTGGTTTTATTCTTGGGAATACAGGACTTAGGCCAGCTGGGCATCTGAATTTAAAAGACTTGAGTCTCACTCCAAAAATAGTGTCAGAAAGCTGTCCTGGAATGCAATGCCCCAAAGCTAAGCACTCACATACAGGTGAGTGTTGATGAATTACATGCGATATCCTTTTATCCACCAAACCTGTGATTTACAGAATACTGCCAGTACCACCTACCTTGGACACAGGGTGGGGAACATCACACACCGGGGCCTGTCATGGGATGGGGGGAGGGAGGAGGGATAGCGTTAGGAGAAATACCTAATGTAAATAACGAGTTAATGGGTACAGCACACCAACATGGCACATGTATACATATGTAACAAATCTGCATGTTGTGCACATGTACCCTAGAACTTAAAGTATAATTTAAAAAAAAGAAAGAAAGAAAAGAAAACTGTGACCAGTTGTCAGGCACACCCTCTTCAGTGTACTGACTGTAAGGGTCTAGAACTAGAAGAAAGAAAGCAGATTTGGAAAGAAACATCCAAAATTTGATCCCAGGTTCCTCTCTGGACAGTGTGGGCCAACCGCTTCATCTTTCTCAGCTTCAGTTTTACTTTTCTCATTTGTTGGTGATGATGATAACAACAAAAATATCCCCTCCTTTGTAAGCTTCCTTTGAGGATTAGGTAAACTGCTCTTACATCAAAATCCTGCTCAAAGATTTTGACCTTCTTTGGTGAAACCTTCATTGACTTACTTAGGACAAAGTCAATTTATCAATTCTGCATTTTGAATTCGCCAGGAAAGGTGAAGCTCTCTAACGAACCACCCACAAATCTCAGTGGCTTTAACTGACAGAGGTTTACTTCTTATTCACGCTGAATTTCTATTGCAAGTCCCTAGAGACAGATGTAGACATTGCTTTTCACACTGTAGAGTTACTCAGAGACTGGCTGTGGATGGCGCCTCGGTTTTCTGATACTATCATCTTAACATGTAGCTTCCTTATTTTCCAGAGCAGGGGAAGAGACCTTAGGCAATCATGTACTAACTTTTCAGTGCTTCCACCCAGAAATCACACTTGCCACTTCTGCTTGTTTTATGGGTCATGGCAAATTACAGTACCGTGCTGAGTGGTCAAGAGGTGTGTGAAAATATCTTTGGATCCAGGAAGGAAAGGAAATATTAGAAAGTATTAACACCATTTTTCCCACTTGTCTATAATATGCATTATTCATAAAGGACTGAAGATAGCATCAAGCATTGCTTCTTCTTTTTTTTTTTTTTTTTTCCGAGACAGAGTTTTGCTCTTGTCGCCCAGGCTGGAGTGCAATGGTGACATCTCGGTCACTGCAACTTCTGCCTCCTGGGTTCAAGCAGTTCTCCTGAGTAGGAGTCCTCAGCCTCCTGAGTAGCTGGGACTACAGGCACGTGCCACCATGCCCAGCTAAGAGAAAGGGTTTCACAGTGTTGGCAAGGCTAATCTTGAACTCCTAACCTCCCCGCCTTGGCCTCCCAAAGTGCTGGGATTACAGGCATGAGCCACCACACCCGGCTGCATTGCTACTTTAGTTCAGCTTTAGAAGCAATAGTTTAGCTATATGTGATACCGCCATGAAGTCAAGGACAGAGTTGCGTATTCATCATCCACTTATTTTCTTTTCTCCCACAGTTGGCAGTATTTATAGAATCAGGATTATGTCCAATTATGTTTGGTTCTGCATGCTATGCAGACAATAGGTGCTCAGTAAATACTTAACCAGACAGATAAACCCTTTCTCTAGCTATGAGACTTCATGATCCTAGTGCTATACTCAACATGATATAGATATAAGGCGGTACTTACCAAAACTGGTAGTCAACCTACTTTTCATAAAACTTTGGCCCAGGCAGAGTCCATGAAATTTTAGAACATGGAATTCACTGCAAATTTCTGCCAGTCAACAACAGCAACAACAAAAGGCACATGCAGTCAGCCTTCCATATTTGTGGGCTCCCCACCCATGGATCCAACCAAATGGGAATTGAAAATATTGAGAAAAATTAGGGCTGGGCATGGTGGCTCATGCCTGTAATCCCAGCACTTGGGGAGGCCGAGGTGGGCAGATCACTTGAGGTCAGGAGTTCAAGACCAGCCTGGCTAATATGGTGAAACCCCATCTCTACTAAAAGTACAAAAATAGCAAGGCATGGTGGTGCACACCTGTAGTCTCAGCTACTTGGTAGGCTGAGGCAGGAGAATCGCTTGAACTTGGGAGGCAGAGGTTGCAGTGAGCCCAGATCACACCATTGCACTCCAGCCTGGGCCATGGTGCTAGACTCCGTCTTGAAAAAATATAAAAGAAAATATTGAGAAAAAATTTTAAAAAGGATCATTGTGTCTGTACTAAACACATAGAGAACTTTTTTTCCCTGTCATTATTCCCTAAATAGTACAGAGTAACACCCGTTTACATAGCATTTACATTGTATTAGTTATTATAAGTAATCTAGAGAAAATTTAAAGTATATCTGAAGATGTGTGTAAGTTATATGCAAATCCTACTACACCATTTTAAGTAAGAGACTTGACCATTCATGGATTTTGGTATGGGAGGGGGGTCCAGGAACCAATTACCTCACAGATACTGAGGGATGACTATTTCATGATAGTGTCAGTAGAGAGACCTTTTATGTATACCATAGGCTTAGACACATGCATCAGGCATCTGTACAGTGTGTTTGTGTGTGTGTATGTGTGGGTGCACATGTACCCAGAAGCTCACAATGTCTGCACGTCTGTGAGATCCTGGGAAGACTACATACTCAACTGCCAGATCAGCACATTTTATTGAATGATAAAGTGGGTCATTTGGTGAATCTATTCTCAGTTCATATCTGCTTTGAGATAGCACAGAGTCACACTCGAACATCCTGTTCCAACCTCGAAGTTTCCTGGTTTTCCTTTGTGAGGCTGCAACAAAAGTATATCCAAATACACATTGATACTGATGAAAGCATCATCATCATTAGCCTCTAATAGTCATCGAGTACTTGCAGTACCAGGTATTTTGATGAGTGTTTTATGTTCTCAATCATGTATATGTTTCACAAGAATTCCAAAAGGGAGGCACTATTGCAATGCCCATTTTACAGCTGAAGGCATTAAGGTTGAGTGACCCATTCAAAGCCACACAGCTCTAAGTTCGTGCGGCTGAGTCTTCAAGCCTAGACTCATGCCTATGTTCCTGACCGAACCTGGCTATAGGAGGATGTTACTTTGCCTAGAATTCCGCTCTGTGGCTCTTTACCCCATCAGTCTTTTTCAATTAGGAACAGGTTGCTGATTGCTGCACATGAACTTCAGAACAGATGGCTCCTAGAAATACTTCAGATGCCATGAGATCCACCACCTTGAAATGTCAAAGCAGCAAAATTCAAACCCAGGGGCCCTGGGTGCCAATGAGACAGCTGTTATCTTTTTTACTCACCAGACGAGGTCACAGATAGAATGTGAAACCTCTGAACCTCAGAATGACAGTCGCCGTTGATTGAGCACCTTCTATATTTCAGGCCCTGAATTCCTGGCTTGATGTAGGTTCTCATGGTATGCATGTGACATGGATACTATTTAACCCCATTTCACAGACGCGTAAACTGAATCTCAAGTGGATAAAATAACTTTGTTCTATAATTAATGATCTAAAAAGTCAGAATTTGAGTCTTTATCTGTCTGGCTGCAGAGTGCAGAGTGTGAAATCTATTCTACATACTGCACCAAGAAAGAAAATTAAAAGGCATTATTTTTCCTTTTCACTTCAAAAACAATTTTGAAAAAGAAGAATGAGAAGAATGATCACTATAGCAGATATTAAATTTATCATAAAACTATAAAAAAGAGTTCTGTCCTATTTTAAGAATCAACAAATAAATAGATGAATGAAGTAAAATAGCCCTGAAACGTTTCTGTGTGTGTAAAATTAAAGCACAGTACAAGATGCATATACAAACCATTAGAGAAAGGAAGGCTTCTTTTGACAAACACTGTTAGAAAACTGGTGATTTATACAAAAATAATTAAGCCAGCATCTGATGTGAAATACCCAAATAAATTCTAAATGCACTGAATATTTAAATGTCCGATATAAAAACCATAAAAATGAAGAAAGTATGGGGGAAGAATTAACTGATGCTTATGGAATCTTTTCAAACACTAAAGCAAAGAAAGAATATTAAACCTGACTACACTTTATTTACAAACTAAATATTATACATGTAAAAATATAACTATAATTAAAAGGCCAGAGATAAACATGGAAGAAATTTTATCACAAATATTGTTCCATTATATATTGCTGGGAGATATAAATTGCTGGGAGAAATCACCTGGGAACATGGTGGCACATGCTTGTGGTCCCAGCTACTCAGGAGGCTGAGGCAGGAGAATCACTTGAACCAAGGAGGTGGAGGTTGCAGTGAGCTGAGATCACACCACTACGCTACAGCCTGGGTGACAGAGCATGACTCTGTCTCGAAAGAAAGAAGGAAAGAAAGAAAGAAAAGAAAAGAAAAGAAAAGAAAAGAAAGAAAGAAAGAAAGAAAGAAAGAAAGAAAGAAAAAGAAATCACCCAGGAAAATACAAACACTCTTGAAAAACAAGATGAGGTAGAAAAGGAAAAGAACAGACAATTCATGGAAGGAGGAACAAAAACGGCCATAAATAAAAATACAGAAAAATGTTCAAGAGTAGACAAAGATGAATACAAAGACATTATTTTGCTTGACTATGAAAGAAAGTTTTGTAAAATGAATAATTCTAATAAGGTAGTTACAGTGAAACTGGGTATCTCCTGTGGTATTTGTGGTAGTATAAACTAATTCAGTCTTTCTGGAAAGCAATCTTATTATATGCATTAAGTTTTAAAATTAGGCCAGGTGTGGTGGCTCATGCCTGTAATCCCAGCACTTCGGGAGGCCGAGCCGGGTGGATAACCTGAGGGCAGGAGTTTAAACCAGCCTGGCCAACATGGTAAAACCCTGTATCTGCTAAAATTACAGAAATTGGCCGGGCTTGGTGGCATGCACCTGTAATCCCAACTACTAGAGGGGGCTGAGGCAAGAGAATCACTCGAACCCAGGAGGTGGAGGTTGCAGTGAGCCGAGATCGCGCCACTGCACTCCAGCCAGTGTGACAGAGCGAGACTCCACCTCAAAACAAAACAAAACAAAAGAGAAAGAAAGAAAAGAAAGTTTTAAAATTAACTATAACAATTTTTCGTGAACATTTATAATAAAGATATAATCAGAGATTCAGACTAAGATTTATAAAGATGTTCAATATAGTGTTATCTATAACAGGAAAAATGGAGACAATCTAAACATCCAATAATAGTTTGATAATTAAATAGTTTCATTCATAAAGTATAATATTCTGCAGCTTTGGATAATGTTAATTACACATAGCCTAGTGCTAAACGGAAAAATGCAAGATGCATGCCTTTCTAAATGCCACATGATCACAATCATGTCAGACACTCTGAGGCATGTGTGCATTGAAAATCCATTGCAAAAAGATTCTCCGAGGTAAAAATGGTGATTTTTTTCTCTGATGAAATTATGAGTGATTTTTAGCTTTTCCTATATCCTTTACTGTAAGTATGAGATGATTTCTGTAACAAAAAAATATATATATAAATTTTAAGCAAACATAGCCAGGTGAGTCTCTCCTGAAGCCCACTGCTGGGAGGAGCCTCATTTGTGAGCTGTCCCTGCTAAGGGGAAGAATTGAGACTGCAGTGGTAGAGTCAGGGCCAAAAGGATCCCCAAGAGGTCACCACAGGAGCATGCAGCCACCGAGGCAGGTGGAGGACCAGAGGCTGTAAAGGAATGAGGTGGGATTATCAGACAGGTTACGTGATGAAGACTCTGAGAAAAAGCTGGCCAACTAGATGGAACACAGCACCTCCTTGTAATCCCCAGGGAGGCCATCTCCAGACACATCGAGATTGCAGTTAGGGCATGAGAGCTCAGTAACTCTGCTTCCCTGAAGTCCCTGCGCTCTGGTGTCACTGGCTCCCAGAAGAACCATGAGAACCAAACAAACCTGATTCCAACGCTTCAACCACTCAGCCTCCCAGCGAGATCAGTTACTCTGAAGACAAGGGCATCCACGCACCAAAAGACTCACTGGCCAGCTCAGACGAAGCCAGCTGGAGGACTGGGTCCATCACAGGGGCTTCCTCTCCCATCAGCACCCCACCCTGCTCATGGTCAACAATGCTCATTGGCATGGTCAACTGGCTAGGAACCTCTGTGGGAAGCCAGACCACTTTGCTGGGTGTCTGCTTCCCGGTGCATGCCGGGGAGATGGCAGATGACCTTGTGAAGGTCTAATGAGGTTGACAATGTAGATCGAATTTTGCGTGGCACAGGCTGGAAATAAACAATTCAGTATCCAAATATGAGCATCAGGACTCACCCTCTTCTCTGACATGTGGGGAAAACAGCTATCTTAGGGTTATTTGGGAAAAGTAAAGGAGTTGGTCTGTAAAAAATTTAGCGGCATCTGCAGTGCACAATCTAGGTTAATTATTACTCTTTACTGCTACTACTGTACTTTTACCATTAATACGATTATCACCACTACTACTATTGCTATTACCGCTAGTACTATCACTACTACTATTTACTACGGTTACTACAACTGCTATTTTTAGCACTACATCACACTACTACGGTTACTACTGCTGTTGCTACCATTACTACTATTGACACGATTACTGCTATCACTATTCCTGTTACTACTAGAGCTGCTGCTACTGATATTACCACTACTATACTAATCTAATAGTGCTATAATTATTGCTATCACAATTACTTTTACCATTACTGTTACTACTGCTGCTTCTTCAACGACTGCTATCGTACTCTAAGCCACCTCATGCGTTTACAGCAACCACACATTCCAGATTTAAGGGAAATCATCTTGGTTGGAATTATTCTGTCTCATCACCTCCAAAAGTCCTCTCACAACTGTCAGACTATGCACCTGTTCGTGCAGAAAATATTTGTACCCGTAACCCAAACCCTTGTTGAGTGAGGCAGTCATGCGCAGGGCTGAAGGAGCCTGCGTCAGTCCCTGGCAGGGACTCTAGGCACAGTAGTACCTGCTTCCCAAACCACCAGAAAAAAAAAAAAAATAATAAATGCTGCTACACAGGAGCTGTTCTCCTTTTAAGGATAAGGAAACTGAGGCTTAGGACAATACGTAATATGGCCAAGTTCATACAGCTGGTGAAAGACGAGACCCTAATTCAGACAAGGTTCTACCAGGGCCCTTGTTACCAGCTAAGCTACTAGGGTTTTTTTAGTTTTTTTTTTTTTTTTTTTTGAGATGGTGTTCCAGTCTGCTGCCCAGGCTGGAGTGCAATCTTAGCTCACTGCAACCTCCACCTCCGGGTTCAAGAGATTCTCCTGCCTCAGCGTCTTCAGTAGCTGGGATTAAAGGCAGGCACCACCACGCCCAGCTAATTTTTGTATTTTTACTAGAGACGGGGTTTTACCATGTTGGCCAGACTGGCCTTGAACACCTCACCTCAAGCGATCCACCATCCTCAGCCTCCCAAAGTGCTGGGATTACAGACATGAGCCAACAAGCCCGGTTACTACTAGGGTTTTGAATGATTAAAAAACAGGTTCAGATTGTGGCATTTGCTCAGTTTCCTCAAGGCATGAGATAGGCTTTGGAATAAAAAGCTAAGCTGGTTGGTCCCAGTTCTCCTGACTCCAAGCGTTTCAGTCTTTGGTGACAATTTCCTCCAACTGCTAATGACAATTCAGCGGCAGGTGACCATCCTTGCTGGGACACGGGGCTCCTGGAGCAAGTCCTGTGCAGCTGAAGAGGGGAGCGAATGGGAACTTTGGAAGGAGGAGGAAACAGGAAGTCCAAGCGAGCTCCACGAAGCCTCCGGGCAGGAACGCAAACAGGAAAGCGGTTCTCAGCCAGTGGTGGCCTCTCGCTAGCTAGGTCTGGTGTCCCCAAGGCCCCCCTGGTGCGTGTTATTTTTGGACCATGCCACGTGGTGAGTAAGTGCCTGTTGGATTAGATAGAGTCAAGGCCAGCTTCCAGGCTGGTGTCTCCCAAGCAACAGGGGTCAGTGGCCCCAGGGACATGGCCTATGGCGGAGTTTCAAATCACACTACCCCCAGCCACCCCCCAGACATCTCTGAGGCCCTTGGATAACAAAAGGAAGCAGGGAAAGAAAGAGGGAACTGCTCTTCCTTCCCCTCCAATCAGAGGTCTCCACTCTGGGTACAGTGGCCAGATCTGATGACCTTAGCAAAGCCGCTCTTGGCCTGGAGAATCTTGCAAGCTTGGACTTTCTGGGGCTCGTGCACTGATGGGCAAGCTGGGTTTCCTGGACTGGGAGGGGTTAGCTTCCTTCCCCTTTGGGACTCATACCTCAACCCCATAGCAATTCACTGAACTGCTCCTGGCCTTGGTTAATCTTCAGTGACCATGGCTAGTAGATCATGATAGACTTTAAGAAAGGAGTGTCAAGGCAGTTGGTTTCCACATAAGTTAGACTCTGGGTGGTTTTTATATCATAAGCTAGCACATCTGACCTATAATAGTAAAGAAATTATCCCATTGTGTGACCTTACAGGATTGCATATGTGTGTGCATGCACACGTGTGTGTATGTGCAGTTATGTTTTCTCTCTCCATCTCTCTCTCACAATCACATAAACAATAAAAAACAGTAAATGTTAAGCCTTTTAAAAGCAGAACCACATCATTTTGAGTTTTGCATTTCACTAGACAAAGTGGGAACATTCGTGGTAACATCATGAAGAGTGATAACATAGTAATAAAAGCAGATTTTTCTCAGGCATTTAAAAGGATAAGAGACAAAGGTAGGCGCGATCCATGCTAGCTGGGTCTGTCCATATGATTCCCCAGTATCTTGGAGACAGGCAAGAGTGTAGCTAGAATGGGATTTTAAGCCAGGGAGAACTGGGGATCAATCCCGGTCAGACACCATGACCCTGGTCAAGTGCCTCCTTCCCACTTATCTCATACACAAAATGGGAATGGTGCCTACAGTAGAGGCTTTCTGCCAAGATGACAAGAGCCACTTACACAAAGAGCATGTGGTGGACACCTAGCGGATGTTCAACAAATGTCTGGATGTTCTCAAGATGGCGGGCAGTCCCACCTTTCCAAAGCCTTTGCGGGCAGGACAGACGCGCTCAGTCACAAAATTCCTTTCCTTTGTCTCAATGCCCCACGTTCTGGGTAACATAATATGGTGCTCCTCAACGGTGGCCAAGGGTCAATGCGATGTTTACAGCTGAACAATTTCCAGGCCCTCTTTTCTTTTTCTTTTTTTTTTTTTCTTTTTTTTTTTTCTGAGACGGAGTCTCGCTCTGTCGCCCAGGCTGGAGTGCAGTGGTGCAATCTCGGCTCACTGCAAGCTCCGCCTCCGGGGTTCACGGCATTCTCCTGCGTCAGCCTGCCCAGTAGCTGGGACTACAGGCGCCTACCACCGCGCCCGGCTAATTTTTTATATTTTTAGCAGAGACGGGGTTTCATCGTTTTAGCCAAGATGGTCTCCATCTCCAGACCTCGTGATCCACCCGCCTCGGCCTCCCAAAGTGCAGGGATTACAGGCGTGAACCACCGCACCTGGCCCAGGCCCTCTTTTCTTGTACCAAGGTAGAGAGACAGACACCAAGAGACACCCCCATCTTTGAATGCTAGACTAAAAACGGGAAAATGTTTGTAAAATTAAGTTTTAAAAAGCTACCCCAACAAGTGGTATGATATGGTCAACCGTGGGGGGGAAAGTTTGCACAGAGAATCAAAGAATATACACTAAAATAAGAGGAGCAACTATTAAATTTACAGTTCAACACAGTAGGAACTAGCTACATATGGCTATTTAGATTTAAATTAATTAAAATTAAATAGAACTAAGCCTTCAGTTCCTGACACACTAGACTCATTTCAAGTGCTCGGTCATCACACATGGCAGATGGCTACTGCATTGCACAACACAGATCTAGAAGAGTCCATCAGCAGAGAAAGTTTTACTGGACAGCACTGATGTAGAGATGGAGGTATTTTGAGTGATTTCAAAATTTTATTTCCCTAAATAATATTCCATCATTATTTTTTTCCTATAAAAATGTAAATAGCAGCCGGGCATGGTGGCTCATGCCTGTAACCCCAGCACTTTGAGAGACCGAGTTGGGTGGATCACAAGGTCAGGAGATCGAGACCATCGTGGATAACATGGTGAAACCCCGTCTCTACTAAAAATACAAAAAATTAGCCAGGCGTGGTGGCAGGTACCTGTAGTCCCAGCTACTCGGGAGGCTGAGCAGGAGAATGGCGTGAACCCAGGAGGCGGACCTCACAGTAAGCTGAGATTGCACCACTGCACTCCAGCCTGGGCGACAGAGCAAGGCTCTGTCTCAAAAAAAAAAAAAAAAAATGTCAGTAGCAACAGACAAAATACTAAAATATTATTTTATGTATTGATATGGCACCTTACTTACATTCATTCATGTTTGGTAAAACTGAAATCACAGAAAGAGGTGCTAACCTAATAACGAGGGACTGATCCTTAGACAGGACTTTCATGTTTGGCCATTGCTAAGTTAAGCCTCATGGGGCTTGAGGTGGTTCTCTATGAACTCAAGCAATCTTGGGTCAGGGACCACTGGCTCCCTCAGGCCAGGATGGTGTCCTTCACCACTTTCCAAGAAGACACTCAGCATGCATTTCTGTTGTTTGTTTTCCTTCTTAACTCCTGGAATATTAAATAGATGATCTCAGAATCTTTCCCTCCATGGTTCTAAATTATATCCTTAAATAATGTGGAGGAAAAAAAAGTGAGAAAGGGCAGAACATGCATTACAAAGTAGACTCAGACACAGGACATTGTTTTGGACCTCAACTTCCCGCAAATCAAGCTTGGAGAACATACACAGTGTCTGTGTACTGAGTGAAAGGTGGGGAATGCAGAACTGGACATGCTGCAGAACTGAGGGGGCCCATGCAAAACGACAATGCAAGGTTCCTTGTTCAAAAAGTATCAAGAGATTCAAGGGGACAGCAGAATGTTAAATCAAGTGTGGCACCCATTTGAGCATGAGTACAACTGCACACATTGCATGCCTATGAAGATGGACCCCATGCAGAATTCCAGTTTTTCACAAGCCATTGGAAAAAAAAAAAAAGATTTCAATAGAAAATCGTGGACATTACAAAATTTACCAGAAATTTTTGTAAGTATCACTGCAACCCCCACCCCCCCACAGAGGCATCTTATTTTTTGGTCTATCTTTGATCTCAATACTAAAATTCAAAGTATTTCTATGTAAGCTATTTTAAAATATGGATGCCCATAGAAGCAGAGAGTAGTACGGTGGTTACCAGAAGCCAGGGGATGGGGAGTGGGGGAGATGTTTTTCAAAGGACATAAAATTTCAATTAGAGAGGAGGAATAAGTCCAAGAAATTCATTATACAACCTGGTCACTATAGTTAATAACAATGTATACTTCAAACTTGCTTAGAGAGTAGATTTTAAGTGTTTTCACTACCAAGAAAAAAATAAGTATGTGGGGTAATGCATATTTTAATTTGCTTGATTTAATTAATCTAATTAATTAGCTATTTCACAGTGTAAACATACTTTAAAACATTATACACCATAAATATATACATTTTTGTCCATTAAAAATAAATAATAAATTATAAAATAAAATATATCACTACATTGGAAAAAATAAACAAAATGTGGTATGAGTGTTACCAACATCATCAAAAGGTTAAAGAGATGGGATGAACTTTAAAACTTGATTTTATTGGATAAAGGACAAAAAAGTTCTATCATTGTGAGAACAGATCTATGTCCACCTTATAAAATAACCCCAGTCATCTTAATTTAAACACTATTGATTGGTAACCCAAATGAAAATCAAAATCAATAAGAGAATTTTTTTTTTTCAGAGTGGGATATTATAGACTCCATCCTGAAACTAGTTTTAGGGAATAAACTTTCCAGTCATATAACCTAATTTATGCCACTTTTTATGAATGAGTGACTTGGGCTGGGAGAAGAGATAGAAAGTTTTGACAATTTTGAAAATGTAGGAAGTGATAAGATGGTTTTCAACGTGGAAAGCAGAAGCGTTCATCTTTATGGAAATTTCCCACAGCTACACCTATTCCATTTCATATAAGATTATTATGGGGTTAAGAAAAATAAGTTGGCTTACATCAGGACAGATTAACTCATTCTTTGAAGAAGGAAGAAGTTGGCTCTAAACTCTATCTCTTATGTGATTGCTGTTATCAGGTGCAACATGGTCTAGTCAAGCAAGACAGGGAGCTTGCTTTCTTTTTCTGACTCAGTTTCCGCCTCTATAAATGGGAAAAATAAGAGCCCCTGCCTCGTGTGCATATGTGTGACCCAAAGAGAAAAGGCACATAAAGAGTTTAACCCAACAACTGACCAATTATTAATATAATTATTGGAAATTACAGTGGGAGGATGGACTTATATGACATGTTTATGAATTGGAAACTAATTAAGGAGGAATCTAAATACAGTGAACATCATTTTCTAAGCCAAATATTAGGATATACTATGTGACAATTGAAAGTGCAAATTTGGGGGTGATGACAGAACATTTTAATTCACCTCTGTGTTGGTAAGTGCCAGACATGGTCACAGGACATGCGTACGAGTTTGAAGCTTTTTCTTTGAAAAGTTCCTTTCTGAAATCAGACGTATCTAGCACTGTTGGGGGAGGCAATGAGACAGACGGTGCAGGGATGGACTTGGTGACATGGAAACATCCTCTACTCCAAACAGATACACAAACACACATCCCTCCATGCACACCCCTACACACACCCCTACACACACTCACATTCCTATACATATACCCATACACACTACTGTATCTACACACGCACATACACACACACACATACTCCTATACACATTCGCCTGTACACACATACACACACGTACCCACAGACACCTCCATGTATCTACATCCCCCGAACCTGTACACACACATTCACACACACACATACAATCAGTTAATTGAAAGATCATTTGAATGTTTAACCTGTATTCTAGGTCTATACAAGCATCCAAATTTATACACACACACAGCCAACCCCTGACACACTTGACTTGATCTTAAAAATATACTAAAAAAAAACCTTTGTAGAAACCCCTAAAAGTTAATCGTAAAGCAATTGCAATATCCTATCCTGTATATTGCTATATAGATGCAACAAATAGTTCCCTCTGGAATTGATGTAACCCAATTCACTGTGAAAGATTAAGATTCATTAGGTCTACCTTGGATCTGAAGTCTTTAAAGGCCTGTGTCATAAGAATGCTTTATATATAAGCCACCATATAGCATAAATCCCAGACATCACATGAAAATAAGTCCAATACTGGATATTTGTCTACAATTGATCTTTTTTCTCCTCTGTCTCCTCTGTAGCAAACTCACTGCTTTCGTCTGCAAACTATCTCCTTGTGTGTGTGTGTGCGTGTGTGTGTGTGTGTGTGTGAGAGAGAGAGAGAGAGATAGAGAGAGAGAGAGAGAGAGAGAATAGCATCGATGGTATAGGAAGGCTGTTTCCTAAATATATTTCTAATACATGGGCTCAGCAAAGAAACAGGTTCACACACACAAAAAACTGAGATCTGTTGTTTTAATAAACATATCATGGTTTGATATAGTGGTTGTTTTCTTTTTTAGATTTGATTTATCTGTCACTTTCTTTCCAAATTTGATTTATTGGTCAATTTCTTTTCAAGATTTGATTTATTGGTCAATTTCTCTTCAAGATTTGATTAAAACACATTACATAAGTCTTTTCAGATCTATTTCTAAATATCATATATATTTCTAAGTACGGATGTTTAAAGTCTTTATTCATAAATGTTCTTGATTGATGTCTGTTTTTTCATTAGTTTTTTTAAAGCTTTAGGTAGTCATTTATTCTGTAATTGGAATCAGCATAAACAAACCATAAAATCCAATTGTGTAATGAATTACTCATACCTCAGATTCAGAGAGAAAAGAAGCTTAAGATATAACAAGGAAAAAACAGCTTTATATGTGGGAGAAACACATTGGTTAGTTGGTCTTCAATCTCTGGATTTAAAGATACACTATGAAACAATTCTACAAGAAAGTGTTCTAGCATGATACCGTTGATGACCATTAGTTACTCCATGGCTGCATAGATGGCATTGATGATGAAGAGTCTTGTGTTTTTCTGAAAACCCTTGTTTTATTTTGTGGATGGATCCATGGAGCTCTGTTCCTTCTGCCTTCTTCAGAGCTTCCCTGCAGACTTCCCCAGGGAGGCAGTGCCCATTGAATACCTGCCCAGCAGATACCTACCCACCATACTCATGGACTCATGGCAAGACACTACATAGAAAAAGACCCTGAGTCCCAGAGAGAGTGGCAGACACACCAGAAGGTAACCTGAAGCATGGCAGAGAGGGTAAGTCTTCTCTTCTTGCCTCTGCTCCTTAAGCCTCTACACACACTTACACAAAAAATAAAAGAAGGATATTCACTAGCTAGTTATTCTGTGCACCTCTGGGATGATGACATCTTCTACATTAGCATGTATTATTATTTTTTTAAGACATCGTTACTCTCCCCCTTACTCCAGACAAACACTGTTCCAGCCTGGTTTCTTCATCTGTAAAACAAGGATATCATTACCTCCTTTGAAGGATAGTTGCAAGGATTAAATGAGCTAATGTATGCAAAGTGCATACATATAGTTAATGGGATCTGTTTCAAAGGATGATGGTGACGAGCAACAGGAACAACTGCAAGAGTGTCCAGTGGCATTTCCTGAGCAGTCATGGCGTGCCCAACATAGTGCAGAGTGCTGAGTGATACATCAGCTCATTGAGCAGAACAGCCCCATGAGGTCGACGCTATGAAGAATGCCTTGTTTCCAGCTGGGGAAATGATACAAGGTCAGAACACCTAACATCAGCTCCACTCCAGGCTGGGATAGAACACCCTGCAGCACAGCCACTATCCTTTAAGAAAGCCACAAGATACTGTCTGTGAAGGCAAGCTAGAGCTGTACGTTCCTCAACAACTGCAGGTCATTAATGTCAAATTCAAGGTGAAGAACTTGTGTGGTTTCAGCAAGAGACTGAACTGAATCGATTCTCTGCCTGGCCCTTGGCATGGCCAGTGAAGCCCAGCTTCAATTACACTGGCCATGTCCTCAGTGTGGAAACCTCCCTTTCGGATAGACACTCACTTGAAAATGATCCCCGTTGGTTCCATTTTGTCTGTCCGAAGCCTGACACCAATGTGGGTCATCTTGCAGCATCTAAAAAAGCGCCCTGGAAGGGAAGCTGAGTCTCCTCCTCCTAGCAGTCCTGATTTCTACTAACCCAGAGAGTTAAAGACCATCACCCTACAGATTGAATCTAGGGATGGAATGCCATTTCCATAATGGCACCTTATGAAGTGATCATTCCGTAAATAAAGGAAGTCAAAAAGGATGCCTAAAAATGACTGGAAAGCAGACCTCCTAAATTGTTCCATTTCAGGAGTTTAAGCACCAATTAACTGAGATACTACACAAAGACAATCTATCTAGCCTTGGTGGCAGTATAAACTGAGGCAGGAGAAGCTTCTTTCTGTCACTAATGTTTTACTTCCATCTCTGTATTCCAGCCACTCTAGCTTTTCCTCAAGCTCATACTGCTCTCTCCAAATCCTGAAAACTCTGAGCCCTTTTGTTCCCCCAGGGCATCTGCAGAGCCCAGTACTCTCCCTAGTGTTTAATAACCCCCCTGGCTTGATGAATGGGTGACCATTTACCAAAATGAACTTTAATATTAGAATGAAAGAAATGGTGTGTAAGGAGAAAAGGGAGGAAAAGAGAGTAGATAATGAAGATCTTCAGGGGGGATTAGGAAAGAGGACACCCCTGCATAAAGCTTAGGGGGAAAGGAGAGAGAGAGAGACAGACAGACAGACACACCCCTAAAGACAGAAACTCTCAACTCTTGGTCCACCATGAGTTGCAAAATGGGTCAAGTCAGCTGAGTCTCCATCACTCCCAGGTCTTTGACTCTTCCAGTCAGTAAAACCTGCGAAACCTCACATTGAAACAGCTCACCATGTGACCCATTGGGACAGATGCTCTTCAGACTACAACAGAAGCTAGCTGAGCATTGTCATGCAAAAAGGAGAGAAAATGAAGTCAAGGGCCACCTGGCAGACAGGATCATCCTCATGCTTGTAAGGAGGTAGAGCCTCATGATATCTCACTCACTGCCTTTGTCCATCTCACCGCCTGTTATTGCTGGGTAGAATTTGCCTAGTTTGGGTATGGTAGGATTTTGCACCATCTAATCTGTGGCTAGAGGAAGAGTCTCCTGAAATTTCAGGCACACATAAAAGATTTGTTCTGTATGTAGGTTCCCAACCAGGTTATTGTAAAGGGAAGAGGAACCCAGAGGACCCCCAGGGAGATTGGCACAGATGGCTCACGAAATACCTCTCCAGACTGAGCTCTCCCCCAGAACCACAGCATATGGGGCCACTGCAGACTCTTTCCACCATAGCCAGGACCGTGGTTCCTTTGGAGGCCCCCGTGGCCTCACAGACAGCAGAGATCCCCCGCATGGGGAGCAGCAAACACCTACTATGCACAGGTTCTTTCTGGAAGCTACACACTGGGAACCACAAAATGTTGACAAGGACCTCACCCTAGTCTCCTTCCTTGAGGAACTACTGTACCTAAGACTACACCTCTGCCATTCAAAGAGGGGTCACCCAAGGAAGGGACAACCTTAAAGGTGCTGGATCTCCCACCAGATTCCCTAAGGAGTCAGACTCCCCACTGGAGTCAGACTGTACCTAGCATCAATGCTCCTCTCCATCAGAAAGCCAAGCAGGAAGAGGCACCCAAGGCATCATTTCTGGTTTTGAAACAGGTTCCCTTGTAGCCATTCTCTGATATGGAGTCTTTCACTTTCCTTCTTGAATTGTTTTCATGGCAGAAGCGCATGCCCTGTGGGTAATTTATGGAAGCAATACAGGCATAACCAAGCTTGAGTCCCACTCTCTCCTTTTTGATGAGATTCCCAAACTGGCCCTAACAATTACAAGTGAGAAAGACGTGGCCCTTTCTGTCTCCAGGACCTTTTGAAACAGAAATTAAATCCCTCATTTCCCTTCCTGAAGCTGTGCCTCCCTGGATTGTATAACTGTCTTTTAGGGACCACTTGGGTCAAATCCCCACTGTTTGTTCTTGTGCAGCCCAGGAGCTCAAAATTATTTTACATTTCAATTTTTTTGAAGTCAAAAGAATAGTATTTAATGACACATGAAAATTAGATAAAGTTCAAATTTTAGCGTCCATAAATAAATGCTATGCCCATTCATTTATCTATCATCCACGGATGCTTCACACCATAATGGCAGAGTAGCTGAGTAGCTTGAGTAGCTGCAACAGAGACAGTATAGCCTGAAAACAGAAATATCTGCTCTCTGGCCCTCTATGGAAATTTCCTGCCAATCCCTGGCATTAGAGGACTGGGCCTGGCCTTACCTAATTCTGCCTCCTGCTTCGACACAGCTGTGATTTTTTTTTAATATATAGACATTCTAAGGAAGATACTCCTTCAAAATGTTTGGAGGATAAAACACAAACTCCTTAGCTTGGTATAAAGACCTGAAACCTAACCGCCCCAAGACCCCCCTGCCCTCTTCCAAGCAGTCATTCTGTGGCACCCTTCTCTCAGGACAACGGGAAATGCTGGCTCTTCCTGGGAAGATGATCCTGCTGCCTTGTTCTTCTGAACCTTGGCATCTGCTGCTCTCTCTTCTTTTTTTTTTTCAGTCAGTGTCTTGCTGTGTCACCCAGATTGGAGTGCAGTTCAGCAACCATGGCTCACCGAAGCCTCGAACTCCTGGGCTCAAGCAATCGTCCAGCCTTCCCAGTAGCTGGACTACTGGTGTGCACCACCACATCCAGCTTAATTGTTTATTTGTTCTGTAGAGATGAGATCTTGCTATATTGCCCCAGCTGGTCTTGAACTCCTGGTCTCAAGCAATCCTCCCATGTCGGCCTTCCAAAGTGACACAATTACAGGTATAAGCCACCTGTTCTCCCTTCTTAAACCTATTTTCCATCTCTGGCTACTAAGAGAATTCTTTATCTTTTCGTAAGTCTCATTTTAAGTCTCACTTCTTTTGTAACACTTTTCTCAATTCCTCAAAAATTAGCTCCCCTCCCCCTTGGGCCCCTCGGTGTTCAGGACAGGATCTTGGCTCTCATGATTTGTCTTCACTAACCATAGCCGGCCTTGCTGGGCAGCTGGTTCTGGGTTCTTCCCACTGGATTTGCTACCACCAGACTAATTTCTGGGAGGGGCATTTTTTTCTCCTTGTGGTTATGTTCACAGTACTTACCTTCAAGGCTGGTGCAAAGCTAAGGCTTGGTAAATGTTGACACATGAGAGACCAGAGCTATGATTCTAATGCCATTGCAATCCCAATCTACCAGACACCATTTTGCCACATCAGTTCAACTTGGCGGCAATAGCAGGAAGCTGTGACCAGGGCCTCACACTTCCCTGAGGTAAAATTGAAAAAACATGGAACTTTGGGATATAGGCAAATTGGGGTCTAAATTTCCAGGTTGTGTGATCTTTGAACCTTAATTTCCTCACCTGCAAAATGGGTTATTAATATCCCCAACTTGGCAGAGTTGAGAGGATTAAGTGAAGAAGAGAATGTGCCCGGCACACAGCAGGTGCACAAAAAATGCCAGCTGTCATGCTGATGCTCTGCCTCGGCAACAGCTCTGGGTCTCTTTTGAGAATGGCAGCCGTTCCTCAAGGCACAGCAACTCCAGGGAAGGCCTTGGCCATTGCCACCTCTCCATCATGGCAGAGAAATCTGCATTCACAGCAGTTGGCTGAGTGGCTTCCAATGGAGCCTGGTCTCTCTGGACCCCTGGCCCAGAGACAGAGACCCATAGAGGAGGGGCTGGTGTGAGGCAGCCCTGGAGGCTCCTGGAACCTTATGCCTCTCCTGTTACAGATGCCTGCTTTTGGGGGAGGCTTAGGCAGACAGCGTGGAGTCAGTTTGTGCTCAGAAAGCACCTTTGTCAAAGAGATGCCTCAGCATATTGCCTCCACAACACAGTCTGTCATCTCACCCGGAGCCTGTGCACTGGTCTGGCTGAAGTCAGCCTGGTCAGAAAGCTGCCAGGTACAAGCTCGCTCCCAAAAATGCCAGAGCCTCAAAGAAAGCCCAGGGGAAGGCTGGAAGTTCTCAGTGTTCTTTCCTCTGTCTTCTTGAAAGGGCGTCTAGCATGGCAGAAAAACATCACGGTTCTACAGTTCTCTTCCAGGGAGTAGATAGTCATTTCTTAACACTCTCATCACTACTTAAAAATAACCACCAGGGCTGTGTGTGGTGGCTCATGCCTGTAATCCCAGCACTTTGGGAGGCCGAGGCGGGTGGATCATTTGAGGTCAAGAGCTCGAGACCAGCCTGGCAAATATGGTGAAACTCCATCTCTACTAAAAATACAAAAATTATCCAGGTGTGGTGGTGCACACCTGTAATCCCAGCTACTCGGGAGGCTGAGGCAGGAGAATTGCTTGAACCCAGGAGGCAGAGTTTGCAGTGAGCTGAGATCATGCCACTGGACTCCATGCTGGGTGACAGAGTAAGACTGCCTCTCAAAAACAAACAAACAAACAAACAAACAAACAAACAAACAAAACCACCAAACCAAGAATGAATGATTGATTCTAAAGTGCTGTTCACTTACTATGAGCTAGCAACTACACAGATTGCAGTAGAAGGGTTTCCTAATGAGATCCTCCAAACAGCCCAAGAGGTAGGAAGTAAAATCCCTAATTTACAGATGAGGAAACTGAGGATCTGAAAGACAAGTGATCAAGTTGAGGGTTCCATATCCATGTCTGCTGGTCTCTAGAGTCTTTCTTCCTAATCTCCCAGATCCTCATTTATTAGAAAGGTAGAAAAACGTGGGCTACATCAGAGATGCTGAGACAGAGGAAAAGACTCAAGAGAATTTGAAAGCCATAGGAAAAGCTGCAAACGGACAGTACTTGATCAGAATTCTAGGAATCTAAATGGGATTTTAGAAAAGAGCATGTAACAAGACAGAAGACAGGAAGACAACACAGGTGGATGAGGACATTTGCAAACAAGTGAGGGCCCCTTTGTCTCTACTGATGCGGCCCAGTGACCCCATTACTCAGTCTCCCAGGATGCTCATGAGAAAAGACAATCCCTGACTCCAACCCCAGTTCTAAAGGCCCAGAATTCTCAAGATGAGCCCAGAAAAATGACCTTCGGGGAAGCTCCCACAAATAAGATTTTTGTACCCTTAAGTTTGAAAATTGTATGGGCATCACGTGTGACCCCTCAGTTTCTCATGGCCTCTCTGTCTACCTCTCTCTGGGGTGGAAACTGATTCTGCGTGATTTTTCCTGTTTCTACCATCAGAGCCCTGGCATCTCTCACTACTTTCTGATACACACAAAGTGCTCCACTGCAGGGCAGGCTGGAATCTGGCTTCCTCTGAGCCTACAGCCCAGAAATGTGAGTGAGTTCAGTCTGGTGAAGAACTGGTGGGAAGAACTTTTGATTAAGAGGAGATGGGATGGAAGGGAGCTGGCAGATACACTTCCTCCCTGCTCCTCCCTCTGGCAGGCTGACCTAAGGCTCTGTCTGGAAATGAACAACTGGCAGTGTCTACTGTGAGCTGTGAAGCAGTGGCCAGCTTGGTACTGCATCACTTTGTATTTGCTTCCATCCTCCTCTCTCATCTCTCTGTGCCCTAACTCATGCTGCCCTGGGATTGCAATTCCCAGTAAATAACTACTGCTTCATGCAGGCCATAGGCTCTGGTTTTTCAGGAACATGAGCTAATACAAGAACCAATACTCTAGACTTTACAGTTTGAAGTGTCAGGAATGCATTCAATGTCTTTTGATACCTGATCCCTTCTCACCTCTGAGCCATGGTGTACTGGTAAATGTTTAATAGGCAAGTCTTTGACAGGAAAAAAGCACCGATTTTTAGTATTTGCCAATTTCTGTAGCGTAAATGCCTTCACCACAGCTGACTTTAAGCTACCAATGTAAAATTATTAACTACACAGTGGAAAGATACCTGCAATACCACACTAATACAGGTCGGGTATCCCTAATCCAAAAATTTGAAGTCCAAAATGCTCCAAAACTGAAGTGTTTGCACACCAACATGATGCTGAAAGGAAATGCTCATTGGAGCATTTCAGATTTCTGATTTTCAGATTAGGGATACTCAGTCAATAAATATAATGCAAATATTCCAAACTCTGAAAAACTCTAAATCCAAGACACTTCTGATCTCAAGAATTTGGGATAAGGGATATGAACCCATTAATAGTATTTCTACCAAACAGATAACACAGATATAGATAACTTTGAGGGTCTCAAGAATTTGGGATAGGGATATAAACCTGTTAATGGTATTTCTACGAAACAGATAACATAGATGTAGATAACTGCAAGGGCATAAACAATAAAATACAGTAAAATCACTAGGAAGTGATGATTTCGTTTAGTTTAGTGATGTTTAGTTTGTTTTGTTAGTTTAGTTTAGTTTAGTTTGTTTAGTTTAGTTTAGTGATGATTTGTTTATAATATATTTAGTTGTAATTTTATATAATTTAATTTTAAATAATGGCTGTTTAATAATCAGCTTGCAAAATTCCTGAAAATTTGACAATCTGATTGTATAAGATATTACAAGCAGATGTCAGCATACCACTGTCTCTAAGCTTATTATATCATCCAGTCAATAATATCAAATACCACTTACTTCCTCATGCTTTTAATCATGCTACTCCATCTTTTTTGAAATGTCTTCATTTCCCTTTGAATACCCAGTAGATTCCTACCCAGCTTTTACCACTTAGCTCAAGCTCCCTCCTCAAGGCATACCCTGAAAGTCCACAGGTTTGCCATGATCTGGTTTAGCATGTTGACTGTAGAAAGAGAGTTGTATTGGGTTTCTGCTTTTCACGGTCCCTGGCCATTGTTGCCTGAACCCACAATAATAACCCTGCAGAAGGAGACTGTAAGCTGAGACATTATAGGACCTCTGTGTTAAAAGGATTGGACCCAAGAATTTGTTGGTGGTATTTTCTGATGAAATTGAATATATAACACAAATTATGGGGACAAGGGTTGAGCAAGGAGAGTAGATCCTTGGGCAGCCTTTAAAAAATGTCTCTCTCTTATTCTTCATCTTAAATCAAACACAATTAGACTTACATTTCAGCTACGTGGGTAAATTAGATAATCTCTTGGGTAAGTTAGATAATCTCTCTATGCCATGGGTAAGTTAGGTAATCTATCTATGCCTCAATTTACACATCTGAACAATGAGGATAATTAGTAATAACCACACCATAGAGTCATTGTAAGGACACAACATATATGAAAAGCTTATAATAGTGCTTGGTATGAGAAATGTGATCAATAAGTACCAGCTTTGCTGATTATTTCTGTTACGAGTTTCTACCATCCTTGTATACATACAACATACAACAAGCTTTAAAAAAAAAAAAAATCAAGAGACAGGGGCTTGCTATGTTGCCCAGGCTACACTTAAACTCCCAGGCTCAAGTGATCCTCCCAGGTAGCTGCAACTACAGGCTCGCACCACAGCACCACAGCACCCAGCTCACGTACAAGCTCTTCTCAGCCAACACTCCTTTCAACAGACTTCAGCAAGTGTAGTTTTTTTTATTCAATTCCATTGCTAGTGCCAGCTACATCTACACTTGGGCTGCTGGGGGAGAGCTAAGAAAGACTTTCTTGCCAAGGTAATTTCCCGAAGTTTCTGTTTTTGGAGGAGAAAATTAGACAATGGTCAAGATCAGCAGTTTGAGGGTGGAAGAGGAGAAAATAAGCTTCTCTTTGCCAATGATCCTGTCACAGAATTTTCCAGACTTTCAGGTGTAGAGGGGAAGCAAAAACAGCTCTGGCCATGAGCAAGAAGAAATAGATCCCCCAATAGAGTCAGCCCAAATGCAGAGCACAAAGAAACTAAGATTGTTTTGGTTGTGGGCATTTGTTCTAGTCTACAATTTGTACTTCAGCCCTGCCGTTTACTACTTACGTGGCCTTGGGCGTGTTACAGCCCTAAAGACTCAGCTTCCTCCTCTGCTCAATAGAGATACTAATAGCAGCCAACCCTCAGAGTGTTGCAAAGATTAAGTGGGATGACCTGTGTCATACCTAAACATGATTAACCTCCAGTAATGCTAGTTATGATTCCAAAGACAAAGTTCATGTGCAATTTTTCATTTATTCAACTCATATGTGTTAAGTGCCTACTGTATGCTGAGTGCTCTCTGATGGGCAAAGATATAAGATGAGAAACACAGATGCATCCCAATAAGTTGAGCATTATGAAGGAGACATGTGGGTGCTAAAGGTCCTTAAATCCATGGCTCAAAACTTCATTGGGCACTAAGAGAAGGACTCCTGAGGGAAGTGACATTTAAGCCAAGGCCTGATGGGTGCTTCAGGGAAGGGCAGTGAATGTCTGAGGCAGCCACCAAGAAAATGGTTCAGGGGAAGCACACCAGCTTCTCTCATGCACCTTCACATTTCAGAATGTGACACCTGTCCTGGAAACTGATCACTGAATTGAGCAAACCAACAGGAGACCATCACAGCTGAAGTATCTCACAATTGGAGAGAGTGGGTCTTGGGTTTTTCCTGCCTGTGGGGGGCCATTTTATTAGCACGAGGATTGTTGGAAACAGCCGGAAAGAGTGTGAAAGAGAAATGTGTGCATTTATACTTGAGCTATGCCATGTTGAAAAAGTGAATTGGAAACTATGAACTATAAAGAGAAAGAAGAAAGAAGGAAGGGAGGGAGGCAAAGAGGGAGAGAGGGAAGGAAGAGAGGCTGGTCCATCAACCCACTGTCAAAGAAATATCATGGCTTAAAGTCGCATATCCTTTGCTTTGGCTAATTACATTAATCAGATTTGTCATTTCAAATGATCATAGTTCAGTCCTCTACTTCCTGGAGCTAAAATTAAAAAGCAATATTGGCACTGATTTATATTATTGTTTATTTTCTCACTTAAGAGAGAAGGGAAGATTGGCATCAGACTTTTCGGGAATCAGCTCCATAACACAAAGAGAGGGGAGTATGAGGATAGCTGTGCCCCTGGAAGCAACACAGAATGGGCATTTTCATTCATAGTTGGAACTCAGTCCCAGGCCCTGAGGATACACCGTTGAGTGATGCAGATACTCCATGCCTTTCTAAGCCTTACTACCCAGCTAGGGTTAAATTCAAGAGTCCAGTGGCTTTCTTTGGGAAGACAAAACAAAACAATTTTCCCTGTGGATCTAGGATCTTTAGCCTAGTTCTCATTTGATTATAATAGGGGCTCCTGATTCTTTGGAAGGTATTTGACTTTGAGAGATGATCACAGGCTAACCCTCAGGCTTCCTTTCTCTCAAGTCAAACAAATTATTCACAGAATTTGTTTATTCTTGCCTGGGCACATGCATTTCTTTTCTGAACCAACAGAAACACTACAAAACCCCTTACCTAGGATGTGTCTTTTCAATCTCGCCTGGTGGCTGTGTGTTTGTTTGTGAGCTGTTGACATTGATCTAATTGCCGTTTCTGAAACTACAGTACAGCTTGTTGTACACCAGTGTTGAGCCTGAGGACACTGGCCGTGGTTTGGGCGGGCTTAGCTAGTAACCGGCTTGCACCATCAAGAAGATGGCTGTGGAGGCCCTTGGGTTCCAGCAAATGATGGTTTGTGCACACACTTAACATTCTTCATTAGAATGAACCACTGTTAGAAGCAGACAGCAGTTTGGTTTACCACTTGAATCAGCCCGATCACCCACATTGCAAGAACGAAAAGGCCCCAGTTATTCATGGTCCTCAACAATGTGTATCTCTATGTAAATTCTAAAGGCATGACAACTGGTGAAAAATAAACTGGGTCTTCCAGAGGGGAAGTCTTCGAGTGGCAGGTTTCAAAAGCTACAGGTTCCTCCCCAAGAGGCGCACATCCCTACCTGTTTCTCTGCCTTCCGTTCTACTAGCAAAGCCAGGAAACAAATATTAGGTGATTGAAAAGCTTGAGGCTTCCACTGTTTTATTGACTTGTCACTGCAGACAAACTGACTATAATTTACTTCAAGAGTAAATTACTAGATGTTCATAAAAAAAAAACTGCTGTACATTACTATCTGTAATTAAGATGTTAAGCATGATTCCATTTTTAAATTGGAGAAGCCAACGGAAATGAAAAATGCTGATGATGCTATATTTCACTCTAATTTTTCTTTCCCTCCTCTTGATTCTATCAATTTATTGTTTAGCTATCTGGTTGGCAGATGGGATAAAACAAAGCATGGATGCTTGAAAGTTCTCCTACCATAACACTGCTGCTTTGGTTTTATTTGTGTTGTGTTGTGTTTCTCTCCTATATCTATGTCACCTTTTTTGAGACAGGGTCTGGCTCTGTCATCTAGGCTGGAGTGCAGTGACACAATCACAGTTCGCTGCAGCTGTGAACCTCTGGGGCTCAAGCAATCCTCCTGCTTTAGCCTTCTGAGTAGCTGGGACTACAGGCATGGGCCACCATGTGTGGCTGATTATTTTTAGAACTATTTTTGTAGAGATGGGGTCTTGCTACTTTGCCCAGGCTGATCTTGAACCCCTGGCCTCAAGCAATTCTCCTGCCTCGGCTTCCCAAAGTACTGGGACTACAGGTGCACCTGGGCCAGGTGCACCACTGTACCTGGCCACCAACAGTATTCTTAAATGAAATTCCATGTCACATATTACTTTGGAGACATTATTGGTTAAATCATGAAGTGAAAAGGATTTGAGATGAACGCGAAGAGACAGGAAGCCTGTGTAAGCCTCCATCTGGACATTTCAAATTAAGTTGAACAAATACAATGTTGAAAAGGAAACATACGAACGAACAAAAAGCAAGCTGAAAAAAAAAAAACCTGAACTATTTTGTTTTTCTACAACTGTATGCAATTGTGGAAGCTGTTGAAGGATCCCAGGAACTATCAGTCCAAAATATGATGCAATGGTTTGCTGACTACTTCAAGCTAAAGGCATTTGAGAAATAGCAAATGCACAGAAGGTCTTTTTTTTTTCTTTCTGAATCTCCCTTACCTAACTAAATGCACATTTTCCATAAGATACTCACTGTCATGAAAATCCTCCTGAGGAATTTTTATATCTATCTGGGAAGATTAACACACAACAGGAATGAGCCTAGAAGTCACTGGAAATTGGCTACTCATCCAGAGAGGCCACTGCCTATTCTTCTGAAAGCCCATTCACGTTTTCATAATCCCTAGGTCACCTCCACTACCCTCCCAACTCCCCTGTGAAGGACGCCCTTCAGTGACGAGGTGTGGCGGGAAATAGGGGGAACACACAGAGCAGGACTACCTAACTGTTTTGGAGAAATTCAACAGCCATGTAGGTCTTTTTGGTTCTCAACTGCATTCAAGGTTTGCTCTACCCATCCTTGCCTAGGGGATTTCATCCACTCTGCTACCTCAATGCTGTCCTGCCGTCTACAGCTGCAAAACTTAGATTTTTAGTCTAAGTCTTTGCTTTCATCCCAAGACCTGTATCTTTAACTGGCTCTCTGACATATCAAATTCCACATGTGATGAAATCTTCTGGGTCACACTGGGCTCATGGGCACACATTTCTCTTCCACATGATGCCCCTTACACATTAACAGAATTTGTATGCTTTTCTCTTGTTCATCTGCCTATTGCTGGTGTATTTTAAACATTTTTTTTTCCTAGATGTCCTTTATTAAGTGATAAAATTTCCCTCTCTTCCTAGTTTGAAGTTTTCTTTCTTTTTTTTTTTTATATATACTTTAAGTTTTAGGGTACATGTGCACAACGTGCAGGTTAGTTACATATGTATACATGTGCCATGTTGGTGTGCTGCACCCATTAACTCGTCATTTACCATTAGGTATATCTCCTAATGCTATCCCTCCCCCCTCCCCTCACCCCAAAACAGTCCCCGGTGTGTGATGTTCCCCTTCCTGTGCCCACGTGTTCTCATTGTTAAATTCCCACCTACGAGTGAGAACATGCAGTGTTTGGTTTTTTGTCCTTGCGATAGTTTGCTGAGAATGAGGGTTTCCAGCTTCATCCATGTCCCTACAAAGGAAACATTTTACACTGGAACCTTCAGGAAAGGGAGCAGGAATCTCCACTGCCCCTACAATGTCTTGAGGAGAAGAAGAAAAAATGGTCTTCAAAGCCAAATAAAAATTAGAAGAATTATCCACACACTTCCGAATGAAACTCAATGGACTGAGAAGAGAGGAGACGGTGTGTTTGGATGTTTGACAGGAATGACCTCCAAAGCTAGGATTAACCAAGAGTAACTATTTGCCTTCATTTATACAGAAAATATTTGTTGAGCACCTGAAGTATTGCAGGGCACTCAGCTGGGTACAAGCGAGCCAAGAGTAGACACAACAGTATCTCTGGTTCAACATGAGCCGTTTGTCCCCAGGCTCACAATCACTTATGTTTGCAAGCTCAAAACCACTGGGCAGCTATTACCTCTTGTTGGTCTTCAGCGTTCTAACACATTCCTTGCTCTACTTGGAAAACATTCCCCCTTTCCATCCCTATTCCCTTAACTTCTCAAGACATAATCCTGCTCATCCCTAAATATTCAACTTAAAACATGTAATATTCAGACCACGTCTAGTCACACCATTCTGTTCCCAGTCTTTACGGTACTTGGCATAATTGTAATGAATTACTTGTGTAAAGCTCATCTACACCAACGAATTGTGAAGCAGTACAAAGACATGGACAAGGTTTGTTTTGTTCCCATTGATAGTCCCAGCATCTCACTGCCTTAAACAATAGTTTCTTCATAGATGATGTGACCCGTGAATGAATAAATGGATGGAAGGATAAGGAAATGGCAAGTGAACTCCCTCACCAGCTCCAGGACCTATAGGAGTCAGAGATATAGTTATTACCCTTGGGAAAAATACATTTTGTAGGCTTAAAGGCCCATTGTCTAACCAGACCACAAAACATTTCTTTACATCATCTACACCCTGGCTGCCAACTAACACCACAGAAGGTCTTTCAGCCTTGTCCCTGAACACAGACCTAAGAACACAAATTTCTCAACATCTGTAGACCTCGGACTCCAGGCTGAAGTGCCAAGATCTCTCTAATCCTCATTCTTAATCCCCCATGCTTTGGAGAAGGCCACCCACTCACCACAAAGCTGTTGTCCAGGGCTCCAACTCAGTATTGTACTCACTCCTAGGAAAACAAGTGGAAGATGAAGAGGAGACATCATCCCACCCAGGAAGTGGGTCTGGTTATGAGACCGTCATACTTGCCTGCCTGGATTCAGGCCCCTCCCCAGGTCCAGAAAACAGAGTAGATCTTTCCCTTCTTTTTCAGATCCAAATCAAATTCAAACAAAACAAAAGCAAAAATCCTTCAGGCCTCAATTTCAAATTCAAATGTGTCTACTGGTCAGCAGGTTCATTTGTGCCTCCTCCTGTCCATTCATCCGTTCAGCAAATATCAAGTCAGTGTTACATCTAGGCTTGCACTAGGTGGTTATACTATGGAAACAGACAGCAGAACTTACGCTCAGGAGGATTTATCGTACGGGCTGAAGGCTGTACCCATAAAGCACTGGACTTTCCAGACACCAAAGCTAAACCTCAATCTGGCAGGTAAAGGTTTTCAACTGGATAACTCAAGTAACTCTGAAAACTCTAGAGCTTAGTGCATCGTCTCATGTGACAGCCGCTGCCCATGTGTGGTTACAGAACACTGGCAATGTGGCCAGTGTGTCTCTAGAACTAAATTATTAATTTTGTTTGACTCTAACTACTTTGTGTTTAAATTTAAAAACTGAAGCAGTGAAAATATTGTTTCTTTCTGTTAAGTACATCTTTATTGTTGTGGTCAAACTCCATTTCACTTTAACCTTATTGAACATTTAGAATCCAAATTGAGATATACATCAAATTTTAAAGACTTGGCACCAAAAAAAAAAAAAGATTTGTGAAATATCTCAGTAATACATTTTTTATAATGAGTATGCATTGATATCATAATACTTTTGATTTATGGCATTTAAAATAATATTAAAAATCATTTTAGCTGTTTCTCTTTACTTTTTTAAATGAGGCTGTTACAAAATTTAAGATTTAAAATGTGGCTTACATTATATTTCTTATTGGACAGCTATAGATGTCTTAATAATTAGCTAGCAAACACACACACACACACACACACACACAAACACACACACGTGTGACCACTGAGATGTTCTCAGGGAGTTTTCATATCTGATTCCTTACACTCACCTAGCAATTCTGGTTGAGAAGTAAAAAGCCTTCTACTCCTTTTTAATTTCACATCCAAAAAGTATCATCCAAACTCCTCAGGACAGGATCACCTGTGATCATTTTTGGATGTTGGGAAAGCCAGCCTCAAACTATTAGCTTAGGTTTGAAGTTTATTCTTAATCTAGTTCATAATTCCACGTATTTCAAAGGAAAAAAGAGAGACCTTTCAGGCAGGTGGGATGCATTTCAAGTGGAGCAGACCCTGCTTTCAACAGATTCCCTCCCCCATGGCCACTGCCGCCCCTTCAGGCCTCCTGGGATTTCTGCTAAGTGGCTTTCACTACATAATTAAATGCAAAGTCCTGGCAGGGCAGCGTTCCTCCTCTTTACCTTAGCAATTTTTTGTTTTGTTTTGTTTCAGGAGAAGACGGAAGGAGTATTTCTTGGTCCTAGGAAGTGTGCCTGCCTTGCTGGAAGACTTCTTTTTTGCATTTGTTACCTAGAAGTTTCTTTCTTCTAGTTGCGGGGGAGAAGGAAAGAAGAATTATGGGGAAGAAAAGTGAGGAATCAGTTTATAGCCGAATAAGGTCAACAGTGTCAACTGGGGACCCAGAGATAGGCAAGGGGGAAGTAGCTATGAACTGGGCACACTGGTTTACTTAGAAATAATACATCTTTGAGCCTGATAACTTCCCTGATGGAAGAAGACTTCCACTGGGCACATCCTGAAGAAGCCGCACTGTTTACAAAGTACTGTCACCCACAGCGCCTTCTTTTGTCCATGTGACAACTCTCGGGGCATGGAGCACCCTGTGGCAGCCCACAGTGGTCCGACCCACCCATCTTCTTTGTTAATGAAAGTCAGGATTTTATTCAGGTCTGCCCAGACAGTGTGGCTGTGGGGAAATCTGGCAGATCCCCAGCCCTGTGGAGCATGTGTGGGGTGAACCTTGACCAGTCCAAACCTGTAATGGTTAATTGCATAACCAAGGCCAACCATTGACAGAGGGATGGACGCCTGACAATTGCAGCCTATTAACTATGTGGGGAAGCGACTTCTGCAAAACATTCCTTGCTCTTACGAAGGAATAAAGGGCTGCACACTCTCTGCCTCTGGTTTTGGGTGGGCTGGTGTAAAAAATGTGGTACCTCGAACCTTACACATGTCTTACATCTGAAGCTTGAGAATGGTGGAGCTGGGAGAGGGCAAGAGTCCGGGCCCTGACATCATTCAGCTGTGGAAATAAACAGCTTTGCAAGGGCACCTACCCTTGGACTTCTTACGGGAGATAACTAGTCCCAGGGTGTTCACACCATTCAGAGCCAAATTTTCTGCTACCAAAGACCCAAAATACCCAGTTACAATCCTCTACGTTGCCTCTGCAAGCTGGGTCTATGGGAGTTGAACCCGGCCCAATTACCTGTTTTTGTGGAAAAAAGAAGCTTTATTGAAACACAACCAGGGGCATTCATTTACATATTGTCGATGGCAGGGTTGAGCAGCTGCAGCAGAGATCATGTGGCCCTTGAAACCTAAATGATTGACTACCTGGCCATTTACAGAAAAGGTCTGCTGACCTGGGACTATGATATCACAACTCTCCCTTACCTCCCTTTCACTCAGTGATATGGTTTCGCTGTGTCCCCACCCAAATCTCACCTTGAACTGTAGGTCCCACAATCTTCACGTGTTGTGGGGGGGGGGACCAGTTGGGAGGTGACTGAATCATGGGGGTGGTTACCTCCATGCTGTTCTTGTGATAGTGAGTTCTCATGAGATCTGATGCTGTTATAAGGGGCTCTTTTCCCTTCGCTCAGCACTTCTCCTTCCCGCCTTCATGTTGCTTCCCCTTCTGCCATAATTGTAAGTTTCCTGACGCCTCTCCAGCCATGCTGAACTCTGAGTCAACTAAACTTCTTTCCTTTATAAATTACCCAGTCCCAGGTATGTGTTTATTAGTATAAGAATGGACTGATAAACTTAGCAGGCTCAGGGATGTTGAAAACCCTATACTGAGAGCACTATTCTGAAATATTCCGAGGTAGGCAGTATTTTCTCCCACTTGATAGATGAGGAAACTGAAGTTCAGAAAGAGACAGTCTCTTGCTTCAAGTCACACAGCTAGAAACTGACAGGACAAGGATTGGACATCAAGTCTGGCAGACTCTAGGCCATGCACAATTCACCCTGCACTGATAGACCCTGGGCCACTCTGATCCTCCTGGCTCTTAGGTCTAGGTTTGTGTATTAAAAACAAACAAACGCAACCAAACAAAACCCAACCAACTCACAGGTAATTCTGATCTGCATCCAGAACAACATCTCTGTAGATCATCAGTTTCTTTTTTTTAAAGAAATGTACATATCCATATATCTGTAAGGACCAATTAATTGCCAACACTCTGCCATTAGAGATACAAAGACAATCCCCATGCATCAATATAGGACACAGTTTCATCTTTGTGGCACTTTTAGACCAATGTGGGACAGATTAATCTTAGGGTCTTACAAAAGGCTGTAAGAGCTGAGGGAATGGTCGGAGGGGCCTGGGCTGGGATTCACAGCAGGGAGTGGGGACTGTACTGCAAGACCCCCAGTCCTCCCTGTTGATGGCCCAGTGGATCCGTGCTGAGCTGACGGAGTGATGGTGCTTCTGGGAAGGAAGGGCCCATGGGAGCATCTTGCCCACCTTTCAGTGCTAACCAAACCAACCATCTCTGGAGGGTTGATCCTGGACATGCATTCCTTTCACTCTGCACCCTCGTGGCCATTTGGCCCTCCTGACCACGCCACAAGTGTGGATCTTGGGGGAAGAAGCCAAGGTTCAAGAGCAAAGTGTAATGTCCCCCATCCCCCAGCCTGAGTTAGTGGATGAACCCTGAACTGGAGTCTACTTGGCCTGAATCCTTCATCTTGGTGAGATGTGCAGGGCCCTAAGGAACCTCCAGTTCCCGACTCCTTCCACACTTCATGGAAATGGGACTCTCACCCGGAGGGAAAAGGCCTTTGGAACCCTGTGGTTTGATTTCCAAATCCTCTTTGGCTGCTGAAGCTTTTGAGGCTCTGATGGATGTAGGGACCCTCTTTCCAGAAAAATGGACTTGGATAGAATCTTGAATACCTCTTAGGGCATTTTATAGAGTCCTGGAAGGTAATCTTTTGGCTGTCTGGGATGAAGTAAATGCATATAAAGAAAGACTACCTACAATTGAGATGCAAACATTAGGTGGGGCATGGTGGCTCACGCCTGTAATGCCAGCACTTTGGGAGGCTAAGGCAGGCAGATCACAAGGTCAGGAGTTCGAGACCAGCCTGGCCAACATGGCGAAACCCTGTCTCTACTAAAAATACAAAAATTAGACAGGCATTGTGGCAGGAGCTTGTAATCCCAGCTACTTGGGAGGCTGAGGCAGGAGAATCGCTTGAACCCAGGAGACAGAGGTTGCAGTGAGCCAAGATCGTGCCATTGCACTGTAGCCTGGGTGACAAGAGCAAGACTCCACCTCAGAAAAAAAAAAATGCAAATATTAGCTAGAGGGGTCACTCATTCAATCTGAGTTTTGATTACTACCTTAGTTTGATTATACACATACACAGATACATCCACATACTGTCAAATCAACTGAGAAACGGATCCATAGAAGCCACAAGGCAAGGGATTTTTTTGTTTTATCTTTTTGCTTTTTCTTTTTTAAAAAAAGTAAGTAAAAAAAATGACCAATGATATTAGCAAACTAGTTTTGTCTGTTTGTATATTTTTCCTGTCCTGATCTGGGTCAAATTTAATGAGAATTAAATAAAGTGAGGGCTTCAGAAGGTGAAGCATGGCCTCTCCCCACTGGGCTTGGCACAAGGCCTTGCTGGGTATCTCCTCCCTGCCTACCATCGCCTCCATGAGCAGCTCAGTGATCTGCATTTCCAATAAGTAAATCCCATCTACAGGGCAACAGGCTTTCCTATGTCTAGGGAGATGTGTGCAAAATACCTTCTAGTCCTCAGAAATGGAATCTTCCACCTGCCAGCTAATGTCTCTTTGAGTTCCCTATTTATTTTTATAAGGCTCTAAAGGTGAATTTTCTCCTGCGTCGCAGAGCTGAAAGTTAAGCTTAATGTACAAATCTTTATTTTCCAAAGAGGCAGGTTGGCCTTCTTGTATCGACAGACTCCAGAGCTTAGATTTATTACAGAATGATAATCAGGCAAAAGAATAAATAAGCTGCATCTTTAATTCATTAATCACCTCGGAAAGCAAAATGAACTACAGTAAAGAGGACAATATGTTTTCAAATGTTGGGGGTGGGGGAAGAGGGAGTCTGTTTCTCAATAAAATCCAGTCGCTAAAATCCATTTTGCATGCAGATTAGAGAAAGGGCATTTTACCTCTGCGGCTGTAGTTCAGATAGGAGCTGGAAGCTCTGCAAAGGAAGTCTGGCAGGGATGGGTGTCTGTGGATGGCCCCTAATGGTCCCTGGTGTCTTCCACTGGGTTCCTGTTGTAACTCACAAGATGACCCACAGGCTTATTAAGAGCCCAGGTGTTGGAATCAGACAGACCTGGGTTCAAATTCCTGTTCTATCTGGAAAATGGGAAGGCCTGTAGGGAGCCTTCCTAATTCATTTATTGCCTTGAGACATGTCTACCTCATGGTAGGTGAGTCTGAAGGTCTTTTATCTTCTCAACATTTCACTTCACCAAATTCTCATTAAAACAGGCATACACTGAGGCTAGAAACATGAGGTAAAAATTAAACATCAGGTTTTTTAGTGGCCACATGCACTTGAGCACTGTTGGAGATATCATCCGGTTTCTGAGTCTTGGATCTGGCCTGCAATACTAAATAGTTGCTGTTATTTTTGCTGCTGTTCCTGAGTCCTTGCCACCTGAAAACTAGAAATTTGCTGCCTTTCCACCTTTTAGTGGACCTACAAATTGAGAAGTAGTAAGTGAGCATCTTGAACCCTTCAAGACAACCTTCAGAATCAAGGCCTGTGTAAACATCTAACAGAAATGGCAATAATAGATCATGTTTACTGAGCACTTCTAGGGGCTTTACGTAGATTATCTCCTTTAATCCTTACAAGCATTCTTCAGAACACTGAGTCTGTTACTGTGCCCATTTTACAGATGAGAAGAACAGATCCAAAGAGGTTAAGCCCCCTCATGCAAGTTTATGTCACTAAATTAGTCAGCTAGAAGGTTAAGCATGTCTACCATGTACTGAGCACTTCCTGCCTAAGTCCCTGCAGGATCTCATTCATTCGTAGCAACAATCTAGAAAGACAGGTCTCACTATTCCCACTTCACCTAGGAAGCCAAACAGCCTCAGAGAGTTTAAACCAGAGTTTCTCAGTCCCAGCATAATTGACATCGAGGGTCGGATAACGCTTTGTGGGAGGGTCTTCCCTGTGCATTGTAGAATGTTTAGCATTATCCCTCGTCTCAACCTCACTGGAGGCCAGTGGCCCCCCTGCCTTGAGTCTTGGCAACCAAAAATGCCTTCAGACATTGCCAAATGTCCCTGGAGGAGCAGCATCCTCCAGTTGAGACCCATTGCTTTAAACAGGTGAGTTTCTCTGGATGGCAGCTGCAGAGCTGGGGATGGGATGTGGTCTTTAACTCCTCTATCAGATTGTTTTCCAAATCCTGCTTTAGTTACTGAAGGCAGAGGTTCTCAAGTGCTCAAATGTGGTCCCTGTTCCAATATCACCTGGAAACAGGTTTGAAACGTAATTCTCAGGCTCTACACTCAGACTGCCTGAATCGGAAACTCGGGGTGAGGCCATGCAATGTGTGATTCTGATGTTCACTGAAGTTTAGAACTCGTGCCTTAGAACAGTGCTTCTTAGCCTTAGCTACACAGTACAGTCACCCAGGGAGCTTTGAAAAAATTATTGATGCCTGGGTACCACCCCAGGATTATTTAATTGATCTGGGCTGGGGAATAGGCATTTGTATTTGAAAAGCTTTTCAGATGATTTTCACAAGTGACCAATGTTAGGAACCACCAACCTAGAGGGAGCTGTCCCCGGCTCTTAGGGAGGCAGGGGTCAAAGTAAAACAAGTTAAATACAAACAATTGACGTTGGCTTCATGATCCATCAGCTGGAATCCGGGAGGGATGCAGCAAAGACCAGGTGGTGGGATCCTTTGCTGTCAGCTTCAAACCACAGCCCCCAAAGCCCCACTCCTGTCTTTGTTCTTTTTTTTTTTTTTTTTTTGGATCTTTCTTCCATTGATTTATCTAAATTTCTTCAGCTGTTTGGAAGCTATTTATTTAGACTCTACACCAGCTCAAAAGGTTAAGAAAGCCATTAAATTGACAGGTTGATGCTTTTCATGCTGTTGGACATATCTGCAAGGTAAAGGAATTATTGCTTTGGATGGAAATAAGATTTACCTTTCTTTCTAACACTACCTAAGCATCCTTCTGGGCTCTGCCTAATCTAACCCCTCCCTCCAGCCCTGGCCTTCCAAAATGTCCTGTTATCCCCCCATCCCTCCTCAGCTCTTTGCTGGCCTATCTTCTCCCCAGTCTTTCAGATTCCAAAGCCATTTCCTTATTAACCCAGCCATGTTCCCTCCTATCCTATTCCCTATAGCCCTGGAGCATCCTATCACTTCTTCCTGGGTATCCATAACCTCTCCATTTTCCAAGATCTTTCTTTGACATCTCCAGCCCACAGCCATCTCTAACTTCTCTGCTTAGTTTGTGCTTACCACCAGACTAGCAATAGCAGATATACATTTGATACTCCTGTGTTGAAATCGTTCATCTGGGAAGCTCACGCAATGGTGTGCCGCTAGGTGTTTAACAACTGGCTCTATGGGTGGGTCAGGATAAGGAAACGGGCTCTGATTTTACAGCATTTGTATTCCCTTCTGCAAATATTCCCACGATGGCCAATTTCATGCTACCAGTGTAAAGTCCCCAGATGTGGAATTGAGAAGATACAATACAACTGGTCCTTCTGAGCCCATGCCTATGGGCATACTACTGACAGTCAATCCAGCAAACATTTACTGGGAATATGTTCTGTGCGAGTTTCTGTGCTAAATGCTGAGCGTAAGGAGGAAAAGAGCAGCCAGCTGGTATTGGCACTTAACAGATGCCGCCTGGGTTCCTTCATTTAACCTGTATAAGAATTCCATCAGATCTGTTCTAGCATTCTCATCTGAAAGGTGAGGAAACCAAGCGTCTATAGAGGGAAAGTGACTTTCCCAAAGTCACAAAGCTAGAAAGGTCTGGCACTGATGACTGTGTAGTTTGCTCCACCCTGAGGAATCCCCACATTTCCAGTTAAAAAAAAAAAAAAAGTGATCCTTTGCTACATCCAAGACTGTCTGAGCTGACATTTCCTTAGAGAGAAGTACATCTCATAGATATTCAAATTTGGCTGCATAGAACTTAGTGTCCCAGGGGGATGAGCGGGAGGGAGGAAGGTCTAAGAACTTGAAGAATCAGCTCCACCCTCAGTGGCTTCCAACTTCTCTTTTACATAGTGATCCCAGATACACTTTCATTTTCCAAAACGGCTCCTCTGCAGAAACAAAACAAAATAAAACCGGTATGAAAACGTCTGATTCATGCCAAATCCCTAAATTTATGGAGGTGGTAACTGAAGCCCAGGGAGCTTCTAGTGGTCATTTCCACCACTCCATAATTCTTTCTAGCCTGGTGCAGTATTAGCATACTACAAGAAAAAAACATCTCAGCGGAATTTTTTTTTTTTTTTTTTTTTTTTACAAATGCACCAAAGCCCAGTACTTCCCCATAAAATGGGAAACTGTTAAGGCAAAATTTTAAGCATGCCAAGAACTGCATCCTGTAGGCCAAACGTAGTGGGTTCAAATCTCTCTATCCTCTGCTCTCCTAGGTTCAGGCAGGATAGATCTACAGGTCTACAAGGTTTCCAGCCTTGGCATCACCAGCTTCTCTTAACCCAGTCAAATCTAGATTCACGAAGGAGCTCCAACTGGACCCATGCTGGAAATGCTTTTCAGCCACGTTGAACAAAACATGTTTTACATCATTTCTTTGCAGGAAGTTTTGTCCCTGCTTCCAGGACTTCCCCCAAGTGCAACAAGGTCAAAGAATTAGAACTGCAAAATCTCCCCCTTTCTTTGCCAGCCCCTGCCCCTGCCTGACTCACTCTTCATTTTCCTTCTCCTAAGAAAAGACTATGACTGCATTGGTGTATTTTAAGATATAACTCACAAATTAAAAACTGAAAGAAGAAACACATTTTTCTGTCAATGGCTTAAGGGGATTCCACCTCTAAGCTGCTGCTAAAGCTTTTTCAGTCTTTTTTACATTTGTAGCATTTTGGAGCAATTTGCTGGAGTCAAAGAAAACAGTGAAATTTCCACAACCAACTTCAAAGCCCCCAAATCCTGTATCGGTGGAGGGGAGTCTGGTAGCAACACCACAGGGGCCGTTTTTCAAAGAGGTGTGTGGAGGGACGTGCCAGGCATTTTTGCCCTGCATCTGCGATTGATGTTAATGGCAGGCACGTGACCAAATCCCCATGTAGTTCTTTGAAAAATGCCCCTCCCTTTCTTCCCCCAACACTTTTGGCTGTGACAATGCAGATGATACAGAAAAATCCTAGAACAGAGGAACCGCTGCCACAGCTCAATGAACAATACCGGCCTTAATTCAATTAACGCACATACGTCTCTTTTATCTGGTGGAGAGCTCAGAGCAAATTCAGGTTGATCAGGAGGAGGGGCTACCTGGACGGTTTCACATTTGAAAATGTTTTGCATTTGAAAAATGAATTCTAGGCAGAAGTGGCTTCAGAGGAGGGAAACATGCCAAATGCCAGGCACTGACCACTTTAGTTCATTCCTCTCTTGAGTTTCAGCCTCCTGTTTTCACGCCTTATTTGGCCTGACCTTCGAATTTCTTCTTGATCTGCGCCCTGTCTACCCATCTTGGCTTGTGTCCGAGGCAATCCTTCCTCCCCAACTCACACACATAAACACACTGTTTATTCCAGCTATATCCAAAGTGCTGTATTGAATTAAAATTCCCAAACATGAAATGTGTATAAAAAGGTGTTATGTCTGTGAATAGTCTGTGCTATAAGATGCTATAAATATTAGCTGCTTAAGAGGTTACCCAATTTAAATGCTCACAATGGTGTATGGAGACTGCCAATCATTCTATGTTCTAGCCAAAAGAAAATATCATTATTATGTGGTTGTGAGGAAGGTTGAACATTGTTTCATAATGTTATTGGCCATTCATGTGTATTTTTTTTCCCCAAAAACTGTCCATTCTTCTCTGGACATTTTCCTATTAGGTCATTTATCTTCTTATGGATTTCCAGGAGCTATTTATATTAAGGAAATTAGGTTTTTGACTATCTTGTGGTTGCAACTTTCCCCACTTAGTGTTTTCATATTTTTGTTGTGTTTTTGTTTTGTTGTGCTTTTGCTCTGCATAAGTTTTAAATGCTTATGTCATCAAACTTACCGAGCCTTTGCTTTACAGCATTTGGGTTTTACATCAGGCTAAGGAAAATCTTCCATATCCCAGATTAAAAATCTAGGTTGCTTTTGATACTTTTGAAGCTTTTGTTTTTATGCATGGTGTTTACAAAATGGTTACACCCCTCCTGTTCACCTCATAAACCCATGTTTGAAAAATTCCCCGCCCTTTCTTCCCCCATATCTTCTGGAAAGCATTGATCAAACAGGACCAGCATTTATGTTTTTAACTGTCTTAATCAATAATAAATCTTGAAAGCAAGAATGCGTTTTATTTGTTTCTATATCCTCAGCACCATGTTCATTTTCTACTGTATAGGTAATACACAATAGATATTTGTTCAATGAAATCTTAAAATAATTAAAGCTTAATAACTTTGACAACAAACCAGTCAGAGAAAAAAAGACGAACTTTCTAATATATGTCCAAAGAAGAACATTAAGTAATAGCACTAGTGCAGACTACATTTAACAGGCTGTCCAGGAAAGGAAACTTAGTCTGCAAAAGTGACAAGGAAATGTCAGGCTAGGGGTCTTTTGAAAACCTAGAACAAAGTTAAGAGAATAACTTCTAATTTTGACAGATTGCAAAGATGTCATCTTGGTCATTTCACAAACTTTTACCAGGCTCTTATCTCCCGTTCGTTTGCCTGTTTGTGTACCTAATTGCTTATTCAGGTATACCGTGCCGCATTCTGGAAAGGATCTGAGACAGCTACTATGTGCTACTCACCGATACAGGGCTGTGTTGGACACAAAAATAAATGAGGCGTGAACTTCACGCTCACAGAGTTTAGCGTCCAAGAGGAGATGAGAAATTTAAAACGTAATTGTCTTACAAGGCAGAGTGAAGAGTGCCTTTGGAGCAGGCCCACTTTTGTGTGGTTTAATACTATGCTTTAGAGGAGAATCAATGAGTCTGACAGTGTGCGATCAAGTATCTTGGTTAATTCCAGCCAGCACCATTTTCCCTCAGTCCTGTTTCTACTTTAGCCCCAATCACACAGTAAATAAGTGTCTGATGATGACAAATAAATAAATATTTTATTGGTATCTGCAGAAGTCTGTGCAAATAATTTGGGAATACCTCCATCCTTGTGACTTGATAACTAAATACATTATTCTCTTTTCTCTGCAGAATGTTTTTAAAAACACCATCAACACCGTTAAAATGAGCCATTCTAACACCTCAAAATCGTCTATGCATCTCTCTTAGTTCAAGTGCTGGCTCTGGGATGAACTGATCACTTCACTGATTTCGTGAGACCCATGGAAGACCTCTGACCATAGCTCAATTGACCCATTTTCCAAAAGAGAAGAGTGAGACTCAGCAGGGCAATCGGGGGAATGTGACCTACCCAGGTCACATGGCTGCTTTAGTGGCTAAGTCTGGCTTCAAACTGAGGCTTCTAGACACCAACTTCAACTCACTTTCCCTGGGCACCTTACCTGACTGCCTTGGGCTTGCTTATAAAGAATAGCATTGATGTCAATGAAGAACTAGGAAGGGCAGATGAAGCAGGGGAAATGCAAAGCAACTGTTCATCCCTTTCCATTTTAAACTGGACCTCAGACATGCTGAGTTGTAAAACTCAGAGTAAAATATGGGAAATTCACCAGCAGCTTCTTGCCTTTCTGGGTTTCAGTAGATAACTGTGTCCCTGGGGTTCTTCTACTAGGAGTTCTCAATCCTAATTGTACATCAGAATCACTGGGAATTTTTTTTTTTTTTTTAATACTGATGTCTGAGCCCCAACGGCCACTAAAGGTTCTTGATTCATGTGGTCTGAGGCACGGCATCAATGTTTTTAAAGTCCCACAAACCAGTCTTTAGATTCAGAGACCCGTTTATGCCCCAATCCTACTCACTCCTCTCTTCTAAAGGGGTGCACATGAATCTCAGTACAAGTTTCCCTCTCCCCTATTGTGAAGTGGTCATTGCCCAAGCCTTACCCAATGCCATGACCCCATTATCAGAAAAGCAGGCAGCTGACCATGAAGGCCCACCCTTGGCTACTGCTGATTGAACAAGAGATATACACCTGACTAAGAGGAGACAGTCAGCTATCTTTTCTGACAATTCCTATAACCCCATTTTCAGAAAATCTAATGAAGCAGGCAAGGGGCCATGAGGACTCACTCTTAGCTACTGCTGACTGGACAAGAGATGAACACCTGACCAAGAGGAGCCAATCAGCTATCTTTTCTGAGAATTGGAGCTTAGAGACTCTAGCCAACCTCTGCTGAGGGTTTCAAAGGAACTGGCATGTTTAGGGTGGGACCCAGGGGTGATGGTGGGAATAATTTGTACTGCACAGTAGAGAAGGCCTGCCTGCTTTCTGGAGGTAGAACAAAGCAGATGTGCAAAAAGAGAAAAGGGAGGAACGTGGGACAAAGAGAATGTACCTTCATCCCCAATTTTTCCCGCTAGCCAGCTTCTATTTTATATCCTTAATAGATACCTTCATACCTATAACAAAGGAACAGAAACCTGAAAGCATAGTTTTTATATCCAAAGAATCCCTGGCCAAGACCCTAGGAAATTAACACATTCTTATACTACCTCTGCTTTCCTTGGAAGGCTCATTCCATCACAAATGTCTGGGTCAATTTAATCAGTGATCCTGGATTTTCTACAAGAACAGAGAGTCCTAAACCGGGGTCCTGAAATCCCACAGGGAGCCTATGAACACAGTAAAGGTACTCATGAGCCACTCCCACTATTAATGGGAATAATGACCTTTACCCCACTGTAAAAACCTATAGGGTTACCCTCATAAGGTTTTCTTATCTTCTGAGTATACATCAATGGAATTGTATCACTGCTCTTGCTTTTCTGATTAATAAAATGAATACAAAGAATGACAAATGAATTTTTCAGATAATGGTTTCATGGGGAGAGATTAATAAAAGAGTCCTGTGGTACTAAAAAAAAAAAAAAAAAAAAAAAAAAAAGGACCAGTACTTTAGGCAACCATTTTTCAAAAGTGCCCCATACAATGTGAATTCCATCAGGCGATTGATTAAAAAACTGGTTCCATGTTCTTGGAAGTTTGAAAGATACCATATACCACCTGAGCTGGTCCTTCCCCACGGAGGGTCGTCATGCATGTTAGTATACAAAGCCTCTGAGGCGGATGATAGCAAGATTAAATGTTTAACTTTCTCTGACCCTTAATTTTCCTAAATTGTTTGACCACAAAACTCCCTAAGCACAACTTTATTTATTTTTCAGGAGGAGTGCTATTTTTTTTTTTCAGAGGAGGGCAGCTATAAACTAACGTTGTATGTTTTTCTTAGTTTTCCAATCTTGAAAAACTTAAAGTGTAGGAGGGAAACGTCCAATATCATAACGGCAAAGTGATTCTAAAACAAACCAAGGCTTGCAAGGTGTCAAGGTCAAATTTTTATTCCATATAATATTGTCCAAGGCCAAGCATGGCAGAGTGTTTACCCTGTGCCAGGTGCTTTACATACATTATCATATTTAATCCAGGTGCTTTACATACATTACCATATTTAGTCCTCTACACATGCCTTTGAGGGGCTATTCCTATCTTACAGATGCAGAAACTTTGTATCCTTTTTAGTGTTACTACAGATTTTGCTGATAACTTTTTATTAAATGGGACTTTTATTAGAGTGATTTAATGCTGATTTATCTTCACTATCCAGTAATTTCCTGAGTGCCAGCAGTGCACCTGATACTTTACACATTACAGGGTATTAACGAAATGTGCCATCTATTGTTTTTTAAATGGTCATAAAAGGACACTCTCTTTTTCAGTAGAAAAAAAGCCACTCATTACCTACCAATATCAAACCACAGAATCATTTGTTTTCAGAGCCGGAGGGGTCTTGGATCAAGACCACTGGCAGCCACAGCTCCAGCCTTGATACTAATCACATTATATGCATTTTCTTCTGGGCCTCAGTCAACCCTACTGAGAAAAAGATGACAAAGACGGAGAGGAGGGCACCTGGGCTCCTACTACATGTGCTGAGGTGAAAAACGGGCTGCTTAACTAAGGAGGAATGAGGGAATCAACTGGTCGAGATAGTGTCTATCTAGAAATATCTGCATGACTGTGGTGAAGGGTCAATTGATACCTTAATTGCTTTGTGCCTGAGTCTCCTAATCTGTGTGAAGGAGATTAGAATATCTGCCTCTCTATTCATTGTTACAGGTCAAAGATGGCATAGATCTGGTGTCCAGGAGACACTCGGTGCATGGTAGCTGTTGTCATCATAGCCCATGGAGGTTTTGGGTGACCTCCAAAGGGCAGGGCTTCGGGAACATCACTGTCTTCTGCTCCACGGAAGTTGTCTCTAACTCCTGACATGCTGGAATAGCCCTCAAGTGATCAGAAGAAATGCTAAATGTTAACTTTTCTGTACATATTTTTAAAATCTGACTTTCATAATAGTCTCCACTGTTGTAGAGTTAGAGAAAAATGAAAGTCTATCTATAGTAAAATTTTGTGATTAAATATTATGGTGCAATGCCCCAAAAATGAAATGTTCTGAATCTTGACTGTGGATCTCCATGTATATTTTAAAACTTCCATCGACCCCTTTTTCTACATTTTCCTCTTCATTTTGGTGACCTTTGCAGAAACTGAGCTCTGGGTAACCTCTGACTCAGTCTGTTCAATACCCTTGACATTGGTTACATATGCTGGCATTCTGGTTTCAAATTTATGTCTTTGGTACCTTTGTAAAAGTATTTCCCAATTTCTGAACTAATGAGCCCATAATAAATAGCAAATAACAAGCAGAATAGCTGTTTTAAAAATATATATTTCAATTAATGAGATAATCTGGCATTAATTTAAAATGATCACTTTTTTAAACCAGCATTTATAAATTTAACTCCTTGGCTAAACATGTTATTGTATACCTATAATATGCTATGTGCACTGTATTTGTAATTTACAGAATACATTGATTTTTATTTTATTTTATTGGTATGCTTTGGGGTGAGTTTTTTTAAGATTTATACCAGGGACCCATTTTGCCCCAGAGAGTCACACCATGCTTTCTTCAGTATTAATGAATCCAAAGGCTAAATGCCCAGGACTCAGGTGCATGCCGATATTTATATTGATACTCATGATCAATTTCTTCTCTACTTTCACACGATGTATCATTTTTCAAATGTAAAGATTTTATTATGTAGTGCTTTGTTTCTAGATAGAATTCTATAGCTCTATTCATTTCTCATATTAACAGGATAATATTTAAATTTGAAAAAAACAGACATGGAAATATAAAATGAGAAAACTACAAGACTCCCCCAATAAATAACACTTATCTCCCATTTGACAAATATTAGAGAAGCTTTGACACACAAAGCCTTTTAAAAAGCCATCCGTCCAAGTTGAAACCCAATGGTCCTGAGAAATAGATAAATAAATTTCACTTGCTATTAATCGCAAATTACTTTTTCCTTTAAAAAAATTAATTAAACACACTACATGAAATAAATATTTCAGGCGACCAGCAGCAAAATGGGAAAATACCATGTGTTTGGAGCTTTAGGGCCCTCTGAGTACAGAAATTTATTTGCAGCAAGCAGAAAATAGACAGCAAGCATAAAAATACAGCAGAGTCCCCCTAGTAAAATTATTTATCAAGCTAACAAGGGAGGGACCCTTCCAGTAACAACAAGCCAGCCAGGAAAAGACATGGCTTTATATTTTACCTTTGGGTTAGCAAACCAGTAAAAATGCCAACTGACAAGCACTTCACATAAACATTTCTTTCTAAATGAGCTTCCTTGTTAGGGGGAAAGAAAAAAAAAGTCTTCCAAGCTAAGGAGCCCTATAGCTTACAGACAGAGAATTCTAGTGCGCATACTCTGACTCTTTGATGCAAAAATAATACTCCTTCATGAAAAAGTAAGGGAATGTGAATTATGAATGGAGTTTAAATAACAAATTAGAAGTTCATTAAAGAAAATGTGCTTATATCCCATCAATGTATCCTTGTACTTGGATGTTAGAAAAAGTCACAGTTTCAGAAGATGCTTTTTCAAGACCAGCTTTAACAATCTGTGAAACAAAACACATATATATTTATATACACAGATATATATGTGCTGACATTGCCTCTACCATACAAGCCTCATTACTATATTTTTTCAAATATTTATTTTATGAGCAAAACCCCAAAGTCGGTTTTTACAGTTTAGTTTACCGATACCAAACTTTGATTATAAATTACAAGTCACTTTATTGCAGCTTGCAATACCAAAAGAAAAAGGAAAAAGGGAAAGAAAAGAAAAGAAACAATAAAAGGAACCCTTGAGTCACAGTGGCCTGATCCCAATTAAATTTCAAAGAAATAGTAAAAAGATGCATTCTCCGAATAACTGCCTCACTGCCTTCTCAATAGCTCTACAAATAACTCCTGACAAATTCACAATGAAATCACACACTAGGATCTCATCTTTCCTAAAGTGAAAATGTCATTGTTTAACCATGGCAAACATGGGAAGGTGCCTTTATTATTATTAGTGTGGAAGGAAATGATGCTGAAGAGGATGGGAATATCTGAATGGCACTGTGACATGTTGAGTAAAGATAGAAAGAAACATCTTGCAGGAACCACACACCAGCCCAGCCTCCTACCAATACTTGAGAAAATAAAATTTCTCAGCAACAGCGATGGCATGTTTTTTTTATTACTAATATTACCCCTCTCAAACAAAATAGGACGAAAACAAATAAAAAGAAACCCTTCCTTATTATTTCCCCCCTCTCTTGAACAGAGTGACATTTCACCACGCCTCTGTCAAACCTCCCACTCTCAGGCAGAGACCAAGTTGCACCCTGTATTTTTCTTCCAGGGTCAGGACCAAAACACTCCAACACTAACCCTATCAGCCTGATTTGAGAACTGGGTCTATTATGTGGCCACAGATCTGCAGGGATGGTTTGTAGCACAGGTCATGTGCTATTTCATGACCATAGCCTTTGTTGCCCTTAGACTAGGGTCTTGTCAGGATGCTACCAAGTGATCAAAGATCAGAGCAAACAGATGGAACAGTCTAAATAACACGGTTCCCCCAAACTGCACATGCTGACTAGAATGCCTAGGACACATCAATGAACAACTTTATCACTGACAAATAAGATGAGGAGAGGCTGAAAGCAGAAGTTCTGGAAGTTCTGATTCTGTGGTTCCGCTGGATTAGAAAAACATCGAAGATGCAGAGACAGTACCTCGGGGGAAAGAATGGGATGCCAGGGGGCTTCGAAGGTCTGATGAGTCTCCAGACGCTGCTTGGAGGGAGAACAGCTGGGATCCCTCAGACCTGGGCAGCTGAGTGGCCCCAGCTCCACGGCTTAGAGAAATCCTGGCCCCATCACAAATTCTTTCTCCTCCCCTACTGTGACAGATGCAGCCTCAAACCTCCGAACCTGCTTGGTAAAGCTCATGTAGCCTGTGCACTTTTCATTTTCATTCTACTAGGTAATGGTGAGAAACTGTTCCAGGCTTTAAAAGGAGAAAAAAAAAAATAGAAGAAAAATTTTAAAATAAGAAGTCTGGAGAAAACCAATACCAAATAAACAAAATAGCCTTTGAGCGTTGGGAGAGAACTTCAAGTATGTGCTACCCACTGGAGCAAAGAATGAGAAAGCAGTTCTTAGTTTGGGTCAAATAGGTCAACACGGGTAAAGGAATTTCTGATCTCTCTTGGCTACCCTTACTGCTGAGAGAAGAGAGATGCCAAGCATCTCTTCCAGCAGACTCACACGCCTTCTAAAATGCAGTGCTTGATTTCAACACTATTAAATGTACAGTAAGCACCTTAAGTTTTTTTAAAAGAATTCTAATCACTCCATTAAAAAGAGGAGAGAGAAGAGGAAAAGAAGTAATGAAAGTTAAACAGAAAATTCCATTCTGCTATTCAGAATGTTCAGCCCAGTAAGAGACCCTCATGTTCGCTTTCTCCCCCATTTCCTGTTCATCAGGAATGAACCTCATTTTAAAATATAAACAAGCCAGAGGCACACCACAGCAGTATAGACTCAGCCCTTTAATTAACTACCACCGGCAACAAAAGGTCTCTATTTTGATTAACTTTGCAGAGGGGGGAGTCAACCCTGGCGTTAGAATCCCTTTAAATAATTACAAACCCCAACTCAACTCTGCTGCTGGCAGCACCCAGGAGCCAGGGAAGAAGAAAAGAAACTTTGTCTGTGGAACCCAATTTAAAGGAAGAGCGACCTCAGGGTCAATTTCTCGGAGCATTTCAGATCAATTCAATTCTCACCTCTACTGCCTACCTGCTAGCAAATGAACTTACTGTGCTTTTCAATAGACTGAGAGGACTAAAAAGAAATCGTCACCACTGCATGTGAAAAAAACACATTATTAGATGATGCTTGCCGAGGGAAAACACAATCCTACCGACAAAAATCTGCCTTCACCTCTCTTTTTGGACTGTCAGGCTCACCGTACTGATGATTAAGTTGTACAATGCACCCCTGGATTGTTAATTACGTGTTAATGTCATTCCGCAGGCTTACACCTGAGGTCACTGCTCGGTGGCCACCTTGTCTCTATTGACAATACCTGTAAATCTCTCAGCTGGTTGGATTTTCCCACTGAGTACCTGACACTATGTCCTTCCATTTGGTATTAGTTCCTATGTGAAATTTTATAAGTGCTAATAATTTTACTGTATTTCCTATAGATACAGAAAACAGAGGCGTGCTGAATTTTCCCACTGTCTTACTGTTGTCCTGCCATTTTCCTAAGAGTGCAAAATAGAGACCGAAAACAAACCCACAAAACTCAACCCTGCTGCTTTAGCTCATTTATTGCTGATAATTTCATTAGGTGTCAGGAGAAGCCAAAACTGCAGACACAAAACAACAACTTTACAGTAATTTTTGGATGGAGGAAATAAAAGATTCAGCAAGCAGCAGGTGAAGGGAGTTTAAACATTGGCATCTGTGAACGGCGGCAGTAAATCGGAGATTTTGGCAGGTGACTGAACGTGTGCTTTTAGAATGAAAGCTCTACAGAAGCATCATTTTGTTTTAAGTAAGTAATGAGTGCTGCACTTTTGCAGAAATTCCTTCGTTTTATTTTTTATTTCTAAATGCTTAATGTTTCTTTAAGTTGGCTCCTTCAATAGTACCCCAGAGTTGACTGAAAATAATACAAGTTTATATGGCATAATTAGGCTAGTTACGCTGCACATGCTCTGCTATAATTAATTGATTAAATCGGCTCAGTAGTGGGCCAGTGCCCACAGAAAGAAAAACGTTAGCCAGGCTGTATGGAAAGGGGGTGATGTGGTAGTTAGGGAGGAGTATAATCCAAATAAGCAACAATAACAAAAAAACAATTTAGGGTAAATCCAAATAATAAAATGCTTTAAATGAAATTGTTTGGCCTTATTTTCTCAGTGCCAACAGATATATTGATGTAATTAGCTTAAGACATACTCGTCGAATTTGGGATAGATGGGTCTCTGCTCCAAATCTACAGCAGAGAGCATTCTCCTTCCCTTCTTGTGGGTGGGGGATTTACTCTTAAAACCGAATATTTAGAAGCCCTGGGGGGCCTTCAGTGAAGATGGGGTCAAGACCAGCCACCTGGATTTTTCAAATAGAGGCACCAAGAAATCAGAACTCACAGTGTTGGTTTTCACATGTCTTTTGTATGGCACCACGTGGTTCACCATTTCTGTTAAAATATGTTGATGGGTTCTGCAAGGGAAATTTGGTTATGGCTTCTTTACTTTTACATTTGAAAGAAGTAGCTATACACGTTGCGCTAAGACACCCACACCAACACTCAGCATCAGGAAACCACATTTGCATTTTATTTCTGGATGATTACGGGCAACACAGAAGGACAGGCGTGCAAGATAGAAACAAGATTTCTGAGTACTTTTTACTGTTTTTGTTTTGCTTTGTTTTTCCCCAGTTCACAAAATCATAAAGCCTTCCTTACGTTTGACAACTGTTTGAATTCATGTCATCGGATTAGGTGTAATCAGGGTAAACGATGTCCACTCCATCTGCCGATTGTAAGACTAGAAAAAAAATATCGATGGGTACTTAAGGCCCAGGAAGTGCTGTTTATACCAGTTCCATCAGTTTCTCCCTTAGGTGACAGGAAAGCTACAAATGGGCCTCTCCCCTAGGTAAGTAAGTGTCCCACCTGCCCTGCCCTGAGACAACTCTGTAAGGTCTGGTTGCATCCGGATGGGTCTTAGCCAGTGTCAGGAATATCTGAAAGGGGCAGAGCTTAGACATGAGCACGCTAAGGTCCATCCCCACGTTCTGATCGGTCTTTCAGCGCATAACATGCAAGAACATGTTTTGAACGCCAACTCTCCACTTTGGTGCAAACCACAGTTAGTTGTGTTGTCTCCTTGTCACAACTCAAGATAGAAGACAGCCTCAAAGGGAGATTCAAAAGCCACCTTTAGCGCGAGGTTAAAACATCATCATCATCATGTGTTTCCCTGGCAAAGATGGTACCATGGAAAAATTTACATCAGGTAGCCAAATCGGGTGAAAGGCATACAAGGAGTGTGCAGTTGTTGTCTATGTTAATCTTCATGTTAGAAGCCCTATTTTAAGAAGGCACAGTCTTGGCGCAGCATGCATGTTGGTTGATGTGCGTATGTTAAGCTGTAACATGCCCTAATGAAAAATGTTAGTCAGGATCAAGGGATGCTACTGAAATAGAGATTTTAATCTTTTTGAGATACCACTTGGGATGAATATTTTGTAATATGTCCAAGAACCATAATATAATCTAGAATGCTTCTGAGACTACATAAAAGGTAATTAAATGACTCCCCAAATAGCTTATGATTTAGTTTTTATATCCTAGCCTAGAAAATTGTCAGAAATAAGCCATGAAGCTGTACATGGTTGAAATTAGCCAGAGAGCAGAAAAGCTAGTGGTTCATCAGTTTTGGCTTCCATGACTGAAATCCCTTAACCAAAGTGACATTCTGAAAATAAACTAAGTAACTCCCCCAAGAGTACCAAGTATTGAACTTTTCATATATCAGCTTATAATATCTAATATCACGGAGTAACTTCAAGGAATTGTCCTTCTCCTCCCCAGATTCCCCATCTGACCAAATGCCTTTCTCTTCCTTGCTCTCACCTGTCAATCATGTTCACAGCTGAAATTTGATTTCTTTCCCACCAGTAACCTTATATGAAATATTACCAGGGGGTAAGGACCAGTGTGAACCTTGCCTTTCAAGTTCATTAACTCTTTGCTGAAAATGGATGGTTTCAATGTCACGAAACCTGCCAGTGGACCTAGATCATCATATTTAATAGGAGGTTTTCACATTGTAATGATAAAGGCTGAGACAATAAAGGAATAAAGCATCGGAACTGCATGCACAGACTCAGACACACAAATTAACCCCAAATGTATACACTGAGTTTAAAACTATGTATGGGAGCTATTAAAGAAAACATTAATTTCATCCAAGACTAGAAAATAAACAACAAAATATTCACAATCCAGTAATTTAAAGTAAGACTCTCATGGTAGCACCGTGTAGAAGTAAGTAATCAGATACTATTTTTAAAAAGTGGGAAAAAATGAGGCTATGTTTTTCCAACACTCTCAACTCACTGGATCCTTAACGTACCTCCTTTGCAAAGAGCAGCAATTTGAAAGTGTGATTTTTGCCCCCCTCAGTTTCACTAAAAACCAAAAAATATATTTCATGCAAATTTCTCAGCAAGCACAATTTTTAATTAAAAAAATCAAATGTACCATTAGCCAATAAGAGGTGATAAGAATACATAAAACTATCACACTAAGTAATTATTGGTGTAAGAATGTTGGTCTAGTTTTCCAAATGAAGAGGGTTCATAATAAAATTCATGCTGGGACACTTGTAATTGAAAACCCATTTAAATAGCTCAATTCCATTATTTTAATAGATGAAAATCAGGTTTCTGCTTCCCACCCATCTCCTCCTTCCCCTTCTTCCTTGTATTGAAGTGGGGAGGGGATCCATAGTCACATTTGGACGCAGAAGTGGGGACACACTGTGCTTTGAAATTACACTAAAATGTCCAAATGTAAGCAAGAACTGAATTATAAGTGACTGTAAATTTGAAATGTTTATGAGGCCCCGGTAAAACCGGCCAAGGGCGATGGATACTAGTTTCACAGATTCACCCAAATTATCTGACACTCAAGTAGAAGAAGCAGCTCTTTGAATGTCAGTAGACTCACGTTGGATAAAGCTGAAGATCTGAGATCTACTCAAACTGGATTAGTAACTTGACATAACACATGGATATAATGAAATAAACACAGAAAAAATAAATGCATGCTGATTCTCACATATATCGCATGTATCCCTCCTCTTTGGCACCTAGTGTCACCATTTACATGACACGTGAAACCCAAATACTAAAACTAATGAAACAGGAACTTTTCACACCTAAAAAGTTAGCAGCATTCCTTGTTTGCTTCCTTGCTTTTCCCTTCATTTAAAAAAACAAAGAAAAGGAAAAAAAAAAAAAAACTCAAGCACATGCAAATCAAAAATCAAGATGTACCTCTTTGACTTCAGGCAACTGGATTTTTTCACATCACTGATGTAGAGGATTCCCTTGGGTACCTGATTTAGTAAATATATTAAAATAAACAAAGGGTAATTAATAACCACGAAGAATGTTTCAAGAACAGTATGCTACAGGCAGCCTAACTATCTATCAAAAGGGCAGAATTACACCAAAAGAAGAGTGATTTTGTTCCATTTGCTTTTGGGTGGTGGCCTCAACCCTGTCAAGCCAGAGGAGGGGTTGACGTGGAAGGGAATGGCCTGCGTTACAAGTTCACTCCCTCTGAACTACTGTTTCTCAACTGAGAGGCTGAGATAGCCATAACCCACTGGTTGGCAGCCTGGATCAGCTTTGAAGCTGTCCTGAGTTCAAAGGGAGCCAAGAGATTCTGGGTTCATAGAAGGGAAGGATTTGAATCATTTCTGTTGGGCTTCTCTCAAGGACTCTCAGGCTGTCCGCCCCTGGGAGAACCACACTGGCCCAGCTTCTGCCGGTGTGTGCTAGGGTTCCTTCTCTTCCATCTGCCCCCACCTCCTCTGTTGCTTTGTCTATCCTGCTGGCACCACTGACCTTAACTGCAAATGTTCTTTTAACAAATAGAACAGCTTAGATACTGCCTCTTTATTTGTTAACTTCTGCCCTGTTTAAATTAGTAGCAGGGAGTGCTTAGAACGGTGATATGAAAATGAGGTTGCTTTAAAGAAAATCTTTTTGCTTCACAGTGAATAACAAAGCACAGTAATTCAAAGTAGTTAGCTTTCTATGGTTCAAAAAACGCTTATTGCTATTAGCTGTACTAATGTAAGTGGCAAAATAATTATCATTTACTGTACAGAGTCCAATATTTTCCAGACAGCAGTTTAATAACAAAGCAGACCTGTCATTTCTTCCTATAGCTAGTCACAATATAGAAGTTCGGACTGTCAAAATATATTTAAAATCTAATTTAAAAAATTCAACATGGTCACAGAAAATCTGTGTACAATAACGGCGATAAACTAGTAAGTCAATCTAATTCTTTTTCCAACATGGATATTCAGTTATTTTTCTTTAATCCCCCACACTTTTATTTGGATTACCTTACAATTGGTGCGAACAAATATGAGCTATGCTCATGCACCTGCTGAATTCTCTAGGCTGCTGTAACAGAACATATAATCTTTCTTTACTTACATTTTCATTCCACATAACCCTCTAATTCCTTCAAATGCCCTTTATCTAAATGGTAAGACTATGCCCACAGCACTCGGATAAATCATTTCTTACCCTTGTATCTGTCAAAGTTGCCCTAAACACGTTATATGCGTTTATTCACATTTTGTATAGAAATGCTTTTCAAATCTTAAGGTAGAAACTACTCGCCTTTACGTATTAGTATACATTTTTTTTTGCCAAATATATAATTTCTATGCAAAAAATAATAGGAAAGAAACAAGAAACAGACTGAAGTGATAAAACCTGGAAGTGTATCAGTATCAGTTGTTCTCCATTTGAAGTTCAGATGGCTAATCTCTTTAAAAAAAAACTTCCCCGATAGGATTACTTTTTTTTTAATCTTTAGAAACAACAGAGTCTTTTAGAAACGCCAGTGAATAGAGTTTAAAAGCTTAAGAGATTGTGGGGAGAATATTTTTGTAATTCCTTGGGGACGTTGCAAACATATGTTAAGCTTCGGCAAGGAATATTTACATGAGATCATATACTTGTGAGGCATTTTTCAATTTTAGAAAATTATTACAGAGCAATAATTGGACGTAGGCTTTGCAAAATGCCCCCTTTGCCTTCCTGACCATATCATTGATAGTCTCCGTTATTTTTGGAGGAAAAAAAACAGGCCTCATTAAATGCGATATTTGGCATCTTGCCTGAAATCTCATAAAGTAGATGTCCTTTTTAGATCATTGGTGTCATTTTCTTCAAGATGACCTCTACTCTCTGGCCATCTGGGGAAACCACCCTGTTATCAAAGCATTTACTTTCAAAAGGGGGGGGGGGGTAGATACTATTTGCACACCTGAATAGCGTCCAAAAGCCATTGCAGTTTCTGTGTTCATATTACCTTCTTTCAGACCACTTACTGGGGAAAGATGGTGGGGGAAAAGGAGGTCTCACATCGGGGTAAGAGAGATTTTCGAGCTGGGCCGCAGTGAAGTAATCTAAGCCACATGTCTACGAGCACATAGCTCTTACACTTGGATCTGTTTACCTAACAATTGAAGAGTTCTTTAAATAGTACAGGAGCATGCACTGATATTCCAGGGAAGATTTTAAAAGGGCTCATTACCTGCACAGTGCAGTAAATTTACATGGGGATCGCAACCTGAAAACGTGTTGCAGGCTGTCAGCATGTGTCTCCACACTGCTCCGAGTCACAGAAAGTCTGGCAAAGGGAGCTTACCTGCCTTTTACGTGGGAAGATTGCCCTAAGACAGCAGTTTCAGCCCAGGCTCTGCGCATGTCTACCAAAGGACAGAGTTGACTGATGAAGTCTGCCTTTCGGATCATTTTTATTTCATAAAGTGGGAACTGTAGATTTTTCTCTTTTCTTTCTTTCTTTCTTTTTTTTTAAGATACAGTCTTGCTGTTTTGCCCAGGCTTGAGTGCAGTGGCGCAATCTGGGCTTACTGCAACCTCCGCCTCCCAGGTTTTAAGTGATTCTCCTGCCTCCCAGGTTCAAGCGATTCTCCTGTCTCTGCCTCCTGAGTAGCTGGGATTACAGGCACGTGCCCCCACGTCCTGCTAACTTATGTATTTTTAGTAGAGACCGGGTTTCACCAGGTTGGCCAGGCTGGTCTCAAACTCCTGACCTCAGGTGATCCGCTCACCTGGGCCTCCCACAGTGCTGGGATTACAAGCATGAGCCACCACACCGGGCCAGATTTATCTTTTAATAGCTTGCCCCCTCCCTAATGTGTTAAAGGGTCCCAGGAAAAAATAAATGAATAAATAAATAAATAAATTTTTTAAGCCAGATGAAAAAATATATTGGAGTGAATGCCTGAAGATGGAAAGACACAAACATCACCTTTTAACAGATAAAATCTTAGAAAGATTACCGAGGGTTTTTCCGCCTTCTATGAAAAACAAGATTTACATAAAAAATCTGACAGTGTAAAAAGCATCTCAGATACTGACATGTTTGTTTTAGTTTCAATGTATCTATCTGTGCATGAATAAATCCTTCCCTAAGAGAGAGGGAGAGAGTAAAAAGTAGATTTTTTTTAAGGTGTAACGATACTTGCCTAACTTAAGTATTCTCACAAACCGAGGGTCCCTCTAAGAAAAAGGCCCCTCATGGAAAAGATGCTTTCTGAAATTAGTGGTTTTAAAAGTCTGTCCTCTTGAGACAGTTCCTGGATGCCTGAGATGTGTCTAGAACTGTATGAAATCCAAGAATGCAGGCAGGACCCTCATCCTGGCGCTGTTGGAGCAATCCTCATAAAGTTTGCTTGACTGACTTTGTTTTATAATGTGCATCAAACTACACCACGGAAACCCCAAACCGTATCGAGATTTCCATAAAGATTTTTAAACATGCTATCTGGATTTCCCGCTTGCCTTTCTCTTTTTCCCTCTTACTCTGTCTCTAACCGAAGCAGGAAAAAAAAAGAAAAAAGAAAAAAAATCTGGAAAATGGGCCGGAAAACTAATAGAAGAAAAATCAAATGATCTGGAGCCGATGATCTTATTTACAGAGGGTTCCTGGGGCCGCGATCGGGTGGAGTGAGGGGGTCTCAAGGTGAAGGGCGGAGCCTTGCGGGACCGAGTCTTGCTCCCTCCCTCCAGGCGCCCGCCCACCCAGGAGAGCGGCGCACCGGGGAGTTTTGATATCCCCCGGAGCTCGCTCGCGCTAGGGCAGTCCTTTTGACTTTTTAAACCAAATTTGAACACAATCCGAGCTCCTGCAGGGGTGCGGGAGCTTGGGTGGGCGCGGGGCCCTGGGGCGCGCTGGGTGTGGCCGTCATTAGCGCCCCCGGGCGCCGGGCGGCGTCGTGGGCATCTCCGAGGGGCGCTGCGTTGCTGGCGTCTGAGCGCACCGGCTCCCTGGGCACTGCCGCGGGTCTGGGACTGCAGGCCCGGCCCAGGACTGAGGGACTCGGTAGCTTCAGGCAATCTTCGGGACCCGCCCCCTCTGTCTGGGCTCCAGTCCCTGCGCACCTACTGTACGCCCCTCGGGGGACCTCAGAGGGTGGGGAGCACACCCAGCCCCACGCAGCTGCAGCCACCAGGCTCGGGCAGTGATGTCCAGGGCTATTGGGCCCCGCAGAACCCATGCATAAAGGACTGGGATGCGGTGTTCCTGTCCCGGGCCAGGTTGGCGGAGGGGGGGATGATGGGGGGGCATGGAGGGAGGGTTGTTCTTAGAAAATGGGAGAGGGGACAAACTCAGCATCCTCTCTGCCTACATCTCCTTCATTCCAGGCTTCAAGACCATTGCACCAAAAGCTCTGGCCAGCTTTAAAGATTCCAGCTGAGCTTCCAGTGATGCTCCCCGGACCCTCTGCATAGCGCTGTCTGTGTCTACACTTAAAGTGGGGCGGAGGTGACTTATTGGGTCCCAGATCTCAGCTTCTGCCACTTGTTGGCCTGAGGACAGTGACTTTTGAGGCTCTTTCATGGCCCTGGATGACCAGGCATGGAAGGAAAAGGTGTCAGAAATTATGGAGAGGACACTGGGATTGGACAGGAGTCAGGTGGGAAGGGTGCAGACCCTGGTGCTAAGGACGTCACTGTTGTTTCTAGGACTCTGTGGAGAGCTCACAACCTGTCAGCGGCTTGTCAGTCACCCTGCAAACAGATCCTTCTTGGTGGGAGGTTTTGGGGGGACTCTGAGAATGACCTGGAGCTGACCCCTGGTGACTGGAGGTCATAAGCCAAGGTTGGCCTGTGTTAAAGTCTGGGCCATACTCTCCCAGCCTCTGCAGGCAGGTCCCTTCCTCTCCTCTGCTCTCTGGGCCTAGTTTGGGGTTGCCTATTGTCCTGGGATCCTCGGCCTGCTTTCCTTCTGCAGAATTCCTCCAACAAAAGTCAGAAACGCACTTCTACAGGCCTCAAGAAGTGGATGAGGTCATATAGAGAACCAGGGCAACTATAGGTTGCAAAAAGGGACTCTGAACTCCTGACCTAATTTTTCAGGCCAGTGTTCCCTTTACAACAATCCTTGTTGGGGATTCTGGAAGGAGAGTGATTTTCTCTCCTTCCTATCCAGTTCTATAAGGTTTCATCGCTTCTCCTGTTCCCTAACGGAAAGGACCAACCACAAGGAAAAAATAGTTCTTTGGAATCTCAGCTTGGAAACGGTCAAGGCTGGTAATCAGAATATTTAGAATAGAGAAATTCAGAATGCGAATCACTGGTCTGCAGCTCACACCAAGGCCTGGGTTGAGGGGTGAGGGGCAGGTTGAGGAGTGCAGGGGAAAATACAGAAAACTCCTTCCTCTCCTTCCACTCTTTTTCCCAAAGCTCAGCAGACACGACTCCTTCATCCTCCTTTCTTGAATTAATGCTCCTTCTAATTGTAACTAAAGATCTAAGGTGCATCTCTGTAGAAGAGAGGAATGTGATTTTGCAATCCACAGTTCTAATTATAGGGAAAACTGTTATTTAGTAAAAAGGAAGGAAAAGGAAACGAATTGTGTTGAACAAGAGAAGAGGTGCTCAATAGAGGCTACGATTTGTGTAAGGAACTGTGCATTCCAGTCATAGTCGTGGAAAATGTGTTTTATGAGTTTCTTAAAACTGTACGACTCTGATGAAAATTCATAGAAAGATCTTATTTCTGTGCGTCGTTGGTTTGCTCTTCCCATCTCAGCCTTTTTCCTTCGGGCAGACTTACGGAAAACACACAGAGGGCCTTCGAATTTAAACAATAAAATACTGTCACGATGTCATAAAACTATTGCAGTGACCATTTAAATATTGGTACAACATGTCTGGCTGGTCCAAAATGTCACCATTATGAATCACAGACTGATACATTTATAAATATACTCAAATGTTAAGACATTAACGATTTCCTCAAATCTCTCCATTTGGGTTTAGTCCCCAAAATTGTTTTCAAAAAGGAAACATGTGAACATATTTTAAAGAAATGGACAGCCGAGCCTAGTTTACTTCTGGCATACATGCACACTAGGTCTGACGTTAGCCACGGAGCAAGTGAAATTCAGACTGGTAACAGGGATTATTTCTGGGCCTCCCGCTTTTAAAGTTCCCCTTTCTCTTGTTTCCCTCATTTCTCACCTCCTACAAATGGTGCAGGGAACAGGGAGCCCGAGATTTTATTTGCTACGCCTTCATGCAAAGCAATTTGATTTGTTTGTTTAGTTTTGTTTTGTTTCTCTCTAAAGGGTAAAGATGCTCCCAATTTGTGGCAGGACTGTGTTTCTTTATGCCCTAACAATCATGAGACAGCCTGGGAGACTGAAATTCTCTCACCCTGTCCCCTACCCCCGCTAGGGAAAAAAATGCTAGACAGAGCTGGGTTTGTTCAGGAGCTGGGGCGGAGCAATGCCTGGAGAGAATTCCCCTTTTCTGGGGCTGTTTGATGTCTGAATTTTGAAGATTTACATCAAAAGCGAGAAAAGCAGTGTTATGGCAAGTTGGGTTAAGACTCTTGCTCCGCTTTTAAGCAAATGCTTCAAAACAAACAAATCCTGATTGAGGTGGCTGGACCTGGACCACCTCCTTTATAACTACTACATGGCCTGCCTGGACCTGGGACATCTTCTTTTAGATTTAGGATGGGCTAAGAGTGAAACAAACTTCCAAGTTTCTCTTATTTTCCTCAGAACAACAAGGAAGGCACAGGACCAAATTATTCATTCAGCATCCTGACAAATAATCAGCGGAGATAAAAATTGTAGCCTATCACTGCAGATAAAACTTCTCTAAAAAAAACCAAACAAACAAAATAAAAGAACTAAGACATTTCTTCAAAGAGACGGACAAAATTATTTTTCAAAAATCAAATGACAGTGAATCGTAGTGGGGAACCTTGCAAATCAGCAAAGTGAAGCTGGTAAATCTCACTTCCTATTCCCTCTTAGTGAATGTTTATATTAGCAGCGCTAAGAAGAGCTTGGTTGTGTGTTTTACCGGCATGGAAATCAGACGGCTGAAGGTTGTCACTCATGTACTCCTGTATTTTAGTCTTCCAACCTATCTCAGTCTTTAACTACCGGCAGCCAAAACAGAAAAAAACAAACAAACAAAAAACAAAAAGAGAGAGAGAGAGACTTATGTGGCAATCAGACTTTTAAATATATTGATTGGCCTAGTAGACTGGAGGAGTGTATTTCGTAAAGCCAAGAGTATGTGAATACGGAAGTAAGTTGGCCTAAACGAAAACAACGGCCACAGCAGCAAAAGCCTCCCAATGTACTGTGCTTGGGAACCTTTGAACGTGTCATAGGCAACTCTAGATATTTAGACCAGGACATGCTGGGAATGCAGCTACCGAGACAGCTGTGTGCCATGTTTGTGAGGGTGACCATGATCTGTCTTCTGTCCACTGCTTTTAGCAGGAAAACTGGCAGTGTGGCAAGGGGGTGGTTCTACTTCAGAACAGAAGTATCTAGAATTGGTGTTGCTAAGTAAAAATGACTGGGGTAAAGGCACAAGGGAGAAAAGATCAGAGCGTGAGCATCCTGCATTCAGTAATAAACAGCATTTCCCATCGGAGGGGTCTGTGTTGAAAGACTCCCAGGTAGTTATGGCTTTGAGACAGTGAGGAAATGATGTCTCCGTAGCAGATTTATTTGCCAGGCAAAAGTAGAATGTCTGCCTATTTGATGTCAATATATTAATGTGTCAGATACATTGTAAAAAATTATTACATGGTTTTTGAAAAGGGAAACATGCAAGAAGCCAGGGAAATGTAAAGGAGGTGATTTTTTTTTTTTTGAGTAGGAGCAAAAAAGAAAAGGGAGCAAAAAATCACACAGAGGGTGTGTATTTAACTAACTTTGTATTTTGCCACACATTGTTTTCATTTACAGCTATGTCTGACAAATGAGCACGTTTGACATCACTGATAAATGCAACACCGTCTAGGGCCTACGAGAAAACCAGGGGGCTCGGCTCCGCTGGAGCCTCTGCCCGTGGATTTGTTTAGGGAAGGGGAGTCGAATATCTATTTTTCTTCTTAGTAAAATTATCTGCCAGAGAAACAATGAAGCATGAAAAAGTACTATTTAGAATGTGCATGCCTATATATGATTTTAAAATGCTAATTGTTGCATTCCGGGAAACTTTCCATTATATATATGCATATATATGTATCTTTGTAATTTCAGTGAATTTTTAAAACTAGTATGGCAGGTTGAAAGCAATGCACCTGTTTACTTGCACACACCATAAATCGAAAAGCAGGAGTGCGCTTTCCTACCGGTCTCTATGAAACCCCCAGACAAGAGGCATAGTTAACTACTACATTTAATAGCCTTCTTCTCTAACACAGTAATTTTTATTTAAAAAGGAGACTAAACAGAAGTCAGGGGTAGGTGGTTCTCCATGACTGCAAATAATAATAATAATGATGATTTTTTTTAATGTACAGCTCTCACACAAATTTCATTTTGTGAACACACTGGTAAGTACACGATGCTGGGGCTTCCAAAATGTGGCGTATCCCACTGATGGCTCCAACTTGCGAGTGGGCTCAGTTCTGTAATTGGAATGAAAGGAATTTTAACACTATTTAGACAAAGATCAAACGCAGCGTAAAGGGGAAAGCTAGATTTCCTCATATGATTTTTTTTTTTTTAAATTTAGAGACTTATTGTAATGAATGGCACTTACTCAGGATTTAGGAGTTCTTTGTAAGAAAAAAAAAACATGTATTTGTTTGCTACTCCCACTATACTTCAAAGTTTTCAGTAATTGTTATTTCTAAAAATGCCTTTTACTAGGAGTTAACCTTCTCTTACAGCCAGCCACTCAAACCTCATTTTTGCCAGCACCTTTGCATTTGATTTTCTAAAGTTTGGGGGCCCAAACCTGCTTATTATATTCAACTACCTTGTAGATTCCTATCAAAATGCTTAATTCTACACAACTATATTTTCCTTCCAATCCAGGCCTCATTTGTCATGAGATAACTGCAATAACTACATCCAGAATATCACTCTTATTTTGAGAATGTTTGCCTAAAATCTTTCATCAGATGCTTTTTTGTTAAAAGCATTCTCTCCATTTCTGCTTCTTCAGAGTTTGTGTATCTCTTAGTTGTGATGAGGAAAAAAAAAAAAAAAGGAAAGAAATATCTGAAGTCAAGAACACTTGACTTCAAGCTCATGAGGGGAGGTTTACTATTAAGACTTTTGTTAAGCAAAATTAAGTGTGGATTCAGGAGCCTGTCTAAACTAGCACATAAAGGAAGGTCAAAATGTCGAGGTTACACACTGTCTTCGTGTTTTGTAAAAAATAGGCAGGAAGGCCAGATGATAAACTGGCCAGAACTTAGCAGCACCAAACACAACCTGTTTTCTTAAAAATAAGTCTTTCAGTCAGAGTTGCAATATTATCTTTTTTTCTTTTAAGAACGGCAGAAAACAAAACAAAAGTCATCGTGTTTGGCTGTATTTTCAAAACAGTGCTGGCTTTGTCTAACATTCTATTGGTGTGCTAGGGGAAGATGACTAAGAGTGCAAACTGCATGAATTTGTAACATTAGTTTCATGAATTTGTGTCATTTAAAAATAGGTCAGCGCTTAGGAGTCCTACTAGTGAAGGTAGTTTTGAGTCTTTCCAAGGGATCTTTAAGTCAGCCCCCATACACAGCCTATTTTGGGGTAAATACCAGTAAATCAAAGCACAGCCTATATTCCACACAGGTATTATTTTTTGCTTTTATTTCTGGGGATAGCATGATCTGAAATCATTACTAGCTCATCCAGGTAGAGAAGTTCTCCACTGAATATTCACGGTGAAATATGATTTGATAACATAGTTTAAACCAGATATGTACTTGGAAATATGGAAGTAAGGAGTGGATTTTCTTTTTCCTATTTAAGACAAATGATCTTCAGTGTTAAAGAGAAAAGCAAAACAAAACAAACAACTATGATTTGTCATGTTTATGTTAAATCTTGTCAGGCCTTGCTAACAAGAAAATCTCGGTGTGTAAGAGAAGAAGGAAAAATAGTCAACTTTAGTGAAAAGGCAAGCGCTGTTTCTCTTTACCGTTCAATGCATATGTGCGCAAGCCACCTCTGATGCGCCATATTTGTCCGGCTCCTCTGTCTATGGATGGCTTTGCTCCTGATCAGAAGTGTAGGGCCATGCTCAGGAAGCCTAGTTCCACTGTTTTGTTTTGTTTTTCCTACCAAGGGCAATTATGGCTCAACTCATTTGAAAACTGAAAACTTTGGGGAGAAAAAAATGAGGTCATAATTTACATCTATATTAAATATTGCTAATCAGTATATGGGGCCAGCCTCCTCACTTCAAAAAACAGCCTATAATTTCACCCTGAATTACTGTCTCCCTATTCCTCCAGGAATCCTTCCACTGGAGAAAAGGATGCATTTTACACTTTTAACGAGGTTGTTGGGCCCAGTTAAACTGTACACTAAGAAACTGAGTACAGAATCAAAAAAAAATGCCGTTTATTATTGTAGATTATTCTTTTCTTGATATAACCAGAATTGAAAATGAAAGAAAAGCACATAGGAACAACACGCGTGGTTAGTTAGTAACTCAAGATATAAAACAATTTTGCACAGCAAAATATGTAAAAGAAAAGTAACTGACAAGATTTTTTTATATTTATTGTGGTAAGATTTACTTTTCATTTCTTTTTAAAGACAGGATGTCAGTCCCTGAAAATAACATTTACTGATTATTGCCTTTAAAACTGTGGATTTTTTTTTAAGTTACAGAAAATCCAGTTCTGCACCACAATACAACTGTAAAAAAATCTGCATCATCTTAAAACTGTGCAGTAATGCCATTTTTATAACTGCATAAATTTTATTAGCGTTCTAAACAGTTTTGCAATTTTTTTTTGTATTATATGCTTGCAGGTTATATCTTAGTGCAATTCAGTCCCAAATACTTTAATTTTGAAAAGAAAAAAAAACATACATTTTTGAATGTAAAATACCCCTACAGATATAAACAGGGGCGTTTCCCCTCTTAATACTTTGGTTTTCAATACAGTCAGTGGTATAGCAAAGACTACACATACCCAACTTATATTTAAGTTGCAAGCACATGCTGTATAAGCTACTTTTTTTAAACAGTCCCCTTGCAAACTCTACCCCCCTTAACATCACAATAGTAAACAATTTAGTGCATCAATCGTTTAAAAAATCTACAGCTAAACAGACCTAACTCTTTCAAATTTATCTATAACATTCCTTTATCTGTAGCATACATTTTAACTGGGCTAACAGATTATAAAAACTAGAATTAAATTATATACTAGAAACCCAGAGCATTCCACATTTGACAATGACCAAAAGCCAAAAAATATAAAATAAAAATAAAACAAACCAAAAATAATGGGGCAGTTTCTCTTTTTAAAAAATAAATTTTAGACTGCTTCTCGGCAATAGCACAATTTTAGTCCCCAAAGTGGGGCGTCATTCTTATTAAAAAGAAAACATTAAGAGTTCTTCAATGTTTGCCAGGTTAAATGTGTAACCCATTCTGGTATCTTTGACAAGGAATGCCTTCAGTGCATTGGGAGGTTGAAGTTCTGAGTAACTCAAAGCAGTTTTGGAGCAGATGCAAAATTTCATGGGAAGAAGGCTCTACGGTTGCACTGTTTTGTTCTAAACTCAAAAAAGTCATGAGGCAATAAAACAAAAGTATGAATGCCATGCTATAAGTCTTCGAACGTCCATTTCCAAGCCAAAAGGAAAAAAAAAGGAAAAAATAATTATACCATACATGTCCAGCATGCAGGCTTTTTTTTTTTATTAATATAATGTCTCTTTTCCATAAAGTCTTTGAAACAGTTATAGTTCATTGTTGCTAAGACAAAGTAGCAAGCATAATAATGCATGAGATGAGAATGAGTTTTTTTAATGGCAGACTAAACTCTCAGATTTGGCATCACAAGGCCAAAACTCACAAGTCACACCCAGAAGGTTGATGCAGGCTTGATTGTGGAAGGTTCATGAGGATTTTTTTCTCTATTTTAGCATAACAATGCTAAAAAAAAAACCCGATGGAACTCGGCACGCTGCAAGTCTATAACATTTCACATTTTTTTTTCCTTTGCAAGCTCAATCTCACATGAAGAACTCAGGAGAAGAAAAAAAAACTTTGCTTTTTTTTTTCTTTCATCTCGGAAGAGATGGGTTGAGAAGGAGTGAGGGTGGAGGTTGGAAAAAAGGTGGGCAACACAGCAAGCTCTAAAAGTAAAATTAAAAAAAAAAATCCAAACAAAATAAAACACACACACACACAGAAAATGAACACCAGTTCATGAACTGAAGGGGAAGAAGAAGAAAAAATATGTGAATGATGCAGGCTTCAAAGGTGATCAACGTTTCACATGAAGAACTCTGCTGAGATCATTGAACATTGTGCAAGTCCGGGGGTGGGGCGGGGGGGTGTAAAAAAAAAAAAAAAACAAGCTAGCAAGTTATGGAGAATTTCAGATTGGCAATCCATGAGCCAGACACCCATTCCCTCCCCAGTTTAAAACAGCCACCACCACCACAAACTCGAGCAGGGTGTGGGGTGTGTGTGTGTGTGTGTGTGTGTGTGTGGTGTGTGCGTGCGGGTTTGTGTGTGTGTAGGGGGCCAAGGGGGCCAAACTCGGTGGGGGTGGGGGTGGTGAGGTGGTGGCGAGCATGGCTCTAGAACTAGCAAGCCCACACCCGAGCCGGACCCCCGCGGAGCACTTATCAGGGTGGCTAGCTGGAATCGCGTGTCAGACTCACATGAAAAACTCGGGAGAGGACGGGTTGTCGCTGCTCGAGCCGTTTTCTCGGAAGCCGCTGCTCACCAACTTCTCGTATTTCTCCTTGTACGCGTCCCTCTCGCGCACCAGCCTGGAGATCTCCTGCTTGAGGTGGTCGACTTGCTGCAGCAGCTGGTTCTTCTCCGACTCCAGGACGTGTCTCTGCTGCACCCTCTTGAAGCGGCAGGACTGGGCATAGCCGCGGTTTTTCAGGGTCCGCCTCTTCTGCTTCAGCCGGATCACCTCCTCCTTGCTGACCCCGCGCAGCTGCCGGTTCAGCTCGCGCACAGACATGGTCACCAGCTGCTCGTCGGAGAAGCGGTCGTCGAAGTGCAGGCCGCCGGCGGCGTGGTGCGGGTGCAGGGCGCCCCCCGCCCCCGCCGCGCCCCCGCCGCCTCCGCCGCCGCCGCCGCCGCCGCCGCCCCCAGCGCTGGCCGGGCCACCGCCGCCCGCGCCCCCAGCGCCACCGGCCGAGGCGGCCGCGCTGCCCGCGGCGCCGGGCGCGCCGGCCGTCGGGTGGTGGTGGTGGCCGGCGGCGTGGTGGTGGTGGTGGTGGTAGTGCGGGCCCGCGCCGCTCTGCGCGGCGGCCGCGGCGATCACGGCGGACACCACGGCGGCGGCGGGGCCCATCTCCTCGCCGCTGCCGCCCAAGGAGGCGCCGGCACCGGCCCCGGCCGCCGCGGCCAGCTGCTGCGCCCCGCGCGCGTAGCCATCGAAGCCGCCCTGGAGCTGGTGGCTGTTGCTGATGAGCGCCTCGACCGCGTCCTCGGGGCTGAAGCCCAGCGCCTCGGGGTTCAGCTGCTGCGGGTAGCCGGTCATCCAGTAGTAGTCTTCCAGGTGCGCCTTCTGCTCGCTGCCCGAGCCCGGGCTGGGCGCCGAGAAGCTGGGGGAAGGGGGCACCGAGCTGCACGGCGTGCTCATGGGGGTGGAGGACAGCGAGCCCCCGGCGATGAGACGGCCGCACTGGCTGATGATGCGGTCGGTCTCCACCGGTTCCTTTTTCACTTCAAACTTCATCAGATCGAAGTCATTAACATATTCCATGGCCAGGGGACTGGTGGGCAGGTCGGAGTTGCTCATTGCCAGTTCTGATGCCATTCTCCTGCCGCCGCCGCCGCCGCCGCCGCCGCTCCGCCAGATGGGCTGCAGGAGAGGGGCCAGCGGGCTGTGCTGGGTGGCCAGCGGGTGAGCCAGCTTGCCGGGCTGGGGCGCTTCTAGCTTGCGCGGCGGTGGCTGGCCCGAAACCTCCGAGCGCGCTCACACACACACCCCCCCGCCCTGCCCGCGCCCCCCGCGCCCGCCCTCCCTCCCCCCTGCTCACGCCAATGTGCTCCCTCGCTCGCCCCGGCCCCTCCTTGCTCGCTCGCCTCCTTGCGCGCCGAGCCGGCGGCTTCAGGCTCGGGAAGATCCTCCGCGAGCTGCGGTGGCGGCGGTGGTGGCTGCGGCGGCGAAGCTGGAGGAGCCCGGCCCGGTGCGCGGCGTCCCCCGCTCGCCGCTCCGCTGCGCGCTTTGCATAAGGAAGGGCTCGCCTCGCCGGCCCGGGCTGCAGGCAGGGCGCGCGCGGCGTCCGCTCGGGGCTGGAGGCGCGGCGGGCGTCTGTCCGGGCGGCGCGGGCCTTGGCACGGGGGAGTTAACACTTCATGCTTCTCGCCTCCTCTTCTGCTTGGCTCTCTTTATTATTTTTTTTCTTTCCTCTCTCTCCCTCGCGCGCTCTCTACCTCTGTGCAAAGTGCAAGGCAGAGGTGCAGCCCGACTGGAGGAGAGGGAGGGGGGAGTTTAGTTCTTTCTTGCCTTTTTTTAAAAAAGCAAAATAGCGAAGTCCTGGGGAAAGACGAGGCAGAGAGCAAAGGGGGGAGGGGGAGGCCAAGCCGACAAGCAGCCCGAGCTACAGCTAGAAGATGAAAAAAGATTTTAAAGCCTCTGATCCAGCAAGAAGAGTTTAAAGCAATTGCTGAGTTTTATAGCACTCGTGACGTCAGGTCCAAATGAGAAATTGACTGGCACTCCGGGCCAATGGGAGGCGGCGAGAGCGGCCGCGATTAGCATAATAGTATAGAAACAAGGAAACTTTTCGGAGCTGTCAATCAGGGCCCAATCAGCTGACTGTCAGCTGGGACGGGCTGGCTTAACCCTTCCTGCGCCGCTGCCTACCCGGGAGGGAACGAGGCCCGGCGCAAAGTTTGGTGTAAGAGGGGAAGGAGTTTTTCCAGAGGGGCTTCGGCAATCCGGGCGGACCTGGGAGGGCGGTTTGCTTTTCTTTGGAGCGCGAGACAGGCCTCCCATCCGGAGCCCCAGCTCGCTGGGGGCTCACTCGGCTGGGATTGGCCTGATTCCCCTCCCCTGCCTGCCCTCCACCCCCAGGATTGTGAATTCGCCTCCCAGCTTTTCCTCCTCGCACCAACTCTGGTACCCAGGTGTCTGCCGGGGACCTTCCTTCCCTGAGCCTGGCCGTGCCCGGCGCTCAAACTTGGCCCCAACTCTTTGTCCGTCTCTCGGGCGCCCGTGCGGGGAAGGGACCGGGAAGGGAGGGATGCAGTGGGGTGTCCGGATCGGGGCTGCGGGCTGGGCGCCGCCCGGCCATGCGCCTGCCCAGAAGGCTGGGCATCCGTGGAGAGGGAAAGCCCATTTTATCCCTCTCTTTACAACGAGGTAAAATAAGTTGTTTAGAGGCCATTCTTCACGGAGACCGGCTGCCCGCTGGCGTCGCGTGCCCTTGGACAGAGCGAGCGCCTATGCGAGATAACTCCGGGGAAGCTCAAAGTCAGGTCAGCCGGGCTCAGCCTTCCGGCTCCTGACTGGCCGGAGTTTGGCCTTTGAGACTCATATTGCGCGCTCGCTCTCTCTCTCTCTTACACACACACACACAAACACACACACACTCACACTCACCCGTCCCCTTACGAAATCTGACCTCTGTTTATCAGGGTCAGGCGCGCCCTTTGCACTTTTACGTTTCCTTTAATTATTTCGGACTTGATCGTGGCAGGGAGCAAGGGGGAAAAACAATACCCCAGCCCTCACCAGCTACCCTCGAAGGGTTAAATTTTAAACCGCGGTTTCTGGAACTAGTCCGGAAACGCAGAGTGGGGGGTGGGGTGGGGGAGGCTGCTCCCCCCACCCCCAGTTGCAAATGCTAATAAGTAGTTCAAATTTCTAGATTGATTCTCTAAAAGTTTATGCAAAAAAGAAATAAAAAAGAAAAAGAAAAAAGAAGGAAACCAACAACTAACTCTGTTTCTAAGATTTTAAAGCGATAGGCAAGTCGAAGAAGCAGAGATTTATTTGGAGAGAAAGCTCCTGAAACCGACCCAGCCTTTGGAAGACCAGCCCGTCTGCTTAGAAGTTGGGACTGTTGATTCCTTCAATTAATGAAATGCATTTGGTGTTTTTAATCGTATTTATTTTACTTTATGAGAAGGGGGAGACGCTAGGAGGGTGCATTAAAAAAAAAAAAAAATTCTGAAAAGCCTGCAAAAGGATCGAAGAGTGGAAACTATTGTTGGAGCGAGTTGGTTTTTACCTCAACAGCGCCACCTTTCGGCAAAGGTCAGTTGAAATTGATCCGTGTCCAGTTTTGTCGATGAAGTGAAAAGCAGCTGGTTACCCAGTGTGGGAGGAGGAAAGAGACACACAAAGTTAGTTTGACTGAAGTGGGAGAACCCGACCCTATAGGAAAGGGGCCGAAGAAAGTGCTGGCAGATGCAGAGATCATTTTTGCCCCTCCTCTTCTCCTTGATTGTTGACAAAGAGGCCAGGGGATACAGACACCCTCGGGGTGTAATTTCTGGCTGAGACCTTTGCAAGAGGATCCCCATGTAACAGGGCCCCAAACCCTTTAAAAGTGCCAGGATGGATTTTCAACGGGCTTTATGGCAATATCAATAGGATTAAAGTTACTTGTAATTCAGTGATAAATGAGATGTCTCTAGTAAGTAAGATTAAGTGCAGTGCTATAAAGTTGTTTATCTGGAAAGTAATTCTCAGAAAACCTGACTTCTGACACTTAGTCATATATTAAGCCAGCGTCTTGAACATTGCACTTCAGAATGGTCTTCCCCACCCCGCAGCATGCTTTGCTATTTATAACCTCAGGTGTCTCTCACTCGTTCCTTGCACCATATTAGACCTGTGTTAATTTCTCTGATCCTAGTAGACTTCAGTTTCAGCAAACCCAGGAATCCTTAATGGAAGACTTCCCAAAAGATTCGTAGGCACACCCTAATCTGAAAAGGGCAGCGCTGTCGGTATTTTTCAGACAAGTAGTGTTTCTTTTCATCGTGACTGCAGAGAAGTTGTTAATAAGGGTAGTTTTGGTCTTATAAGAGCATTTTGTTGGGTGGAATAAACTATGTCTATTACCAGTTTGGGGAAGAAAGAGTGAAGATTATGTCAATATTTATGCAACCTAGCAGAATTCCCTTGCTTTCCTTCTCTTTAACAATATTTTCCCTAGTAATGAAGTTAAGGGATTATAGTTTATTTAGAGGAAAATCCACACTTTCCATTACATAAGCATTATGTCATTTAACATTGCCCGTAACAATAGTTTTCTAGGTCTTTTTAAAAGTCAGTAGTCACAAATGTAGGAAGTTTATATTTTTCATGTAAAATATGAATTTAAGTGTATTTAGAAAGAATTTATTGTTTGTTTATGATATACTTTTAATCCTTTTGCATCATATTTGTGTTAAAAGCTGTAAGGTATGATCATTGCCTCTGAAAGCAGTATTATAATAAATAATAAATAATATTTTATACACAAAGTTTGCTAATGATGAAGACTGTGCCATACACATTCATGGCTGAGTATCTAATTGTTACATTGTTATATATCATTTCTAGAAATTAAATGCCCATGTTTGGGCAGCTAAATATATTATTATCTGCACATTTTTATGGTTTATTTATGTACACTGCTGTGAAGACATGGTATTTTTATTTCTCTTATTGCAAGGTCTTTTATAGTCGCCCATTTTCTCTTGGAAAAAAAAAAGAGAGGATCAGAATTATTTTTTTAGATGTGTAGCAGTAATGCTCTCAGGCTTATAACTTAATTCTCATTTTTATCCTTTTTACATTATTATTTAGTGATTCACAGGGGTGTCTAAACATTTACAGTTCTCTGTTAGCAGCATTTCTTTTATAACAATTGAGCTCTCTCATTTTAATGAGTACTATTCAGGTTTTTGATTCTGTACAATTACAGTGGGCCACATGTCTTTAGACTTCTTTGCTAACATTGTTTGTTTCACTTCTATCCAAGCCAATCTAATCCAAATACAATGTGAACTGTGTTTTCTTACTGCTTAACATCCCCTTGCTATATATACTCTAGTAATCTCTGTAGAACAATATACAGTAATTTAGAAACCATGCATTTGTCATTATTGACCAATTCGGACCAGTAGTATTAAAGTTTTTGAAAGCAATGAATATTTATAGGAGATTTGTGAGGGGGAGGAGGACATGGGTTACATCGCATAGAATATTGTGACACAGTAACATCAGAAACACAATTATAGTTTCACGTCAGTACATACATAATGACTTCATGCAAAAATGAAAAACAAAACCCCTGTTCATGTCCAAATTACAAAGATTAAAAGCTTAAAGGAATATATTTTCCCCGATTGTGAGTTATAGCAACTCAAATATATCATGTTGGAATCAGACATCCATAATCTGAATAGAATGGGATGCATCAGGTATGGTGTCTGGACTCTTTGTTTAGGGGCTGATTTTATGGGGCAGAACTAACCAGTGTCCACTAAATTTCACTATGAAACCAACTAAATTGATTTGAGAAAGAGTTCTTCAGAGTAACTGAACGATAAGGCGTACACTGTTCTTAGGTCCAGTGTTAGATAAATCCTTTTAACAGTCTTCAGTTAGCAGGGTAAGTAAATCACAAATCACTGTTAGCAGATTCATGGAAGAAAATTAATAGAATCAGACGAGATAATCTGATAAGGGCAAAATTGCTGAGGAAACAGTCTTGCCTCATGTTGGAGGATGTGAAACAACAGTCTGATTACTAGGAGTCGTTATGAATAGGTGAATTATGTGCTAAATAATCATCAGAGTAATTCAGCATTTATTAATTCTTTTCTCTTTAAGCAATTCACAGTTGTAAGTTAAAGCCGCTCTCTCTTTCAAGGCACATCTTTTATAATTTTTATTAGAGGTAATTTATTATTTGCATTACCTGTATTTACTTCATAATTGAACATTTTACATTCAAATTTATGTAATGCATTATGCTTGAGAATATATTTCTGCCTGATTAGCATAAATAGTCACTTACCTCATGAATTACTAACAAAGTTTATCTTAAAATATAGGTTTTTTTATTAAGTGGAACACAAACATATGTACAATAAATTCTGATTCTCCAGTGCAGTTAGAGAACAACTCACATTTGGTTACCGGGAGGCGAGGGAGGAAGCAAAATATAGACAAATGAGATGTGTAGGTTTCTTTCCAAGGGTATCATTTAGATGGGGGCGTGTGTGTAGGGTGGGGTAGGGGGCAAAGTGAAGAAGGCCCTAGGCTTTCCGTACACTGTTTGGATTGGATGATCTTGACGTGAAATGTGAATTCTGGAAAAACCTGTAATTAGTGATCTCTGCCTTTGTAGAGAACCATGATAACAAGTAAATTAGCACTGGAAGAATTTGGGGGTTTATCATATTTTTGTTTCAATTATTTGCTTATTTGTTTTTGTCTCTGCAGGTTTCTTCCTTGGAAAACAATATACATCACTTAATGAAATCTTTGTTTGTTTTGCACAAGAGATGTAAAAAATCCAGATGTTTTCTTCAGTGAGAATTCCTGGGAAGGTGTACCAGCCTTCTTCTCTTTCTTCACCTGACAAAGACACCCAACACGGCCTCTCAGACCGGAGGTGTTTAATATATAGTTTTGACACGCATGAACATGGGAATGAAAGGGCTCCTTTTGGTTTTAGACAATAGACAGAGCTATAAAATGATGATGGAGCCTGTTTTCCCCACTCTTGTCATTTTAAGTCAATAGATTTCCTGGGTTTCTTCCCCCGCCCCCCCACTTTGCCTTTTCAGGGGATAGGCATCTCCTTAGATTTTTGTTTTTCTTCACTTAGGGTCAGCTTTATGATTCGTTCTTCTGCTGTCATCCTTTTTCATCCTATTCACAGCCTGTACCGGTGAGGGAATTTGTCTCAAAAGCATTCAGCCCTTCAAAGATTTTTATTGTGGTGAACTCAGAACTGATAAACAGAAAAACAGAAACAGAAAAAGGGAACTGATATGGGGGCGATCTTGATGCGGGTTGTGTCTCTCATGCATGATAACTCAGAGGACAGGCTCCTCGGTAGTGCGGTAGTGCTAACTCTGTGAAGTTTCTTCACCCTCCTTCCTAGCCCTGGAGGCGGGGTGATTCATAGCTCCTGTTCCAAAGGCATTCAGCAGCCATTCGACCTGGGAAAGAAACAGAGTTTTAGAAAATACAGGCCAAATGTAGAGACGCCTGTGATTACCAGGATGAGTATGTCAGTGCAGGTGGCTTCTGAATTTCTGTTTCTGAGTTTGTTTGGCTGATGCCTAAGGAAAGGGGTCCCTTACAGCCCTGTTTTATACCTTAGTTCTTGGTGGCAACGTGGGTGTTGCTGATCTCTCTGATGTGTTTTTCTGTGCACTGAAAACACCAGACATGCTCCGTGACATCCTCGGAGCATCTCCCATCATAATGGAGTGTTCCTAACCTGACAAAGAATAGCATATTACCTCCCCATCTACTCAAAATAAAATTATAGTAAAATTTATCGCCCTTCTGCTAATATTTTTTATTTAGTAACTTTATAACAGTGATACATACTCCTTATTAAATATAAACATTTGAACAGGACAGAAATAGAAGGATATTCAATAAAAGAACTGCTACTCCTCATCTCCACCCCAGTCCTTAAACCCTGGTCTCGGGGGTTACCATCTGTAATAGTTGGGGTATATGTGGGTACTTTTTACAGAATGGCATCGAAGCATGTACATAGTTCTTTAACTTGTGCTCCCTTTAAAACACATTCATGTTAACAATCTCAGAAAGAGATGTTGGGCACTTCTGTCTTCTTTGGCAGAACTCGCCTAATGGAACCTCAGACCGGGGGAAGTTTGGAGATCTGATCTTAACCTCGTCCTTCCAACCGGTATAGGAGCTTGAATCTGCTTTAGGTGAGCTGGCAGCATTCAGGAACAACTTCTGCACTGGGCCCAACAGACACCTCTCTTGGGGCCCACAAGACTGCTAAGGGTCCACAAAAACATTTTAAAAAACTTTAAAAATAGAAGTACAAGAGGAATGTAGTAGAGCATGGATTATGTCTGTCATCATACCAACACAGTTGTAAAATACAATTTAAAATATTTTTTAGTAGAACAAAGGGTCCACAGAAGCCAAAGTGCCCAGAGCCCACAAAACTCCACACATGACTCCAACTCGGTGTACCTGATCACCTCCAATGACGGGATGATCTCAATTTTACCTCCTATTATGACCATCTATATTCCCACAGTTCTTGCGGTTGTCCAGAAAGCTCTTGTTTAACACGAAGTCATACTCCCTTCTTCTAGACCTTAGCCCTGATTTTATATACTCATGAAGCCATGTGTAATAAGTGCTTCTGTGCCGCAGAGTCTTTGGGAAGTTGGAGAGAGCCAACATGACCCCCTTTCCCTGCTTTTCATTTTTCATTCAAAATATAGCCAGCGTCTTTAACTTTTCCACACATGTTTTGGTTTTAAGTGCCAACTCCTTCTGGTTACTAACTCCCAGGTGGGTGCACCTGGTTCCTGCTGCCCTCTGAGGGTTCAAGTCTCAGAACTGAATGCAGATACCCAGGTGTGAGCCTCACATCCTAAGGAGAGCACCTACATTCCACCTCCTTAAGCTGCAGTTTGTCTGCTCCTAATACAGCCCACAATTTCACCAGCCTCTCTGGCAGACACTTAACACTGGTGACTCATCATTCATGGACAGTGGACTCAAGCCCAGGCTTTTTCTTCTCACATTTCCCCCATCCTAGATTTGTGTGCTTGTTTTTGAACCCAAGCACAGAAATTCATAGCAATCCTCCATAAGCTCCATGTCCCTAGATTCAGTCCGTTCTGGGACTAAATCTAACGTTTAGTCTAAATCGGTTTGGATCTAGAATGTGCCATCAGCTAGTTTTAATTTATTTTTCAGCTCAGTACCAGTGGCAAATGAAATGGATGTGCTTTTTATATGACCTAGCCTCACGGAGCCTGGTCTGTCACCTGCAAATTTGGCATTGTCAGGATTAGAGATTGTGCTTCTGGAGTGTCTCCTATGGTGTGGGCCACAGAGGAGCTCATAAATGATTGGAGCTTTTCTGAATTTCCTGCTCTTTCCCTGAGTTGCTGATAACAGCATTGGAAGGGACAAAGCCCTGTGGCATCTCAGTGGAGACTGTCCCTCCGAACTCCACAGTGACACACCAAATCATTCAAGTCCCCTAATGGACATTTTAAATGGACTCTGCCTAATTGGTAATTGGAGTTATTTTAAACTAAACGACCCCATCTGGAAGTCCTACATACACCTTTCTAATCAATTCTAAAATAATCGCACTTATTTTTTTTTTTTTTCTGAGACAGAGTCTCGCTCTGTTTCCCAGGCTGGAGTGCAGTGGTGTGATCTCGGCTCACTGCCACCTCCGCCTGCCGGGTTCAAGTGATTCTGTTGCCTCAGCCTCCCGAGTAGCTGGGACTACAGGCACCCACCACCATGCCTGACTGTTTTTTTGTTTGTTTGTTTTATATTTTTAGTAGAGATGGGATTTCACCATATTGGTCAGGCTGGAATAACTTCACTTTTTTTTGGTGTAGGCAAAGCTCTCTGTTGGAGAAGACAGATTACTAGATAATTGTGTCACATTTCACACCTGCCCTTGTCTTTGTAAACCTTTGCCCTGTCAAAATACATAGTTGTTGTCCAAAGTTGGGATCTCAGAGACTAATAAAAAATAAATGTAACCTAGAAAAGCTAAGCAGAAGAGCTGTGTGTGTGTATACATAAAAACATAGTTGAGATCAGCTCTTTCCTCCCTGTTTTATCTCTGGTTTAGATCACCAACTTCCCTGCCATTTCCTGACGCCAATTTTGAAGCCAGGGGGCTCAGAGGCATTTTCTTCAACAGAAGAGTTCAGAGTTTCAGTGTCCACCTTTGAGCTGCAACTAGTCCCTCAGTGGTGTAAATATGCATGCTGCTGCAGAATCTCCTGTTCCAGGATCCCACCTCGACCCCTTTCAGAGAAATCTGGGAATGAGAGAAGGAACCGGCCCAGGAGTGATTTATGACCTGCTGTCTGTGTCCTGCCTGAGGAAGCATGGCTCTGGCTGTTTGAAGCAGACCCAGACTGGGATCCTCAGAGATTGGAAGGAGTGATGGGGACCCTTCAGGAAAATGTCACCGACCGTTGACTCTCAGCTCAGCTCGAAGCTGCTGATGAGGGGGTAGGCTTGGTTGCTGTCACAGTGATGTGAGCTCAGGCAGTTGGGGTTGGGGAAGAGGGACCAGCCAGGAGACAAAGCATCTGAGTTCAGCACCCGGGTCCTCCTCTGATTCACCCTCTGACCTCAGCAAAGCCCTTCACTCTCTTCCTTCAACTCATTTTTCAGGCTGCAAATGGACTGAGCTGCGTGAAGCGGTAAAAAACAAACCTGCTTGCATGGAAGGAATGTTCCTAGCCATTTGAGGCTGAATATAGGGTGGGTATAAATAGGGACCAGACTCCCATAGACAGAAGGAAGCTGGCATGCCCGGGCTGCCATGGAGCATTGATGGGTCATGGTGGCAACGTTGGAATATCAGAGACGCTGGAATATCACACTGGAATATTTCGAGGTCAAAACAACAGACACATCAAGGCAGGGTCAGAATGGCACAGTCAACCCCTCCTGCATCTCCAAGCCAGAGGATGCTGTTGTTTTAGGCTGACATTGTTCAGAGCCTTTGGTGGCAGCACAGTGAGGAGGATCACTGGGCAGGGAGACATACCCTGGAGGTGCCTGATGCCAAAATGAGGATGTAAATCCTGCTCTGCCCCAGGTGTAAGACCTTGGGCAAATTAGCTGACCTCTCTGAACCCGTCTTTTTCTTAGTGAGAGGTAGACAGGAATCTTGTGATCATGATGAGCATGTATACCAAGTGTTTGGCATGGTGCCTGCCCCGAGCGAACGCTCAAAAGAGCAGGCTCTGTTAACATGTGCCAGGGACTCTGCCCACACTCTATACACGTCATTTTACAGTATGGGGCCCAGGGCATAGAAGGAACTTGAGAAATAACAATAGTTTCCCCTCTTCTCTCTGCTCTGCTCCTGCCTTAAAGTTGTATTTACCTCGTAACCTGTCCTCTTTCTCTCCTTCTCTCCTAAGTCTTTGCACGATTTTGCTCCCTCTTCCCACTTTCCCTGCCCTCTGCTTTATTTCCTGGCTAATTTTGACTCTTCTTCAGGTCTTGCATTTCCTCTTAAAAGCCTTACTTGTGTTCTCTTTGCCCACTGGCCCCCAAGGCAGGCCAGGTGCCCACTCTGTCTGCTGGTTTGTGTTTGAGTCCTCACAGTGCCCCAGGAGTTCCTACCCACCTGTGAACTGCTTAAAGCCAGGGACACCGCCTCTCATCTCTCCATCTCCTTCACCTGCTACAGAGCTCAGCATACAGTAAGCGCTCCATAAATGTTTCTTCAGTGAACATGATCACACTGTCTGATTCCTGGCTTCTTTTTTTGAGGCTTGAACCTACACAGAATGTCCTGTCAAATGTCCCAGAAAACATGACTTTGAAAGGGACAGGGTGGCTGGCTCCTGTGTTGCAACACAGCACTTCTTACCTTCGCCTCTCACTAGTCTGATTGGCCCATCTTTCAATTACCAGGATGCTTATCTTGCTCACTCATTAGCCTATATCCCTTAGCTGGCATTGAGTGGACAACATGGTTGAGATATGCGAGCTCTGGAACTGAAGTGGGCTGCAGTCAAATCTTGCTGGGATTGGTTTTTGGAGGAAGGGAGGCTTGGGATTAAGTGGCTGAGTGTAAGTGGGGCATCCTATTCCAGCACTGCCTGCTGCTGCTAGAGAGAGCCCTGGTGCAGCTTTGAGTCACAGCTGCTTTTCCCAGGACTTCAAGGCACACAGACACTATTTTGTAAGCTTCAGATAAGAATGCAAGGCCCGCCCTCATTTCCACATACCCAAATCATGCCCATTCTTCCAGGCACAGCTCATATGAGATGTGACGTTGCACCTGAAGCTCAGAGCAGAGTGTCGGGCATCCATTAGTAAAAGTTTGATGCTAATACTAAGCCCCCAGCTCCAGAAGCCCTCCTGCGCTCCTACCTTTCATTCCTGTATCCTCACAGTTGTAGTTCGACCTCTCTTTGGGAGCCTCACAATGTATCCAACAGGTAGAGTATCACCTTGCTGATTGTGTGATCTTAGAAGAGTTCTCGACGTGCTTTTTGAGTCTCATTATCTTCATCTGTATAATGGAATGTCAATTCAGCCTCTTTGGGTTGCAAGTGAACAAAATTTGACCTGAATTTGTTTAAGCAAAAAGGATTCTCATTGGCTTGCATGGCCCAAAATCTAGGGACAGGACTAGTTGGGATCAGGGGTCATATAGTGTCATTGGAACTGGCTTCCTTCCATCTGTGTGGACTCCAGACCAGGGCTCTGCATAAGAGTGTGATAATTGTAGTAGTTCCAGCCTTTAATCCTCCTATGCTGAGTTCATGGGAGTCAGTTGGAGGCCCCAGTAGGGCGCTCAAAGTCGCGGTTTGGGTTGCATGGGTCTAGTTCATTTGACTGCTTATAGGCTCATCCCCGAGCCCACCCCTGTGGCAAAGAGATGAAATATCTAATTGGCTGAGACTTGGACTCAGATATGGTATGGGACAGGGGCCTGGAGAATTCTCTGAGCCTGTCTGAGTGTGATGGAAATGCCATCACCCAGGGCGACACTGAGGAACCCAGCATTAAATGGCAGCATTACTAACAGCCAACTCAGACATGATATTCACCTGGGCCTTGCCCTTAGTTTTAACTTATCAGATTGTCACAGCAACCCTATCAGATATGTGCTGCTGTTATTTACATTTGATGGAGGATGTTACTAAGGTACCCCCTTAGTTTCCCCTTAGGCACTGCCTTAGAGGGCTTTTCCAGGGCCACATAGCAGGTGTAGTACAAGATGTAAATCCAGGCATGGCTGCAAAGTTTGCACACACAACTCCTTTCCTTTATTATGTATTGTAGGAGGGAGCCAGTCAAGAAATGAAAGGTAACAAAACAGATAAGTAACATATAATATATTACGATGTAATGTAATATGATATAGTATAGTATCATATAATATAGTATATTACTATATAATATAGTAACATATATCATATCATATCATATGGTATCATGGCAAACACTGGTAAATGGTCCATCTTTGTATCTATCCCTAAAACATCTGTTGTGAGTGTGTCTTAGGGAGCTGTTGAGTGAGTGTTGACCAGCTGACCAAGTGACTCATTTTATGGGCACAGTGTGAATCCTTAGATCCAAGAAGATTGCTTCTGTCATCGCAACATCATTATTATAACATTCTTGTTTGTTTTGGTTTCACAAGAATAGCAAATCATTAAAGGAGGAAGTTAAAGGAAAAATCAGGTGAACTGTAATTTCTAGAAGTCTCGTTCTCTGGTTTCCAATGGTGGTGGGTGTTTAAAGATGTTAGCCTGAACCTGTGTCCTTAAGCCTATCTTACTGGACAGACATTATTTGAAAGGACTGTTTCCAAAACCTTTCCACTGGTAGAAAAGATCTGAGCAAATCTGTTTTACAGACAGGTGGAATAGGAATGAGATGGCAAATGCAGATGATACAGAGCTTTTGGACTTATTACCAGTCCCCGACACCTCCACCCCTTAACCTTTTTAGAAAATGCCCTTAATTCTTTGGGAATTTCTATAACTAACCGTAAACTGGTATTTGCTACACACATATGCAGCAGTGTGTTTGCAGGTTGTTTGTGAGTGTTAAAGCACACAGGGCAAGCTGAGAAGTAAAGGTTTTGTGTTGCATTTGATGATCAAACATATGCCCTCTTCGGCCTTCTCAGGGCACTGGCATTAAGGCTAGTAAATAATCTTGGGTTTCCTTGTGTCTCTCCAGCGTCCCATCTTGTAGCCCAGTATTACGTGAGGCACTTAATCAAAGCATAAAAGCAATTATAAAACGCCCCTGAAATTACATTCATATCTGTAATCAGAATTGCTAATATCTCCCCTCCCTCCACCATCCTGGTGTCATCTGATTTTCATTCCTTTGAGGTGACTAAGAGTCTAGTCATTAATGTAACACCCACCAACTTTATTGGAAGTTACCGTCAGAAAGATCTGTTTCCAAAAACTCTGTGAGCTGAATGCAATTACAGTGCTGGTTCTTCTTGGCCATTGCACAAGTCTGCACATACTCTTTGTACTAGAGTCTCTTTCTAAACTTAAGCACCAATGAGGTTGCTGTCTATTTTCTATGTCATGGGGAGGAAAGATTTGGTTTAAAGTTATTTGAGGTCTGGCACAGTGGCTCACGCCTGTAATCCCAGCACTTTGGGAGGCCGAGGCGGGTGGATCACAAGGTCAGGAGATCGAGACCATCCTGGTTAACACAGTGAAACCCCATCTCTACTAAAAATACAAAAAAATTAACCGGGCGTGGTGGCAGGTGCCTGTATTCTCAGCTACTTGGGAGGCTGAGGCAGGAGAATGGCGTGAACCCAGGAGGCAGAGGTTGCAGTGAGCCGAGATCATGCCACTGCACTCCATCCAGCCTGGGCGACAGAGTGAGACTCCATCTCAAAAAAAAAAAAAAGTTATTTGAAAGAGAAATGAAACTTCTAGAAGCTATCACTCTATTGCCTACATTTTTACCTTTCCAATAACATTGGGATGATTTGGTAGTAATGTAATAGTGATGATGATTATGGTCATGGTAATAGTAAAACTACCAGCTTACAGGAAATGCAGGCGATAGAGAAATGATGCAGACCCTATTATGAAGCCATAATTCAAATGGATAATTTGGGAACTTCTCTAAGACGAATGTTCTGCTTTCTTCAACAAACAAATGACCTGTAAAAGGGAGGAGGCAGAAGGGGGTTCTGTTACAGATGAAAACAGGCCTTATTTTAGGTCTAAAAGGAGTGGCCTGAGCCCAAGGAGGTAGCAGCAGAATGGTGGGAGAGCTGGCTTGCTGGGGCAGGGTGAGGGACGCTGTCCACACTGCACTTTTCACCTGCCTCAAGGGTCATACTATCAACCCAGCCATGGTGCCTGCGGGTCTGGGCTTCCTCCAGCCTGGTGCATCCTTTCCTCCTCCCCACCTTTTCAGCCTAGCTAACTCACACTGATAGCTGAGACTTCTCTCCTTCCTTGAGAGGCCCTTCTTTGACTACTACTTTCTTATCTAAGTGGGATGATGTATCTCCACTCTGCTCTCAGGGCCCACTGGCATGGCATTGGTGATTGTACATTGTAATTATATATGTATTTTAATTTTTTAAATTTTGGGGTAATTGTAGATTCACGTGCAGTTGTAAGGAATAATACAGACGGCTCCTGTGTACCCTTCACCCATTCTCTCCCAGCATTGACATTTTGCAAAATGACTGCAATAGCACAACCAGGAAATTGACATTGTTATAATGTACCCAACTTACACAGATTTCACCAGTTTTACATGCACTTGTGTGTGTGTGATTTCATTCTGTGCAGTCTTATCACATGCATCAATTCCTGTGATCACAATCAGCATTTCCACAGTCAAGATACACGGCATTTCCATCACAAGGCTTCCTCATGCCACCCTTTTGTCACTGTCTTCTTACTTACCTATTTCTCTCATGATTTTGCGAGTGTTTTGAAGCAGAAGCCTTATGTTTAATCTCTGTGTCTTGGTTCCAGCAAACTCAAACCAGCACCTGGCTCCTAGGGGTCCTGTAAATTCCTATGAAATCGATTCAAATTCTACCAGAGAAAGAGAGTAGATCCGGGATACTTTGTAGAAAAGTTTTGGCCAGGAGGGAGAGAAAAACATTCCAAGGCACAAAGCACTAAGAAGATACAACATTACAGGACTTTTTCCTCTATGGGACTATGAAAATCCTGGTGGTAACTATGGCTTTGTATTACCTTTAAAAACCACCTACTCATGCAAACCCCAGAGGGAACAGATTTCTGTGCAAGACCAGGCACAAACACCAGGCTTTTATTTTGTGGTCTCAGTGTGGTTCCTTTTGTGTCATCATTCCATGTATATGGGGAGTTTGAGGTTAATTTATTTGGAAATCGAGAATTCATCACACACTTGACCTGTATGAGGCTTCACCTGGTCAGGGGTCAGCCTCCGTTGTATCTGGGAAGGATTCAGGACATGGGGACATATCAGGCCTGCAGAGGAGAGTGACTTGAGCAAGCAATTTGGGTGCTCAGACAGAGTATCAGGATTTTTCTTCTCTAGACCCTCTCATGACAGACTTGGAAGGAAGAAGGCTTTCATTGGTTCCTTGCCCCGCTCCTGAATTTCATCCTACTAGTGGTAGAGTTTTCAGAAAGTATCTTAGAGTAGCAATGCTCTTCAAATTACCCCATATAATGGTCATGCTCTTATGAGACACATGAAGCCATGCATGCAACATCAGAATCTCTAGGTTTTGATGAATGAACAGATACCAACATGTGTCAGATGCGGTTGAATTTTCTCCAAGCCCAGGTCTTGAAAGGCCAGTGACCAGCTGATCTATTATTAAGATATCAGAGCTACATGTCTGTTCTTTACTTATTAAAAGCTTGTTGTATGTCAGGCTTTGTAATAGTCTGGGGGATAAAGGGATTAAAAAATCCTGTTATTCATCCATATATCATTCCATATATTCATCCATCCATCCATCATCTAGCCATCCATCCATTTTTAGGTGTACAGTCCAACAGCATTTTTTACTAGTTTCAGAGAACATGTAAAAGGACACTAAAACAAGGTGGCTTTTTGAGCTTCTCTGCAATATCTTCCAGACACTAACATGTTTTTGCCTCTTAGACACATGGACCCCTTAGAATATATGTGGAATAGCCTATTGGTAACAAGAACCAATGTTATTTGTTATTTTCTTTCTGCATTAAGTAGGAAACAAACGAACATCTGAACGGAAAGTTAAGCTGTTTTTGTGGAGATGACCTTCCACCCTCTACCATGTCACTAAACTTTCACAAGGCCTCATGGTGCTGGAACACATCTCACAGATAGGAGTTGGGTCCATGCTCTCATTCTCATTGGTCTCCCTGTTGTTTCATGAGAACCAACTCATTTGCATGGAATTTAATACTCTCTGCAGGGTCTAAAGGTGTGTTGAGCTAGCTGAGGGACCCATGTGCTCATCTGAAATAACAGATCGGAGTGCTGGGCTGTGTTCTGAAGTTCACTGGGATGGAGTAGTTAAGGCTGGAGTTACGCACATATATACTTACATAATGTATAGGGTTGAGGAATAACTCCTGCCAATATATTCAGGGATTGGGCTGTTCTCATTGTGTGAAGGGAGTCAATACTGACCCCTAGCCAGCAGTTAATTTTTTATGTTTGTGTTTTCCAGAAGTGAAACTCTCATGGGAGACACATCTCTCTCTTTCTAGGCTTATATTTATAAATAAATATATACTATATATTAATCTCACATCATATGTAATTATCTTTCACATATAATATATGTGTTTGTGTGTGTGTGTATATATATACACATATATATATATATATATATATACACATATATAGATATAAATATAAAATATTTTCCTCACTGGTATCTATTTAGATCTCTAGGGCCTTGTATCATGTATGGAATGCACTATGATTATTCAGTTTCACATGAGAAGGAATACAATTTCTCCTAAGCACTTCACTAAGCATTCACAAGGCCTCATGGTGCTGGAACACATCTCACAGATAGGAGTTGGGTCCATGTTCTCATTCTCATTGGTCTCCCTGTTGTTCCATGAGAACCAACTGGTTTGCATGGAACTGAATACTCTCTTCAAGGTCTAAAGGTGTATCCTGAACCAGTTGGGGGATCCATGTGCTCACCTGAAACAACAGAGTGTGCCAGGTGAGCTTCCAGTGAACACTCCCATCATTCTGCACCAGGGGCTCTCCTCCAGCTATTAGAAATAAAATCTCACCGGCTGGTCACCCAGTTTCTTCAAATACAGGGATATGTCATAACTGAAAGTGTCCCTATTGCAAAATTCTTGTCTATACAAATTTTAGACAGGGTTCTTAGGTTATGGAACCAGAAGTCAAGGAGGGAGAAGGCACACTGAACCAATGAAAGAGCAGGAGCAAAGATTCAGGAGAAAATAAAGCCAGTGCTTAAAATTGTGCCCCTGCTGCTGTCTCCTAGGCACAGAGAGCAGGGACACTGAGATGGGTAGCAGGAATTGCAGCAGAGCTGATCAGGGTAATGAGCTGTGTTCTGAAGTTCAGATGAAGTAGTTAAGGCTGAAGTTAAGTGCATATATCCTTACATAACATTAAGGCTCGAGGAATAATTCCCACCAACATACTCAGGGATTGGGCTGTTCTTATTGTGTGAAGGGAGTCAGTGCTGAGGCCTTGTCTTAATTAACCCTCTGATATTATCAGTCTCTCTAATGGATCTAACCTTTAAAGGATTTGGGGAGAATTGTTTCAACTGTGTAAGCTTCTCTTTTTTCATCTGGGCTATGTCAAGGAACACTGAACTTGCATCCTAAAAGTCTGCAATTCTATCCATATCTTTTGAAGCCATTTTTATGACCAAGAATGTTGGCAGTGCCTCACAGGCTGCCTAGCACATGGTAGACACCAAGTGATGCTTGTTGCTTGTGTGTGTGTGTGTGTGTGTGTGTGTGTGTGTCTGTGTGTGGTGGGAGGCCCCATCGTCCTTGCCGGAGTATCTTTCTTGTTGCAGAAATACTTAGTTTCAATTAAATCATCCACCAACATATATTTTACTGTTATAGCTACTCATTATTTTATAAAGTTCTTGGAGATCTCCACTGAGAAAGAAAAAGTCTTGCCCAAGCTCTGATGGGGTTGGTAGGGCCAGGGCAAGCTCTCTGCATTCCTGACCTCTGTCTATATTCTTCTGTGAGAGTGCATCGCCTGTTTTCCTTATCCTCAGTGGGACATAGGTTACTTATATAAGAAACAGGCTCCCCATGTCTCGGGGGGGCTCCATGACATGCGAGATCTGTGGAGTCAGGCACCTGCACTCAACAAATAGATGCAGCTACTGCTATTATTACTAATCATTGGTTCACTGAGAGAATTCATAGAAATGTGTGACTTGGCTTGTTTTGCTTCTGAGAAATGGAGGTTAATGCTTGTTCCTTGCAGGAAGTTCTGTGGCTTAGAAAGAGAAAGAAAATTATATACCAAAGTGACCTTTTTCTCCAACTGTTGTGCAGTGCACAAAACTAATTAGCCAGGTTCTAATTGGGTTGAAGTCTGAGAGTAATGGAAAAGTTGCCCGGTGAAGATGACATAGTCCACAGGGTTCCCTATTTATTCTCTCTCGGTGACTTCTGTATTAAATTTGTTCAGTTTGCTGGTCACAAGCTGGTATTTCAGATGGAATGACTTGGCAGCTAGCTCCTCTGGGCCTCTAAGCCCAGCTGTGGTCTCCAGTCAGCAACCAGGAAGTTGGGAGGGGCTCTAGGATGGCAGGGGAGACCATGGCTTTGAGTTCTTCTTTGATTCATGCACCCCATCTTTGCTTGATCAGGGAGATACAAAGCACAGATCCACTGTTGGGCAACCATGATGGGCCACCTGCCAAGGAGATGGGAGAACCAGGGCCTGGAAAGGAGGAGCATCTGCGAAGCACAGCCTGAACCATGAAGCCTCCCCAGGCATCAAGTCACCCAGGGGGCTGTGGACTGCGGGGGAGTGTTGTGGGGTGAGGAGCCTGGGGCTCAGACCAGCCTGCGGTAAGCATCCTCCTACACCAAGGAGCCAAAATGACTGCACAGTGCGAGGGCGGCGATGCAGGCTTGGAAAACAAAACCCGCCTCCTCTCTGTCTCCTCTGATGGGAAGCCAGGGCCAATGGAGGGGTCTGGTTCAGGGCCCAGAGCCACCAAAACCACTTGGCTCTTGAATGATCTGACTTGAGGGCTAACCTAAGCCTTGTGAAATCCCAAGAGAATAACCTCAGGTTCTTTAATTCTAGTGCAGACTTTAGATGCTGTTGGAAGAGAAGAAAAGGAAATAGTGACCCAAGTCAGTAATTGTACTTTCCAGTAGTCCCAAAGCATAGTTTATATGAGCATCCTATAAGAGGCCACTGGCATCTTAATAAAGGTAGTTAATAGTACACATTGCTAGTCAGTAACAGCCACACCTTGCACCCATTTGATAGAACCCCAAGGGTCAGAAGATGATCTACTGAATATGGCCCAGCAGGGTAACAGGAACCGAGGGGTCCTTGAAGACAGCGTCCAGCCAGGGCATCCAATCTGGAATTTCCCCTCACCTACAGATCTCTGAGTAAGATAAATATTTCATTTTGCAAGCTCTGTGTTTTGTTACTTGCAGCTAAGAGCATTCTAACTCACATAATTTCTTCAGAGACACTTCTGTAATATGCCTACTTCTGAATGAACTCATGCTTCCCACACTACCCCTTGAATACTTCTTTTACGGAGTTTACCATTGCCTATTTGTCTTACATCTGTCATACATCTATGAGCTCTTTGAAGACAGGGATAGTGTCTTATATTCCATCTATTCAAATCCCCAATTAAGTATATAAATGGATAAATACGTGTAGTCAATTACTTTGGAAATTAGATATTGTTGTGAGTATAACAGGGTGTGTTTCTTGGGTGGCCCGTAAGGTCAACAGGGAGATTTCCTTGTCCCAGAATTAAATGAGGAAGGTCGACTTCTGCTCCAGCCTTGAAAACTCTCGTGAGGATGGAAGCATGTTCATTATTTGTCAGTATAATTTAAACTCGATTAAAGTTCCACCTCCCCAAAAAAATGACACAAGGAAAACTTGATATCTAGTGCTGATGAATTATGTGTTCCTGGGTCTTTTCTCCCCCCATCTTCACTTCTTATCTGCACAAAAGAATGTTCTTTTTGTTTTTGACTGACTTTACCAGAAGTCACACTTGTATGGGTATAAAAAACTAATAAAAGTGTCTAAGTCAAGGAAACACCATGATTCTCTCTCCATGCGTTAATTACTGCCTGAGGAAGCCATCAACCTTAAATTGTACTCATCCTTTCTATGCAAAATCCATCGAATGTTCAATGCTTTGTAGACCTTAGCTTGCTCCATCAGCATTCCTGGGGTTAAAGGTCACAGTCTTCTGGCAATTTGGAGTAAAAAGACTCCTCAAAAAGAAAGCTTTTTGATTTATCTAAGGAAGCCATCCACAAGCCTTTTTTCCCCCTTACACTTCAATTAGAAGAAAGAGGCAGATTTTGAAAAAATCATCATGCATGCAGGTGATACCAAATATAATTGTCAAGAGTAAGGACAGCAGCATCATGGAGAAACCGTCAGGTGATCTCCATTGCTCTTTCCCTCCTCTCTCATCCCACCAGCCCCTAAGCTCTGTGGGTTACACCCTGAATGTATCCTCACCCATCTTAGTGCATGCACCACCTTTTTAAAAAACAACTTTTTTGAGCTATAATTCAGATACTATACAATCCTTTTGTCCTAAGTATAAAATTCAGTTTCTTAAAACATATTCAGAGTGTTGTGCAGCCACCACCACTATGGAAACTCAGAGCATTTCTATCACCCCCACCCAAATCGCCCTGCTGGTTAGCAGTTACTCCCATTTCACCTTCTTCCTGGCCATGGGCAACCACCAATCTGATTTGTGTCTCTAGAGATATGCCAATTCAGGACTTTTCCTATAAATGAAAACAGGGATAGTATCTTATCTTCCATCCATTCAAATCCCCAAGTAAGTATATAAATGGATAAATATCAATTCTTTTCTGTAAATGAATCATGCAATATGCAGTCCTTTGTGACTGGCCTCTTTCACTTAATATTATGTTTATCATGTTTTTGCGGTTCATTCATGTTGTAGCTTATAATGGAACTTTATTTCTTTTTGTGACCAAATAATATTCCATTGTATGGATACAGCATATTTTGTTGATCCATTTATCTGTGGATGGACAGTTGGGTTGTTTATACCTTTTGGCTATTTTGAATGATGCTGCTATGAAAATTCATGTATGAGCTTTTGTGTGGGGGTGTATTTCTATTCCTCTTGGGTATAGCTGGGAGCAGAATTGCTGGGTCACATGGTAACTTTATGTTTAATCATCTGAGAAATGGCTTGACTGTCTTCTGTCTTTTCCATCTTTGTCTGGAGACCGTGCAATAGCCTTTTGATTGTTCTCTTTGCCTCCAGTGTTGTCCTCTCCTTCTGGTCAAGTCTTCTCACCACAGCAGCAGGGAACAGAGTCTCTCACCCAACAGACACTTTCAGAGCTTATATAGTGAATAAGAAGAGCATGGTACTGTCTAGTAAGCTGGCATTAAAACATAAACTGTGTCATGTGACTGACTGTCTGTAATTGTTCATCACACCTGGAATAGAAGCTCAGCTTCTCACTAGGATCTACAAGGTCCAGAAGTCGTCTGCTTTGCACTCCATTCTGATTATTTTTCAGTCACTCTGGTCTTCTTTGGACATTGCCTCTTTCCTGCATTAAACCTTTGTGCATATCAATTATTTTCTTTCATCTGCCTAGATTGGAACACAGCATTTTTTAAAAAGCTGGTTAAATGAATGAGTGAACAAATTGAATTCAATATGCTCAGTGTATTAACCTGCTCAAGGCCACAGAACTGGTTAATAGCAGAGTCCCTACCAGATTCTTATATTAGAGGGTTTTGGGTTTGTTTTTAATCTTTGTTCTAGATGATTAGCTAATATATTACAGACCCTCTTCTATCTCTGTGTGGCAGTTTCTCAACCTTAGCACCGTTGACATTAAAGCTGGATGATTGTGGTGGGGGGGCCTGTTCTGTAAATTGTAGGGTGTTTAGCAGCATCTCTGGCCTCTACCCTGTGATTAGCAACCACTCTCCACATGTTGTGACAACCAAAAATGTGTTTAGACATTGCCAAATGTCCTTGGGGGACAAAATCACCCAGTTGAGAACCACTGCTCTACAGCTATTGTCTTGTTCAATGAATATTGGTGCTTAGAATAGCCCAGGGTATTTTCCAATCCCTGCTCGCCAGAGAGAGACTTTTGTCTGATAACCCTGTAATAAGTTGGGAAATGAGACCAGTATTAATTTAGAAGGAATTTTAACGATATTGTTAAAAATTCAAAAGGGTTTTATGATTAATTTGCAGTTAATGAGAGTATTTAGTCTATCAGATTCCCCGTTCTTCCAGAATTTTGGTCGATTAATATGAACTTGATGAGATTCCCAACCATCCTGGGTCAGGTAGATGGTAAGATCTTGCCCTGTAAGGAACCATTTCGTCGAAGTATTTTTCTGGGTTACTTGGGGCATCCTTTCCCAGGATCAGAACTTCACGGTAGTCAGAGCAACAGGAACGGAGAACAGAAAGAGCCCCTATGACAAATAGGGTCCATTTTCAAGTGTTTCATGTTCATTTCAACAACTTGTACCTCTCTCCATCCAGCCTTAGGACTCAACCTGAGAAGCAGAAATGAACACAATTGCACTGAGCCAGTGACTTTCCAGATCCAGGGTGCTCCCCTGCTCCTGCAGCGGTGTTCAAACTTCGGAAGTGGGGTTGGAGGCTCCATTAATAACTCCCGTGAAAATATGAGTGATCTTAGCTGGAGATGTCTAAGTACAAGATTCATCTTTTCCTCCTTGGCAGAATCAATAAATTTGCATGATGCATATTAAATGTTTAATTAAAACCCAACGCTAAAGCATATTCAGGAAGTTATAAAAGCCCTTTGGAGGGGGTCTGGAGTCCAGGGGTTCTTGTGAGTTTTCCAGGCATGCCTCCATCCATCAGACTCCAGTGTCCACCTTAGTTCTGTTTCTCTTTAGTGCCTGGGTTATTTTGCAGGTATGAGAGCTGCTTGACGTAACGATGCGACGGCATTCAGATGACTGTTAAGATTTTAAACACTGGAGCCTTTAAGGGCAGAATCACCAAACTCCCTCCTGTCAGGATCCATGCCGGTGCCCACCTCTTGTCCCCTCCCACAGTGGGAAGGGAGCTGGGTATTTAGCACAGATCCTGTGTTAGAGAAACACAAAGATCCTAAGAACAATTTGTAGCTTAACGGGGGAAAGTGCTTAGAGACAGAATTTTGCTTTTTTGGCTCTAATTGCCAGCCAGACTGCCTCGGGTCTTGGCGTTGGATGCACTCCCGAGCAGAGAAGCCAGGCTCAGATGACGTGCCCTAGGTGCCCTCACACTGCAGGATGAAACCTTATTTAGTAGCTGTATTAATTGAATCCTCACTTCGTGTGGATTGATGGAATTCATATCAGAATGGCCCCTCGCTGTTGGAGATGTCCCTCGATGACTTCCTCTGCCCTCCAAAACAGGAACTTTCATTGCTGAATGTTTTTTCTTTTTGCTTATTCATTCGTACGTTCGCTCCCGATTCCACTCACTCACCCATTCCACAAAAGTCTATTTAGAACCCACTATGGATTGTACACTGAATTTGTTCTAATAATTGATGGTTATAGAGCATCTACTAAATGCCCGCCACTGCTGTAAACAATTTAATTACATCACCTTCTTGAATCGCCATAAGGACCCCAGGAGGTGGGAAGGGTGGTCATTTCTCCCACTCTGCGTCAATCTCTCTGCTTGCTTTTCTGTGTGCTTATGTTTTCCCAGTCGTCCTAGTTTCTTTCACCTCTTATTTCCTTTTGCTTTCTCTTCCCTGTATCCTTAGCTGACCACATTTTAAAATGGTGGATGTTATATTTTGAATGCACATTCGGTTATCTTTTCTTCTTACATTTAAAATCCAGTCCCTGACTCTGGCTCCAGCATCTGTTTGAGCCACACCCATGTGGCTGTCTGTTCCAGCCTTGCTAGTTTTCTTCTTCTGCCTCTCATACTTGACCCCATCCCAGAGACTTTGCACATTCTCTCTACTTCCTCCCAGCATCATTTTCCTGAATCCTATTTGCACTCTTGACCCTGTTTTAGTACAGCCTTCTGAGCAAAGAACATTTTTTTTGTACTTTAAGATTTTTTTTTTTTTTTTTAGAAGAAGGAGGAGAAGAGGGAGGAAAAAAAGGGGAGGAACACCAGTAGCAGCGGCAACAAAGACTGCAAGATAAATAAAGCTTAAAATAATTGCTGTTTGGTTCTTTACAGAAAGCGTTTGCTGTCTCAGTGGATGTCTCCATCATGAGACTGTAAGCTCCGAACGTAGGGATATTTCTTGCTCACCATTTTTTCCCGTGTGCCTAGCGCAATGCCTAGCATATAGCAAGTACTGAATGACCTGGTCAGATGGCAGAATGAATGAATGAATGAATGAATGAATGAATGAATGAAGAGTTCTCATCTTCTCACCTTTAAATCTCCCAGTGCTTTGCCTCTGAAGTCTATCTGATGCTCACAGCCACCTCTTAGGTGATGGACTTCTTTCTCATCTCTTACCCAGGGAATACTGCCTCTCAACTCATGTCTGATCCATCCAATATCTCTCTCCAAATTTTCCCTCATCCGTGGCTTTCATGGTCAAAAAAAAAAAAAATCAAAAATATGTTGTAAAATGTAAACCTTATCGTGTCTCAGTCCAAACCCTCTAACGTGCACATAGGAAGGCTCACAGTCAGGTCCCACCAGCACCTCCACTGGCTCTGCACCCTTGCTCCCCTTCTGCAGCACATGGCTCCCAGCCCCTCGAATCCTTGCAGATCCCAGGGTGTGCCTTCTTTCTCTCACTTCTGTTCATCTTCATGTTGTTCCTCCTGCTTGTACTTCTGGTGAACTGCACGGCACAATGGCCTTCAGGATGCAGCTCCACTCTCACCTCCTCTGGGAATCTTTCTCTGACTCCTCAGGCCAACCTGGATATGCTTCCTTCCTGCCCTGACGGCTCCTTGACTTACGTCTATCCAAAAACTGACAGTCCTGGGCTGTAATTACTTCTTTAAGCATTTCTCTCTGCCTTTAGTTAGGGAGTTTATTGAGGACGGGACGATGCCTAAATTCATCTTGTGTTCTTTGCACCCTTGATGGTCTGTAGCCCACATTCAGCACTCAGAATTGCAGCTGACAAACTGATTGGACAAATGAATGTATGAATGATGACCAAAGTAGTTTCCCATTAACAAGGTGGGGAAGGAATCACAGGGTTTATTATTATTATTATTATTATTATTTTTTAATGTCTAAACTCATTTTGTCTTTGCAACATCAAAACACTGTTGGCAATTTCCTTTACAACTCATGGCTAATTTACAGAAGGGATTTTTATGAAAATGTTTTCCTTCATTCCCATGGATGGTGATGCTACCTGGGGGGCAGGTACTCAGGTAGCAGCCATGTGGGTGGCTTTCAGAGGTCCTCAGCCTTCCTTTTGACTAGCTCCAAAGCACCATGGGAGGCTACAGGGGTGGAAACCCTGCTGACTCAGATTTCAAAGTTTGACGCAAGTAAATTTCAAAGTTTTCAGTAAGGTGCGACCCTATTTGTATGGACAACCAGTAGGTAACCCTAAAAAATTTATCCAGTCCAGGGTGGTGCAAGCATTGTGAGCTTCTTATTCATTCGTTTTTCTGTTTTAATTTCTGGAACTATTATAATGATATTATTTGGCCCAGAAATAAAATCAATATTTAGCAGTCAGAGGCATCTCTGCTTGGATGCCTAGGTTGGAAATCAGTTGTGTGAGAAAGAATATTTTTCAGGCCAGTTTCTGAGAAGCTGGAGATACTGGTAAACACTCAATGAACACCTCTGATTGTGGGGGTAGTGTGCATCAAACAGATGCTACAAGTAGAGTGGTTGAGAGTTTCAGTGGTCTGAGTTAGATGAGGGTTCAAATTCAGCCTGCTAGAAACCAACTGTGTTATTTTGGGCAAATGAATATGCTCTCCCTAGACCTCAGCTTCTTTGTTGACAACTCAGTTGTTGCAAATGTTTAATGAGATAATACATGCAATATGCCCCGCACAGTGCCTGGCAAGTAATAAGTGCTCAGTTTCTATCAGCTACTGTGGAAAGCAGGCTGGTCTGAAGCAGGATCATTAACCTGAAGTGTCAGGACTGTTAGGGTCTTCAAGGGCCCCCAAATGAACTGATATCATGCACACACTCCTACTGCAAGGGTCTCATGAACTCCCTCAAACTCTCAAAGTCATCCATGACTCAAGAAAAATTTTCTCACTGATGTAAAAAGAAGGCAGGAGAAGAAATGCGTCTGGGCCATACAGGAGAGTTCTGTTAAGGTGACAGTGCCTGCTGTCACCTCCTTAACTCACAAGGCACCTGGTCAGCTAAGTTCTATGATCTGTTGGGAATGCAGGACTAGAGTTCCTGAGAAAGGTCCCAGCTGGAGAACATAGACTTGGGGCCACAAGAGAAGAGGGAGGGAGTGTGGGAATGGAGGTGCCATCAAAGGAGAGAATTCAGAGAAGATATTAAGGTCAGGAGGTTAGGAGATTCTAGTTTTCAACCTCTCTGCACAGTCAAAGACGCATCCTCAAAGGTCGGAAGTGACAGCAGGCACTGTAATGGACCAGACACTCTGAGTTTTCAGGAGACTAACCAACCCTTCACGCGGTCTTCTGACAGCTGTCATTCAAGGTGATTACAAATCCCTTCCTGCCACATCCACCCGGCTGTCTTCCTCACTGTGCCTTCCTTGGGGTCAGAGGCCATGCATCAAAGCGGGTTTTCCTGTAACCACAGTGCAGCTCCCCTCACCTTTTTGGGGCAGATCCAACTGCATTTTGAAGAAGTATTTTGCTAATGAAAGATGACCAGGATTCTAAAATTTGCCTTCTTTGGCATTTTTATACATCAAATTTTTTACTTATTTTTCTGATTATGACAGTACTTTTTGTTTATTACAGAAAACTTAGAAAGTACAAAAAAGGACAATAAAGATATGAGTGATGATAACTTAGATACAGTGGTTGCCCATAGTATTTTCCTTCAAGTTATTTATTGGAATGCATATACAAACACATTTACACAAGTATGCAAATGTATAATTAAAAATATTTTTAAGACAACTGGGATCAAATTGAGTGTACCATTTATATCCTACATCTATAAGGTGTTTTATATCCTACTTTCTACTTCAAAATATACCAATCCAAGAGTATTTAATTCTGAGTCATTAAATACTCTTTGAAAGCATGTCTTTATAGGCCACATAAAAGTTAATCACGTGATTATAAAACTAATGTATTTGATTATTTTGCTTATTTGGGGACATTAAGATCCTTTCCAATTTTTCAGTAATACACCAACTGCTTTGATCCATATCCGTATACACAATTGCTGAATATCTGATCACTTCCCTAAGACAAATATAAAAACTTTGGACTGCTAGGCAAAAAGGTATAAATATTTTAGGGATTTGATATGACAAAATTATTTTCTAGATAAGTTGCATCTGTTTTCTATACTGTTGCTAATGTAATGTGATGCACACTTTTTAAAAATCTACATCAATTTGAAAAACAGTATCTCTCCCTTAATAGCATCTTAACAGCCAGCCTTGGAATTTTTTCCCTTGACTTCTCTGAATTCTTGTTCAAACCCAGGGGCTTCTCCCAAAAGTCTCCCAAGTAGCAAACAAGGGACTAATTAGGCAACTCTCTATACATATCTACATTCGTTTATCTGTAAAGATAACCATATGCGTGTTCACCTAGTTACATAGTACATATGTCACATAAGGAACAACAAATCCCAAATCCAGTTCACTTCAAAAGAGAAGTTGAAGGGCATCTTTTGGGAGTCCTGTTTAAATCGTTAGTTGTATAAATTAACGACTCAGCCATAAGCTATGGTGCCTGGTCCACAGCCAAGAATAGTAGATCATGTTTAGCTGAATCTCTTTCATGAAGAGAAGATAGAAAGAAACCTACATTGACTGAGGATATACTAGATTCTGCTTTGGGCTCCATTGTGTACATCCTTTGTTTATGCCTCACAAGGTATTCTTTCCTCCAGTTCTATGCATAGAGAAGTCAATCTCAAGGCTAAGATTTGCCGGGGCCAGCAGCAAGGCCTCTAGGCCCTGCAATATGCACACAGAAGATTTGAACTCTGGTCAGCCTGCTCCAAGTCTCTGTGTTTTGTCACCAATTCCTCTAGAAGCTGTCCCTAAAGCAGATCTCTGCCCACAGCAGCCCCCCGGACAGCACATCCTTCTAGTGGCTTTTCCTTCTTGCTCTCTCAGAATCGCCTCTCCTTCCCTTCTACTTTCTTGGTTCAGCCCCCAGATAAACTACCTGAACATACATGGTTATTGCACACTTTCCTTTTGGAGTCTCCAAACTGAGACATTTACTTAGAATACCTGCAGCTGCAGAAGGACCCAGTGGGGCAAGGCCCTGCCCGAGTGCAGGCTTCCATTTCCTTCTGGGGTCTTCAGGTTCCCCAGGGGCAATTTCACTGTGTCCTGCTGGGCTAAACCTCTCCTGGGAGCTACACCTGACCCGGAGGTTTCACCTTCCTCACAGCTGGGCCTACGCATGACCACAAGTGAGTCACAAGTGAAGAATGGAGACATCTCCCCTGGCTGCTGGGCTCTGGGTCCTCAAACCACACTTATGTTTTTATATATGTGTTGGGATGATTCAGCGGAAACTTCTGGTCAAACGGATCACCATAGCAACTTTCAATAGACATCCAGCATGCAAATTAGAGAGTGGAAAGAGACACTTTCTCAATAGCCCCAAACCACCATCCTCTGAACGCTTCATGGATTGAACAGTAGATACTTTGAAGGTTTAAACACAGTCAGCTTAAATGCAGGGTCAACACCTGGCTGGGTCAGCTGGTACCTTCAGATGCTAAAACAAGCAGAGCAAACTGGCTTCTACACTGAATTGTGTGTCTAGCAGGGAAGACATCCCAGCAGAGTTGGGGACAGATGCACATGTGCCCTGTGTCATTCGTAAGCCTCAAGATCTTTGCCAAATTATGAGTTTGTAGAGTAATTTGGCCACAAACATGGCCAAATTACTCTACAAACTCTCCAATTTATATGCTTTCTTTCACAAAATTGAGCAACTTGCATTTTCTCCTTATATACCCCACGCTTGCGATTGCCTTGCTTTTGATTGCACAATTCCTAGCATGGAACGTCCCTGTTTCTCTCAGCTCTAGGGCTTTGCAAAGCTCCAGGCTTAGCAGGCTTTCCTTTTGGGGTCTCCAAACTTAAAATACCTGCAGCTAAACTTCTTTAAAATTTCTTTAGGCATATGGTGTGTCTGAAATAATGATTAGAAAGTGTTTCGCGTATGTTAGTCTCTCAATAAATGGTAGTTACTGCTAACATTTTCTTTGGAACTTCAGAACCCTATTTTTTTTTTCCTTTAGGCCTCAGTCTTTAATTGAATATCACTTGTATGAAAAATGTGATGTGGATACGTAGGGATACAAATGACAACATGGCGTCTGCTCTAAAGGAGCTCCAGGAGTGGCTGAGAAGGATGGAAAGGGGTTATGGGTCTTAGGCATGACTGGGGGTAACTTAGGTTCGAATTAGTCTTAATGGAGGCCTCTCACTTAAAAGAACAGTCTATGGAACACAGATTTCAACTTACAAAGCAAATGTAGTGTTGGGGAAGATGAAGTTATTTTAACATGTTATTCACTGTGTGGGATAGGAACACCTATGGCTACAAGCAACAATCAATCAATAGTGGCTTAGACAAATAAAGATTAGCGTCCTCTCTCTCTCTCTTGCACACACACACACACACACACACACACAAGGGTAAAGGTAGTTGGCTGCTTGTGTTAGTTCATTGGGTTAATAATATCAAAGCTAGCATCTAAGCAATTCTGATATCTTTTCCTTCTTGCTTATCACCTTACTTTCCCAGGGTGGCTGTTGAAGTTCCAGCCATCATGTCTGCATTCCAGGTAGTAGTAGAAAACAAAAGAGCAGAAATCGATGGTAGCATTGAAATATTTACATCTTATTGGTGAGAACTGAGTCACATGGCTGTTCCTGGCTATAGTAGAATCTAGAAAAGTAATTGTTTTTTGGTGGAAACCCTTTGCCTACATCATAAGCTCCCAAATGCATGGACGTGGGGTAGATCCTGTGGATGAATAGAGAACTAGGCACAAGCCATAGTTTCTGACCTAAGGAACTCCTAGTCTAGCTGAGGAGGCTGCATGCCAATCAAACAAGAGCACATGTATTGATTTAGAGCATGGCAAGTTTTAAATTGTCCTCATCTATCTTTCAAGTCCTTGGACAGCCTGATGAGAAACCAGGCTTGGGCTGTCAGCTTGACTTGACCAATGACCCCTAGGAGGAAGCACGTGTGTGACCCAAATTCAAGGGGTGGGAAAGGAGCTATACCAGGTCTTGCCTGCAGGCCTCCTCTTAGTCTAGCGCTCTACCCTTTTGCACAGCTCAGCTCTGATGCAGGGGTTCAAAGGAGGTGTGTTGGGTAGGGAGGGAAGCAAGGCCCTGATAGGGTGTTTATGACCCCAGCTTTGTCTCTCCCAGGAAAAGTATGAAGGTCATCCACGTTGTTCGGTACATGGGTCCAAGGAGAGAACTGAAGAACAACAAAGAGCGTCTACTCCATTTGGACCTCCAGGGCGCCCAAGGAGAAACAACTCCCTTGTGATTCTATTTGGTCGACACATTTTGTATCATTTGTGTCCTGGCAGGAAGGAGTCCCCCTGGGTAATATGAGGAAAGTTTTGATCACGAGAACGTTGACGAAGGGTAGCCCTAAGTATAAGAAAAACCTAAGGGAAAGTGCAATTTTCTGGGGTTACCATTTTCAGGGCACCTGTACCACCTCCTGCTGCTGGGGGAGGCAAGGAAAGGGAGGGAGTCCAAAATTCAGAGAGAAAATGGGAGGAGAGGAATTGAGAGAGAGCGAGAGAGAAAGAGAAAGAGAATGCTGCCTAAGTTGACAGCGCAGCCTGACCCTAGCTTCTCATCTCCTTCCAATGTCTCTTGTAGGCCTGACTCAAATGGAAACCTGGCCAGAGGACCTGGGGAGCCCACTGATCAAAAAGATCTGCCTCCCGGAGCACAGCACTGGTGGGGAAAGGCAGAGGATAGATCTGCAGAGAGGGACAAAGAAAAGACACTCAACACAAATTTGAGTGAGAGCAAAAAGGTTGTTAACACACCCTCAGTCCTTGATGCCGTTACAATGTCCCCACCAATGAATGTTCCAGAAGCTTCCATAGAGCACTTGAGAGTGGGACTTGTACTTAGGACAAAGCCCCTTTGCCATGGGGTGCTCTGCCTTTGAATGAGGCCTCTGATTGCCACTTTTCTCCCCATCCAGCCCAAGGTCTCCACTCAAGGACAAAAGATAAGAAAAGCACTATGTTGTATTTCTCCTCTAATATCCTTTAGATAGTTATGCTTTGGTGACAGACACTGAGGGCCAGTTTTGCAACTGTATGCTTTTCATCAATAAATGATATAATTGAAACTGTAAGAACATACATTTTGCTAAGGGACTTGGGTTGAATGAAGGGACATTTTTAATACATTTTTTAAAAAACTAGTTCCAATCTTTCATAGTAGTGCAGCAAGGAACCACATGATTTGCAGAGAGTCAGTAGATGTTTAAAACAAAATATCTACAAGAGGGAGGAGAAAGTATATATGTATATCAATTTTATATATATATATATATAAAATGTATGTTGGTACACATGTGTGTATTCATTTACTGACTTGCCCTAATTGAACAATCAACTCAGTCAAAACAGAGGGTACAGTAGCCACATACACAGGGTTAATTTGTTTCTTTCACAATACCGGCAAAAAGTGATGTCAGAAGCTTCTGTACCATTCTCCAGAGCTGCTCCTACCCTAAGGACTAGGTGTAGGTTTTTGCTGCTTGGGAAACGTGTTGTTAGGAGTGGTCAGGCGTACTCCTGGAGACAGTTCAGGCTCAACTTTTCAGAGGATCACTGTCAATTCTGACACCAAGTTTCAGGTTTGGCAAGAGGGACATAAAAATATTCTCAAGTTATAATGATAGAAAAAAAATCCAAGCTTCAAAGAGGATCAGCTTTGCCTCTCCCAACTTGCCTCTGCAGACATAAAAAGGGTGGGACTTTTTGGGAGAAGGCGTTGTCTCTAGCAGGAGACACGAGGCACCAGATAGCATCATTTGAGATATTAACACGGTGGCAGAGGGAGAGAGAGAGAAAGAGACCAGTTTATGAGGAGCTGTTTCCAGGGTGGGACACACCAGCGAATTGAGACGACGTTCTACAGGAGCAAGTTCGTTTATCTCACAAGCATTCATTGGGCACCTTCTATGTGTCCAACTCCGTGTGGCATACCATTTCCTGCCCTCCAAGAGGTGTCAAACAAGTGGACAGACAGACACCAGCAAATCAGAGATCCCAGTATGAGTCATCATGTAGCCTGTGATAGAGGGAAGCACAGGATGCCCCAGAGCCGGTGCCAGGTTGCATCACAGGCAGAAAGATCTGGGCTTCAGATATCAGTAAAGCATCTCTCCCTCCCCCTACTCCAAATAGCTCTGTTGACAGCAACTTAAAACACAAATCAAAGTCATTATCGTGGGAAAAGCTGAACTTCATTGGATTTTGTTTACTTCTCTTGAGTCTGATTTTGTTTCTATGTTTAATTACATGGAGGGTGACCATCTTTCATCTTCCAGTTCTTGAAGTCTCTAAAAGGCTGAATCCACCCACAATTGGAAGCACAGAATCCCCTCTTCCTCCGAATCTGAGGGTTTGGGGAAGATACTAGAGAGTGGGTGACACCTGAAGTGTATCATGCTCCAAAACAAGACAGAGACAGGGTATGCTGAGGGGAAGGAACAGCGATGGAGATGCCTGGATGTTACCATCCTTGACTGACAATCCTAGGGTTTCCAAACCCCCTCTCCATTTCACATCCAAGTGTCCTTTGGGATAGGAAATGGGAGGTGACAGCTGTGGGCCAGTAGTGTTTCAGTTAGATGGCACTGTCCAGCCCTCAGCTCAAAGTCTGGCCTGGAGTAAGGGCTCTGGAAATGTACGATTATTGCTGCTGTTGCCATTCATCTTCTTGTTATTGATACTTATCTCTTGGAATAGAGAGCCTCGGCATTCCTGCTCCACATTTTAAGAGGCTGCGTGGTGCCATCAGGATTCCACGCTCACACACAGATTCATTTGCTGAGCATTCACCTAATGCCAACTCCTTGCATGGTGCTGGGTCTTGGGGCAGAGCCATGCTGTGGGTCTCACCTGAACTTCAGCCTTCTCCCTCCAGGGTAAGGCACTTAGGCAGGAGAGTCTGGGGGTTTCTTCTGACATATGGCAAGACCTTGGAGAATGAAAATGCACAGGAGAATTTCACCAGAGACCCAGAACTCACACAGTGAAGGAATCCCAGGGCTGTCTAGCTACCTAACAATAAAAATGCCCTCCACAAACTCTCCCAAATGAATCTTACCCTGAAACCAGCACATCATTTTTTTTTTTTTTTTGCTATTTGCAAACTTGCTTTCAGGCATGTTACTGATGGAACACTAGGAAATGCCGAGGAGTCAGGCAGGGAAATAACATTTATAGCATGTCTGTTGCCTGGCAAACCCTGGCATTTCACATACGTGATCACCCTTCATCTTCAAAACTCTAGGTGTTAGGTGAAATTACCTCCTCAAATTATAGATGAGAAACTGATACCCAGAGAGGTTAATTCATTTCCCAGACATCACAGAGCACACAGGAGCCCTGTTAGAACAGCTCTGCACCGTGTTATTTGGAGCTTTTCTTCTCCTATCTGTTGCAAAATTGGACCAGGAAAATTGCCCTGGACTCTGCCAATGGACCTCTAAGAAAACACACAGGAAATAGGATATATGCTACCTCCGTAAACTAGCTGCTTTCCATGGATTTTTAATGGCATCTATGTTATTATCGGGAGAATTCCAAGTATACTTTTAACTAGATAGACCTTAGACTTTAACCTAGTGGGTCTGGAGTTTGTAGCAAGACCTTAGGTTGGCTGGGTCAGGGGAGGTGATAACACCAGGTAGGTGGATGATGCCAGAAGAAAGCCAAGTAAATATTTGCTAAGGCAAGTAGTATATGAGGATGTCTTAGAAGGTTCTAATGGTCCTGGAGCAGTGGGCTATATGACCAGAGCATCATTACTCATTTCTGGATACCATAGATCCAACCAGATCGCCTCGGAAGGAAACCAGCCTGTGTTCAGAGTAAATAGTTAACTCTTCTGGGCTGGAAGAAATGATTATTCAAAAGTTGGTCCCCACATACAAATGCAAATGACATCCTGAGACACATGAATGCTAATTTCTCCAACGAAGTCTGTAGACAAATGCTAGTCATTAGAAACATTTCCGTGCATTTATATTAGGCTGTCCTCTAAAAGACTTTTTAGACAAATATGTCATCAAGATATTCAAAACCATGTAATCTTATCCAAAGTTTCATCTATCAACAGTACAGTCTTCATCTCTTGCAGCTGTGTGTCAGAATGCGCGGGGAGATTACTCAGCTGATGTAGCGGAGCCGGGGAGGGGCCGTAGTTTTGGGGGTCACATAGCTTCCCAGCAGGAGGGTCTGGGTTTTCAGGTGGGCCAGGCCTTTTAGCCACGGGTTAGTGATCTGAGGTGGGTGAAGGATGACCTCTAACAGGTAAAGAGAAGGATTCAGGGGGAGGCTCCTTTTCCTGGGCATCTCTCCACCAGGCGGCCCTTGCCTATGAGTGCTACTGAGATGACAGGTTAAATAAAAGCAGAGTAGCTGGGAGCTCCAGATCTTGTCTTCAGCACCTTCTACAAGGCCAAACCTCAGGCCTGTAGACTGCTCCCAGGGAGCCTGGAGGTGAGAGATGGTTAGACTGAAGTGACAGCACCTTCAAGCACCTGATGGGAAGGCTGGGCTTTAAGTCATTTCTGTGTGTTTGTGCATGTTTACTTCTCTCTCCTCTTCCCTTCTCTTCTGCCCTCTCCTCCCCTCTTCTGCTGTCTCCTCCCAGCCTCTTCCCTTTCTTCCTCTTCCCTTTCCTCCCGTCCTTCCCCTCTTCTTCTCGGGAAAGGGTGTTAGTTAAAACGGGTGCTCAGAGGAAGCCTTCATGATATCCCTGGGGATTCAAATGTTACTGTTATTTGGTTGTTTCCTGAGGTTAGGTCACTATTTAGTGTATGAATGGATGGTGGCTTTTGGCAGTGATGCAAGAATATTTTTCTTAATTCATTATATGATAATATAAACCCTTCAAATAATTTATTTATCTGTTAATCCACTCATTCATCAACATGAATATTCATCTACTTATTTGAACATTAATCCATCCATCCATCCATTCATCCATCCATTTATCCTCTACCTACTGATAACAATGTCGGAAGAATGCAAGAGTATATGGCATTACTATGATCCCATTTTTGTGGCTGAGGCATAGAGAGATTAAAATATTGGACCAAGACCGCCCAGCTAATAAGGGATGATGCTGAGACTGACTCATCTACTCTCTGGTTCACTCCATTTAATCCATTAACAACCATTTCTTGAATGTCTGCCTTACATCAGTTATGATGGGAGGGTAAAGTTTTGTCAGACTTGTCCCTGCCCTTGAGGAGTTCACAGTCATGAATCAGAGCCAAATATCATGACTCTGGCTATGAGGCTGGCACTGAACTGCGTGTCCTGAAAAGGTGTGGCCAAATGCAGTGGCAGCTGTAAGTTGGTGCAAAAATCCACCAGCTGAGGTGCCTGGAGTGGAACTGACACTGTCAGGGGTGGCCAAGAGTCATGGTTCTCACCATCCAACTTCCATGGAAACACCATCCCAAGGGTACCTTCTACTTACTAACGCATAGCCTGTGAATCTCGTCCTAACGGCTGCTGCTTTGCAAGAGGATTCAGGAAAGGACAGGCCTGGATAAGGCCCAGCTCCTCTGTAGATGGGCATTATATAGCTACACTGGGTTCTTCAGACAGCACATCTTAGAGCTGAGGACATAATCTGCGACTGTTGGCCCATGCTTGCCAAGGGCATGGATATGTCTAGAAAGCATCACTAAATTGTGGAAGGCATTCTGACTGGAGGAAACAGTTTCTACAAAGACACACAGGGTTGAGTGATGATGGCACGATAGAGTAAGCTGGTTTCTGTTATTGAAGCACAGGTAACATATGATGGGTTGGGTAACAGAGGGGCATGGGAAATATCTACATGGTTAAAATTAGGCCTCCCTTGTGAAGGGTTTTACATGTCAGCTGAAGAGTTTGGAATTTAAAGAAGTCATAAAAGTATTTGGGCAGGGGAAATATATACCCAGATTAGCATTTCAGAAGGATTTCTTGGCAGTGGAAGAGCACACTGGGTGGCAGGAGCTCTACTCGCTATTTGGTTGCTGCAATAGTAGAGATGAGGTTCTATCGTAGACCCAAGGAGTAGGAATGTGATGCCGACAGCAGATTCAACATTTTTGAAAAGTAGAATGGAAAAGATGTGTGATCAATTGGCATACTGGATAAAGGAGAGGGAAGAACTAAGCTCAGCTTTCAGGTTTCTAGCATAGAAACTTATGTGGACCTGAGGTCAGGAGTTTGAGACCAACCTGGCTAACATGGTGAAACCCCGTCTCCACTAGAAATACAAAAATTAGCCAGGCATGGTGGCAGGCGCCTGTGATCCCAGCTACTCAGGAGGCTGAGGCAGGAGAATCACTTGAACTTGGGAGGTGGAGGTTGCAGTGAGCCAAGATCGTGCCATTGCACTCCAGCCTGGGGGACAAGAGCGAAACTTCATCTCAAAAAAAAAAAAAAAAAAGAAAAGAAAAGAAAAGAAACCTGTGTGGATAGTTATATTTGTCAAACCTGGTTAGGAATCATGAGAGAAGAGGCCAGCTTTGAGGAGTCTGAGATGCCCAAGGGACATTCTGGTGGTGACATCTAGTAGGTAGTTGAAAATCTGCCTCTGGAGAACAGAAGATAAAGTTCTGGCTAGCAGTGGAAAGTGGGCAGTCATCAGCAAACAGGTAGCATACATGCCATTAATTGCTATTTCTGCACCCATAGCAGACATTGCTAATCAATCGTGGAATTTTATTGTCTCATTGTGCCTGGCTGCTTATGCACAATGATTCAGGCATCTGTTACCAACAGACTGGAGCTGGCATGGACATTGAATTCTTTTTCATGGCTATTATAGAGGCAATGACTGAAGCCATTGAGGGACTGGGAATGCCCTACATGGTGAATAAAGTGCATTTAGGAGACACAGCTGTAGTTGAAAGAGTGCTGGCTATGATGAAGGATGACCTGTGTTCAAATTCCACTGTCATCACTTAGGGCCTAAACTCCCTAGGTTTTATTTGTTTGTAAAACATGGATAACAGAATAGTACCTCCTAAAATTTTGGGCAGGATTACAGTCAAGTAAACTGTTTAGAACAACACAACCCATACTAAATACTCAATAAGAAGGGCAAAATAAACTGAAAATTAAAAGGGTTCCTCGGAGACTACAGGAGTCTGACTTCCCTGGCACATCTGAACTCAGACAGCCTGATTTGAAATACTTCTCATCACAGGAGATCAGCTGGCCCTGGGGAGAAGGCTAAATTCTTCTCCCATCCCAGACTCGGTCCTCTTCATAGGATAGTTGCAGTTTCTATGGAAGTTCTGGTACCTTCTCAAACCCAAATATGGTTTGGGGTCTGAATTCATGCATTTCTAGAACTTCGCCTCCTAATTTTAAGGTTCCTCTGTGTGCAGTTTGGGAAAAGGGATGGACACCTTGATTTAGCATGGCGGCTGCAGGGTCTGAACTTTCTCTGCTCACCAAGAATGGCAGATGGACAGGTGTTCACTTCCACCCAGGAGGAAAATGAATAAGAGTTCAATTCTTTCAGATCAAGGGGTTGCTTTTTCTTTCAGGCTACCAAGCACATGTTACTGTAGAGAGGCCTTGTGGCATGTCTAGAAAAGCACGTTACAAAAACAAATACATATAATTTATTTATTTGTCTGGTTTGCTATTTCCCAATCACTTTCCTCAATCTAAAGGTACAGTTACAGTCCTTTGGGTATAGTACAGCATATAAAGTGTTGAAGAAAGAGCCCTCAAGTTTATGCAGCAAGTATCAAATTTATCTGGGTAAATAAATTATTATGTTTTCTGAACTGCGTCTCTGCCTGCTCAGCGAGCCTTTAATAATCTTGCCAAGAGCTGGGAACCACTTTCTACGGGCTCCATAGCCAGAGTGGTTGTTTCTTTTTGGAGGTAGAGGGGGTGAACTTTGAAGGTTATTTTTCCCTGCAAATGTGCATTACTCTGAATGCAAAGCATGACACGATTTCTTAGTTTGGACACAGAATTTCTAGTGACCTTGCAGTGAGGACACCAAGCCCTCAAGTTGTGACAAATCACAAGAAATGCTGAAAGCCTGGCAGGCCCGTTGATGTTTCTGGTACGATCTGTGTCCTGGTGACCTCTTGTTGGGTTTGCATGGGTGTTGTTTCTCAGAACGTTGAGTCAAGGACACGTGTTTAGTCTTGACTTTGAATTCCCTGCTAGTGTGTTGGTGGGTATGTGTGTGTTTGTTTGTAAGAGCAGTGATGGTTTTGTTTTTGTGCTTGAGAATTTGTGCATATGTTTTGGTGTGGATGGAAAGAGAGAAAAGGCAAGAAAGACAAAGATGGAGAAATAAGAGAAGGTAAAGGAAACAGGAGTAAAGTTCATGGTTTAAACATACCTGAAATGATGCTGCTTGGTAGACTGTGGTGTGGGATGAGCGTGCGTCTGCTCTCAAGTTGAAAATACACGGGCAGGTTCTCTAGTTCAAAAACAGGGTGTAGGGAAGGGGTTGAATTTCAGAAAGCCCACTGTGAGGTTTCACGGCCTGTGACACTTACAGCTTGATTTACAAGCAGGCATTTTCCATTTACAAACACTGTTATTTTGATTTTCAGTCTCTGCCTGCTCAGTGTGGTTGGAAGGAGGTGGACTAGTTAGATATTTAATACAATTAATCATGCGGTGATATCTGAAATACATTGAAGGGTATTTTCAGAATGGGTAAACCATTCAAAGTCCAGGACTTTCTGTCTGGCACTGTTGTAGGCTCTGGGAATACAGCAGTGACTCAGGTCCACAAAGTCCCTGGTTGCCTGGGACTTTATCATCTTGCGAGGACACTATCATTAAATGAGTGATTCAATAAGGAAATTTCAGGTAAATTGTCTAGTCCAATTATGGATTAAAATACTGCTGCTTTCTTCTCAGCTGGGTCGATTTGATCATACTCCAGGGGCCAGCTCCCATCTCTGAATATTCCTTCCCTGGAATATTCATCTCTGGAATAAAATCTCTGTACAGAACGCCCACTCTTGTTAGACAACTCCATTCCATTTGAAGTTTGTTTTCTTAAGTTCTCTTTATGTCAGTGGTTCCTAATCAGGGCTGATTTTGCCCCTCCGGGGGACAGTGGGCAATGTCCAGGGACACTTTAGTTTTTCAGTTTTTAAATTTTTGAGACAGGAATTTGCTCTATCACCCAGCCTGGAGTTCAGCGGCATAATCATGGCTCACTGCAGCCTTGGCTTCCCAGGTTCAACCAGTTCTCCTGCCTCAGCCTCTTAAGTAGCTGACACCACAGGCACAGGCCACCATGCCCAGGGGCACTTTTGGTTATCTAGACTGGGAGATGCTACTAGAAATCAGCGGAGGCCAGGGATGCTGCCAAACTTCCCTCCTGTCCGTGCACATCCTAGCATGCCCATGAGAGCCCCGTTTATCAAAGAACAAGCAAATTCTAAGCCTTTATAGCGTAGAGGCTGAGAAACCCTGGTTTGCATGTTTACTTTCTGTTTCCTCCACAGTGAGAAGCTACAGTTTCTTCTCTCCTGTATCCATAGTATTGACACCTTGTGGTTGTTTCATAAATATTTGCTGGCTAGCAGTGCCTATGCTAATGCTGAACACACAGAAAGTGGTAGGACATGTTTGCTGAGTGAATATATGATTAGCTCTGTGACTTAATAGCCTTGTGACTTGGTGAGTCATCTAACCTTTCTGAGCTCCCACAACAACCCCCCTCACCCCCAACAAAGAATGATCAAGCCCAAATGTCAATAATGCCAAGATCAAGAAAGTCTGACTTAAGAACCGGAGGCTGGCCGGGCGCGGTGGCTCACGCCTGTAATCCTAGCACTTTAGGAGGCCGAGGCGGGGAGATCACGAGGTCAGGAGATCGAGACCATCCTGGCTAACATGGTGAAACCTTGTCCCTACTAAAAATACAAAAAAATTAGCTGCGCGGGATGGCGGGCGCCTGTAGTCCCAGCTACTCTGGAGGCTGAGGCAGGAAAATGGCATGAACCCGGGAGGCAGAGCTTGCAGTGAGCTGAGATCGTGCCATTGCACTCCAGCCTGGGTGACAGTGTGAGACTCCATCTCGAAAAAGAAAAAAAAAAAAAAAGAACTGGAGGCTGAGCTGGGGCACCCGTAACCCCAGGGCTTATTAGCGTGTGTTTATGTGTACATGTGTATGAGATTTGCCAGGAAACCAGGAACTACCCCTTCGAGAAAAACCTTCAGCACAATGATTTGTCTCTTTCCATAGGAAAACTGCACCCTCTGGACAGTGAGTTTGGATCCCACACAACCTTTTCTGGGAGCCACAGGCAAAGACTTTTGCCCAGTGGTTTGCAGAACCAAGGGCGTGAAGGGCCAGTATCCTTGGAAACTTGGGGCTTACGTTGGTGATTGGTATTCTGAGAAAGCCCCACCCTTCCTGTCTTAGAGCATTTGTTCAAAACATATTTTCTAACAACATACAGGATCAGCCTGAAATTTACTCTGCCTGTAAATTCTGCCCCCTGAAACCACTTCTTAACTCACCCATGAACTCCCTCCGAACAGGATAGCAGCACACTCGATACCTGAATGAGTTTACTATCAGTGCCGTCTGAGGCAAGGGGTGTTGGGAAGAAAAACAGAAATGAAATATCTGGGAAATCTGAGACATTGTTTTAAAACAACAGTGTTTTAGGGTGTTTGATTTACTATTCAACTGTGCACAGCTGCCGCTCGGAAAATAGGATGCGTGCCAAGCCAAGATAGCTGGTGGAGAGGGTCGGGGAGGGGGAAACAAAGGAACCCACAGCGTGTTTGCACACTTAACATGTTAACTTCACTCTAGAAAAATCAGCGCAGCTGACCATTGCTGGGAAGCCATAGGCTCATGTCTTTGGGTTGCTATTTATCTGCTGAACTGCTATTTCCCCGCTGTTGTTGTCTTCTTTGTCTTAATTAAAGAGATTTAGGGGACTGCCCTGCCCTCAAGGTGCACATTTTTAATCAGTGCTTTGACAACTACTGACTTCTGTTTTCTTCATTCTGGCATCAAAAACACCTATGTGTTGATTTGGGATTTCTCTTTAAATTGAACTAAAATTAACGTAACATGAAAGTGACCCCTTTAAAGTGTACAATTCAGTGGAATTTTGAACAGTCACAATGTTGTGCCACCATCACCTCTATCTAGTTCCAAAATATTTTCATCATCCCATAAGAAACTCCATACACTTTGGACATTAAGCAGTCACGCCTCATTGCCCCTTCTCAGTCCCTGACAACCACTGAACTGCTTTCTGTCTTTGTGGATTTACCTATTCTGACTATTTCTTAGAAATGGAATCTTACTCAGGATTTTTTTTTTTTTTTGGGTGCAGTTTTGCTCTTGTCGCCCAGGCTAGAGTACAATGGCACGATCTTGGCTCACTGCAACTTCCTTCTCCTGGGTTCAAGCAACCCTCTTGCCTCAACCTCCCGAGTAGCTGGGATTAGAGGTGCCCGCAACCACACCCAGCTAATTTTTGTATTTTTAGTAGAGACAAGGTTTCACCATGTTGGCCAGGCTGCTCTCAAACTCCTGCACTCAGGTGATCCACCTGCCTCAGCCTCCCAAAGTGCTGGGATGACAGGTGTGAGCCACCGTGCCCGGCCGTATGGGACCTTTCGTGCCTGGCTTCCTTCACTTAGCTTAATGTTTTTGAGGTTCATCTTCACGTTGTAGCACGTCAGTGTTTTGTTCCTTTTCATATTTGAATAATATTCCACTGTATGGATAGGCCACATTTTATTTATCTGCTCATAGTTGATGATCATTTGGGCTGATTCCACTTTTTAGCTATTGCGAATAGTGGTATCATGTATATTTGTGTACGAGTATTTGTTTGGAGACCAGTTTTCCGTTCTTTTGCATATATACCTAGAAGAGGAATTGCTGGGTCCTATGGTAATTCTGTTTAACTTTTTGAGGAATTGGCTAGCATTGGTGTCCAATCAGCTAACATGTCCTTCACCCAAGACAAGGCCAGAGTTAAACCTGGGGGCACCAGAGTGAGACAATGCTGGCTCTGTGCCCAGGAGTAAGAACTGAAGGGACTCAGAGACCTCCATAGAGCTCCTACTTTTTCAAAATGAAGAAACAGGGATTCAGAGAGGGTTAGCCACTTGCCTAAGGATACAGAGCTCAGAAGAAAGAAGTAATAAAACTTATGAGGTCTAAAAACCCATCTGCCTCTTTGAACGTGTGCAATTGAAGACATTTTACCAAATTCAAAAGCCTGTTGGTTACCTGCCTAAGAAAGCAAAACCTTTCAAAAAGAAGTGCCCCCAGCTCAAGGAGAAAAATCCCTTCTCTTTTTGGCGGAGCTTATTTGACCCAAGATTGACCACAGGCAAGGTGAGATTTCCTGCAGCCTAGACACAGGAAACAGAGATTGGCTTTCTCTGAAAGACCATTATGTGACCTGTGTTATTGGGAATGAACCTTTCTCTTAACAGTTACAAATTCATTGCCTCTGTCCATTCTCCTGGCCTACTGCTTTCCCCTAGGGGGAAAGTAGCTACTTTTTCTTTCCATAAGATGTTCTCCATTTTAGAGAAAAAGTTGGAGCACGAGAAGAAGCCGGCCATCTCTAAGCATTCACCATGCCTGATATAAATTCTTATGACTATTCACCCAGCAACTCTGTGAGTTCAGTAGTGGTGTTATTTTCATTCTGATGAGGGGCCTGACATTTAGAGAGAGCAAGAAACTTGCAGAAAAGTTTTCAGCGCATGGGTGGAAGAGTCTAGGCTCAAACTGAGAATTTGCTGAATCTAAAATCTGTGGAATGCAGGCATTCCGTGAGGCCAATAATTTATCAATCACTACCTATTATTGAATGTCTTAGCACCTTAAGCTATGTGGTCTCCCAGGTGGTCTCATTTCTTTATAAAATGTATGCTTATAGAAAAGGACCTTGAGGATCAGTTAGGTCACACAGCCAATGAAGCTGAAGACATTTATTGTAGGGCCACCCAATTTCAACGACTGTTGAGTTGACCATATTATACACTATCGTTTTGTCCAGTATGGTACTGGGCTCATCCCAGGATCAGGACCAGGAGAAATGGCCTCCAAGGAATCCTGCTGGTTGTATCATAAATGTCTGACAATTTCATCTTACTGTGACTCTAGTCACTCATTGGTTGTATAGTTAGCAGATTCTCACATTAGGATGGAGGTCTTGGAGGGATATGATTTTCTGAATAGTTTATGGTTAGTGATTTTTCCTAAGATGAATTAAAAAGATAAATCTTTTGATAGGATGGCAGTTTGTCTCAGGAAGAGCCAACGTACAGTATCTCTCTGTTACACCATGTGGGCAACAGGTATGTTTGCAAACATATATGTTGTCAAGCAGGTAGGTGCAAGTTTGTGCAAGTGGACTCATTTGAGTGTTTGCCCAAGTATGTTTGTGAGTACGTGTGTAGGGGGTGGGACTGTTAGGGGAAGAGAGAGTAAAAGATAGATATCGGAAGCAGGTTCACTACTACAACTAATTCCTGCAGTCTTGGATTAGAAGAATCATCTCTGGGGTCTTTTGGGGGTGGGGTGAGCCTTTGTGTGTCCACAGAGACCTTAAGACTGGATGTAAACAACAATTGCCTTGTGCCTGTGGCTTGGTTCCCTGGAAAGGGTCTCCATCTGGCCTCAGTTACTCCATGACTTGATTGCCACTTGCAACTTCAGCCCCCTTGTGGGTTTGGAATTTGGCTGTGACCTTTCCAGCAACCCCAGAGCACTGGACCCCCAAACTCTGGAGTTTCCCTGGGAGCACCTTGACAAGCATGTGGAGTCTCTGTCTCCACTTCGAGAATAGGACTGAAATGATTTGGAATTGCATTTCAGCAAGCTCACTAGGTGGTTTGGATGTAGATGATGTGAACGGCACTTGGAGAATCTCTGGCTTAGAGAGTGTGCAGGGATTGACTGACATATGTCCTTTCTGAGCATCTATCTTCAAGAAGGCACCTCCAACATGTTCTACGATGGTCAGTGGGGAAGCACGCGGCCCGGAACCGGCAGTGACCTGGCTGAGTCTGAGAGTCATTCAGCGTGAAAATTGGATTCTATTTCTTCATTTTGCTGAGCAACTCTAGACACATTCTCAAAGTATCAACCCATTTTGTGATAAACCCTCACCTTTTAGTAAAGAGAGATCAAATGGTTTGATTGCATGTCTCTTCTGTGAAACCAATGAAATAACAAAAACCAACAAAACATGTATTATAGATGACACTCAGCAAATCCCTTTTGTTCCGAAGACCATAGAATCCACTGAATTCAAGAACGCTTTCAGAGTTAAAATTCCATCTTGCCAAATGCAGACTATGCTCTTTTGCAGCAAGGGTTTGTAAACAACAATGATGATCTCCTTGTCCATAAGACATGACCTTTTCAACTTCTCATGTAGAATTTACCCTGGCTGGAGAGGGTTTTTGTTGTTGCTTTGTGTTTTTTGTTTCTTAGTTTGTTTTTGCTTCTTTTAACTTCTCTAAATAGGTGAAGGTAGGCTGGCTTACCAAAACCACTTGGCAATCCATGCCTTCATCCTCATGAAGCAAATCCTGATTTCATATGACATTGGAATGCAGCCCACAGCCCCTAAAAAAGGTGTGTGTGGGAGGGGGATGGGGGGGAAGACTTATTTGACAATGTTACGAGGATTCAAGCTGGAGGCAAACATTTGACACTCCAGCCATGGAATGCTGTAAAAATTTAATTAGGTGGATCCATTAGTCATGCCCACATGGAGGTTTCATACGGGACTTAGAAAAAATGTAGGCTACTAAAGGAAAGTTTCAGACCTTCCTGTAAATGCCATTTTCCTCATTATTGGGAAATGAGGTCTCAGTGGGACCACTGAACCAGCCTTTGTATTTACAAAATATGGTTAGGACGAGATTAACATCATGCACTGAAGGAGTTTTTTGAATCCAAGTAAGAGACTACTTTTTATAAGGGAGTTGGCCCAGCCGGGCTGCCTCTGAGTCAATTGGGCTGAGAAATAATTTGGATGCCCACTGCCTGAGTCAAATTTTCAGGTTTAAACATACCTGAAATGATGCTGCTTAGTAGACTGCAGTGTCGGATAAGCGTGCATCTGCTCTCAAGTTGAAAATACACAGGTAGGTCCTCTAGTTCTAAAACAGGGTATGGGGAAGGGGTTGAATTTCAGAAAGCCAACTGTGAGGTTTCAGGGCCTGTGATACTTACAGCTTGATTTACAAGCAGGCATTTTCCATTTACAAGCACTGTTATTTTGATTTTCAGTCTCTGCTTGCTCAGTGTGGTTGGAAGGAGGTGGACCAGTAAGATGTTTAATACAATTAATCATGTGGTGATATCTGGAATACACTGAAAATTAATTCAAGACTTATAGCTCTTAATGAGGTTGAATCACGTGAAGTCGCCCACACTGACCATGGACAATGTTTCTTTAGAAACATTCCGTGTGATTCAATCTAATATGGTGCTCAATATTCAACTGAAAATGAAAGAGTTTCACATAATATTATTATTGTAGGGCCACTGTTCCCTAGAGATTGGCTGTGGACTGTGTTTTCATCTGTATGCATTCATTCATTTATTCATGTTATTATTTCAGTAAACATGTATTTCTTAACACTCCGGATTGAAACATAAAATTTAATAAGACACAGTCCTTCCCCTAGAGGAGCCCAGACTCTAATGGGGAATATGGACTTATAAACAAGTAACCAGAGTACAATGTAATAATAATTACAATGTTACTATTTATTGAGCAACATAACTTTGTGCCCCATGTAATTTACATACATTAGTTCATATCTTTTCAAAAAGCAACCCAAGACAAGATTTTTATTTTCTTTATGGGTGAAGAAACTGAGACCCAGACAAGTTTAAGAACTTTCTAGATACATGGTTAAAGAAGGGCAGAGCTGAGATTTTAGTCCACGATGGTCTAACTCCATTAAGCTATGTTGCCCCACAGCCTCAGGTCCGTGCAGAGAGGAGGTGAAATGCCAAACAAATCAGTAAGTGGAGATCTTTGAGGGGAAGAGTCAACAAAGTTTGAAGGCTCCAGAGGGATGAATGGGAGCCCACAAATTAAGCGTGTAAACTGAAGTATTGCAGAGAAACTCTGCCAGATTAAAACTGATATTTCTTTTTCTTTTTTTTTTTTGAGACAGAGTTTCGCTCTTGTCGCCCAGGCTAGAGTACAATGGCGTAATCTGGGCTCCCTGCAACCTCCGCCTCCCAGGTTCAAGCGATTCTCCTGCCTCAGCCTCCTGAGTAGCTGGAATTACAAGCATGCGCTGCCACACCAGCTAATTTTTGTGGGGTTTTGCCATGTTGCCCAGGCTGGTCTCGAACTCCTGACCTCAGGTGATCCACCTGCCTCGGCCTCCCAAAGTGCTAGGATTACAGGTGTGAGCCACCGCACCCAGCCTGATTGTAACTAATATTTCTTGGTCACTGCTATTTGTAAAGCAATCTTAGTTTGAGAGAAGGTATCATATTTTATATAACAAAAGATGCCTTGCCCCTAAAGATCCTTTCAATTTTTGGAATCCTCTGTTTTTCTCCAAATTTGTTACACACATAAGGATTTCAAGCATCAGCCCACGACCCTGTCTAGATTATTAGATGAATTAAAGAATCACTTAGGTATCTGTGAGCAGAGAAAGTGCATAGCTGTGAGGAACCTGAACTCAGTGGGAGGAAATTAGTGGGTAAATGAGTATGGGTACAAAGAATGCCTGTGAGCAAGGGGTGCAGGTATTCAGATGAAATGCACCATCCTGTTTGTGTTTTGGGTGTTCTGGGATCTGAAAAAGTCAGACTTTGAGTCTTGTCAGACTTTTCACATCTTTGATCCTAGAGATCTTTCGTGCAAAATCAGTCACCATCTTGGTTGAAAGCTCACTGTTTGGGGGAAGGAAGGGAAAGAATATATTGCAGCCCAGTTGGTCCAAGTTTCACTCTTCTATATTTTCTGAGAATTTTGTAAAGTTAAACATAGTTTTCAGACTCCAGGGGCTAATTCTGATCTCAGTCTGTCACCTACATTCAGCCACATGGGACAAGGCTTCTTCAAGTAGATTTGCCAAAGCAAAAGAAGACTCCCATTGTGACCTTAATACTTAAGATTGCGGCCTTAAATTGAGTTCCTCATCTACGAAATTCCAAGCAGTGCCTTCGCAGTAAAGATAAAACTGGATCTCCTCAAAGGGTAATTGTCATAATCCAGGACAAAATGTCCCATTGTCCTCTGTCATTAATGCCCATCTCTAGTGAATGAGTATTCATTCCCCCTTCCCTTCCTTCTAGGAAACCCATCCCTCTTACCCCATTCTTGAGGTTTGCTTGAGTCTGACCTTCTAGAATCCTGGCTCCAGAGGTGACTCAACCCTGACCAAGTACATAGTCCACAATGCTTGGATTCAGGGATAATCAGTGCACTGCCAATTCAAGCCAATGAGCCTCAAATCTGGGACTCTTTGGAACTATGTGAAAAAAGAAGCTTATTCTACAGGGAATGCTCACTGTACATAAGATTTATGGCTGGAGTTTCCAGTGGCCATACTTCTATGTCAGGGGGATCCACCGAATGAAGGCAAACACAGAATTAAGAGAATTTTGGAGCCATAGAAGACCCTGGTAACTCAATTGATATGTCTGGATACAGCCAAGCCAAGACAGAAGCCAGTGTTGCTGCTGGACTTTTCAAATTGAGAACCAATGAATTATTTTGTTATGTTCTTAAGCCAAGTTGGATAGAGCCTCCTGTCACTTACAGCAAAGAATTCGGATACCATCTCTATTTAGGGTGTCCCAGGTTTTCTCTAGATACCTTAAAACGTGTTATAAAATTCTCAAAATATACATAAAACCTATAGAGAATTCATTTTAAAATAGGAATATATAAAGGGAATACCAATGTCATTAAATCCCAAAGTCAGTAACAGAACAGAGCAACTGATTAGAATGAGGAATCGTTTGTTTCATGCTGGCTGATTCACTAACGCTTCGCTGTCTAATACTGGAGCTCCAAGCCACCTGTGGCCACTGCCCACGGAGTGCAGGAACAGTGGTGGCTGGTCTGGATGCAGGTGTGCTAAAGATGTAAAGCACACATTAGGTTAGAACTGACTACAAAAAGAAAATGAATGTAAACTCTCTCATTAATAATTTTAATACCGATCACATGTCAAAGAGACAACATTTTGGAAGGATTAGGTTAAATAACAGATATTATTAAAATTAATTTCACCTGTTTCTTTTTACGTTTTGTAATATGGCTGCTACACAATTGTTATGTATGCCTCATGTTATTTTTCTATTGAATAGTGCTGCATAAAAGCTGCAATTGTTACAAGATTCCACTGCATGTTGAGCTCAAACCTTTATTCCTGTCGCTCCTACCCTCGCTGGCTGTCCCTATCTTGAGTTACTATGGTCAAACTTGGAGAATAAAAATGGAATCAAATCCATTTTTCACGGTACAGTCCCTCAGCTATTTAAAGGCAGCTCCCACATTCTTCTCATAACTTCTTTTTTTCTAGGCCAAATGCCCCACATTTTCTTACTCTTCTCTGGACATCTTTTGGTTTACCAAAGATCCCTTAAAACGTGATGCTTAGCATTCTTCCTGGCATACCAGTGTGGTCTCTTGGTATTGAGGTTCTCACCTTCTTGGACTAGACACCCTATCTCTATTTATGTGACCTTGTTGCCATTAACATCTTTGAAAACTAAAGCTGATACCAGTGGTTTTCAAAAGTTGATGCCCAAACTAGCAGCATCAACATCACCTGAGAAGTTGTTAGAAATGTAAATTCTCTGGCTCCTCCCAAGACCTCCGGAATCACAAACACTGGGGTTGGTATCCAGCCATCTGTGCTTTAAGAAGCCCTCCAGAGGTTTCTCATGCATGAATGAGTATGAGATCCACTGATTTCCACTGAAAGCCTTTTAAAAGTCCTCTGACTTTCAGCCAAGGGTTCCTTTCTTTAATGGCTGGATTTGGGGGAGCACATAGTGTAGAAGTTTGCATTTGATCTTGTTAGTGCATTATAACTTTGGCCCATGGTTCTAGCTTGTATGAACCTCCTGAAATACATTTCTCTCTGTGTTGCACCAAATGCTCATTGAATAATGCTGCCTTTGGTCTTTATCTACAGCATGGATACATATGTTAAACAACACAGACCCCAAATCAGAATCACACTTCCCCCCTTGCCTTGGGTCTCATTGTTTCCTCTGCCTCTGATATGATTCCAAGACGCATCTCTCCCACCTTCCAAACTACTTCTTCTGCCTAGTTCTGCTAGGGCTGGTATTTCCATTTAGAGATCACTTCTATGAAAAAAACTGGGTTTGGGGCTGGTCCTCCAAGTTCCCTGTGCAGACAACTGTCCGTGTTTGATTAGTGACTCTCCTCCTCTCCAGCAGTGGTTCTCAATTGGGGTGATTTTGCCCCCTAGGGGCATTTGACAAATTTCTGGACACATTTTTGGTTGTCACCTCTTGGGGTACACTACTGGCATCTAGTAGCTAGAGACCAGGGATGCTGATAAACACCCCTTCAATGCTCAGAACAGGGTCCTCCAACAAAGAATGATCCAACCTAGAATGTCACCAGTGCTGAGGTTGATACACCCTGTCCTGAATTGTAAGTTCTGTCTCTTTCCATCACTGATTTTATTCCCAGTTCCAACAGAGTGCATGGCCCAAAGGAGGCGCTGAATAAATTTATTTTTTTAATGACTAGGTGACATCTCTCTTCCTGGGAGGAAGCATAAGAAAAACTAATCAAGATTACCTGCAGATTTATACTTTTCTGTTTAGGAAATACCTTGTCTGGGGGCTGATATGACGAGGGACCTGTGGAAACAGTTTTTACTGAACTGATAAGCTAGCTTTATAATTAGCATACTCATTGCCAGTTAATACATGTGCTTCTAAAGCACTGGCCACTAAAACATTTTTGCATCTCTAAGTCGCTGAGTGGGGCTCACCTTTTGCTATCTTATCTTCCTACTTATTTGCTGCGTTAATTTTTTTCTTTTTTTGAGACTGAGTCTTGTTCTGTCACCCAGGCTGGAGTTCAGTGGCGTGACCTTGGTGCACCGCAACCTCCACCTCCCAGGTTCAAGCGATTCTCCTGTCTCAGCCTCCCGAGTAGCTAGGATTACAAGCACCTGCCACTGCACCCGGTTAATTTTTGTATTTTTAGCAGAGACAGGGTTTCACCATGTTAGCCAGGCTGGTGTTGAATTCCGGACCTCAAGTGATCCGCCTGCCTCAGGCTCCCAAAGTGCTGGGATAACAGACGTGATAACGGTGCCAGTCATTAATATGATTTTTATTAGTTATGTGAACTTGAACCACTTGAGTTCTCCAGGTTCAGATTCCTCAAAGTGGCTTAAAGATTCCTGCACTTTCTGGAGACCTGTGACGGAGATGATGAGGATGGAGTCAGATAATATTTGTAAGTTACTGAGAGCATTGCTTCGGCCTGTCTCTGTAGTCATCATTTTCTTATTTACTCTTTACAACCATCCTGTGAGGTCAGTAGCAAGTATAATCTTAATATAATAGACTATGAGTTTGAAGCTGTTAGGATAACTAGTTGGATTTGTATCCAGTTTTTCATTGATGAGTTACGTTAACCTGTGTCAATAACTGATTTTTACTGCTCTGAAGAAAAATTTCTCTTGTGGATAAAGCTTTTCTGGAAGCTTCTAAAATATTGCAAAGGCTGTTTTGCACCCAACATTAGTTTCTACATTTTTGCATTCTAATTTGGCCATGACTCAAGATTTCCAGATGGGCAGGGTTATGGAGGGGAATCACATTCACTTTTAAACTGATCATGTTTGAACCCTTGAAGAAAGTCATCACGCATGGACACAGGAATCCTGCATGAGGGGTGAGGCTGGAAGACTCGCACTTGGACCCTTCTCCATGTTGAGTTTTTAAGCTCACTGTGTAGCACCCACATCGGCCTGGAGCCAGATGGAGGCTGCCCTGCTGCTCTTTGGGGAGAAGGGCCTGGCTCAGTGTCTCCCAGAGTGAGGCAAGGCCTGGGAGCCAATGAGTCATTCTCTCTTGGCACGGACTCTCCAGGCTCTTGGGGGAAACAAACAGACTTTGTTGAGAAGGAGCTCTCCTGCCTATGAATGGCCGCTAGTCAACTCTTCAGAGGAGCCCTGTAACCTGTGCCTGCCCGGTCTTCACCCCTCTTGGCCTGGAGAAACCACAATTACTCGGGGGCGGGGGTGGATTTTGGAGCTCAGACCTTTGTTGTCAACATGGAACAAAGATGTCAGACCCTGGCTGGAGAGAAATTTCTTGGGGGCCCATCTGGGGTGTGAGCTTCTGACTCTTGCTTCATCTGTCTCACCAATGCTTGGGCAAAAAAGAGTCCGTCTTGACACCCAATTCCTGAGTTCTCTCTTCATTTAATTCTGCATTTAGCAGCCAGCTATCTCAGGTATCTTGGTCTTTTTTTTTTTTTTTTTTTTTTTTTTGAGATAGAGTCTTACTCTGTTGCTCAGGCTGGAGTGCAATGGCACAATCTCGGCTCACTGCAACCTCTGCCTCCCAGGTTCAAGTGATTCTCCTGCCTCAGCCTCCTAAGTAGCTAGAATTACGGGCGCCAACCACCATGTCCAGCTTATTTTTGTATTTTTAGTAGGGACTGAGTTTCACCATGTTGGCCAAGCTGGTCTCGAACTCCTGACCTCAAGTGATCCTCCTGCCTCAGCCTCCCAAAGTGCTGGGATTACACATGTGAGCCACCGTGCCCGGCTAGGCATCTTCTTAATATTGAAAGTACTCTCATTTCCAGAGTTCCCTTTTCTATGTTTATTCATCTTTGTCTGAGGAACTTCTCTGGTGAACACGCAGTTTTATAATGTGATGTTTTAGAGAATATTTTATTTTCTTGGCAGCTGTTATGAGAATTTCTTAAGGGCAGACACCCACTTTTGGGAGAGGAGAATATTTAAAAACGTCTCTTTGGGAATGGGTGATGGGAGCCAATCTTCCTGGACCTGAATGTGAGAAAGTCCATGGAGAGGGGGACAGAACTAGGAGTTACTCTAGAGAGGGAAGGAAGAAGAAGATGGGAGGTGAGTGCAGGACTGAAGCTGGTGGGACACAGGAAGACCAGCCCCAGGCCCCTGTGATGTACCCCTTCCTGTGATCACAAACCTTTCAGTAAAGTCACTGAACTCAAAGTGTTTCAGACAAGTCGGTTTATTTTTGAAATTCTTTTAAGTAATGGGTTTTTGTTCAGCTTGATGGGGGTGGAATTTGAAGCCACATGCAGGTGCATTCAGAGCTCCAAAGCTAAGAGACATGTGAGGAATAGATGGAGGAATTCACAGCAATTCTGGGGACAGCTCGGGATTCTTGCAAGTCTGTGGAATTAGGTTTTGGACTAATTTTAACCAAATCTCCCAGGAGTGGGGGCCATGGAGAACATCTGAGTTACTTTATTAACATCCCTCTGACAGCTCGCTGCACTGACGTTGCCATTTTTCTCCTTCTCTAGCAAGGAGTAGGGGCTTGGTCTGCATCTGTTGAGGCTTGCTCTGACTGAGGGTATGAAATGGTCTCCAAGGAGGAGACTGTGCAACCAATATGAGGCGTAACCTTGTTTATTAGCGCCTTGGAGCAGGACAATGAACTGGGACAACATGGTAGGCGCATGGTGAGTCTTCCACTCATTAACCCAGATGGAGGTCACAGCTCCATCTTGGCTGCTGCCAGGAAACAATAACTTGTCAAAACTTCAGGTGATATAATAAAAAAAAAAAAAGGAAGAAAAAAAAAAAAACTTCAGGTGAAAGCACCAGGTTCTGGCTCATTGGAACCCAATTCCTAGATAAGCACAGGCAGAAGAGGAAGCTGTGCTTGAATAGCCCCAGATAGGCCAAGCAGATGTTGCAGGGGACTCCTTCCTGCAGAGCTGCAGAGCTGGCTGGGCTCAGCACCCAAACAGGGCCCCTGGGAGAGTGGCTGATGAGGGCCTCACAGTGCTAGGAGCTGCCAAGTGCTTAGCTCTGCCCCCCTACCCCAGAGATGGCTTGGCCTCCCGCCAGCTGAGTTTGGAAGGGAGGGATAAGGATAGGCAGTGAGTCTCACATGGGGAACTCTTGCAAAAGACGCAGCAATGGTTTTGGATAACATCCCATTGTCACAGGCTGCAAAGACTCCAGTGGGGCTGGGTTGTAGGGAGAGATAGAAGCCGGGTGCAAGGAGCGGCTAAGGCACTCCTTTTCTGCACCACCCTTACTCACGGGGAGGGACGTAGATATGAACTGTGTAATCCAGAACAGGTCTCTGAGCTGCCCTGCCTGCTGTGGCTGGGAGAATAATCACAGCCTCCCTCAGGCCAAACAAGGGCCTGCCTGGAACCCAGACACATTCCAGAAAGAAATGAGGAGTCTGTGTGTGCATGGTCAAGATGTGTGTGTGTGTGCTTGTGCACGTGCATTTTGGTATGGTCCACTGTGTGTGCCCTCTGCATGTGTGTGTGTGTTTGTGCATGTGAATGGTGTGAGTGTACGTTCAGTGTGTGTGTGTGTAAGTGTGGGTATGTTTAATAAGCATGTGGGAAGGTGTGCATGATTGGTATCCTGTGTGTACACATGGAGAGTAATGGTGTCCTTTCTTCATGTGCCTGTGCCTTTAGTGCCCTTGGTGTGTGTTTTGTGATGGTGTGTGTGCCCGTATGTGCATGGTCAGTGTGTACATTGAACATGCATGCTTGAGTGTGTGCCCTCTGTGTGTGTGCATGTTTGCCCACATGGTTAGAGATGTATTTGTTTTGGGCACATAGATATATGTCCTATATGTGTGTGCTTCTTGATGCCTCCTGTGTGTGCTCAGACCGTGAATGCGTATGTATACAAGATGTGGACCCCAAATGCATCTGTCATCCTAGTAGGCAGGTTGTATGTGCATCCGATAGATGTGCATGTCCCAGGTGTATGGATTTATTGCAAAACCACTGTATGTGTCTCATGCACATGTCAGTTTGTGTGAATGAGAGAGAGAGCACAGAATCAAAAACCATGCATGTGTTGGTGCTACTAATTTGAGGCATACCCAGCTTGTCAACCACCATCTTAAGCTATTGGAGCTCCTTAGCAGGGCACATAGGACCTGCTCAGTCACAAGCCCTCCTGCCACACCACTGCAGCCTTATCACCTGTCACGTCACCCCCACCCCCCAAACTATTGTCCCCTTCGTTCTAATCCTATAAAACTGCCCACTGATCCTTGAATGGGTTAGGTGGCTCCATGCTTCTGAGCCTTTGTTCATGCCCTTCTCTTTCCTGGAATGCCTCTTGCTTTCTCCCAGCTTTCTGACACCTACTCATTGTTTAGAACTAGGCTCCAGTCTCCACATGTCTGTGAAGTCTCCTTGAACTCGCCATTTCCTTCTTTGTCTTTCAACACATTTTTCTCAAAGCACCTCTAACATTTGAGGGTCTTGTTTGCCTACATGTCTCTTTTCCTATCCACAGTGGTAACCACTAGGGCAAGGACAATGCTATCACACCCCGGGGCTCCCACTAAGCATGCTCTCACCTCACAGCGGCCACATTAGACAGGTGACTTTATCCTGACCTGAGAGATGGGAACACTGTGACGCACTTAGAGACACAGAACTGCTAAGTAACTAGGCAAGAAATCAACTCCGTTTCTGACTCTGGGGCCCACGTATGATATTGTCACACCATTTCCAGGTTGAAATGTATTCTTCCAATTGATTGATTGATAAATATTTATTGAGCACTTGCTGTATACCAGGTGCTGTTCTAAGCACTCAGAATATAGTTCAAAGCTGTCCTCATGGAGCTTACATGCTAGTTCTGGTCCACTCATGGGAAGCTGAAACGGATGATGATGATGATGATGATGTGTGTGTGTGTGTGTGTGTGTGTGTGAGAGAGAGAGAGAGAGAGCGTGCGCGCACGAGAGAGAGAGCAGGAAAGTCCCAAGATCCAACATTATCTTAGAAAAATTGTTACCTGAGAAGTCATTTGTGCAACTGCCAAATTGAGGGGATGAGATAAGAACCGTTCTCAGAAGAGAAACTGTGGCACTCAGAATAATGGTTCCCAAAGATGTCCACATCCTTTGGGAGATTAAGTGGCCAAGGGGAATGAAGGTTGCAGATGAAATGAAGGTTGCTGAGCTAACTTTAAAATAGAGAGGTTCTCCTGGATTATCTGGGTGGGCCCCATGTAATCACATGGGATCTTAAAAATATAAGGGAGGGCACAAGAAGAAAGAGTCATGTGATGTAATTTGAAAAGGACTTACCCACTATGGCTGGCTCTGAAGATGGAGGACGAGGCCAAGGGCTAACAGGCAGCTTCTAGAAGCTGAAGAAGGTGAGATAATGGCTTCTCTTCTAGAGCCTCCAGAAGGAACACAGCCCTGCCAACATCTTGAGTTCGGCTCAGTAAAACCCACATTCATATTCTAGCCTCCAGAATTGTAAGAGCATGAATTTGTGTTGTTTCAAGCTGCTAAATTTGAGGTTAATAGTTATAGCAGCAATCGGGAATGAATACAGGAGCCAAAGTCTCAGGGTAGGAGAAACTGGTTGTTGCATTAAAATAGGATCTAGATGGGGGCTTGATGGGATAAAGGCATTATAAAAGGTGAGGTCTGTTGAATGAGAGTCATCAATGAGCAAGCTCCAGCTGTATACACCCAGATTAACGGTCACAGTGCATGCACACTGGGACTCTGGTTGGCCTCAACTGCAGTGACAGGTGCATTTCACCAAGATATACGGAGTTATTTAAAGGAACACTATGGGCTATTATTCCTGCTTCTAATTTTAGGAAAAAAGTGAGACCACCAGGGACCAACGGAACAGTCACCACTACTGAAAGACGTGTCTCACAATATGAACTTTACCCAGACTCAAACTCCCAGGACCTCTACAGGCAAGGCTCTGGTGATGGTGAGCCCCAGGCCCTGTCCTGAATGAAGGTCAGTCTGATTCCAGACAGACCCCCTCTGTTTGATTGTTATCCCTGCTGCCTGAAAGCCCTGGGTGGTGATGGCCAGTCGCACTGGAGGAGGCGTCAATAGCCATAAAGTGAATAATTACATATTTCCCACTTAGGCTCCTAGTATGGGGCTGAGAGAGAGATCCACAAATAGGGCTGCTACTATGGAAGCTCATGAGGGAAACTGGCCTGAAGCTGAGGAACAAGATGGGGTGGGTTCCATTACCGCAATTAGCTCACTGTGTAAACAGCACTTAAGGGCTCTATCTGGGAGTTTGCAGTAATCCATCTGAAATAGACAACTATTTTATGCAGGGAGGCATGAGGGGAATTCTTTCCAAGTCAATTGAATAGTCTAGTCTGCAAACAGTCCTCTTCCTCCTCTTTCAGGCTCTACCTTGCCTCCCCCTCCCCCATAACAGCTGTGTTCCCTTGAATGGTCAATCAAGCACTGTATGAACCTGGCATGTGGGAAACTTTCAGCATTGCCTGGGCTCTGTTTATCCCATGCTGGGGTTTTGCTGAATTTCTTCTTTCTTCCTCCCTGACAATCGCCACGCTCTTTGTTCTGTCCGCTGTGGATTTGGGTGTTACAGATACAAGGGGTAAGAGAGCTGTGTTTGCTGTAGAAGTAAGGTGCCTCTGCAAGGAGTTAAGAGGCCCCCAGAGATTCCTACCCAAACCTTCCAACGTTTCTCATTCTTCTGAGGATCTGCAGGTTGCCTGTTTGTGTGCAGCTCCTGAATGTTTCTCTCTCTCCCTCTCTCTCTCTCTCTTTCTCTCTCTCTCGGGAATCCTGGTTGAGGCCACCATTTTATCATCAGACTGGACTCTGGGTAAAGCAATGCTGCCCAGAACTGGGAAAATTCCAATTACTAAGTTTTAGAAACTGAAATATATTATACCTTTTTTAGCAACCTATTCTCGTATTTCTCCTGTTTTGGCTCTTTGGAAGGAAATAGCTAAAAATTGTCATGAAGAGATGTTAACCAGGTTAAAAAATATAACATTGACATAGTGACTCTAGCGGACCATAGTTTACTTGCCTCCTTTCCCCTACATCCCGGTCTATGTAATTTGAGATCATATACATTTTGTATAAAAATCTTGAAACAAAAATGAAGGTCTGAATCTTGACCAACTGTTTAGTGACTTAAAGGATTTTTCTATAATATCAAATGCCTCATAAAGAATGGTAAAGAAGGCTGGGCATGGTGGCTCACACCTGTAATCCTAGCACTTTGGAAGCCCAAGGTGGGTGGATCATGAAGTCAGGAGTTTGAGACCAGTCTGACCAACATGGTGAAACCCCGTCTCTACTAAAAATACAAAAATTAACCAGGCATGGCGGCGCGTGCATGTGGTCCCAGCTACTCAGGAGGCTGAGGCAGGAGAATTGCTTGAACCCGGGAGGTGGAGGTTGCAGCCAGCCTAGATCACGCCACTGCACTCTGGCCTGGGCGACAGAGTGAGACTCCATCCCAAAAAAAAAAAAAAAAAAAGAATGGTAAAGAAAGTGCTTGTGACAAACAAATATGTCCCCAAACATGGCCAAAAAGTCCCCTTGGTGGGTGGTGGTGCATAATGGCCCCTAGTTGAAAGCCACTTTCTTGAATGAATGAATTTTTATAACTCTACAAGTTGAGGGTTTTACCTCAGAGAGGTGCAGTGTCTTGCCAGAGACCATCCAGGTACTGAGAGTTAGGGTTCAGGCCCCTTCCATAGCTCTGCAGCTGTGCCATGGATTGTTTCAGAACATTCCTTGCGGCCTGTAGCAGGGGCGGACCTTTTAGGTTCCGTCTAGTGGACATAGTACAGTAGGCCTCCTTTCTCAGCATACAGAAGCTTTCTAGATCTGGCTGCAAAATGAACAACACAGTCTCTGTTATAAAGAAAACCACAGCTTGAAAAAAATAGTACGGACACAGCTGATTCACCAGGGTGACTCATACCTGGGATCACGGCGCCTCGACTCGGCTTCCCATGGCCTGTCGTGGCTTGCGAAGGACCATGGCAACTTGAACAGACAGAACTTTCCCCTTGAATGCTGGGGACGGATCCACCCGGCTGGGTACAGGGTGAGTTCCACGCAGCCAGCCGTCAAGATAACTTTATCAAGGACGCGGAATCAGATTTCAGAGAATACAGTGGACAGCCTTGGAAGGCACTTGGAAGTTTCCAGTCCTATCCTGGCCAGCTCAGTGCACCCCTCTGTGAAGAGCTTATGGTCCTTGGGAGCAGTGGCCAGTTACAGTGTGCACAGGAAGGCATTTCAGTAATCATTCAGCGAGGTCAGAGCTGGTGCGGGAAATGGGTCTTCACATGCAGGCAGGTACGGGTGATAATTATCCTGGAAAACTTGTCACGTCAAGCTCGGAGTTCGTCTCTTTACCTATAAGCCCATAATGCCACTGTGATTACATCAGGCCTCTGGGAGGCCACGTGCGTGGTCCTCTGTTATCTGTTGATAGATTACTCTGTAATTGCACTCACATCGTTTTCTTGAGGACAAGAGGGTGTAATTGTCTTGTTTTGTGTGTCTCACATTTCTCATTGTGCAGTTAATCCCCCTGATCTGGTTCGCTGAGAGACTGAGTTTATAGAGATGTGGGTGAATTTCCACTACGCCCATTAGGGGTCTTTGTGCCCCTAGAGCCCACGGTTGCCCGAATTCCACCCATTAGAAAAAAGAATGGGCTAATTAAGTCTGGCAGCCTAATTTTGTGCTTTCTAATTTTGCCCTTTAAATGCATCATAATTATCAGATGCAAAATACATTTTCAAATGCAGAGCCAGTGACGGGTGTATTTTTAAATGTGCAGGGCTAAGATGGGAGTTAGCAAAGAAGCAGGCAATATTTTTAACTTGTATCATCGGGCAGGAAAAGGCCATTGTTTCTCTGATTCCCACCACTGCATTTGGAATGAAAATAACATTTATTCCAAGTGCTACTGAAATGCCTGTATTGTGTTGCTGTCACTGGAAACGCTGCTGGGTGACATGTTCTTTGGGATGTGCTTGGACAAAGGAGGTGAGATCATAGCCTGAGACTCGTGGCTTCACGTTAAGGCATGGGGTACATGCCTCTACAGAGGCTGCGAGAAGTCAGGGTTGGTGTAGATAGGAACTTGGAAGAGCTCTTGGTGACCAAGTAACAGAAGTCCTTTCTTATTTTTAATGCTTTTAATAGCTCTTAAAATTATTGACAAAAGCATGTACCCAAAGCCTTTGATTACTGGAGCTTTTGGACATAACTTTTTTTACTTGTCCCCAACCCCTCCTAAGAGGTATTTTACAATTTTATTCAAAGCGAATCCTGAAAACAAAAAAAGTCATAATGACATATCATATTACATTTAAAATATGTATGTATCTTGCTTAATGTGTGCAGTCCATATAAACTGTGTATCCCATATATCAATGCAGCATAATGCATTTCAGTGGATCTAGCATCAAAAATAACCATGAAAGAGAGGTTAGCATGAGACTCGGCTCCTTGGAGTGGTTCCCTCTGCAAGTTTAAGTTTCTTCATTTCATGAAACCCTTTGTATTTTAGATGGAGAATCTTCTCCCACTTCCCCTACGGGAAAGGACAATGTAGTCTCTGCACATGAACCCACTGCTCCTTCTTGGACCCTGGGGTACATTCCAAAGGGGTGTTGACATCTCACCGCAGAGACTTGGAGTGTAAGAAGAGCAAATTGCTCACAGGCCTCTATGCCAGCAGAGCTCTCTGGAAGCCACTGGATCTTGTCTGGAATCCCTTCTAATTAGGTACAATAAAACGGATCGCATACATGTTCATAGCAGCATTATTCCCAATAGCCAAAAGGTGGAAGCAACCCAAATGGTGAATGGATAAACACATTCATGTTATGGCCCATGATGGAATATCACTCAGTTGTAAAAAGGAATGATGTCCTGATTAATGCTGCCACATGGAATAACCTTGAAAACATGCTAGGAGGTGAAACAAGCCAGACACAAAAGCCACATTTTGTAGGATTCAATTTCATTATTGGTTGATTTGAGAATCAATGTTTTTATGTATTCTCGCATTGCCCAATTCCAAAAAGGGTTTGGAGCAGCTTACAAACATGCCCACGCAAAGGGAGCCACAAAATAATGGCAAACTGACAATGGAACGGAGGGTGAAGGAAGAAATGGTGAATATTAGACTTGTGGTGCACAACCCAACAACGTGCAACGTTCACTTATCAACCAGGCAGGTTTACTTAGGACAGAAGAAAAACCTGATGTGGCTACACCATTCTGTCTGATTCCATTTACATGGAATGCCAGAATAGGCAAATTCATAGAGGGAGAAAGTAAATTCGTGGTTCCAGCGGCTGAGAGAAGGGGTTCATGAGGAGTTACTACTTAATGGGAACAGGATATCCTTTTGGGGTGTGATGAAGATTCTCTGAAATTAGAAGATGGTGATGGTTGCACAACCTTGTGAATATGCTTAAACCATTGAATTGTACATTTTAAATGGGTGAATTTAAGGTTATGTGAATTGTATCTCTATAAAAATATTGGGTTACATTATAAAATTGGAAAAAAAAAGAAAGATCGATGACCTCTTTACTTCTATGTTTTCCCTTAGAAATGGAAACCAGATATATGTTTCAATATTGATTTGGTGATGCTTGGTTTCTTTAAAGGAGAAAAAATTTCTGTGGATAAGTGATAAGGTGGCTTGAGAGGCTGTCCACGGACCCAGCAGTATGGGGGGAGGAATCCCCCTGTGGAGACAGCACAGGTGATTGTCCAGGCCTGAGAAAGGCAAGGCTCTTGTAGAGCTCGCAAAGCTCAGTGTAAGAAAATAAATGGGAGCAGGCACACATTACCCTTGGAGCCAGACAACCTGGGTTCACATCCTGGCCACGCCACTAAGAGCTGTGTGACCTTAAGCAGATTGCCTAAACTCTCTGTGCTTAAATGACCTCATCGACAAGATGAGGAAACTAATAGTACCTACCTTGATGCATGCTTTTGGGGGATTCAATGATGAATTGTCATCTGTAAAGAGACCCAGAGTTCTGTAAACTGCTATGTGTATTTTTATCAAAGAAAATAATCTAGTAATTATTTTATTTTCTTTTTGCTACTGTAACAAATTAGCACAAATTAAGCAGCTTAAAATAACTGAAATGTGTTATCTTACCTTTCTGGCAGTCAGAAGTTGGAAATGGGTCTCTGGGGCTAAGATCAAGGTGTCGACAGGACGGTGTTTGTTCTGGAAGCTGCAGGGGAGAATCAGTTCCATTCTTTTCCCAGTTTGCAGAGGCCACCCGAGTTCCTTGGCTTGTTGCCCCGCACTTCACTGACCTTTGCCTCAGACATTACCTCTCCTCCTCGGATTCTGACCCTCCTGCCTCCCTCTTATGTGGACCCTGTGATTATATCCAGCCCACTTAGATAATTGAGGATAATTGCCCCATAAAGACCCTTAACTTGATTACACTTGCAAAGTTCTTTTCACCATGGAATATAACATATTCACAGGTTCTGGAGTTTAGGATGAGACGATCTTTGGGGGACCTTTAGTCTGTCTACTACAGGAATATATTAATTTATGATTCAGACGGTTAGACCTACATGCAATTAGGTAGGGGGTTAGAAAGTAGTTGAAGAGCTCTGAGACTTTTCTTTAATTCAATTACACCAAGTGGTCATGGGCCCAAGGAAAGCCAGGCTGGCATCCTAGACCTTTAGCCCTCATCATTCTGGTCCCTTCTACACCAGCAGAGGAAAGAGACATTCTGCCTCCTGCAGATCCTTGGACAAAAGGTCATATAGCACTTTGCTCCCCATTATGTAGACATGTTGTCCACAGGCTCCCTGGCATCCTGTGCTGGCTCACGTCACCTTATCAATAAAGCCTACCCTGGCTGTCCTATTCAAAATCACATCCTGGCCTCTGTCTCAGCTCTTCCCATGCTACTTCTCTGCTGAATTTTTCTCCATCTTACCATCTAAGGCTTCATATAATGCATGTATATATAAATGGGACCTGAAATACAAGCTCTGTTGGAGCAAAAACAGTGTCTTGCATGAGGGAGGCTCTCGGTGTCTATTTGTTGGCTGACTGAGAGAATGAATGAGTGAACTTCTATAGGATATTTGCATGCTATATTCCATTGTAGATGGAGACTTGTTTGTCCCCCTCACTGGACTGGAAACTCCTGGAGGGCAAGACCAAGTTCAAGTCTTTTGCCAAGGGTTCTTTGCAGAGGGTGTGGCACACCAGGACCACTGCTAATTGTTTGGTGAATGGCTGAAAGGGCCAGAAAGTGGCATTTGGAGACAAAGGGCAGAATGCATGACTGTCTTGAGGGCCAGTCATGTGTCTGGACAGGACCTCTGGGAAGATTGCATCATAGGCAGGGACCAAGGTCATTCTGTCCTAAGGTGCAGAAGCAGCAGAGCCTCCTATTCACATGATTTGTGACTTCTAACATTTAATTTACCTTAATTTTTATTTGCTTTGCCTGAAGGAGTTCATTCTCAGACGATTCTTTAGTAGACATGTCACTGCATAGAGTGCCCATGCCCTGACCGGCAGCTTGCAGACCAATGGGATCTGGAATGTGCTGCCTTACCTGGGAGGGTGTTGTGCAAGGCAAGTATGAGGCAGCACATCAACCCCGCTGTTTAACACCGAGCTGGCTAGATGCATTTATGGGACCAGCACAGCCTTGGGAGGCATCCGCTTTTGTGAAATCTGGTAGAAGCTTAGAGCTTCCATCAGCACCTCCTGTAGTAAACCTTACAAGCAGCATCCACAGTAAACAGTAACAGAAAACATCACAGCAATGACCATACCCTCCTCTATCATTATGACAGATGAACACGCTGAGGCTCAGAAAGGGGGCCGATTAATCCCATACCATAGAGGAGCTAGTGGTAGAAAGGTGACGGGAGCTCCACTCTCTTGGCTTTCAAACCAACGCTCCTACATAATTCCCAGTGAAGGGGCAGGGAATATTCTCATTCACTCATTGATTCATCGAATCATGAATTTAATTAGTCATCCAATTGATCACTCATCCTTTCCTTCCTCTCCAGCCCTACCTTTCCCCTTGCTCCTCCCTGCCCTGGCCACACTACTGCTCTTTCGTGTTCCAGCAGATACCATGGCTTCTCCTACTGCAGGATCTTTGCACGTGCTATTCCTTTTTTCCTGGAACACACTCCTCCCCACTTCTTGCCCAGTTGTTTCCTACTCACTCTTCTCCTCTGCCCAGGGGAGTCTTCCCTAACCTGCTTGGGTCATATCTCAATATTCTGTACTCTCAGCACGTCATCTCCCTCCCTCCCTATTATACAGCACAACTTGATTACAATCTACCTCACCCATTGGACTGTGAGACAGTTCAATGAGAATAGAGACTGAATATGTGCTCAATTAATATTTTTTGAATGAATGAGTAAATTATTGAACAAATGGATTTAAAAATTGACAACACACAGGTGCTGGGGACAAAAAATTAAAATGAGAATGGAATGAACAAGTAAGAGAGCAAGAGATAAGATTCACGTGTAAACAGTTATAATTCAACTTAGAAAGTGGTTTCCGCTAGAAGAGAAGTCAAAACCCATACTGTGGATTTTGGAGCTAGAAGCTCACGTCTGGGGTTGTGGGGGAGGGCCTAATTTTGGAAAGCTTCCCAGAGGAAGTCGGCTTTTCATCTATATTTATCCTAGGGAACCTCACAATCTAGCAGACAGGATACGGCAAACACCAGAGCCAGAGAAGTGCTGTGAGGCCTGGGTGGGCTGGCATAGACTGTGCCCAATATGAGTGTCTCTACCAGACAACTTTTGGGGCCCATGCCACAGTCTATTCCTAGGGAGCTATCAAACCTGTGTGGGATGGGACTTCAGGCAGCCAGACCAGCAGGTGGGGCAGCTCCCACTCCCTCACCATATAAATCTGGAGGGGCCCAGGTTTTCTCACATGCCAAGGTCCAGCAGCTTTCTGGGGTGGGGTAGGATAGGTCCCTCCAGGGAATACTCCATGCCCTGACCATCTGGATGGCAAAGAACTTGGCACAACCCTTGCCTCCCCAGGGAGGCTTGACATCCGGTAAACCAACTGGTTTGACAAGCAATTAAACCTGCCTTAACACAATGAAAGGCATTAGTAGGACACTCTGTTACTTGTCCATAGCATTAAGGTTCACAGAAAGAGTGGAGAATCATAGCACCCTGGAAGTGCACAGCATCTCTCATATCCAACTTCTCTAGGAATTTCTCCTGTAATATATTTTGTTCAAAATGGTCACTTATTTATTTATTTAAGACAAGGTCTCATTCTGTTGCCCAGGCTGGAGTGAAATGGTGTGATCATCGTTCACTGCAGCCTTGACCTTCTGGGTTCCAGTGATCCTCCTGCCTCAGCCTCCCAAGTAGCTAGGACTGCAGGCACTTGCCACCATGTATGGCTAATTTTTTTTTTTTTTTTTTTTGTAGAAATGTGGTCTCACTATGTTGCCCAGGTTGGTCTTGAACTCCTGGACTCAAGTGATCCTCCTACCTCAGCCTCCCAAAGTGCTGGTATTACAGGTGTGAGCCACCAGGCCTGGCCTTGGTCACTCAGTTTATTCTTAGAGACCTCTGAGGGTAGGACTGTTAACCTATTGCAGGTGGAAAGGTTCCAAATTTCAGAAATTTATTTATTTCATTCTGATTTTGTCCCTATCATGGAATGTACTATTGAGCCAGTTAGGCAGTTTCTCTCATACTAGGTCCGACTTTAGGGCTGGGCTGACCACGGAGGAGGAAGACAAGATGAACACCTCTGTTGCACTGGAACATCAACTTCTGTTAATATATCCCAAATCTGTATTGACTTCTTCATCAGCCAGACATCACCCTTGCTTTATATTGATCATTCTTGTTGACTAGGACACTGCTGGCTTTTTTTTTTCCATGTATGTTCCTGCTTGGTCTTTTTTTCTCCAACCTATTTTGTGTTTTTAGTTTTTTCTTCTAAATCAAAGTAGGTGTGTTTTGTATCTATTTTTGCATCAATTTTAATGAGATGTTGCCATTATTCCTGTCTGAGAAATATGATCAGACTCTGGTCCTTTCATTGTTTTGATTTCCTTGTAGTCTTCCTGCCATCCACGAATTTTGTCTACTGGACACCACGCTGCCACCTTGGGGATCACATTTCAACATGAGTTGGGGTGGGGACCAACCATATTCACACCACAGCAATGGGTCATGTTTCAACTCCTTTTGGGGAATTGTGAAATTTGAGGTGGGCTAATGTGTAAACCAGATAAGTAACTAAAGCCCCCATATGGAGAACCCACTCCTTGGGATAACCCAGAGCCCCCTTTCATGAGAAATTCTGCCTGGCTTGGTAATGGACTCATCTAAGAACTAGCCAAGGATGAGTGGGTTTTCAGTGCATTTGCTCCAAATGCTCACACCAGGTCTTTGGTATAACTGTGAAGTGCATGGGATGGGTGTTTCAGACTCCTGTCTTCTTTCCCCCAAAGCCAACCAGAGGGTGGGTTCAAAAGTCTACCCTAACGTAGGGGTCTACATGAGAGAGGCTCTTCAAGAGCCTTTGGAAGCAAGCCAAAGAGGAAGAGAGCCAAAAGGGCTCTTTCCTGCCTAAATCTATGCAAATTGGTGGTTTGCCCTCCAAACATGAGTGTTTATCTCAGTTTCCTTTTCAGCTGATTGAGAGATTGGAAGAAGCAGAGAAGTGGTGACCCACCTGCACTCCGCCCCTTCGAACTGCTTTGCTCCTCCAAAACCTGGGATTTTGACTCCATCACCTCTTTTCAAAGGAGAAACCCAAAGGCCCTGGTCTGCTTTGCTCCTTGCACAATCCTGAGAATGCCCTCCCCACACCCTGTTCCCAGACCTTTCTTTGCACTGAAGTTGACTTCCAGTAACCAACTTAAGTTCTCTTGGAAGTAAAAAGCAGAGGCCACTCTCCTTAACCCCTCTGGAAAATGAAACACAGCTAAATACATTGATGCTCACCTGCATTTTATTCCTATCATCGAAGGTGGGGAGCACAGAGTCAGAATGTTAACATCTGCAAGGTTCGGGCGAACACCAGGTACAACTTTTTTGTTATAGACAACAAACTGGGTCCAGAAGAGAATGAGGAATTTGCCCCGAATGACCTAGATGGCCACTCAAAGGGCGTATTTTGAAGGTTGCAGACTCATAAAAGTTGGAATAACCCATTCCGAAGCTCAGAAAGCTCGCTGCACAGGCCAGATGATTGTGCAGCTGCTGCAGTGCGTTCTAGCTTTCTCAGGCACTTTACATATGTTATCTCCATCTTCACAAAAATATCTAAGGCCACAGTGATTTCTTTTTCTCTTTTTTTTTAAAAGAAGTTACTGACCTAGTTAACGAATCTGATGAAATCTAAAATTCTTTCCCTCATAAAAATTCATATATATAGACAATTATATTCAATTTTAAGGGCATCTTAAGGTACCCTTAAGGATCCATGGACTCCAGGCTACAAGCCCCTACTTTAAGTTCAGTATTATTATTTTTCATATAGAGAATGAGTAAACTGAGGCTCAGAGAAGTTACATTCTATATCTATGGGCAGTATGGCAATGTGTGCCCTGAAACAGATTGACCGGGCTCCAAAGCAGAATTGCTTTCTTTCCCAGAATACACTCAGATACAATGCCACAGATTCCAGAAGGCAAATGTTCACTCATTCTTTACTGGAATAATATGGTTTTTAAAAGACATCTACTAAGTGTCTGGTATTGTATAAGAGATGGCCCTTTGAAGCTTACAAAATGTCTTCCACAGCTGATAGGCTGGTTACCTCTCTTCAAGAGAGAGCTTTCAACTGGGAGCTTATGGCCTGCCTTCCCACAATTTGTCCCTTCAGTAAGAGTGGACATACAGGAGTCCATAGTGAAGGAGATAGGGGTGGTTGCCCTACCAAGGACTTTATTATCTGAAAAGAAGTAGCCAAGGAGCAAAATCAGCCAGTACCCAGAAGCAACCCTCCTAAGCTGACATGCAAGGAATTGAAATCACAGGGGGATGATTCACAACTGATTTTTTATGAGTAAAAATTTAGGTTTTTGTCTCAGAGTAGTGTCATGGTTAAACAGTATCCCTCTCCTTAGTGAGAGGTGATGGGTCTGGGGACCACATCTTACCTGGTTGATGCTTTCCTGCCGCTCTCCGGGGTATCCAAGTGACATGTGGTTGCAGTAAAGAGCAGAGAGCCAGCAATAGGATGGGAGGTCACCACGAGGAGCCTGTCTGGTAAGAGAGAGACTGTCTAGAATAGAGCAAGTAACCCAGCCTCGTTTGCATGGGTGATGGGAGGGAATGGGCAGATTCCTCTCATTGCTCCATTTCCTGCCCAACTCAGTGACCTCTGGCCAGTCTCTATAGCAGCCTGGGCTTCTGTGTCTGATCCTATTATGTTTTTCCTGGTTTCTGACAACCAGGGTTTTCTCTACCTTTCTTCTGAGTCACTGAGTTTCTTTTTTGGGTCTCTGCATTGGCCCTAGGATAACCTAAAACCTAAAACCTAGAGCTCCTGTATCTAGAGAGAATGCAACTCTAGTTTACTCTAGTTAGTTTAGCTCTGCCCTAGTATTCATGAAGCTAAAGCTTAGGAAATCATCCACCTTGGTGAAATACCATAAGAAGGAGTTGTAGAATGGTATTGAGCAGGGTGGGGGTGGGTACAAGGGCACATTAGGACAATTAACTGATAATATCTAAGCAAGGGGAATGTAGGGGTGAAGTATTGGATCGTTGCAATAGTGGTTGTGGTTCTGGCCATTACCTTCAATGGCAAAAACCGCAATTACTTTTGTGCCATTGTAATAATTCCCAGCATTTCCATTCTAAGGGATCACTCGATGAAGTTCCAACCTTCTTGCACATTAAGGACCTTGCGTTCTCATTCTGCCTCAGCCACTACTTCTGTGCGATATTGAACATGTCAATTCTCCATCTGGGGACTCAGTTTCTTCATCTACACAGTGAGTGGGACCTTAGGATTTACTCAGGCTTCTTTCTGCCCTAAAAATCTAGGCTTCTCTTTGTTTGAGACTTGAGAGACAAAGTATCCAAAATGACTTTCTTAGTTTGAGGTATAATTTGCATACAATGACATGCTGTTCAGTGTGCTGTTGACTCAAATTTCGTCAAACACATATACTTGTGTAACCTCATTTACCAGCGAGGACACAGAACGTTTCCCTCACCATAAAAAGTTCCCTTGTGCCAATTTCCAGTCAGTTCTCCACCCCAGAAGCAACCACTGAATTGATTTCTGTCACTGTAGGCGAGTCTTCTATGAAATTCTAAAATTTTATATAATGACATTGTACACTATGTTCTTCTGTGTTGTCTGATTCTTTCACTCTGTATATCATTTCTGAGATTCACATATGTTGTTTTATGCACATAATTTATTCCTTTTTTGCAGAGTAATATTCCATTGTATAAATATATCACAGCTTGTTTATCTATTTTTCTGTTGATGAACATTTGGCTTCTTTCCAGTGTTTCCCTGCTATGAGAGAAGCTGCTATGAACATTCTTTCATAAGATCTTTTTTGTAGACCTACATGTTTTCATTTCTCTTGGATAAATACCCGAGAGTAGAATTGCTAGGTCGTTAGGTGGATATAAGTTTAACTGTTTGAGAAACTACTCAGCAATTTTCCTAGGTGATTTTACCATTTTACACTCTCACCAACAATGTATGAGAGTTCTAGTGGCTCCACATCTTCTCCATCATTTGATGCTGTCGTTATTTTTCTCTTTAGCCATTCTAGTGATTTTCTCACGGTTCACAATAATTTCTATGTGCATTTGCATTTCTTCTGCTTCCATTTACTACTGAATCAAAAGCACATTAGCATCAAAATCATCAAAAAGAATCAAAGAGACTATAAATGCTTATTGAATATTGCATTCTTTTGCAGATGTGTGGTGTGCCAAACCATGCCTCATTTAATGAATCCATTCATTCCAGATAATTTCACTCCATTTCTTTTCATAAATATGTACTACTTGCCAAATATGTATAAGCCTCTGGTACTAGATTCCTGTCAGGATGATAAGGAAAAGTAAGACTTGTTTTGTGCCTTCAAGAGCCTTAGAGAAGAGGCAGACCCTAATATTAGGTTGGTGCAAAAGTAATTGCAGTTTTTGCCATTAAAAGTAATGGTAAAAAACTGCAATGATTTTTGCACTGACCTTTAATATCAAAGATGTTGTACTGTGACTACAGTGAAACCTGAAGGGTGTTCTCCAATTAAAGAGGCAAGTATTGGGAGAGTTCTGAATAGGGGGGAAAGAATTCCCGCCACCACAATCAAGGAAAGAGACAGATGTGATTTTGAAAACTTGCACGTAAAGCAGTATTAGTGAACCCTGGTTTAGAGGCGCCAGAAAAAGGGTGAACAGGGAAGTTAAAATCTGAATGCACCTTCCCATTTTCTCAACTTGGCATATGGTGGGCATCTTTAAGACATGGCACACTTCGTGTCACTAGAGGAGATTGGGGCAGCCAGTCCAGTGAGTTTCAGGATTGCACCAACAGGCTGGTGCCTAGGAGGTATGCAGGTGCTGGCTTGTAAAATGGGCAATGGTGTCCCAGGGGTTGAGTGCAGAACATGAAGAGACAGGAGGTGGTGGTGAGGCTTTCTCTCCAAAGTGTTGGCTTGAAAAGCACATTCAGCATCTGCAGGAGTAATGCCTGGGTCTTCTTTGAGGTGTGCCTCATGATACCCAATTTGAGCTTTCTGTTCTCTGTCAAGTCAGTGTTTTCCTAGACCCTGGAAGAGTCATATTTTTGGGGGCACAGTGAAGAGCCCATCACGGCTGCGGAAGTGCTAGATAAGGCTTGTTTCTCTGTCCTGGTTGGAGTCACCCTAGTAGAAAAACCTAACAGAGTGGGCCTGTCAGAAAGAAGGTTATATTCTCTTCCTGTTTTCATGCTGAGTGAGAACGTTGAGCAGAGGCAACCTCCTATTCTTTCATTACCATCTTCATCTCTATTAAGTACTGTATGCAGTACATGTACAAACTGCTGGGGATATGGAGATGAGAGTTGTGGCCCTTAAGTTTAAAGTGTAGTCACACAGAAAGGTAAAATGATTATTGGAATACAGGGAAAGAAAGCACTACAACATTGTATTAGTTGATTTTTGCACTGCTATGAGGAAATACCCAAGGCTGGGCAATTTATAAAGGAAAGAGATTTAACTGACTCACAGTTCTGTGTGGCTGGGGAGGCCTCAGGAAACTTACTGTCATGGTGGAAGGGGAAGCAAACACATCCTTCTTCACATGGCAGCAGGAGAGAGAACAGCATGGGAGAACCACCCCCATGATCTAATCACTTCCCATGAGGTCCCTACCCTAATATGTGGGAATTACAATTTGGATTACAATTCAAGATGAGATTTGGGTGGAAACACAGAGCCAGAACATATCACATATACTTGTAACTTGGGCAGGGACACCTAATCTAACTGGTAGGTATCAGGGAATATTTCTCCCAATAAATTATTCTTAAACTTAGATGAGAAAAAGGGAAAGGTTAGCTAGTAAAGGGAGAAGTGCATGCCTATACTTGGAAGAAAAAGAAATCCTTGCATTCCCAGGGTATGAGCTAGAGTGGCTCACTGGGGCTAGAACATAGACTGTGAGGGGGATGCAGAAGTTTGTAAATCCTGATCCTTTGGAGTCACTGAGCTGGGTAGTTACACTTGTCAGTTTCCCTAAGTTTCTTTCTGGATAGCTTTGTATGTGTTACAATGCAGCTCAGTGTGTGTGTGTGTTGATTCTATAAATTCTGTAGCTGCAGGCTCTAGCAGTTCTGAGTGAGTACAGTCCATTAAGTTTTGCTCCCCACAGCTCATGTTAAAGGTCTATTTTCTGCTGCTGGACATCACCTAGTAGCTTTTTCTTTTGTGCAAAGTTTGGACTCACCTCTGAGGAGGAGGAGGAAAGCAAAAGACAAGGGGTCACGTAGAAAGCCTAACAAAATTATCTGGGTTGGTACAGGGTTAGGGAATGGGGGCAAAGATATTCTATTAGAAGTTTTGGTCTTCATTTTAGAGGTGTGCACCAAGCCAGCTCTCATTCATGAGAGTAAGTAGAAAAGACTCCATGGACTGAAATGTTGAGGGTCTTAAGAGTCTACAGAGAGCAGGTATTTGAACTATTAAATCTCCAAACTCCCATGAAAATACCATGCCAAAATGGCTTCTATCCAGGCTAATCAGGAGTTAGCCCAAAATCTAGTCTGTTATAGGTAGTCCAGTGGTAAAGCAAACTCCAAATGAAACTTTCATACATTATTATGAATAACAAGGCAGAATGTCAACACAGGCAGGTTAAAAGTAGCTTATTAAAAAGGAGGTGTTTGGTGCCACCTCCCATCCTGGGAAATTATGACTCAACTATCTAGAGACCACAGCACTTGGAAGCTGGAAAAAAACAGGTAGCACTGTAGGAGACAAAGTCTGGCTGTACAACCCTGGTTCCTCTGAGGATGAGGGTCATGTTTGGTTATGGAGCTGGATTATGACCAACTACAATAGTTGAGAGAAAAGCCTCTGTTTTAATTCATGAAGTTCTGGACTTTTGAGGGAACAGTGATGAAGTGGGACTCCAGGAGTGGACAGGAAATCAAGGTGCTAGCAGAGAGGAACAGTAAACTCCCTTTTAATGGCTCTACTTCTCCACCCTTCAAAAACTCTGCCCTTTGATGGAATGGTCTCAGGACCATCTTATGTCCCTACAGCCATATTACAAGAGTTACTGCAATCCTTTCTCTCCTTCCCTCTTCAAATCTAACCAATCCCCAATATTCACAAGTCTTGCTGATTCAACCTCATAAGTAGTTTATGAATTCACTGTCTCAGTTATAGTGGCCACAACTCAAGCCCTTATTCTCTGTTGCCTGGACCATTCCAGTGCTTCTCTAAATAGACTTCCTGTCTCAATTTTGGACCCTTCCCGACTAATTCATGATCTAGAGTCAGATACTGTTCTAGAATTTGAATCCAATTCTGCCTCAACATGACTTAAACCCCTGACATGTGCAGAGGATACAGGTGAACTTCCACAGCTGCGGTCACAAGATCCTCCCTAATGGAGCCTGGCCCACTGCTTCAATCACCTCAGCCACAGCTCCCAACCTCTCACAGCTTCTTCACCACACCAGCTGCCAGCTGTTCCTCACAGGTGCCTCATTTGCAATGCTGGAGAAACCACTGAGTCTAATTCATCTTTGTGTTCTTTCCATCTATCCTAGTCCCAGCGATGGGGTCAACATGCAATAAATAACTCTGGAATGAGGGAGTGACTATGTGTGGAGCTCACAGTTTATCCTTAACCTAAACCCATGTGGTTGTTAAAAGACTTTACAGACAGGAGTTCTAACTCCCTCCCCATTACTTTCCAGTGATGTGACCACCTTCTCAGCCTCAGTATCCTCATCTGTGAAATGGTGACAATAAATGGATTATTATGAGAATTACACAATAAAATGTCTGCAAGCTCTCACCACGATGCTTCGAATGTGCTCAGTAAGCAGCCCAACTACTGTCATTATTATGATCATTATCATTATTATTAATGATTAACTATTATTAATAGCAGTAGTCCCTCTTCAGTTTTATTATGGGAGCTGTTCACTCCTGTTTTGGGCATTGATTTCCTCATCTTGCTATCATGGAGTTGAGTGGGGACAGCCCAATTCCTCATCATCAAACAATAGAAGTGCACTACTCCCTGAGATCACATCTATGTCTGTCACTATTAAGGGGTGTGATTGATAGCAGGCATTCTGAGGGTGTGTGTGGAAACCAAAGGAAGAAAATAAGAGCAAACTACTGACTCTAATAAATACATAATATATATTATCTGCTCTCTCTCTCTGTGTGTTTTCTGAATGTGTTACATCTAAGCTAAAAAAGTCTGGCTTTGGTCTCTGGTTTAAATTGGGGCTATGACCTCATTATCTGGGGTTGCAGGCTCCAAAATAAACCTTACTCCACAATTTAGTGAAATTCAAGAAACGATTATGTGTAAGAATCTCGGGAAGATCTCATTCTATTTCCACGTATTTCCACATCCAAAACAAACACAGTAATGCCTATGAACATCCCAGGTGTCCACCGGTGTGGGGGGATATTGGAAACTGAGAAGTTACTGTTGGCAGTTTCTATCAAGGCCAACTCTACTGAACTTGTCAGAAGAGGTTGAAAGATTTACCCAATTTAAATCCCCTTCACGGCCTTCTGGTCTACTGTTGTTTTCTGACCTACCACAGACCAAAACAGTCATTTCATTTGTCAAATTCATGTTTGGCTGTTGTGCAAGAAGAACCCGCATTATGCAGCAAAGATCTCCAGAAATGATTATAGCAAATCCCCTGTTATTGTTGGTTGTCTCTTGTTTTTGCTCAAAGCCTATCTCAAACTTCTTCCCTATCTTTCCTTTTAAGTTCTCACAGTGTCTTATCTAAAATAAAATGGGCTCTTCTGGGTTTGTGAAATAATACATGGGGGTTGGTTCAAATATTTTTTTTTTCTTAATGGAAGGAATAATCGTGGGATTCAACTCATTGCCAGGGATTATGCTAGAAACCTATTACATTGTAGGGGTCTCACTTTATCATCATGATAATGCTGAAAGAATTTTACCTCAGTGGAGAAACTGAGGTTCAGAGAAGTTATTTAACTTCATTAATATCACACAAATAGTGAACAGTGGAGATGGAATTAAAAACATTTCAGGGCTTAATCCAAATTCCACACATTGCATTACCCTGCCTTTTTTTTTCTTTTTTAAATACCTCCAGGAATTTTGTTTCCTAGTCACAACTCTGAGTTTTTCCACAGTGGAGAATATAGTCAGGGAAGAAGTTACAGTGGTAAACAGGAAGGAAGTACAGAGCACCCCCGTCTCTCCATAGGCTGGGAAGACATATTGGTGGGTCAGAAATTAAACAATATCTGCTCCTCATCAAAGAGAAGAGCTTTAGGATTGAATTAGAGAAAGCAGCCTGTAGACTTTCCTTTTAGAGTTGTAAAATTGAATGTTCTTTATCTTAAAAATAAAAAATCCATTCAATTACAGCACAGAAGGTAAAATTTCTTTCCAAGTGTACCCAGAGATTATTGAAAGAGGAGAATCCTCTTAAAATCATCACACTTTGGCATTTTGAACAAGCACCCTTGTTCACCATAGGCATGGTGCCCCAGGACTTCCTTTGGGAACATGAAGAGTCTCCCTTGAGTTTCAAGTTTGCTGCTGCCAAATCCGGGTCCCTCCTACCCAGAAAGGACCTCTCCCAGTTGGGATCGGTGTGGATGCTTCTTTGCCAAGAATTGCCAAGAGATTCGAATAGTTCCAGAATGTGGAATAATTGCAAATTAATTGCATTTAATTACACAAGGCTAGATCATCAAATATCTTCTAGGTAGTTTGTGCTTTCTTTTGGGTATCGATGTATAATTTAAAGCATAAATAATGCAAATTTCCCTTTTGGAAATATTAACTAGTGCAGTGTTCTACCTAATGGAGGTTATTATTTTAATGTTTGTGAAATTAAGTTTTCCTATCTAAATTGAAGTTGTAGGTAGCCAAATAATCATTCTTGCAGTAGTAGAAGGTATTTTTCCCTGAGGAATATGAACAAACAATGAGTACAGCTACAAGTTCTAAAATGTTCAGCATTATATATATATTATATAACATATATATGTTTATATGTTATATATATGTATATATATAAATATGTTTATATATATAAAGCAATACTTCTTCCTCCCACTGGAGAAGGGAACTAAACAAAATAATTGTCTAGACTTAAACCTCCTTTTCTCCAAGTCATTTTGATGTTTACTCTGTTTACAGACCAGTGCTTGAGAAGTGCCCTTCTCTATCAGGCTAGCCCAGGCTCAGTATGACTTACAAACAGTATAATTTGGGGTTTGCCAAATCCCCAAATCTATAAAGAGGATGGATCAGCTGAATAAATAGTATGGTTTAATGGAAGACTACGGGTTCTGTACCTCACTTGCCAATATTTGTTGAGGGGCCCTGGGCGGAAACCAGCATCTCCCTAAATCTCACATTATCCTTTTATAAAATTAGGGGATTGATCTACTTAATTTCTTTTTTTTTCTTTTCTTTTTTTCTTTTTCTTTTTCTTTTTTTTTTTGAGATGGAGTCTCGCACTGTTGGCTGGATCTCGGCTCACTGCAAGCTCGGCCTTCCGGGTTTATGCCATTCTCCTGCCTCAGCCTCCTGAGTAGCTGGGACTACAGGCGCCCACCACCACACCTGGCTAATTTTTTGTATTTTTAGCAGAGAAGGGGTTTCACTGCATTAGCCAGGATGATCTCGATCTCCTGACCTCAAGTGATCCGCCCGCCTCGGCCTCCCAAAGTGCTGGGATTACAGGCGTGAGCCACCGCGCCCGGCCAATTTCTAAGGCTCCATTAGGGCTAAGGTTCATGTATCCATGGTGAAGTATAGAAGAACTCAGAATCGTTCCAAACATAATGGGCTTGGAGTAATGGAGAACTCCAAGGGCAGGAGGTAACCATTAAAGAGGACCATCATGTAGTGTGAGGAGTCAACATTTCACACTAGAAAGCCCTTGGTTCAAGTTTTGTCTCTGCCACCTACAGATTTTGTAACCCTGAGTAAGTTACTCTACCTCCCTAAACCTCCAGTTCTGTGATAAATATAAAGCCCTTGGTGCACTTTTGAGGCAGAATGAGCTCTTATTAATTGCTAAATCTAAATAAAAATTAAAAAGAAAAACTGGCACATAGCTTATCCCAGGTGTTTGTCTTCTGAGGCCATCTTCTTGGGTCTGTTTATTCTTATATCCTCTTCTTCTCACTCTTCTTTCACTTTTTCTGCTAAACCTGTTAGATTTCTGATTTTTGTCCACAAAGCAGTGCCATGTATTTGCTAATTCTTCACAGTAGGACTATCTAAGTCCCAAATTAGCTCTATCTTGATAGTCTATGGACTTCAGAGCACGTCTCTCCTTGGAAATTAATAGGAACACTTGTTTATTATTATTGTCTTCAATCTGGTCTCCCCACTGCTTGTACCCATACTTTCCTGTCTATTCTACACACTGTAACCAGACGGTCATATCCCTGCATAGTGCAAATTCCTTAATAGCTTCCCCACTGATTTTATTTATTGATCAAGCCAAAATTCTTAACACAGCCCTGCTTATTACAGACCTTGCTAGTTTCATCAGACTGTATCTCTGCTTTCCTCAATGTGGGGTTTTCTCATGGCATCTTAAATATTAGCACCCTCCAAATACATTTTTGTTCACACTTAAAGCCCAACTCAAAAGCTTCTTCCTCCAGGAAGCACTCCTTGATCTCTATTCTGACTCCATTCATCTAAGACAAGATCATGCCTTCTTGGTAAATGTTCACATAAGAAGCCTACGCTGTCCAATTCTTTTTATTTTTAACAATCATTACAATTACAATTTAACAATTAGGTCTGGCACAGGCTCACACCTGTAATCCCGGCACTTTGCGAGGCTGAGGCGGACCGATTGCTTTGAGCTCAGGAGTTCGAGACCAGCCTGGGCAACATGGTAAAACCCTGTCTCTACAAAAATTAGCTGAGCGTTGGTGGCACACACCTGTAGTCCCAGCTACTTGGGAGGCTGAGGCTGGAGAATCACTCGAGCCCAAGAAGCAGAGGTTGCAGTGAGCAGAGATCACACCACTGCACTACAATCTGGGTGACAGAGTGAAACCCTGTCTCAGACAAACAAAAAAAAGAACAACTATCGGTACAACCCCTAAGTTGATGTTTATTCTCTCTTCCTCCCCATGTAAGCTTCAGGTCTAGGTTGTGACTGCCTTTTCCACTATTATATCCACACTGCACAATATAGTTAGTGCCTGGCACATAGTACTTGTTCAATAATATTTAATGAATAAATAACTGGCTCTTTGAATGACAACATACACATCTAAAATGAAGAAAGTTCATCCTGGAATTGTAAGAAGTGGAGTTAAATGCTCATAAATTATTTAAAAAGTTAGATATTTGACAGGAACAAAATGATCCTGAGATCCTGAGAGGCTCCAGGATGTACAATTGTTGAAATGTCACCTTTAAGTCATAGGTATTGATTTACAGTTTGCATTCTTGAGTACATAGGATTCTGTACTAGCAGGGGGAAAAATCAAATTTCTGCATCTCAGTGAAGGAGAAGTCTAAGTCACATTTGGTATCATCTGTCGGAAGGTTGTGGGGTGTGTGTGTGTGTGCGTGTGTGTATTTAAGGGTTTTACATTGGCATTCTTGGTGGTAAGAAGAAAAATGACTTAAGCCATATTTTTTTTCATCAGAGATTAGTTTCGCCTATTCAAAACTTCAGTTGAATGGGATCATACAGAGTACTGCTTCATATCTGGCTGCTTCTGTTCAGTATTTGAGGTGTATTCATGTTGTGGCATGTTTCATAGTTTATTACATGTTATTGTTGTATGGTATTCCATTGTATGTATATGTCACTAATTGTTTATTCATTTCCTTTTGATGGACATCTGAACTCTGTATAGTTATTTATTATTGTTGGTGAAGCTTCTGTAAATATTCTTGTACGAGTCTTTTTATGTACATATGCTTTCATCTCTTTTGGGTGCACAATAAAACTGGTATTGCTGGGTCCTGGTGTAGGCGTATGTTTACTTTTATGATATTGCTGGACTGGTTTCCAACTGATCCTACCATTTTGCACTCCTTCCAGGTCCACAGCAACATCTGGCGCTGTCAATCTCTTTTGTTTCAGCCATTCTAGTCAGTGCATGACACTATCTCATGGTTTTATTTATATTTTCCTGATGACTAATGTTGAACACTTTTTCGTGTGCCTTTGACCATTTGAGTATTTTTAAAATTAAGTTCTGGTTTGAGTTTCCTGTTCATTAAAGAAGCTGAGTCATTTATCTTTCAGATATTGAGGTTTAAGGGTTGTTTATACATTCATATATTTTGAGTATCAGTCTTTTTTTTTTTTTTTTTTTTTTTTTTTTGAGACAGTGTCTCATTCTGTTGCCCAGGCTGGAGTGCAGTGGCGTCATCTCAGCTCACTGCAACCTCCGCCTCCTGGGGTTAAGCGATTCTCCTGCCTCAGCCTCCCGATAGCTGAGATTACAGGTGCCCACCATCACGCCCAGCTAATTTTCTTATTTTTAGGAGAGATGGAGTTTCATGATGTTGGCCAGGCTGGCCTCAAACTCCTGACCTCAGGTGATCCACATGCCTAGGCCTCCCAAAGTGCTGGAATTACAGGCGTGAGCCACTACGCCTTGCCGAGTATCAGTCTTTTGACTATTTTCTCAACGTGTATGTCTTAATATGCACTTTATAATGTTGTATGTTGAAAGGTAGGTATGCTTAATTTTAATGAAGTCCATTTTTGCCATGTTATTTTTCCTTCATGGTAGGTACTTTTTGTCTCCTAAGAAACTTTTGATCACTTTAATGATGTGAAAAAATTCTCTGAGATTCAATATAGAAGATTTTTACTTTTATCTTTTACATTGAGGCCCATGGACCATCTGAAATTAATTTTTGAATATGGTGTGAGATATAAGTCAAGTTTCATCTATTTTATATATAGATAAATTCCTTCCCCAATAAATGGCTTTGGTCCATTGTTGAAAAATCTACTAACCATTTAAGTCTGGGTCTATTTCTGAATTTTCTATTCTGTTATATTGATATGTTTTTCCAATAAGTATTTTATATTCTGTGATATTACTTATATTTTTGTGTTATTGAAAAATTTTTAAAAATGTTATTTTAAGATTGATTTCTGTGAACATATGGAAACATAATTTATTTTTCTATATTGACTGTATCCTGTGACCTCAATGAATTTATTTATTCACTCTGGTAGCACTTTGTTACATTCTTTATGATTTTCTACATACAGGATGATGTCATCAGCTAATAAAGGTAGATCTACTTCTTCCTTCCTAATATATTTGGCTTTTATTTTTCTTGTCTTATGGCACTGTCTAGGACCTCCAGTAAAACGTTGAATAAAATTTATGAGGAAAGACATCTTTACCTTATTCCTGACCTTAGGGAAAAAGTACTTAATCTTTTATTTTAAGTAGAATGTTAGCTATAGTATTTTCCATAGATTCCTTTTATTAGATTGAGAACATTTCCTTCAACTCCTACTATGCTAAGAATTTCTGTCACTAACAGGTTTTACACATTGTTAAAGTGTGCATTCACTGTGATAATTATATAATTTTTCTCTTATATTCTGTTAATGTGGTGTATTGTATTTTCAAGTATTAAACCTACCTTACATTCTTAAAACAAATTGAACTTGATCATGATATATTATCCTCTTGGTTGCCAAAATACTGTCAAGTTCCATTTCCTGGTATTCTGTTAAAGGTTTTTGTTTTTCAACCTATGTTAATGAAGATTTTTTTTTTCTTATAATGTCTGTCTGGTTTTGCTATCAGGGTTATGTTGTCTTCATAAAATGAGGTAAAAATTTTTCCTTCTTCCTTTGTTTTCTGAAAGAATTTATGTAGGAGTAGCATTATTTCTTCCTTGCAAGCCTAATAAAATTTACCAGGGAAGCCATTTGAACCTGATTTTTTTTTGTGATAGGTGTTTATGAATTGAAATTCTTTAATAGATGTAGAATATTTGAAACTTCTATTTCTTCTTCTATCAGTTTTAATAATTTGTGTATTTTAAGAAATAGGTCTTGGTATTGGTATAAAGCTCTTTCAATATTCCTTTATTATCTTTTTAATGTTGGTAGTGTTTATAGTGTTTTCATTCTTTATATTGCTAGTAAATGATTACTCTTTTTTTCTTGACTAGTGGAATTAGGGGTTTATGAATTTTATTAATATTTTCAAGGAACCAATCTTTTGTTTCCTTGATTTTTATCTGTTGTTTATCCATTTTTTTCATTTATTTCCACTCTTTCTATTATTGCCTTTTTTCTGAATAGTTTAGGTATAATTTGCTATTATTTTTCTAGTTTCTTATAGTGGAAATTTAGGTCCACACTTTTAAATCTTTCTTTTATGTTAATAGAAATACCTAAAGCTATAAATTTCCTCCTATACTATGCTGCCATAAAAACAAATGAGATAATGTTTTTCGCAGCACCATAGATAGAGCTGGAGGCCATTCTGCTACGTGAACCAAAGCAGGAACAGAAACCAAACATGGCATGTTCTAACTTATAAGCCGGAGTTAAACATTGGGTACACATGGACGTAAAGACGGGAATAATAGCCACCAGCCCTACTTGAGGTTGGACAGTGGGAGGTGGGTGAGGATCAAACAACTACGCTTGTTTGGGTCCTACGCTTATTACCTGGGTGACAAATCACGTGTACACAAAACCCCTGTGACAGGCAGTTTATCTATAGAACAAACCTGCACATGTATACGTGAAACTAAAATAAAAGTTAAAAAAATTTATTTATACCACTGCTTTAGGCCAGGTGCGGTGGCTCATGCCTGTAATCCCAGCACTTTCAGAGGCCGAGGCGGGAGGATCACATGAGGTCAGGAATTCAAGACCAACCTGGACAACATGGTGAAACCCTCACTCTACTAAAAATACAAAAATTAGCCAGGTGTGGTGTGTGTGCCTGTAATCCCACCTACTCAGGAAGCTGAGGCAGGAGAATCACTTGAACCTGGGAGATGGAGGCTGGAGTGAGCCAAGATGGAGCCACTGCACTCCAGTCGGGGTGACAAGAGCGAGACTCCATCTCAAAACAAACAAACAATCAAACAAAAAACACTGCTTTAGTTGCATCCCACAAATTTTGATGGGTTGTGATCTCTTTTTGTTCAGTTCTAATTATTTTCTGATTTCCCTTATGTTTCTTTTTTGACCTATGCATTATTTTCAAGAGTGTTGTTTGATTTCAAGATATTTGTGGATTTTCCAGATTTTTTGGTAATTGACTTCTAGTTTAATTCCTTTGGCCACAGAAATACTCTGTAAGATTTTAATTATGAAAAATTCATTGAGACTTGTTTCGTGCCCCAACACACATACCTTGTATTAGAACTATTCCACGCCTACTTGAAAATACTATATATTTTGAAGTTGTTGGATACAGTGTTCTATAAATACTAAGTCAATTTCACTGATAGGCTAAACTGATTTTTCTGTCTACATGCCTTTATTAATCTTCATCTATAATCGTGAATTTGTTCATTTCTCACTCAGTGCTGTCATTTTTGCTTCAAGTATTTTGAAGCTCTGTCATTAGGAGCACACAGATTTAGGATTGTTATGTCTTCTTAGTAAACTGACCTATTGATTGACATAAAATACCTTTCTTCATGTTTGGAAAAATTTCTTGTCCTAGCATCTACTTAGTCTCACATCAATATAGCCACTCCAGCTTTCTTACAATTCCTAGCTGTAGGGCATATTATTTTTATTATTTTATATTTAACTTGCTTATGTCGTTATATATAAAATGTATCTTTAGTGAAAAAACATATAGTTGTGTCTTTCTTTTCCATCTAGTCTGTTAAATTTTATTTTTCATTTGGAGTGCTGAACCCATTTACATTCTGTGTAGAATTGGTATGCTTGGGTTTAAGCCTGCCACCTTGATATTTGTTTCTATTTGTTTCTTTCCTTCTCTTTTTTGTCATTCTTTGGATAAAATGAGTACTTTTTTCAGATTTTTTTTTAGTATTCTACCTTGTATTCTGTATTGGTTTATTATCTGTATCTCAGTGTTTTATTTATTAATTTCCATGTGTATGTATGTAGACATATGTACATACATATATGTGTATATATATATTTATTGAGGTTCCTCTCCTTATATTTGCAGTATACATGTATAATTTATCATTGCATACCTTCAAATACTATTACAAAACTTGATGTAAATGTAAGAACTTTAGCACAGTTTATTTTTGTTATCCCCTTCCACTATTTGTTATTATTGTTGTATGTTTTACTTCTAAATCTGTGATAATACTGAAATATATTGTTGTCAATTTTAAGCCTTAAATTACATTAAAAAATAATAAAAGTATTTTATTTATATCTACCTATAGAATTACACTGTTCATTCCTTTATTCATAACACAGTTCCTGTCTAATGTCACTTTCCTTCAGCCTGAAACATTTTCATTAATATTCTTAGAGTGCAGGCCTTCTGATGAAAAATTATCGGACTTTGCATTTGTCTGAAATTTTTGTTGTTGTCGTTTCTTTAATCGTTAATGAGTATTTTAACTGAATATGGAATTCTAGGTCGAAATTTTTTTTTCTTTCAGCCTTTTAATGACATCATTTTATTATGTTTTAGTTTGCATTTTTTTTTTACAAATACTTTGGATATTCTTATTGTTTTTCTTATATAGTGTGTATTTTCGGTTTTTTTTGTTTTTGTTTTTTTTTTTTTTTTTTTTTTTTTGAGACGGAGTCTCGCTCTTTCGCCCAGGCTGGAGTACAGTGGCACGATCTCGGCTCACTGCAAGCTCTGCCTCCTGGGTTCACGCCATTTTCCTGCCTCGGCCTCCCTAGTGGCTGGGACTACAGGCACCCGCCACCACGCCCGGCTAATTTTTGCATTTTTTAGTAGAGACGGAGTTTCATCTTGTTAGCCAGGATGGTCTCCATCTCCTGACCTCGTGATCCGCCCACCTCGGCCTCCCAAAGTGCTGGGATTATAGGCGTGAGCCACTGCGCCCGGCCCATTGTTTTAACTCTTCCTCTTCTGGTGCTTTTAAAATTTTCTTTGTATCATGGATTTTAGCAATTTGACTATGATGTGTCTTGGTTAGGGTGTGTGTGTGTGTGTGTGTGTGTGTGTATGTGTGTGTGTGTCTTTGGCTATCCTGCTTAAAGTTTAGTGAACGTTAAAAACTTTGAAAAACTTCCATCATTATTTTTCCATGTATTTTCTGCTCCAATCTCTTCTCTCCTACTGCTGCTTTAGTCACATGTATATTAGACTGCATGATACAGTCCCACAAGTCACTGAAAATTTGTTCCATTTTGTTTCCAGCTTTGTTTCCTATTGTCCTTATGTTGGATAGTTTGTATTGTTCTGTGTTAAAGTTTCTCATCATTTCTTCTGCAGTGTTCAGTCTGTTATTAAGCCATCTAGCAATTTAACTAGTGAAATTTAGATACCGTATTTTCAAATTCTAGATTTTTAGATACTGTATTTTCAAATTCTAGATACTGTATTTTCAAATTACAGAATTTCTATTTTTTTCTTATAGCCTCTATTTCTTCTCTTTCTCCTTCTCCTTCTTATTTTTGACAAGATCTCACTCTATCGCCCAGGCTGGAGTGCAGCGTCATGAGCTTGGCTCACAATACACTCAACCTCCTGGTTCATATGATCCTGCTTCAGCTTCCCAAGTGTCTGGGACCACAGGTCACAGGTGCACACCACTATGCCTGGCTAATTTATTTTTTTGTAGAGATGAGGTTTCACCATATTGTCCAGGTTGGTCTTGAACTCCTGGGCTCAAGCAATTCGTCCACCTCAGTCTCCCAAAGTGCTAGGATTACGGGTGTGAGCCATGGCGCCCGGCCTACTTCTTTCTTGAGATTCCTTATGTTTCCTCTACATTATTCTTTTCCTTTATACTTGTGAACATTGTGATTGCTAATTTTACGTGTCAATTTTTTTTGTTGTTTGTTTGTTTGTATTTTTTTGAGACGGAGTCTCACTCTGTTGCACAGGCTGGAGGTCAATGGTGTGATCTTGGCTCACTGCAACCTCCTCCTCCCAGGTTCAAGTGATTCTCCTGCCTCAGCCTCCTGATTAGCTGGGACGACAGGTGCATGCCACCACACCTGGCTAATTTTTTTGTATTTTTATTGGAGACAGGGTTTCACCATGTTGGCCAGGCTGGTCTTGAACTTCTGGCCTCAAGTGATCTGCCTGCCTCGGTCTCCCAAAGTGCTGGGATTACAGGCATGAGCCACCATGCATGGCCATGTCAATTTGACTCAGCCAAAGAATGCCCAGTTGGCTGGTAAAACATTTTTCTACGTGTCTCTCAGTGTATTTCTGGAAGATATTAGCATTTGAATCAGTCAACTGAATAAAGAAGATTGACATCATAATACAGTTGGGCATCGCTCAGTCTGTTGAGAGCCTGAGTAGAAAGTCGGAGGAAGGGTGAATTTGGTCTCTATTCCTGAGCTGGGACATCCATCTTCTCCTGCCCTTGGACACTGGACCTCCTGGTTCTTCATCCTTTGGACTCTGGCTGGGACACACTCTTGGTTCCCCTGGTTCTCAGGCCTTCAAGTTCGGACTGAAACTAGACCATCAGGCTTTCATGGGGTTCCAGCTTGCAGATGGCAGATTGTGGGGCTTCTCACCCTTCCTACTCACGTGAGCCAATCCATCATAATAAAACTCTACACTGTTGGTTCTGTTTCTCTGGAGAATCCTAAATACAAACATATTTATAGTGACTCTTTTAAATTCTTCTTTTGCTAATTTTATTATCTCTGTCATTTTGTTGGGGTCTGTTTCTGTGGACTGAATTTTCTCCTAGATATGGACCACATATTTTTGGTTCTTCAAATGTCTAGTAATTTTTGGTTGGATATTGGATTGTATGGATACTAAATTTTGAGTGTCTGAATTTCCTAATCATTCCTAATAAAATCTTAATAAAGTGTTGAATTTTGTCCTATTAGGCAGTTAACTTACTTTCAGGTCAGTGCAATCCTTTCAACCCTTCTTTTAAACTCCATTAGAGGTCTAGAATAACCTTGACTCTAGGGAAGCCCTTGTCAAATACTGTTGTCTTGTGGCCCTTCAAGTGCATTGTATTTATCTATGTTGAAAATATTATAAATTAGAACTGAAAATTGTAAATGTTTATTAAGTTATTTAAAATGGCAATTATAAACCCCATTACACATAAAAAATATGTTTTTATGAAAAGCAACTGTATCATCAAAAAATTAGTGAGATTAGTTGCAATGCAGAATCTGAAACCATATCAATAAACTTTTCATACTATGTCATGTTAAAATACATTGGTCTATCTTGAATCCAGAATAAATATCTAATGTATACATAATTTTGTAATGTCATGTTACAAAAACATCATGACCCCAAACTCTCATCTCAGTCTCCCCAGCTGAGCTAGATTGTACTGCTCTAGATCCTTCTCCCTAGTTTACATTACAAAAAAGTGTGTCCAGGTGGAAAGCCAATGGAATCCTGCACTGCTGCTTGCAACAGTGCTTGGAGATAATTATTTCATATATTTTTTGTCTACTGTTATAGTTGCTTATAGTGGGAGGGCTTCTCCCATCTTGTCCAGAGTCAATATATTTTTTAGTAAGAGATATGGATACCTATAGAGAAGTGAGAAAACCTTTCTTCCCACCTCTACCATGGGTTCTCTTCTTTCAAAAGAACAAATCCCTAGAATGCAGTACTCTACAGTTTACAAAAAGCCTTTTGTAATTATTCTCTTATTCTGTTTGTATCACGTGGTTTCCATTTTGAGCTTTAGAGTGCAGTGGCGGGCTGAGGTCACAGAGCTAGGTCAGACCTGGAAAATGGAGTGGGGTAAGCTAGTTGTGTTTCACTGCTCAAGAATAGATCTTTCCTATGCTCTCACCAAAATAAGTTTGTAGGTCAGCCTTCTTTATAAACAGCTGAATAGGGAAGGAAGGGCAAGGTTGACAAGAATCGATCGAGCTCTGCCCCTGAGCCAGTTGCCGTGCTGGGCCCACTGATACAGAGATCAAGAAGATAAATATGAGCAGGATCTCAGGTTGCTGGAGCACTGGTGAAATAATTTTGATTCATATAGATTTATTTGCTCAATCGACACATTTGTGTTTGGACTACAGAACCGTTTCCTCATCAGTAAAATGGACATTAATAATCTCTCATTCCAGTGAGATGCTGGGGCTGGCTTGTGCTGGAATATGAGAGCTGATTGTTAAAATTTTCAGAAAATGTTCAGGCCAATTATTAAGCACTGTCATAATTAAGGATTACATTATACAAATTTATCATTAAATCAATCACATTAAAACAAAGGTAATAAATCCTCAAGACTTAAAACTTTCTAACTATTTTACATGTACCTATATTCTTTGGTTTATTTACATCTATTATATCTGTATAGTAGAAATATTATGTAATAGGGAGCTGCTGTGCATCTTTTCTTGCCTCCATGTTCAGTAATGCCAGGTTAGTAGCTTGACATCAGTGCTGATGGAAATATTTACACCATGGAAATAGGCAAATCAGGGCTTCATTGCTATTTTGATTCTCTAGACTTAAGTAAGTGTTAGAAATGATGTTAATGATGCAAATTAACCATAAAATTGTGTAGTGTCTGCAACTATTACTTTAAGAATATAGTATTTCAAATAACAACTTGAGCAAATATTATTTCAGTATTTCATCGCTATTATCTAAGCTAGCAAAGAATTCACTCATGTCATTAATAAGTAAGTGAAGTTCCAGCATTTCACATTTCACTTTCATCTTACTCACTAATGAAAACAAAATTATCAACAAATATTTATGCTGGAATTATCCTCACTTGTCCTTTGCAACCACAGTTTGGCTATAGATATAATTATTTGACCAAAAAACAACAAAATATTCCTTAAGAATCGAGGGGCTATACGGAATTTACAAAAAGGAGTATTGAATATTTCATTATTATTTGTAAGGGGGCTTTGTGTCCTTTATATCAACAACAGTTACAATAAATGTATGTATGCAAATATATGCATTTACTGTCTCCCTCTCTTCCCCCAAGAACCAGTTGTTAAACATTTACCAGCACACCGCTGCCTAACTCATATCATTGTTAAGATTAGACTAAGAGCGCCTTCAGAATGCTTATCTTTGCAGGCAGCTATGCTAAACTGAGGATTACCATTAGCTAATGTTCCAGGTCTTGACTTATAGGAGAAAAGGAAAATCCTACGGAGGAGGGGCTCTGATGGCTTTGAAGAAGGCAGTGAATGGCCACATGTTCCCTGAGGACAGCACAGGCTAAAGGCTCAGCTAGAAGAAAGGCACAGAGATAGCAAGGTCAGCTTGGAAATGGTTCTCCCCCCAGGTTGGACAGAATGAAGGTGGGAGAAAAAGTAGGGAAAGTTAGATTGAAATAATTATTTCAATATCCTTAAATTCCAAATTGCAGAGTTTATACTTGCATCAGCAGGTGGTGGGGAGCCACTGAAGGTCTTTGAGCTGTGTTTTGTGACAGTTAATATGGCAGTCTGGGTAAGATGGGTTGAAGAAGAAAGAAACTGGAGTTAGGAGAAGATTGTTAGAAGAATCCAGAAGGAAACGAGCGACATGAGCCCAACTAAGTTAGTGGTCATCACAACAGAAAGGATGTTAGTAATAGAAGAAATATTTCCAGGGTAGAATGAACAGCCCTTAGAAAAATAATCATACTTATTTTTATTATTTTTATTTTTTTAATTTTTAGTGTTTTTTTTTTTTGTAGAGGTTTGAGTATGTGGGGAGGTGTCAGCGGATCAGAAAAGTATGAAATAAAGAGACTGAGGAAGAGCTCTGGAATATTTATGCCAAGCCCCCACTCCCCCACTTCTTTCATTTGCAGGATTTTGGGTTACTGGAGATGTTTTTTGTCAAGCGAATACTTACTTATTTTAATTAATGTACATTTTATTTACGATTTACTTTTTCATTTATTTACTATTTTCTTTCTAGGGGCTTGTTAGTTTAAAAAAAATAAGGTTTTTTTTTTTTTTTCTTAAACTAGAAATATTTAAAGAATGCTCTCTGTTTGTCTTTCAGTGCATTCTGGCAAGGTGACTTTAGGCCATAAAGACTTGTGTGTTTGGGTCATGTCCCACCACAGGGCTTTCGGGCTTTGACTTGTTTATTTGGAATATGGAGGAGACATTGTAGAGACCATTTAATTCTCAGGAGCTATTAGAAAGCAGCCAAATCCATTTTAAGGAAAAAAATTATATACTTAAAAAAAAAGATTTCTTTTTAGAGACTGTAAGTCATTAGAATATTCAAGAAATTTTAGAAGTTCGTTTATGGGCAAAATGTCCTAAAGGGAACATTCCCATAGGCTGTACATAGACCACAGACTCACCCCCACAGATGGTAAATTGACATTGCAGCTAAGCTAGTCAAAGAGAGGACATATCTCTTCTTTTACAGGTTTACAAGATTAAGTTATTTTCAGCAATATTTTCTTGCGTGTGATTACAAAAGACATGACTTCATGTTGTCAAATAATTTAAACAATACACACGTAGACATTATAATACAGGCATTTGAGGACAAATTATAGTGTCAAGATACCTGGGTTTCCATCTCTGCAACTTTCTTGTTCTGTGGCCCTGGGCACACAATTTCTCCAAGCTTTTTTCCTTACAGTAACATAAGAAAGGAAACACAAATTAACTCACAGGATTGTGATCATTAAGTGAGAGGATATATGTAAACTCATGCAAGCTTTTCCAACACACCTTATTTTGTTGTTGTTGTCGTTGTTGTTCTGTTTTGTTTTGTTTTCGGCTTTTAGCAGCCTGAAGCCACGGATTTTAGTTTCTGTCTCTAGCAATAAATGGAAAAGTGGGATGGGTCAGCAGTAAAAAAAAAAAAAAAAAAAAAGCCAAGCTATCCAATTCCAATTTGGAAATTCACAAAATATATGAATAAACATTTCACTGAAGAGGGTGTACAGATGGCAAATAAACACATTAAAAGATGTTGAACATCAGTGGCCCTTAGGTAAGTAAAAATTAAAACCACAGTGAAATATCATTACACACCTATCAGAATGGCTAAGATTAAAAATAGTGACAACACCAAAAGGTAGTGAGCATGCAGAGAAACTGGATCACTGACACATTTCTGGTGGGAATGTAACGCGGCCATGCCATTCTGAAAAGCAGTCTGGCAATTTCTTATACAATTAACTATGTAATTGTCATATGACCGCACCATTATTCTCTGGGATATTTATCCCAGAAAAATGAAAATATATGTTTACACAAAAACCTAACGTGGATATTCAAAACAACTGCATTCAAAAGAGCCCCAAACCAGAAGTAACCCAGATGTTCTTCAGCAAGTGAATGGTTAAATAAACTGTGGTACATCCATAGTATGGAGTACTACTCAGCAATAAAAAGATATGAGCTATGGATACACGCAACGACTTGGATGAATCCAGATAATGATGCTAAGTGAAAACGTAGTCAATTCTGAAATAATACATACTCTACAATTCCATTGATATAGAATTCTTAAAGTGAGAAAATTATAGAAACAGAACACAGATTAATGGTTGCCAGGGGTTAGGGATGGGTCAGGGAGGAGGGTTAAAAAAAGGCACCCAAGGCATGCTTGTGGTGATGGAACTCTTCCCTACCTTGACCATGGTGCTGGATGCTGGAACCTACCTGTAAGACAAAATTGCATAAAACAAATGAGCGAAACAAGGCATATCTGAGAATCAATGAATTGTATCAATGTCGATATCCTGGTTGTGATTTGACCCTATAATTTTGCAAGATGTTACCATTGGGGAAAACGAGGTAAAGTCTACATGGAATCTCTTTGCATTATTTCTTACAACTGCTTTTGAATGTACAGTTTTCTCACAATAAAAAAAGTCTTTAATTTAAAAAAGTAATATTGTAAGTTCTTAACAAAACAAAACTGAATGGGTTAACCAAGGGTTTGACTCATTTTAACTAACTGCACTATTTGTTTATTTAGGCAATCACTAGCCAAGCACTGATTGGCCAAATTCCACCTCCTTTCTTATGAATGAGTCCAGTGAGTTGCTCAGGGGCAACGCAGCCTAAATGTAGGCGATAGAAATGCTATGTGAGGAAATGGGGTTAAAGGTCTGGGCCAGAGTTGTCCACTCAGCAAGTTTATTTATTAGGGACCTCTTTGTACGTCCATTGGGAATGGTAATGAAGATTTAGTCTTATAGTACCTTCCTCGAGAACATCACTCTGGGTTTTGGATGGCCTTTACAAGAATAGTCAAGACTTGAGCAACTCACATCTGCTTGGGAAATTCAAGCTTATTATCTCTAACTGGGGAGGCAGTAATGACTGTCATGGAAGAAGGAGACCTCAATTTAAGCAAACAGCTGTCTTTCGTTGACTACAGGAGGGTAAACAGGGCTCAAGTTGGCCCTTAGTGAACTGATCTATGGAAACATAGCTTAAACAGATTCTCTCATTGAGCACAGTGAGGAAAACACTCCTTGGCAGTTTCTAACCCTGCACAGGTAATGCACGGAGGCAAAGAAACTCTTTTTGTTTTGCTGGGGCCAGGCAAGATAAAGGGGCCCCATGCGTTAGTACCCTGCATTTTAGCCCTTTCCCAGGGGCTGCCTGTGCATTGCTGCTCTCTCTTTTTAGGAAAGCTATTTGGAGCCCTATCCTGGCAGGGTTTGTGGTTTGTCCAGAGGAATCCCCTCTATCCTGTTCTTACCCAATTATCTGCTACTCAACTGGTGGACCCTCCAGTCAATTTCCCTTGGCACTGTGGGGTGGCTTAGTATTAAAATTCCACAGATTTTTCTCCTGCTCTTTGCAGTGGGGAGGACTCGACTGCAGCACTGTAGGGCTGTGCGAGCTTGCTCACTGGCGACAGTCAGCTGTGATTTTCCATCAGCTGCATCTCATTATCCCATCAAGGCTCCCTCCTGCCTATCGATGAGAAACACTGTGTAATCACTCCCAACTGACTGCAAATCACTCTGCACTCCTGTGTGAACCTTGGCCCATGACCACATGGCTCAGCCCGCCAAATGGTCCCTGGGCTGGGTCTGTGGACCCAGCACTGCTTTCATGGAGGGGGCTCCAGGAGCTTATATCACAAAGGCCATGCTTTCTTCTTGGGATGGAGTGGGAGAGAGGGGGCTGTGTTAAAGAGGGGCATTGGCTAGTCACAAAGCCCAGAGAACTACAGGGTCAGATTCAGAATAGCTATCTCATGGAACTAGTTTTCAAGATGGAGAAAGGGCCATGCCTTTTCCTTTTATGGAGTCTAGAATCAACCAGTTGTTGGTGGTATAGACTTGATTTTTTCCAACAGAAACAGTAAAGCATATTGGTTATAGAACTGAGACACTGAAGGCACACAGATCCAATTCAAGTCCTGATTCTGATAGTTACTGCCTATCTGACATTGGACCAGTTACTTAATCTGTCTGAGCCTTGGCTTTCCTATATCTGTAAAATGGGAAAAATATCAGTACCAAGCATTTAGAGATGTTTTAATGATTAAATGAGATAATAAATGCAAAATCTTTAGGACCCACTGAATGCCAATTGTTGATATGAGTAATACAATTTAAAATTGTGGAAGACACTTGTTACCTAGTAACAGATACCAGCACCCATTCTGTATCCTCTTTCTACCTAAAGTATTGGGGAAACAATAAAGATTCAAAGGCTCTTAGGGCCCCAGTTGTCTGTTGATGCTTTCAAGGGAAGAGTGGCTAGGTCTTTGGGGAAGTTCCTGTAATGAACAATCAATGCCTGGACAAAAGTCCTCTTGAGTAGTGAAGTCATTAGTGAAGACAACGGCACAGGAAAGTCATGATAATGTATGCATTATCATACAAGTCACGCAGTGTAGACAGTAAGTTGTGTGTATTGTTGGAGCAGATTCAGTGCTCAGTGTTTAAGCTATTTCTTGGATAGGTGGCTTTGTTTCTCATTTTCTATTTATCTTTATCATAACAAGGGAGAATTTTCTTTGGGGCTCTAATCTCCTGAAATGTTTGTACTTCTCCTGATAAGCCCTTTGATTTTGCCAGTTGGATGCTGCAAATCTTGGGATTGGCCATGCTTTCCTCTTTGTTTTGACTTCAGGGAAGTTCAGAGCCAGATCTCACTGAGCAAACATGGGTCACACCATGGTATATTTTGCATTTTTACCTCTTACCTGGTGCATGCTGGCTTTGCTGGTCATGGTCCAAATGTTTTTGTTTTGTGTTTGGTTGTGGTGCCGGTGGGGGAAATGCAGAATGCATGGATGCCTGTGGCTCCAGGTTTCCCCACATCATGGTACCGAGTACAAATGGCTTGACACTTAATACAAGAAAATTCCAGAAGATATCAGCCAGTCAAGAAGAAAAACTCAACTTTTCCATTTAGCAGTTCCCTCCCTGGGAAGTTACTCCTCTTCCAGACCTTTATTTATTATTACTATTTTTTTTTTACCAATGTGCTTTTCATTTGGCATATTTGTGAACAGTTAGGTTTTATTCCTTTAACTGCAGTTGCAATAGGTATTAGTTATAAGCTTTAAAAATATTTGTCATATTATGAAATCTTTAAAGTATATAGAAAAATGCAGACAATGATATAACTTAGCCAGTGCATTCATCACTCAACTTTGTTAAAATGTTTTTCTCTGCCATATTCACATTCATTTTTTTCCTAAATGATTCATTATTACAGACAGTTGAAATCCACTGAATTTCTCATTCTGTTTTTCTCAGTCTCTTCTCAGAAGCAACTACCCTGAATTTGCTGATTATTAATCTAATTCATAATTTTATACTTTTACTAAATATAGAAATACCCATAAACAACATAATAGTGTTGTTTTTATATTTGAAATTTTACATAACCAACAACTTCCTATAGTCTTCTTTTTCTATGTACTATTATGTTTGGCAGATCAATTCATTTTGATAGGTATATATTTCTAGTTGATTTATCTGCTTAGGAGTATTTCACTGCATAAATATGCAATTAATGTATCTATTCTCCTATTGATGCACGTCTACAGGGCTTTCCATTTTTGGCTATTATGAACATCTTAGGTTATAGCACTACACATTCCAGTACCTGCACATCATACATATGTACAAAGCTTTCTCCAGGGCATATTCCTGGGAGTTGCTGGGTCTCAGTTATGCCTATCTTTAATTTTGCTAGATTTTGCAAAACTACTCTCCCAAATGATTTTAAAAATTTACACACTGAACAAGAAAGTATGAGAATTTTCTTTGTTCTGCATTCTTGCCAACACTTGGTATTGTTAGACTTTTCAATTCTAAACTATCTTATGTGTGTGGAATGGTATCTTAGTGTTGATTTTCTTTGTTATTAGTGAGACTGGTCATCTTTTCACTCACGCATTAGTCTTTTGGGTTTTCTGTTCTAACACTTGTCCATTCATAAATTTTGCTCATTTTATTATTGCCTTCTTTGCATTTCTTTATTAGTTGTAAGATATTCCGTATATCAGCCCTTAGATAGTGGATTGCTGATATCTTCTCTGAGGCCTTTTGGCTTTGTTTTATCTTGTTGTATGGAATTTTCAAATTTTAATAAAGGCAAAGTTATCATTAATTTTCTTTAAAGAAATAATAATGCACTTGAGCAATGGTTGAGAACTCTACTATTACGAGGCATAAAGATAATACTCTTCTACATATTCCACTACATTTTTGGTTCTGATTTTCACATTTAGGTCTTAATCCATTTGGAATAATTTTTTGTGCATGGAGTGAGAAAGTGATTGGTTCTATTTATCTTCTTTTGGAAAACCAGCTGCACCAGGACTATTGATTATGTAGTTCACTTTCCCTTTGCTGATTTCTATGGCCATTATATTCTATGTTACATTTCCATAAATGCTTGGATCTGTTTTGGAGTTTCCTATTCAATCTCATTGGTCTGTATTTTCACCTTATAATGATGACTTACCTTGATACCTGGTAAGTCCCTTGGTTTTTTCTACTTATTCAAAATTTTCTTTATTACAGCCTCTTTTATCTCTCATGTGAAATTTTAGTATTATCTTCTCAAGTTCCTTGTTGGGATTTTATAGGAATTACTTTGAATTTAAATATTGATTCATTTGGGAAGAACTGTCAGTTTATAATCTGATCACCCATAACTATGATCTACATCTTCAGATACTGATTTTTTTTATGACGTAAGGTAACATATTCTATTTTTTTCCACAGAAAGTGTACATTTTCGTTAGTTTTTTTCTCTACACATTTGGGTTGCCATTATAAATCACACCCGATTTAATAAATACATTTTGTAATTATGTGATGTCAGATAAATAAGAACACAATTGATTTTTGTATGGCACCCTCCTATTAGTTTCAATAGTTTGTATCTAAAATGCTGTCAAACATATGAGTGGAATAGGGATATGCCAAAATGTTGAATTAGTTGCTTCTAGGTGAAGTGATTATGGGTGATTTTCTATTTGATTTGACTCTTTGCACTTTTCAATACTTTTAATTTTTGTACAATAGGTATCATCTCTTTAATAATTGAGAAAAAATGAAAATTAAATAACAATAGTAAAGATAATAGCCATCATTTAATTGGCATCCAAAACTTGTCAAGCATGTGCTAAATGCTTCATACACATAAGTTAATTTTAATCCTGACAATCATTTTGCATAGAAGATGCTGCTTGTCACATTTTCAAATGGGGAAGCTGAGGCACAGAGCAACTTACCTAAATATTTGCCAGTGAATCAAATGGTTCAGCTGAGTTTCGTGGTAATATTTTGTACTCTAGTCCAACTCAGAAGGACACATTCTTATAGTAAATTCTTCTTTTCTGCATTCAGTCTGTAAAGGTCTAGATGGACCCCAGAGAAACAGTTTTCCAAAGAATTCATGCGGCCCCCTCTGCAAGCGGAAGAGGGGAGGCCAGGCTTGGCGGTGACTACTTGGACTAAGGATTTCGAAAATTAAGATTTAAAAAGTGTCAAAGGATGAGAGATGCCCCGGAAGGCCAGAGCTTTTATAAGTTCCTTAACTTGCAACCATCCCTTACTCAGGAAACGAAGCATTGGACCTAGTAATTTACAACATTAGAAAAAGGAAGTCTGTTCCTCTGAGGGTGAAAATTTTCCTTTGCCCTCAGCTTCCCTAAAGTTTAAAGATCATAAATATGACGGCTAGGCGCGGTGGCTCATGCCTGTAATCCCAGCACTTTGGGAGGCCCAGGCGGGCGGATCACGAGGTCAGGCGATAGAGACCATCCTGGCTAACACAGCGAAACGCCGTCTCTACAAAAAATACAAAAAAAATTAGCTGGGCATAGTGGCGGGCGCCTGTAGTCCCAGCTGCTCCGGAGGCTGAGTCAGGAGAATGGCGTGAACCTGGGAGGCAGAGCTTGCAGTGAGCCGAGATCGCGCCACTGCACTCCAGCCTAGGAGACAGAGCGAGACTCCATCTCAAAAAAAAAAAAAAAAAAAAAAAAAAAAAAGACTTAAAGGGTTCAGGTAATCTAAGGCCACAAATGTGCTACAATACAGACCAGGAAACATGGGATGAGTTAAAGTAACTTATTGCCATTGTGAATAATGCCTCAATAAACATACATGTGCATGTGTCTTTATAGCAGCATGATTTATAGTCATTTGGGTATATATATACCCAGTAATGGGATGGCTGGGTCAAATGGTATTTCTAGTTCTAGATCCCTGAGGAATCGACACACTGACTTCCACAATGGTTGAACTAGTTTACAGTCCCACCAACAGTGTAAAAGTGTTCCTATTTCTCCACATCCTCTCCAGCACCTGTTGTTTCCTGACTTTTTAATGATTGCCATTCTAACTGGTGTGAGATGGTATCTCATAGTGGTTTTGATTTGCATTTCTCTGATGGCCAGTGATGATGAGCATTTTTTCATGTGTTTTTTGGCTGCATAAATGTCTTCTTTTGAGAAGTGTCTGTTCATGTCCTTCGCCCACTTTTTGATGGGGTTGTTTGTTTTTTTCTTGTAAATTTGTTTGAGTTCATTGTAGATTCTGGATATTAGCCCTTTGTCAGATGAGTAGGTTGCGAAAATTTTCTCCCATTTTGTAGGCTGCCTGTTCACTCTGATGGTAGTTTCTTTTGCTGTGCAGAAGCTCTTTAGTTTAATTAGATCCCATTTGTCAATTTTGTCTTTTGTTGCCATTGCTTTTGGTGTTTTGGACATGAAGTCCTTGCCCATGCCTATGTCCTGAATGGTAATGCCTAGGTTTTCTTCTAGGGTTTTTATGGTTTTAGGTCTAACGTTTAAGTCTTTAATACACCATGGAATACTATGCAGCCATAAAAAATGATGAGTTCATGTCCTTTGTAGGGACATGGATGAAATTGGAAATCATCATTCTCAGTAAACTATCTCAAGAACAAAAAACCAAACACCGCATATTCTCACTCATAGGTGGGAATTGAACAATGAGATCACATGGACACAGGAAGGGGAATATCACACTCTGGGGACTGTGGTGGGGTGGGGGTAGGGGGGAGGGATAGCATTGGGAGATATACCTAATGCTAGATGACGAGTTAGTGGGTGCAGCGCACCAGCATGGCACATGTATACATATGTAACTAACCTGCACAATGTGCACATGTACCCTAAAACTTGAAGTATAAAAAAAAAAAAAAGTAACTTATTGCCTTTGTAACTCTTTCCCCAGTGCATTAATGATCACCGGAAAGTTAAAATACAGTTTTAGGTAATTGCATTCAAGTCTCCAAACCAGGTTTTCCAACTGGATAACCATCTAGAAGCTACCACTGGAAGAATCTTTAGCAACCATTATTACCAAGCCCAAAATCTCACAATCTTACCGTATTTCCCTTCTAGCTTTTCTTCTTTTGTTGCCCCCAGTTCCCTCCTCTCTTCTCCCCTCCCCTTTCCTCCTTCCTAAGACTGTGATGACTTTTGTAGGCCCTGGGCACTTTACGGGTCACTTTCTCCAATAAATAAATTTAAAAACTGCATTTCATGAAAGCATTGGTATATGAATAAATATGATACAGGTAGGCTTCAATAGTACATATTTATTATTATATTCACTTTTTTCTTCTGACTTTAAAGAAAAATAAAGTTAAAACATTGACGTGGACCCCTAAAAGTATCATAGTCTCTAATTAATGGGCCTCTTCTATCTAGTGGAGAAGGCAACCCCACTTCTTCCCTCTCTCCCTTTCCTCCTCCCTTTCTAATTTTCTCTCTCTCCTTTTCTTCTTTCCTCCCTGCCTCCCTCCTTTTCCTTCCTTCCTTCCTTCTTTCCTTCCTTCCTTCTTTCCTTCCTCCCACTTTCTTTCCACTTTTTCTTTCTTCCTCTTTCTTTCCTTTTTCTTCTTTGCTTTCTTTTCCTTTTATCTTTCTTTCTTTCTTTTCTTTCTCCTCCCTCCCTCCTTCCCTCTCTTCCTTCCTTCTTTCCTTCCTTCCCTCCTTTCTTTCTCTTTCTTCCTTTCTTTCTTTCTTCTCCTTCCTTCCTCTCTTTTCTCCTTTTCTTTCTTTTATTTTTCTTATTTCTTTCTTTCTTCTTCTTTTCTCTTTCTTGCTCACTCTCTCTTCCTTCTCCTCTCCTTTTCTTTCCTTTCTTTCCTTCCTTTCTCACCAACAGTTGGCATACTCACTAAGCAAAACATGTTTTCAGTTTCTTCTATATCTTGCTTGCAATCATTTCTCTTCTAAGAAATGAGGAAGTCATTTTCTTTCATATTTCTTTTAAAAAATGAAATATAATTGTAAGGGTTTCTTTCTGGAATCTTAAAAGATTTTTTGTTGTTGTTCTATCATGGGTAGTTTGGATTATCTGTTTTCCTTTTATTTCAGCATCATCTGTGCACTCCAATATTTATGAGAAACCCACAAAGATCCTTTGGCAATGTTTCCAACACTGGCTCAACTTCTGGTGCACTGAGCTGTCCTTTAGAGTTCAGATTGCCAGGGCTTCTGCTGGTGCAGCGGATGACATGGAATTTTAAAAATTAAGAAGCACATGCACTATCTTATCATTCAAAAACAAAAGCCACTTGAGATACGTGGCTACCAAAGGGAGTCCACGCAAGCCTGGCGGTTTCCCTCTTACTACTCAAAGCAGCAGCTGGAGTTCCACAGCTGTTTTCCATTGCTCTTGGAGCATTACACATGCATTCGGAAATGACCCTTAGGAGTCAAGCGGCCTTCTTTTTGTTTGCTTTTCTAGAAGATAACTTTCCCAATATAGCACTGGAGTCAAAAGCAAGAATTCAGGGTTGGAAACTCAGTCTATGCAATGGCCCAAAGGTCTTGGGCCATTCAAATTGCAAAACTGTGAATCTTCTGGGTCTGGTAGGGGGGCCAGGGAGGGTTGAGCTTGGCTATCCTTGGCCATGGGCTGGTGATATGCAACATAACCTCAGAATGTACTCCAGGCTTGAGTGAACAGACAATTTAATAATGATTGTGACAGGCCTTCCTCTATGACATGTTCCAGCCTCATGGTGAAAGGACAATGGTTTTCAGTATACCTGACCTTGGATGCCAAGTACCTGAAGATTGAGACCTAAAATAAACTGTGGGCTGAAACCTTAGAGTGTGTGTTATTTATATAATGCAGGGTCTCACTATGTTTAACATCTTTTCACATCATGCAGTGGGTGCTAGATAAGGAGAATCAAAATAGTCATCTTTTTAAGGACTAATGAGTGGAACGGTTCAGTAAATAATTTGGGGAAAATCTCCTTCACCACTTTCCTTGATGCACCCTTTATTATTTGGTTCTTATATTAACAGAGACTCTTTACTGAGCAACTGCAAAGATCCAGACAGCAAGCTAAGTCAGAGTTGCATGAGCATTGGGTTTAGAGAGCTGCAAAAATATTTACAAGTAGGCATCACTGGGCGCAATGGCTGATGCCTGTAATCCTAGTACTTTGGGAAGCCAAGGGTGTGGATCATGATCACTTGAGCCCAGCAGTTTGAGACAACCTGGGCAACATAGTGAGACTTTGTCCCTACCAAAAAAGAAAAGAAACAAAAAAAAATGGCCAGGTGTGATTGCGACCACCTGTAGTCCCACCTACTAGGGAGGTTGAGGCTGTAGTGAGCCATGATTGCACCACTAATAAACAAAAATCCAGTAGCCATCATTATCTTAACTCATTGTGAAAAATCTGAGTCTCACAGAAGAAGTCATAAAAGACTATGAATTCATAAAAGAATTCATAGTTGATTCTTAAGCTTAAATCTGTGAGATTGCTCGATTTCTAAGTAAAATGTTTAGGGATGAAAAAAATTAAAGATATTTCCACTTCCAGAGGGTACTTGAATAATCATCTTCCTTTTTACCTGGGCGAGAAACTTTCTCCTAGAAAACTGCTAAAGAGTATGTACTTCTGCTTTTACTCAATGCAAAGTCCACTGGACTTGGAATTGAGAACGTGGGGTAGGCATCCTGAATCTGTTTATTATGACTTGGTGTAGGTGTAGGTCAGAAGAATACTAAGAAACAGAACTCACCTTTTCTTCCCAGGACTGTAAAGATTGCCTTGTTCATCCTCCCAGCAATGCTAGAAGGTTGGTATTATTGTTGTCTATTTAACAAATGAAGATTTTTAACTAAACGGACTGAATAGCTTCTCTAAGCTCACAAAGGCCATGAGAAAGGGGCCCAGGATTTGAAGAACATCAACACTGCCTATTTCCAAAACTCCTCAACTCTCCCATCTGCTACCTTGCCTGGCACAAATTACTTTTTGAGCCTCCTCTTCTTTGCCTGTGAAGTAGGAATGATAATATCTTCTTTGTGCTGTTGTTGTGCTATTGTGTGTGTTAAATACTGTATTCTACACAAAGATGCTCAGGAAAGTACTTCACACACAGTCAGTGAGTGATACATACTAATTGCTTTGAAATCAAAGTTTCATTTGCAAGTTGCTTTTGAATCTTTTGTCTCAAACACAGCTTCTTGAATCAAATGCAGACTTAAGTAAAACCTAAGTACATTTTGATTGGAGATACATATATATGTGTATATATATCCGTATAATATATATGATGGAGTCTCACTCTGTTGTCCAGGCTGGAGTGCAGTGGCATGATCTCAGCTCACTGCAACCTCTGCCTCCTGGGTTCAATCAGTTCTCCTGCCTCAGCCTCCCAAATAGCTGGGACTACGGGTGCATGCCACCACACCCGGCTAATTTTTTGTATTTTAGTAGAGACAGAGTTTCACCACATTGCCCAGGCTGGTCTCGAACTCCTCAGTCAGGCAATCCTGATGCCTTGGCCTCCCAAAGTGCTGGGATTACTGGTGTGAGCCGCTGTGCCCGGCTTGATTGTATATTTTTAAAACAGAGACGGCCATAATGGAGAGCACCTTGGGCAACTCTGCCAAAACTTGTGCTGCACGTCTCCAATTAAAGTCTAGCTTTGTTGGTCCAAAGAAAATATTGCTTTCTAAATAACATGAATTTGATTTCCTTAAATGAGTATTTAAATGATGTCTGGATTTTGAAAACAGCAAGGAGCTGTTCTTTGCATCTTCTGAGAAATTTTTTTTTTTCTTTAAAAAAAAAAACAATTTCAACTTCCTTTGAGATTCAGAGGGTCCATGGGCAGGTTTGTTTTCTGGTTATATTGTGTGATGCCAAGGTTTAAGAAATGATTGATCTTGTCACCCAGATAGTCAGCAGAGTATTCAATAGTGAGTTTTTCAACCTTGCCCCCTCTCTTCCTCCCTCCTCTAGTGGTCCCCAGTGTCCATCGTTCTTATCTTTATGTCCATGAGTACACAGTGTTTAGCCCCCACCTATAAGCGTCAACATGTGATATTTATTTTTCTGTTCCTGCATTAATTTGCTTAGGAAATGGCCTCTGACTGCAACCATATTACTGTAAAGGACATGATTTCATTCTTTCTTATGGCTACATAGTATTCCATATGTTACATACCATATTTTCTTTTTCCAGTCCACAACTGATGGGCACCTAAGTTGATTCCATCTTTGCTATTTTGAATAGTGTTGTAATGAACATACACGTGCATGTGTATTTTTGGTAGAATAATTCATTTTCTTTTGGCTATCTACTCAGTAACGAGATTGCTGGGTTGAATGGTAGTTCTGTTTTACATTCTTTGAGAAATCTCACTGAGCAATTTTTGGTCTGAGTCAACAGAAATGTTGCTTATCTCTCTGTTCCTAACATCTGGGCAGCCCCTAACCCCTGTCCAACCCAGAGACAATTTGGGAGATTTTAGGGAAAATTTTAAAAGATGGTTGCCAAACCCTAAGCCAAGAACTTTACAATTTTATTGGTTTAAAATAGTTTTTTAAAAATGACTATTTTTGAGGTTCTTCAGGTGATGTATACAGCCAGAAATGAGAGCCATTCTACTAAACTGGTTTTTTTACAGCTCTGCAGAATTGCCATTTCTCCTCAAAACTGGGTCTTTGCGCACACCGTTTGCTCTTCCCAGAACTCTGTTCCCTCTAGGTTTCACCTAGCTAGATCATATTCATCTATCAGTCCAAAAATAAATAATGCTTTCAATGAAAAATCTTCCCTTCCTGTGGTGAGCAGACCTTAGGGTGGTCCTGTGATTCCAGCCCTCGTATTCAGAGCCTGTGTAATCCCCTCTTCTTGAGTTGGGTGAGACCTGTGCCTTGCCTCTGGCCAATAGAATATGGCAGAGGTGAAAGGTTTTGCAGATATAATTAAGCTCCAAAATAAATCAATTTTTAGTTAGTTAAAAGACTATCCTGCCCCTCTGGGCCTGACTAAATCAGGTAAAAGCCTTTGAGAGAGACACTGGGTCTTCCCAAAGAGAGACTTTCCTTGTGGGCTTGATAATGTAAGTGGCCATAGTCATGATGGAGAAGTCCCTGGGGCAAGGAACTGTGGGCTGCCCTAGGGGCCTATGGGTTCCCTCCAGTCAATGGCCAAGAAAGGCCAATACCTCCAATTTTACCACCACAAGGAAATCAATTCTGCCAACAACTCAAAAGGGCTTGGAAGTAAAAATTCCCCCCATTTAAGCCTTCAGATGAGAATGCAGCTCAGTGGACACCTCGTTTGCTGCCTTGTGAAACCCTGAGCAGAGGACCCAGTTAAGCTGTACTTGGACTCTCAACCTACAGACACTGGTAGATAATAAACATGTGTTATTTTAAGACATTAAGTTCATGGTAATTTATTATGCTGTGATAGACAACTAATACCTCTCCGGTATTCTCCCTCACGTATGTTTTCTTGGACTCCTGGAATTGTTCACAGCACTTAGCACAGTTTTTTGTTTTTTGTTTGTTTGTTTGTTTGTTTGTTTTTGAGACAGAGTCTCACCCTGTCGCCCAGGCTGGAGTGCACTGGTGTGATCTTAGCTCACTGCAAGCTCCGCCTCCCAGGTTCACACCATTCTCCTGCCTCAGCCTCCTGAGTAGCTGGGACAGCAGGAGCCCGCCACCATGCCCGGCTGATTTTTTGTATTTTTAGTAAAGGTGGGGTTTCACTGTGTTACCCAGGATGGTCTCAATCTTCTGACCTCATGATCCACACACCTCGGCCTCCCAAGGTCCTGGGATTGCAGATGTGAGCCACTGCACCCGGCCAGCACAGTTTTAAATGTTGATTCAAAGTCTGTTTTTCCTGATAGATAGTAAGCTTGGTGAGCACTGGGTCCTTTGCTATCTTTCTCACTACTCTGACCCTAGCACTTCATTGAGTACCTGACACCTATATAGTAGGTTCTCAATAATTGTCATTACATGAATGGACACATGAACCAATGAACCATGCTATCTTTCTGCTCCAGTCTTCCCACCAAGTCCTATCCAAATTCCCCTTTTGGTCTGTCTTCTGGCATCTCCCCTTGCATTAGAGTAGGGGCTAGTATGCTATGACTCTCAGGCCAAATCTAGCCTGACACCTAACACTTACAAACTTTGGCCTATGAGTGAATCATTGCTTTTGCATTTTTAAATGATTAGACATTTTTAAAAATAATACAATTTCATGACAGGAAATGATTCTATGAAATTCAAGTTTCAAAGTCTGGGAATAAAGTTGTTTTGTTTCTCATTCTTTTGAGACGGGGTCTCACTATGTTGCCCAAGCTGTTCTTGAACTTCTGGGCTCAAGCAATCCTCCCTCTTCAATCTCCTGAGTAGCAAGGAATACAGCCATCCACCACCGTGCCCAGCTTACAAATCAAGTTTTATTGGAACATACTCATGTGCATTTTTGTATGTATTGCCTGTGCTAACTTTCATGCTACAATGGCAGAGTTAAATAATTGAAACAGAAACCATGTAGTGCACACAGACAGAAATATCTAGCCCTTTAGAGTAGAAAAAAAGCTTGTCAGTTTCTGATATAGAGTTCAAGAATTATGGATGAAGACGGTAGAGTCAGAATCAGAGGTTTTTTTTTTTTTTTTTTTTTTTTTTTTTTTCTACCAGCTGGTCCAGGCAGTGAAGCATGAGAGCTTTGCGACATGAAGTAGTATGGCATCTCAGGGCCTACCTGCCTCAGGAACAGCTGGAGGAGGCAGCATTGGTGCAGATATGAGCATGAAGAGGCAACAATACTGTGGGTTAGGTGCCATCTTCCAATGTCTTTCTGGACGAAGATCATCAATAGCATTTAGGCAGAGTCCCAAGGACAACTTGATGATCCCATAGGACATCTCCTGGAGCCTCTCAGAAATTACTGGGGCAAATTCTAGAAAGGTTTAGGGTCTCTATGATATGTCAATAGAGATGAAAGAGCAAAAGTTTACATTAAGATCAATGTGACTTTATTCAAACTCACTGTAAGTTGAGGATAGGGAGAACTCCCCTGTCAGTACAACTAATACACCAACTTTCAAATTAAACTAAAGCTCTATCTCCTCTGCTTCCCCAGGCTACAAGTCTCTAGCCAGTCTCCAAATTCCCAACATACCCAATTCCTGGTGCACTCCTCTGATACGTCTTACTAGCTGCCAATTTAAGGGTGTATTTTCTGCCCGACTAACTAGACTCTGAGTATCTTCTGGCCAAGACTGCATATTATTTATATCACACTACCTGGCACACAATTAATATTAAACAAATAACATCACTAATAATAGTTGTTTTCATATTTTATTGATGGAAATAGGAGCTTTTCGTTGAGACCACTAAGTTTTTTGGAGAAATTATCAAAGGTACTTACATCTTCCCACACACATGCTTGTCTCTCTGCCAGAGATACTCCCTTTATGCACAGTTGTCCTTCGCCTGGTTAACAATGGCTTAGCCTATGGGTCTCAGTTTAAAACCTCCCTGTGAGTAGAACCATAAGATGTCCTCCCAGCCGGTGAGATTCCACAGCGTAGACATGGGCCCATCAACACCAAGCCCCAGATAGATCCGAACGAAGACGCAACTTTCAGAAACGTGAAGTCCAAAGATACTTGCATAAATAGGATTTTAGTGGTTCAGTCTACATTTATTTTTGGATGTGTAAGTTATTACAAATTTTTGTAGCTAATATAAATAACTAAATACATCAGAAATAATATCTATCTTTGTGCATGTTCTCAGTCTTTTAACTTCAGTACACATGGCCGCCCCCACTACAAAGCATTATCTGGTTCCCAAAGTCAGTACAACGGTAATGTTGAGAGACCTCACTAGAGATGTAATTTTTGATGGTTACATATAATTCTATGGTTTGAAATGTTTCTTTGTTTGTTTTTGAGACAGAATCTTGCTCTGTTGCCCAGGCTGGAGTGCAGTGGTGGATCTCAGCTCATTGCAAACTCTGCCTTCTGGGTTCAAGCGATTATCCCGCCTCAGCCTCCCAAGTAGCGGAGACTACAGGCACCACCATGCCTGGCTACTTTTTGTATTTTTAGTAGAGACGGGGTTTCACCATATTGGCCAGGCTGGTCGTGAACTCCTGACCTAGTGATCCACCCGCCTCAGCCAAAAGTTTTTTATTTAGTTAAACACCAGCCCTCTATTGTTGAATGTGTGTAAGTGATTACAAATTTTTGTAGCTAATATAAGTAACACCTAAGTAAATCAGAAATAATATCTATCTTTGTGCAAGTTCTCAGTATTTTAACTTGTTTCCTCTACATGTTCTTCCTGTTTATTGAAATCATATTCAGAACATTTATAGAAACATCTAAGTGATTATCATCTCACCACTTGGAAGCAGCTATTTTTAAGCTTTTGGGCTATTTCCTTTCAGTCCTTTCTGTGTCACTAAGTTTTTCATTTTCTTCTATCCTTTTTCCCCTTTCTTTTCTCTTTTCCTCATCCTTCTACTATTATTTTCTATAGAGAAGATCATACTCTATGCCTAGTTTTCATTTTTTTTTTCTTGCCTATGCTAGTGTATGTAATTTCTAGGATGATTCAAAATTTTCCGTGGACCAATAAGTCTCTACAAGGGGCAATTTTATCCCCCAGGGGACAGTTGACAATGTGTAAAGACATTTTTAATTGTTACAGTTAGTGACAACTAATTAGAGGTAGTGGGTAGGGGTTTTGCTTTTGACATCTAGTGGTTCAAGACCAGGGCTGCTGCTGAACAACCTATGATACACAGGGCATTCCCCACCACAAAGAATGATCCAGTTCCCAGTGTCAGTAAAACACCAATGTTGGAGACCTCACAGTAGATGTAATTTTTGATGGTTCTATGGTTTGAAAGTTTTTCATTTAGTTAAACACCAGTCCTCTATCGTTCGGTGTATAAGTTATCACAAATTTTTTTAGCTAATACAAATAACATTGAACACATTTAAGTGTTTCAAATTAACACATTAGTATTCCTCTCTTTTCTGTAACCACTGAGCCAAATTAAAGCCATGGGTATTGTAAATGCCAAAATGATTATGGCTCTTCAGTACGATAAGCCCCTCAATGCAGAGCCAGTAGTAATTCTTTATGCTCACAAGGTTTATCACATGTTCTCAACAAAAGATGACTGTCTAATGGTTAGTTATGTGAATAAATGCTTGTTGGCAGTGAAGGTTATTCATTTTTCTCTCAACAACTTTCCCTTTTCCCCAACTTTCCGTTTAGTCTCTTTTCATGAGGTCTGTTGGCCCCTGAGACCAGGAGTTAGAAAGCAGATGCCGAGTCACATCGTCACTTCCTGGTACTCTGCCAACGTTATGGGGATGTCAGCGACATTGGTATTAGTGTGTCATTCACTATAATAGATCAGCAGCTGGGCTGGGCATGGTGGTCACGTCTGTAATCCCAGCACTTTGGGAGGCTGAGGTGAGTGGGTCACTTGAGATCAGGAGCTCGAGACTAACCTGGCCAACATGGTGACACCCCCATCTCTACTAAAAATACAAAAATTAGCCAGGCATGGTGGCACACACCTGTACTTCCAGCTACTCAGAAGGCTGAGGTAGGAGAACCACTTGAACCCAGGAGACGAGGTTGCAGTGAGCTGAGATCGCGCCACTGCACTCCAGCCTAGGTGACAGAGACTCTGAAAAAAAAAAAAAGCGGGAAAGAAAAAGAAAGAATGAATGAAAGAAAGAAAGAAGAAAGAATGAAAGAAAAGAAAGAAAGAGAAAGAAAGAAAGAAAGAAAGAAAGAAAGAAAGAAAGAAAGAAAGAAAGAAAGAAAGAAAGGAAAAAAAAGATTAGCAACCATAGGACAGAAAGACATCTGAATAAATAGGATTTGAGTGGTCTATTTTACAGATGAGAATGCTAAGGCCCAGGGAGAAAATGCCTCCACCAGAGCCACATAGCTGATAAGAGAGGTTCATTCCTCTGTGGCCAGTACTCTGTGCCTTCCAAGTGAGTAACCCTGCAGAGGCCTGCTGGGGCTTTTCTCTGTGGAAGCTGGAGGAGCTCTGGACGTCCGTAAAGAAGCCTTTATGTCCTACCTGGTGTAGCCTGAACTGCAGACCTGGTCCCCAAAGCCCAGGACGCTCCTAGAGTCAGCCCTGCCTCTCCTGAGCCAACGATAGGCCAAAGTTTCTCAAAGAGTGGTCTTGAGTTATCTACATCAAAATCCCTAAGACTCTTATTACCTTCAGATTCCTAGGTCCTACTGTAAATGCACCAACTATTTCATATCAGTTCCCTACCAGATTCTCAGGCATGCTTAAATCTGAGAAGCATTGAGTTAGAAAAGGGGTTGACACATTTTTTTTCTCCAAAGGGCCAGACGGTAAATACTTTAGGCTTTGTGGACAGTATAGTCTCTGTTGCAAAGTCTCAACTGGGCATTGCAACGTGAAAGCAGCTACAGGCAATACATAGATGGTCATGTCTAGATTTGGCCTATGAGACATAGTTTACCAGCCTCTGGGATAAACCATTCAGTCAACCAAAATAGCTTGAAGCCTGAATTCATATGTTAGCCTCATTTATTCTCATTTCACAAAAGGAGATGCTCTTTGAGACACTGGATACATATTGGGAGGCCTGGAAATGATTGCAAGCTTGGCTCAGATCTAACTGTATGGACTTGGCAACTCTGTTCCTTCACTAAGACTCAGTTTCCCCATCTTATAACAGTTGACCCCTCAGCCCTCAGTCAGCCTCAGCTGGCATGCATGTCCCTTGACTTTCTCCTGCAATTGATGGCATCTTAGAGCCTCAGGAGCATTTGTCTACTGCCTGTCCCTGTGTGTCGGACGGAAAAGGAGGGCTTTGGCCAGCCTAGGCCTCACTTCCCAGCAGCTTCCCTGAGCACCTCCAGGCTTCTCGGCAAAGGCTAGAGCTCAAAAGGCCAAGAGTGAGTCACAGGGCGGGGGTGCCAGAATTTGCTTTTCTCACTCCCTCTCTCCAGGCTTTGCCTTCCAAGACACTGGGCTGGAGGCCCTGGCGGTGTGGGAGGAAGGGGCAGCCCTCTTCCCAGCCCCACCTGTGTGCCACCTTGATGGCTCTCAACAGGCGGAGTCTGCTGGGCTCCACCCACAATCCTAAGTCCTCTTCTCCATCCTCATCTGCCTGTCCGGGTTCATCATGCCCAGTAACCATGGGCAAATGCCCATAGGGACCACAGGGATCAGATCTCAGCTTTCTCTCCCAAACTCTTCTCTCTGTACCTATCTTCTCTGTTTAGCAAATTCCTGCTTATTCTTCGTGTGCTGCCACTTCCAAGAAGCCTTCCTGGGTTGCTGAAGAGGCTTACTCCACTACTCCGTGATGCTTTGGTTGCCCTCACACAATCCACCTTTTGACCATTTCTCAGCACTTGGACTATTGATGTTGTTGTTGCTGCTGTTATTGTGAGTCTCTCACATAGGCAATGGGTGTGTCCATGGCAAGAACTGAATCTTACTAATTTTTATATCCCTTGACCTCAGTGCAACTTGTACACACTAGGAGCTTAATCATTGCATGTCAAACTTATTTCATAAAGGTAGATTTCATTTGGTGCTCAAAAGAAAATTAAATAAGGCTTTCTCTACCAGGTAGCAAACTTATGGAGCTTATTACCCCCAAGAAGTGGATCAATACAACTATGAATGCATTACAGAAAAAGTAAGATACTGAATGCTGAGGAGATCCAAATGGATTGTGATCATTTTTAGCCACCTTTGCTTTCACTTTACTTCTCTTTATTCATTAAACGCTTCGTTCTCCTATTGGTGGGCATCATCCAAATTTGTTATCTTGAGTCTTCCTTTGCTTTGATTTCTTTGTCTTTATAATTGAAAGCCTCAGATTTGAGAAAGTCTCAGAATCTCTTAGCTTGGTAAAAGTTCATATTTCAAGGTCTACCCTGAGAGAGGGGGAAGTAGTAGGGCTTGGGTGGGTCCTGGAGGTGCCTTTATAACAAGCTCCCAAGGCTACCTGCAGGCAGGCGGTTTGTGCGTCACTCTACCCTTCCCTTCCTGGTTGATTGACTTTTTTCTTTTTTTTAAGTGCCAGTTCTATGCCCAATACTGCTGTAGGAACTGAAAATAGAGTGGAGACCCAAAGAGTGGTCCTCCCTTCATGGGGAATGCATGCTGCCCTTCCCTCCACTGGATCTTCCATGACATCATTTGAAGACCTCCGTGGTCAGGCTGTCCTGGAAATTTCTCATCAATGTGTTCAAAAGGCCATTGTTTACTCTCTCTCCAAATATCAGCTGCCCTCCATGCCACCCTGTCCTTGACTTCCCTGCGTCTATCATGGTTCCAGCATTCTTCTTCCTCCTTCCCCCAGTTGCCCACCCTGTGTGTTGTTTGTGCATTATCTACTCTAACTGTGCAGGTATCAGGCCTTTTTGATTCTTCATCCTTACCACTTGTCTCTTCTCATGTCTCTGGTTAATCACAAACAAGATCCTTAGAAGTTCATGCTAAAAGCCTGCAGAAGACACTTCATTTGCTTCCCTCATCTTTTCTTATTTTAATTTATTCAAATTGATCTTCAAGTGCTGTGTTTCTGAAACTATGACAAGCACTAGAATTATCTGGAAGTCCTGTGAAAATGAGATTCCCTGTTCATTGCTCTGCAGGGTCACCTGAGATCTGGCAATCTCACATGCTGAGGCTGGTGGTTCGTGGATGTCACTTTGAGGGGCAGGTCCTAGAACACACTGTTTTTACTTTGTAAGTCTCCTTCCTTTTTCTCCATTGGCTGTCACCCATCAGCTTCAACCCTGAAATTTAGACTGGCATTTACAGCTTAAACCTGCCAGTGGTCTTCTCATTGAATTTTTTTCTCCTCCTTCTTAGACTCTTTTCTTTGCTTCACAGGTCTCCTTCCAGCCCATTTCCCCCATCTTTGCTTTTGCTACCTTTCACATCAGAAATGTTGTCATCTTTCCCTTGATTCTTTGAATCTTTACCTAACTCATATGGTTTGGCTGTGTCCCCACCCAAATCTCATCTTGAATTGTAGTTCTCATAATCCCCAGGTGTCATGAGAGGGACCCAGTGGGAGGTAATTTCATCATGTAGGCTGTTAGTCTTATGCAGTTCTCGTGATAGTGAGTGAGTTCTCATGACATCTGATGGTTTTATAAGGGGCTTTTTCCCCTTTCACTCTGCACTTCTTCCTGTCACCACTTGAAGGAGAATTTACTTGCTTCCTTTTCTACCACGATTGTAAGTTTCCTGAGGCCTCCCCAGCCATGCTGAACTGTGAGTCAATTAAACCTCTTTCCTTTATAAATTACCCAGTCTCTGGTATGTCTTTATTAGCAGTGTGAGAACAAATTAATACACCAGCCTTCCAGTTAAACTAAAGCTCTATTTCCTCTACTTCCCCAGACTACAAGTCTCTAGCCAGTCTCCAAATTTCCAACACACCCACTTCCTGGTGCATTCCTCTGATATATCTTACTAGCTGACAATTTAGTGGTGTGTTTACTGCCCAACTAACTAGACTGTGAGCATCTTGTGGCCAAGACTCCATATTATTTATATCACACTCCCTGGCACACAGTTAATATTAAACAAATAACACCACTAATAATAGTTGTTTTCATATTTTAATGGAAATCAGGACTTTTGGTTGAGACCACTAAGTTTTTTGGAGAAATCATCATAGGTACTTACATCTTCCTATACACATGCTTGTCCCTCTGCCAGAAACACTACCTTTATGCACAGTTGACCTTTGCCTGGTTAACAATGGCTTATCCTCTGGGTCTAAGTTTAAAACTCCCTTCTTCAGAGATGTCTCTGACCATCCAGATTAGTCTATTTCTCTCTGATATCATTTGCATAGCACACTATACTCTCTCTTATAGCATGAATCACACCTGAAATCAGTAATTTTACTATCTTTTCCAACTATTTGTATTGTAAGAAGATTATATATCGTTGCCTGTTATTGTATGACCTACAGTTCCTCTCTGTGGGAAGAGTGTATTTCCCTGCTCCATTTATGTTGGTTCTGGCCATGTGACCTGATTTAGCCAATGAAAAAACACAGTGAAATGCACCATTTTTAGCCATCTCTAGTTAAACACCTTCCTGGAGGAGTAAATTCTATACCAGTGGTTCTCAACCAGGGCTTGATTTTTCTTTCCATGGGAAAATTGCCAATATCTGGAGATCTTTTTAGTTGTCACATATGGGGGTAATGCTGCTGGCATTAGTGAGTAGAGGCCAGGGACGCTGCTAAACATCCTACAGTGTGCAGAATAGCTCCCCACAAAAAAAGAAGTATCCAGCCCTCAATGTGAATGGTACCGAGGCTGAGAAACTGGGCTATACACCAATGTCATCTGAGAAAAACTCTACTCCAAGTGGGAAAATGAGCTTTGAAATAAACATCCATTCACTAGTTTAGTGTCCTGGATTTTACAATCTTTCTGAACCTTGTTTTCTTAATTATTTGAGAAGTGTGTATGATAACTCTACCCTCAAGAAGATGTGGTAGAGATTAAAGAAAATATCGTAAGTGTCGTGAATGGCATATTGGTCTACAAGAATGCTAGATCTGTCTCCTGTCCTCACTGATGCTATGTCAAGATTTATTACACACAATCAAGTTTTTTTTTTTTTCTTTTTTTGACAGAGTCTCACTCTGTTGCCAGGCCTGAGTGCAGTGGTGCGATCCTGGCTCACTGCAACCTCTGCCTCTCCCCGGGTTCAAGTGATTCTCCTGCCTCAGCCTCCCAAGTAGCTGGAACAACAGCTGTGTGCCAACATGCCCAGCTAATTTTTGTATTTTTAGTAGAGATGGGGTTTCACCATGTTGGCCAGGATGGTCTCGATCTCCTGACCTCGTGATTCGCCTGCCTTGGCCTCCCAAAGTGCTGGGATTACAGGCATGAGCCACCATGCCCGGCCCAATCAAGTTTTTAATTCTCTAAATAACATTAGGATTTGTGCTAGAACCTTTAAAATATTACTCAAACGAGGGCAGCAGGGATTGGGGATAGGATTTCTATTATTTGTGCTACCTGACTAATTCTGGAGACTTGGACCCAGACTTTGGTGGGTTGAATCCAAAGGTGCAGGGACTTTGTGTTCCCCAAGAGGGCAGGCAGCAGAGCCCATGTGTTCTTTAACTAACTGTGTCTTTGTGTTTGCAATGGCAATGGGAAAGAGGGAAAAATTATAATAATTCTTACAATGATTATGTGCTGGGATCTTTGGCTGGAATGATCCCTTGGAATGAAAAGCTGATACTATCATGCCTTTGCTTACATCCCTTCAGTGGCTTGTTTTCTTTGGAGCCTGTAAAATCAAAGTCCAAATCCTTCCTGTGACTTAGAGTCGCCGCAGTCTGTCTCTTGTCCTCCCTACTCTAGTGTACCCATATTGTCCACGGATCTCGGAATATGTCATGCCTTCTCTAGTCTCAGGGTCTTTGCACAGGAAGTTCCCATGTTATAAAATGCTTTTCCCCCTTCTTTTCACCTTTATAACCTCTACTTATCTTCCTGTTTTATGCTAAAGTCTCTGTCAGAGAAGGCTTTCTCAAATCCTCCAAACAAGTCAGGTCATTTCCCCCTGTATTTCTACGATGCCCATTCTCAGAGCTGATGGCAATCAGTAAAACTGTGTCCCTCACTGTATGCTTACCAGTTAAAACATTGAAGACAATACTTTTGTAATTGTTGATGATTTATTACTGCTCTGAGCCCCCAGTGCCAAGCCCTGACCACACGGACCCTCTTTGGAACATTCCCTTTTGCCCATTCCCCATTACTCCAAAATCAAGCAACTAAAAGTTTATTCTCTGGCACCATAGTGGACTTTCAGACCCCTGATCTGAGGTTACAGCCAAAATCCATTCTGATTGGCCCATATAATCCCTGCTCATATTTCTGCCTTATGATTATTTGTCTCATAATCATGTTATCGAGCAGTGATTATTTGTGTTTTTGGTAACATTCTAAAATCCAGAAAGCAGGGGCGAGTTTTAGAGTATAGTGGACCTGCAACCTGAAATACTCAATATGCACTTCTGTTAACTGCTTGTGTTATTTAATCCTCACAACTCCATGAGGTAAAAGTTGTCCAGCCTTTCTATTTTACAACTGAGGCTTCAAAAGATAAAAGAGATCCATGCTGAAGGGAGAGGAAAAGAAGAAGACCCCAAGGACCACAGGCCTGGGCCTGTGTTATCCCAATGCCATCATCTCAGGATACGATGGGAGCTGCTAGGTGTAGAGATGGCTCTTCTTTGAAGAAACCCCCATGAAATGGTTTCAGGGGAGGTCACTGTGGTTATATCCCAGAAGATTTGCCCTGCAAGTGAAACAGAAGCTTCTCATGGAGATGTGGAGGGGGCTGCCCCGCTGTGTCAGAAAGTGGAGACTCTATGGAACCAACCCCATTATACTGAGATAGGGTTGAGGCTGCTGATGGGTCTTTACCTATTGTAGCTTCCATTTGTATGGTAGGCAGCCGCTAAGATGGCCCCAGATATCACTGCCTTGTGATAGTCCTGTCTTTGTGTAATCCACTCCCCATGAGTGTGGGCTGGATCTACTGGCTCTCTTCTGCTAAACAGATGATCGAAAAAGTGATGAAATGTCACTTCTAAAATTAGGTTACACAGAGAATGTGGTTTCTTTTTTGCTCACTCCCTCTTACTCAGGGAAACTAGCTACCTCTTTATGTACTGCCCTATGGAGAGGCACACATGTCAAGAAACTGAGGGAGTGCCTTCCAGTCAACAGCCAGCCAGGAACTAAGGTGCTCAGTACAGCAGCCTCCACAAAGGACTGAACAATGCCAACAGCTATTTGACTGTGCTTGGAAGATCTCCGTTTAGTTAACCCTTCAGATGAGACCGCAGCCCTGGCCAGCAAACAAATTGCAGCCTATGGAAAGACCTTAAGGCAGAAGCACCCAACTGAACCACCCGAGGGCTCTGACTTACAGAAACTGTGAGCAGTAAGTGCCTATTTTTTTAAACCACTATACTTTGGGGATGGTTTGTTACACAGTTATAGACTACTAATAGAGTTTGTTAAGTTAGTATTTTAGTCTGCTTTTTTAGCTGCAAGATAAAACTAACCCCTTCACATAAACAGTTAGATTGCAACTCTATAGGTTCCGTTTTAACTTTATAGTTAGCTACTAATGAATCTACACATAAATATTCAGATTCCCCTAACACAGAAGAGAGGCCTACTATGTGCAGCATTATGAAATGTGAATTTCTAGATATAAAGACTTTGTCTCATTCATCTCTATACCCCAAGGCCAAGACCAAACTTTATCACATCATAGCTATTTAATATTGATGGGTTGATTTAAACGATCTAATTACTGGATAGCTATTATGACCCACATTTTACTGATATAATAAGAGAAGTACCTAGAGTTTAAGTGATTCAGAGAAAGTCATGTGAGTGGAGTCAGGGCTTTTGCCCAAATTCTCAGGCTGCCATCTGTGTATCCCAGAACTTCCTTAGTGGGTAAAATAGCTCATTACTGACTAGAATGGCAATGTTTTCCTTCCATTGCAACATACTAGCTCAAAATAAGCAGGTGGCTTTTTTTAGAAAAACAGTGTTTCATTAAAGATTGTATTCCAAAAAGGCTTTGTTAACTCCTTTTTTCCCTTTAAGTATAGTGAAATGGCCTCTACCTTATTTTGAATGGATTTCTGGGATAAAGTTCTTCAGTGATAACATGTTTGAAGTAAGTAACAATTAAGTTATCTTAGTCCTCACTAATAATGTTCATAGAGCAATTGGTGTTTCTTTCTGAGTTAATAACAAACATTTGCAGCCAAACCATAGGACTCTGAAGATAAAGCAATTGGCAAGAAACGGTATGTTTAAATACCAGAAAATAGCCCATATCCAAACAGGTGTGCGATAAAACAGTATAAATAAACTGCTCTGTATGCAGTTTAGCCCAAGCAGAATTGTGTAGGAAACTTTCTTATTCTGGAAAAAATATAACCAAACCAGGCCTCTTGTATCCTCCTTAGACTGCACAGCTGGAAAAACAGTTCTTGTTCAAACAGCCGAAAGTAAAAGTTGTTTTAATTTTTTTTAATGGCCAGATAAACAAAACCTTGCTAGAGGAATGACTATACTTGTGCAAATATGGCCTTGAGCTAGAATCTTGTGAAAGACTCACCTCTTTTCAACCTTTAAGAAATATGCCTGCTTCTTTGAATTCGCGATGGTCACTTCATGTTGTGTTAGGATATTTTTTAAAAATGTTTCTGTTGGTACAGTTATCTTAACCACCTGGGTACTTGACTTGACTTACGGCATTAAGAGTATAGATGCCTAAAAGAAGTACTTGGTTTCTATTAAGATCTCCTAAGTGCACAGGAAACATGGTTTAGAGCTCAAAGAGGTTATAAAAACTGTCCATCTTTTCATGCCATTTCTTTCTGGCCAGGAACAAAGGTAAGACAAGAGGTTGGTCCATGCCAGAAAGTCTGAAAGTATGCGGGTTAAATGTTTCCAAGTGTGCTGTTTGGTGTTTGGGATCATTTGTTCTTTGCCAAGCTGTGTCTAAGGGGGGAAAAAGCAAAAACAATGGAGACGTAGCCTAAGGTTCCTGGAGATATCTGGCATTTGACATGCCTCAGTGGTGAGGAGCATTTATGGTCTAGTGAAAAGTAAGTGGTCCTCTGCATTCCACAATCCAAACCCTGGCTAAATCTCTGACCAGTAGGACAATTACCACTTCTGAGTCTCAGTTTTCCATCTCTAAAATGGTCTTCTATACACAGTTATGAAGACTACATGGAAATACATAACTTGTTAGAGGCAATAACACATGAAGATTACATGCAGTAATACACATGCAATAACATAAATAATCTTATGACGATTACATGCCCTGGAATGATTATCTATAGATACTGTGTGCAAAGTGAAATTATACCAAGTGCTATAGAAATAAAAATGGCTGAATAGAGGTCAATTGGTGTGGCAGTTAGGAGCATAGGTTCTGGGCCGGGCACAGTGGCTCATGCCTGTAATCCCAGAACTTTGGGAGGCCAGGGCAGAAGGATAGTTTGAGCTCAGGAGTTAAAGACCAGCCGGGACAACATGGCAAAATCCTGTCTCCACAAAAAAAAAAGAAAGAAAAGCTAGCCGGGCAGGGTGGTGCATGCCCACATTCCCAGCCACTTGGGAGGCTGAGGTGGGAGAATCACTTGAGCCCAGGAGGTCAAGGCGTAAGTGAGCTCTGGTAAGTGCATTAGGTTGGTGCAAAAGTAATTGCAGTTTCGGGCTCTAGTTTTAAGTGGCAGAGACCACAATTACTTTTGTGCCAACCTAATACCACTGAACTCCAGCCTGGGTGACAAAGTAAGACCATGTCTCAAAAAAAAAAAAAAAAATAGTGTAGATTCTAAGCTCAGGCTTGCTTGAAATTCTGGCTCATTTTCTTTGTATCTGAGTAGCCCTGGTGAGTCTGAATTTCCCTATCTGTAAAATGACAATAATAGCAGTACATTCTTTATTCTGTTTAAAATGAAGAGCTCAAGTGCTAGTGTGTACTCATGTGCTTTCTTTGTGAGTTCAAGCACTCAAGACTTCAAATGGTATCTTCCAGAGCTTCTTCAGCTAGATTCTGTCCTCTTCCTCATTTGTCACTCTGCTGGCTGCTCCAGGTCGTTCCAATCTATAAATAACCATTTCAGAGCCAGACATCACTGACTAATATCTCAATCTCTAGGAACAAACATTTTGACTTGTGCCACACTCAGTGGTTCAGAATGATTGTAACCCAATTCTGACTATAACTAGAATGAGATGGAAATCCAGCATTCTACTTGGGAGCAGGATTTTCTCTAAGAAACTACAGCGGATCAGGATAAAAGTTCTCTTTTCTGTTATTCATAAAAGGCAGGGAAAGAGAGTCAGAGTTATGGCTTATGGTGTCGCAAGAATGTTCAGTATCATTTTAAGGATCTCTGTCTCGTTCTCTCTCTCTCTTGCTCTCGCTCTTGCTCTTGCTCTTGCTTTTTCTCTTCCCTTTCCCTCCCCGTGGCAAGTATTATAAATAGGCCTCCTTCTTATCTGATCCTCCCCTAAATGTTTTTCTTTTGAAAACCACAGTTAATTTTAGATAAATGTCGGAGATAATCTCAAATTTGTGTGTAATATAGGCCCTAGTTCTAAGAAAAACATGACATGTCTGGAAGACCTTGTTTTGGCCTTTGTTCCTCTGCTAGTACCACGGCCAATATCTCTGACTTCCCACCCTTTATCTGAGACTGGGTTGTATCTTAAGTCTCCTAACCCCCTTTTCCAGAAGCAGAGAAACTGCCACCTTCTGAATGGCTCCTTTCTAATCCAATAGTTCCCCAGGAATGATTTTAAAGCTAGAAAGGGGCTCCGGGGAGTGAGGGCTGAGTTCACCAACACTGCCCGCCTGAGCAATTTGCAGGATGAAGTGGCCTCTGTCCTCTGATTTTCACAGGCCAGGCCCCCTCTAGATCCATGTGTAGATAACTGCAGTCGTAAATGTTATGCGAAGGCTGCTGTACAAGCCTTTTAAATAAGAGGCTGTTTTTCAGAACCTGGGCCACATTTGTCCTGGCCTGAGTTAAGAGGTAAAGAACATTCCAATTGTGAGCTTGGATGGAAAAAAATATATTTGAAGTTTTTTCTGCTAACAAGGTATGCAGAGGACTCAAATTCCAGTAAACGAAGGTTAAAGACGGGCTGATTTGCAGAATACGGTCATCAACCCCACCCCTTAATTTTTCCATAAAGTGCCATAAAAAGCCACTGCACTAACAAACATTTTGGGAAGGAAACAAGCTCCAGGCCAAGAAGCCACAAGCTTAAATGGAGGGAAATCTGAGCCCTGAGGCACAGTTTCCTGAGCAGAGTCATTACTCAAGAAGGGATCAGGCATTAACAGAACTATCCCAACCCAGTACCAAAGCTAAGGCTTCCTGGGTGCCCTGGGACAGTGCTGGTCAGGAGAAAAGTGCCAGTGTCCCTCACTGGAGTTACACCCTTCACCTTGACTTACAATGTGAAATGAGAGCACATATCCAAGACTCAGCTTACACCTGAAAAACATCTGAAGAAAAACGTCTTGTTTTATTTAAAGGATGAAAAGAAAACGCGATGCAATGAAATTGCAAAAAAAAAAAAAACTCCAGCTGGATGTATTTTTTAAAATTTTTTGTTGTGGAACACAGAAAAATTAATGCTAAAATGGATACAGAAGAGTAAAGTCCCCCCAGAGAGCTAGGCCAACTGTGAAGAAGAGGAATATGGAGGAGGGGCTTATCCTACAAAATGTTAACCTTCTACAAAACCATCATCGTAAAATTGGTCTGCTTCTGGCTTGAGAACAGAGACCAGTGAACAGAACAGAGGCCTAGGAGACAGGCCTTTTTATAAATGAGGACTTGAAATATGTTTAACATGGCTTAAAAATCATGGGGAATGGTTAGATTATTTAGTAGATGGTATTGAGAAATTGGCTCACCATATGGAGAACAAAAACATCTATATTTCTTTTTTTTTTTGAGACGGAGTCTCGCTCTGTTGCCCAGGCTGGAGTGCAGTGCCACAATCTCGGTTCACTGCAAGCTCCGCCTCCTGGGTTCACACCATTCTCCTGCCTCAGCCTCCCGAGCAGCTGGGACTACAGGCGCCAGCCACCATGCCTGGCTAATTTTTTGTATTTTAGTAGAGATGGGGTTTCATCGTGTTAGCCAGGATGGTCTCGATCTCCTGACCTCGTGATCTGCCCGCCTCGGCCTCCTAAAGTGCTGGGATTATCGGTGTGAGCCACCACGCCCGGCCCAATAACATCTATATTTCTATAGTACACAAACGTGGACTCCAGATGCATAGGATATCCAGTATGAGAGGAAAGCTTATATGGTTAACAAAAGAAAATTTAGAAGAGTATTTTTACAACTTAGAGGTGGGGAGAAACTTTCTAAAGACCTAAAATTACCAAATATAAAGCAAAAAAAAAAAAAAAAAAAAGTGTTTGATGACACAAAAGTTGAGGATTTCTTTTTAATGAAAGATTGTAAAGATGAAGTTAAAAATTGAAAAATTGCAACACAATATCTGCAACATTTACAACTGACTAACAGCCAGTATAGGATATATGAGGGTAACCTGTAAGTTAACAAGAAAAGGATCAAAAAATCCATCAGAAATAGGGGCAAAGGGCTGGGTATGGCAGTTCATACCTGCAATCCTAGTACTTCGGGAGGCCAAGGTGGGAGGATTACTTAAGGCCAGGAGGTCAATATCAGCCTGAGCTACATGGTGAGATCCAGTCTCTACAAAAATAAAAATAAAAAGGTTAGCCGGGTGTAGTGGTGTGCACCTGTAGTCCAAGCTACTTGAGGAGGCTGAGGTTTGAGGATCGCTTGAGCCCAGAAGTTCAAGGCTACATTGAACTAGCATAACACCACACACTGCAGCCCGGGCAACAGAGCAAAACCCTATCAAAAAAAAAAAAAAAAAAGAAATAAAAAGAAAAAGGGCTGGGCATGGTGGCTCACGCCTGTACTCCCAGCATTTTGGGAGGCCGAGGTGGGCGGACCACCTGAGGTCAGGAGTTTGAGATCAGCCTGGCCAACATGGTGAAAGCCCGTCTCTACTAAAAATACAAAAATTAGCTGGGTGCGATGGTGTGTGCCTGTAGTCCCAGCTGCTCAAGAGGCTGAGGCAGGAGAACTGCTTGAACCCGGGAGGCAGAGGTTGCAGTGAGCCAAGATCGCGCCACTGCACTCCAGGCTGGGCAACAGAGCGAGACTGTGTCTCAAAAATAAAAATAAAAAAAGAAACAAACAAGCAAAAATAAACAGAGGCAAAGAATATGACAGGTAAATCACAGAGGTAAAAATCCAAATGGTTCACATAATAATACAAAGCTCAAAATCAGGGTAAAGCAAACCAAATCCAATGAGCTATAAGTTTATACTCATCAGATTGGTAAAAATGGGCAAGTTGGATAATGCCAAGTCTAAGATGTCAGAACACATGACTTTTCACGTCCAGCTCTTAGGATTGTAGAAGTGAAGCCAATCTAAAGAATAAGCTCACAAAAATTGAGCATCCATGTACATTAGAATCAGTAGTTCCCTTTCAGAATATCCCAAAGAATCCCCACTTGGGTCCTTGGGTCCAGAAGAGGGAATCTAAGAGGATTTCATGCAGCCAAGACCTGTGATTGCTGGGCCACAGAGGCAACCAGGGGGTCCTTAGCTGCAGAAATGGGAAAGTAAATTAAAGAGGTGCCCTTTATGGAATACCATGCGGCAGTTAGAAGCAATTATCTGGAATCACTGATTAGCAGAGTGTGAAGTTTTTTAAAAATGCAGTACTGGGTAAAAAAATAAGAAAAGGCAAAGCAATCAGGGTTGCTTGGAGAATTAAATGGCAATAAAACCCTTGATGTAGCAATTGGCTCAAATAAGACTTTAGATCCTATCCAGAGGTAGGTGGGGAATTCGAGGGGTCAGTCCACCCTGACAAAGGACTCAAGACCATAGAGGTGGAAGTGAAATTTGAAACGATTCGAAAGACACTTTGTGGACTACCTGCTAATAAATTTTCTTTCCTGCATCCTTTCTTTCTTACTTGGTAGTGGAATCTAGACTTTTACAAGAAAGAAAACTCAGAACATGAAACACTGCATCTCTGGCTGACAGTCTACCTGTCCTGGTGTTCCCTAGGAGATCTGAGAATTGCCCCAGCCAGGTGCTGCATTTGCTAAAGTTAATTCTAGGGAATTTGTTTATGTGGGTTCAGAATTCTTCACTGCCTCCCTTAACTCCCCCATATGTAGTCTGTGCTAAGTGACCATGGATGGAATTGTGCTGAAAGTTCTTTCACCGTGGTTAACAAAATCTACTAAGTAACACTTCATACAGGGTATGGAGGAACCAAATGTGATTGGATAGAATATTTTTTCCCTTTCTTCTTCTTACCATATATATACTTTTAGGAGTACCCATTATTGCTAGTGTCTGCTACCAAAATGTCGGTGACCAAAATGTAGAAATGAAGAAGGAAAAAGGACAGCTTGTCTAACATTCTTGCTCTGAAAATCCCAAGAGATGAGATTCCATCTCTAAGCAGGAGGCCAGGGAGTCCTTTCTTAGTGCAGGAGGCAGCAGGATATTTTTATTTTTACTGCATTCGCGATCCGGGGTCACAGAGAAGGGCAAGGAGCTGAATTCCAAGAATGGAATAGAATCTAGCTCTCTCCGAAGGAAATCCAGGGTTTGGAAAACTCCCAAGGAGCAATAATTCAACTGAACTAACCTGATGAACTGTTTTCAAATGAGTATGGAGAAATATAGTCAAACATTGAACAGCTTCCTAGAATTGAAGCAACCGGGCAAAGGTGCCTTTTATTAGACCTTTGCAGTACACCCAGAGAACCGGTTAGAGTGTCAGGCTCAGCTCCATCTGGAAGAGAGAAAGACTTGATTTTATTCCCCAGTAGAAGGTTCTCTAGAGCAGTGCATACGTTTTTCACTTCCTTATAATTATTTATTCAAAACTGAAATACCAGCAAATCAAAGTCTACTCAATGCATTGGGTACCTACTCTCTGCCCATCATCTGCTGGGGCTTTTCTCTATCTTATCTCATAGAATCCTCCCCAAATGCTTCAAGGAAAAGATGATCATTCCCCATTTTTCAGAAAAGGAAGTCTCTGAGAGGACAGACACATTTTGAAGGTCAGAGAGCTTTTAAAAAGCAGATCTGGATTCAAACCCAGACAGCTGAGTCCAAATCTGGAACTTTCTTCAGCTCATACTGCCATGACCACACCCCCGCTTCTAAGGGATGTCAGGCAGCCTAGAGGGTCCCATGACATTTAGAAATAAAGGGATAAATTGTCCTTTCCTCACCCATTTTCAAGCAAAAATGCTAGGGGAGCAGCTGTGTATTAAAAAGGAGTTGGGGCAGAAATAATGATCATAAAGATAGTGAACTTTCATTGAGTTATGGGTCAAACATTGTGTTAAATGTTCAGTATGAGCCACATTCCTATGAGCTGGCTCTATTACTGTTTCTATTCTTTTTTTTTTGTGGGGGGGAAATTAAGTTTCAAAGGTTAATTGATTATTTAAACTCAAACAACTAGTACTTCTTGGAATAGATCCTAAATTGGTCTGACTCTCAAACCAGTGTTTTAAAAATACTACTCTAAACTGCTTCCTTGGGATATGGCAATGTGAGTTCGGCGTGGCAGCTATCGTGGTGGTGTCATGGTGGTGGGAACAGCAGTGATGGTATTGTTTTCACTGCTCTTGGTGGTGGTGAAATTAATGATGATAAGTAACTGGTGAAGGTGGTTGTCCTCATAGTGGTGTGATGGTGTTGGTGGTGGTAGAAGTGGTGCTGGTGATGGTGGTGTGGGTGGTGATAATAGTGATAATGGTGGTAGTAATTGTTGTAGCAGTGATGGCAGTGTTGGTAATGGTAATGATAACTATGGTGGTGGTGGTGGTGTGGCAGCAGGGCCAGAAGTAGTGATGGTGGTGGTGGTGATGGTGGTGATGAGGGACATGGTGTTGGTGGGAGGTGTGAGGAGGGCATGGTGATGATGGTGCTGGTGGTGGTAATGGTGGAGGTGGGGGTGGGGTGATGACGGTGGAGGAGGTGATGGTGGGGAGGGGGTGGTGACGGTGATAGCAGTGGTGATGATGATGGTGATGGTAGTGGTGGTGGTGATTGTGGTGGTGATGGTGGGGAGGGGGTGGTGATGGTGATAGCAGTGGTGATGGTGACGGTGATAGTGGTGGTGGTGATTGTGGTGGCGATGGTGGGGAGGGGGTGGTGATGGTGACAGCAGTGGTGATGATGATGGTGATGGTGGTGGTGGTGGTGGTGGTGGTGGTGGTGATGGTGATGGTGGGAGAGGGATGATGATGATCATGATGGTGATGGTGCTGGTGGTAATGGTGGTGGTGGTGGTGGTGGTGGTGGACGCCATGGTAGGAGAGAGGGTGGCAACTGTTGAGGTAGTGGTGTGGTGGTGGTGGTGGTGGTGGTGAGGCTGGTGGTGGGGTGGTGGTGGAAATAGAAGCGTTGTTGCTGGTGGTGATGATGGTAATGGTTATGGTAGTGGTAGTGGTGGAGGTGGTGGTGATGGTGAGGATAGGGGTGGGGTGATGGTTACCATGACAGAAGTGATAAGAGTGATGAGGTGGTGATGATATTGATTATGGAGGTGGTAGCTATGGGATTCTTGACGGTGGTTAATTCACCCTCCCAGATGATATTTTCTTTTGAGAAATTCTGAAAAAAGAACACTTCCGTTTTCTCTGTGCCTTTAAAGGTCGATTCACTTGTTTTTTTCCATAGGTTTCAGGAAAGAGGCACTGGCCTTTACTTCTCCACCTCGATTCACTTCCATGCTGTTGACAAATGTTATAGTTGCCCAGGATCAGAGGGAGAGACTGACCCTGTGACCATTTCCCCAAAGGCGGCCTTTGGCCACTCCGTGCACTGGAGCACATGACCCTCTGCCTCGCCCCTGCCACATTAACCAGGTGACTGTCTGCCAAGGCCCAGCCCAGTCCAAAGGGAATTGGGATTCAGTGTCCCAAACAAGGCACTGATTAGCTGGTAATCAGGCAGCGATTAGCAGGTCGGGTCACCTGCAGTTCAGTGCCCATTGTTCCCAGCAAAGTCCTGGGATATTTGCCACACGGCTGGCCAGTCTGAATGTCTGAGGATTCCGATGCCTGCAGCTCTGCTGTGGAGATGTGTGATTAGGAACAAATCCTCTGTTCTCTAAGCCCATCCCCCCAAGGAGGCAGTGCAGTGTGAATAGTGAATCCCCTTCTCTATTCACACACAAAGGTTTGGGGAGAAGAATGGCCTGCTTAGGAGCTCAACAGTGACAGAGAGGTGAGGCCCCAAGGATGCACTGAAGAACTGAAAGCAAATTAGCACATTCCTCTTCCTGCACCATGATGACTGAGAGTGGAGGAACGGGCAAGCCCACATCCAGACTGGGATTCTACTGTGATCTTGAGATGTGACCTTGGACAAGATTTTTAACCTCTGAGCTTGTTTACCTTGATTTTGAGAGTTTAATAACACTTGCCTCTTCAGCCTTTGAAGTTCAGATTTAGAAAATGAACATAAAGCAGTTACTACAGTCTCTGTAGCGTGTGACCAATACATGCTATCACCGTTATCATCGGTCATAGTAATATCAATATTTAAAATATCATAATTATTTGAAATACTTTATTTAAAATATGCCTCTGTAACATCACTTCTAAATGAGAGATAGCCCCTTTGTAGGAGGCCATGATAAGGATGAGATGAGAATTCTTGTAAAGCTTTCATCACAGGGCCTAGCAAGTAATTAGCACTTAATAAATCATAGTAACAATGGTGATCACCATCATTATTGTTTGTACAAAGTTGAATGGAAAAGACTATTTTGTAGCACTTTTCACTGTATTGTAGCATGTGATCATGAAAATTTAGACAAAGCATAATTTTTCGAGCTAAAAGGAGATTAATGAAATTATTCATGGCACATTCACACCATTGGACACTGTTCAGCTTTATAGTCTATGTGCCCTTCCACCACCTGGAGATCTTGCTAAAATTCTCATTTGGTAAATCTGGGGTCAGCCCAAGATTACGCATTTCCAGTGGATTCTCAAGTGATTCCAGGGCTACCTGTCCATGGACTCCACTTTGAGTAAACAGGATGTACACTTTTACAATAAAAAATGTGTATATGCATTTATACAGAAATATAGAAAAATATTCCTAGGCTATACTCAAGATGGGGGACAGTGTTTTTCACCCCCTTCGCTAAACTGTACTATCTTTCCCAGAAATTTAATAACAAACATGTAAAAACATTTAAAAATGCAATAAATTTTATTGATGCAAGTTCTTCCCTTCTCTAAAAGTTTGTCACACAGCCAGGTTTTCCAGCACATTCTTTGCCAGGTCTGCATGCCTGATGCCATGATTTTCTTCTAGAGCCACACTAGGCCTTTTCAGCATCCTAACCACAAGGAAATCACATTAATGCGTGCTCATTCTGGAGGCTTCAACTCTCCAAGGAGCAGGTGGGCCCCAGCTCAGATATAGCTGCTGGCCAGAGTTCAGGACCCAGAGGCGTGCAGGCCAGCCAGGTGCAAGATAGACAGTTATTAACTCAGAGAAGCCCAGAGAGTTTCTAAAATCTGATTCTGGCTGCACTTGGAAAGGGCGTTCCAGTTAACATGGCGGGGTGCTTTCTGCAGTTTAAAGGAGCTCAAGGAAGTTCCTTGTACAAAAGAGATGGCTCCACTAGCCCTTCCTCCAAAGGGTGGCCTCAGAGAGGACCCTTGTGATCTAAGGGTAGGTGGGTTTAAGGTTTTTCTTCCTTTTAACTCCTCTAAACGGAGACTGGGATACTTACTTGGGTACTTGAGCCACGTATTTATCTTATTCTCATCAGACTGTTTCTGTCACTGAGAGGTTGAAAGAGGTCTGAATGAGCATCCAGAGACAGAATTAGATAGATAGAACCTCAGTTGAATTTTGACCTTGCCATTTAATAGCTAAACTGCCTTAGGTCTAAGCAGTGACTCTGTTTCCTCCTATGGAAAATGGAAGTAGCAATGCTCTGGTCTCTCCAGGATTCAAACTTATGGAGCTAAAGATTCTAGTTTCCAGTTAGGTAAAAGCAGGCTTGCAAATGCCAATACTAATAATTATTATTTTTATTCAGTGTTCACCATCCTTTGCACCTTAACATACACCTTGTACCTGCCTAGATAAGCCCCCACGCGCTGCCCACCTGAGATCCCTGGTATGGGGTCTCCATCACCCCATCCCTCTGTGTATCAGGCAGTGGGTAGAGGAAAACAGATACATACAAAAACTGGGCAGTGGGAGGAGAGTTTACTAAAGGGATATTTAACTGAGGTGAGGGCGGGACTTGAGGAATAAATAACATACAGTGGCATGGATAGGGGTTGAGGAGGTACATTCCCCCCCAAGCTTCTGGCTTTCAGTAGAGAGAACAGCCAACTTGTCAAGAAGGGGGATGCCAAGGAATAAATAGCCTGACTCCTGTCTTCCCACACTCCTGTGACCTCCTCATGCTTTTGCCAAGATCTTGGCTTGGTTTCTCCTCTGATTGATTTCAACCAACTTTCTGATATTGGCAGGCGGCTATCTTATGTGCCCATGTTACATGCTCATGATAAAGCTGCATTTCCTGAGGGGACACCAATGGATACACCTCTGCCTGGCACGCAGCTTAGAGGCTAAATGTATGAAAAGCAACACCATGCAAATCATTTTGAAACTGCTGTGGAACTCTCACGGGACCCTCCATTCTAGACATCCAGTCCCACTAGTGATCTGACCATGAAACCTACTAAGAGACTTCCAGAAGAAGATGACCTCTGAAAGGAGAAAACTTTCTTCCAAGCTTCTGTGGAACAAGAAGATGCCATCCCTTTGGTGGAGCCCAAAGGGAAACCAGGTAGTTAGCAAGAGAAACTGTTGTTATCATCTATGAAAGGTGCTTCCTGGGGTTTCAGAGGAGGGTGCAGAAGGGGAACAGTGAGTCTGGAGGGACAGATGGAACATTCCTGCAATGCTATCAATCCATATCTGACCCTCAATTCATGAAACTTTCCAGACAACCCACCCTGACAGATCCCTCTCTTCTTAGAGCTCTCACGTACCTTTCTTTTAGCATTTAACATTCATAACCTCAAATGAATGATTTCTATGCATGAGTCATTTCCTGAGTAGACTGTCAGATCCTTGAAGGCAGGAAGGCAATGTAATATAATGGAGAATATCCTATGTCTTCAAATAGTTATGAAGATTAGAAAGGCAATCTAAGCAACATCCTTAGCATATTACTAGGTGCACATAAAAAGTGATGAATAGACAGATTTATGACTATTCATTTTTTTTATCCTTCCTATCCTTCACCATGTGGAAGATACACTGCCATTACACACACCTCCAAAAAGAAAACTCAGCATTTCTTATGTATCTTCTCTGGGTGATTTACTATGTAGAAGTTCAAGTATGTTATTAGAATGCTTCCCCAATTTAGTTACACACAGATTCCACTTAAAGTACAGAATAAAATCTGACATATTCTTTTTAGTATGATGTTTTAAAAAAATATTTGGAAAGCAAAATTCTGTTTTACCTCCCAATGCTTATTGCTGTTACGAAACTATAAAACAAAATAAATTAATAAATTGAATGCAAACAAAGCTATATAAATTTTACTTAAATGCAACAGATGATATAGTTTTGATGAAACTGATTCAAAACTTACTACGCAAAAGCGGTATTGAATGCTGCTGTACAGGACATTTCCATTCACCAAGCCTACACGTGGTATGATGACTCAAGTGTCCCATGATTGCTCCCCATTTATACTGGGCATCATGATGTTACTTGGCATTGATTTGACAACAGTGCATAATTTTAAATTTATTTCCCTTTTATTCCTTTTTCGCTAGTAGAGCCAAACAAATTAGTATAAGATCTTGCAAACTTTCTTTGCAACCATCGGCATTAAAATGCAATGGCAGTTCTTTAAATATAAAGGGTCATACGGATAGTGCAGAAAATGCTTCGCCAATTTTACTTTAGATTGTCGTTGCAATGAGAGCACATGGTTCAAAAGTTCCAGCAGCAAAGGTGGTTTTCCCACCCTGCCCCTGGATTATGGCATGTGGTACAGGCATTTTGAATCTCAGCTTGTGTCAGGTGGGTATTGTTACCTGTTTTCTATTGGAGGACATTTAGGATTGTGAGTGCTTGGAGGTGTTCAGTCACTTACCTAAGTTCACTCACCTAGTAAGTGAGGCAGTGAGACTCATACCCAAAAGTTTCAGTTTCTACATCCAGTCTTTTGACTGATTGGTCTCATCTTTGATTATTATTGAAGATTAACTCTACATTGATGCAGATTGATGATGAGAGTTGAAGGTGATGTTGAAGAGATAGAAACCAAATAGAGAATGAAACATGCTTGGCCAGAGATGGCAACATAAACCCTGTCCATGGTGCCCTGTTGTCTTGGATGCTGCTGTGGTTAGGTCAGAAGCAGTGGGAAGTCTGGAGCCATATGGAAGCTACACAGCCACACAGATGAGGCAGACCTCTAAGTGGGGCCACTCTTGGCACCTCCATGTTGAGCTCAGCAGCAACATGATGAGTTGAAATACTGAAAAGGAAAGCTCTAGGTTGCTCGTCATGATTTAATCTATGCACCTAGTCTTTGGCATTTCCTATTTCCTGCTTTGGCCTGAAGCTGGACATTCTTTCCAAGAATCCTTTATGTCAGTCCTTTTGGGATTCAAAGAGTTGTGGGAATGGTGACCTCAGTTCACATCCACATTCCACCGGGAGAGCACAAAGCTGAGGCTCTCTCTGCCTCCAGGAAGTAAAAGAGGCTGTGAAAGAAGTGTTGTCAACCAATGTTCTTACTACAGAAAGCCAGGGGAGGTGCTGCTCATCCCTCCAGCTCCAAGTGATGAGAATTTTGGAAATAAATAAATTCAGTAACTTATAGGCACATGTGATAAACTCTCACTCACCAGGATCTGATAAACTAGTAGTGAACACAATTTTTGCATAGCTTGCATTTCCTGATAATACAGACGTATCTGCTATTAAAATTCCACTTTCCTTGTAGCAAAGTTAACTTTTTGTTATTCTAGAATGGCAAATTGAGTCATGTGAAGTTTCGGGAATCACACACACATCAGGTAATGCCATAACAAAAGTCGTTTTTGCCTGCAGTATATTTTGAGGACAATGAAACCATTCAATCATTGCCCAGAATGATAATTATCTTTTTGGACACATGACCTCATATTCCCAATCTATTAAGCACACAAAATCTGAAAATGAGTGGTATTAGTGATTCTATTGAAATGGATACAAGGGAACTGAAACAAAATAAAGCCAGCTTTAGTTCTGTAATCCCTGAAAAAAATAAGTGCTAAGAGGATGGGTGACTTAGGACACTTACAAAAGAAAAACCAACACGGAAAAATAAAACAGTAGATGCACATGTCTTTTGACTTACTAGATGTCTGAAGTTCATTGCTTCAGGACACATCAGCTTGGGGTAGAGGTGGGGAGGGGAGTTGACTCAGGTGTGGGTAACAATTGTGATGGCCTATGACCAAATTTCACAGTAAAGTGATTGGTACCCCAACCTCTCCTCTGCTCTTTCTGTTTTTTTGTAATCATCCTAGATAGACATTAACATTTTCTGCAGAAGCCAACTGACAGAAAGATTAGCTACATCAGAAACAGCTGCTTCCACTAGTCTCAGCTTCATTCTAGGGGCAACCTCATCCAGAGTCTCAGAACATCATTTTTTAAAGACCCAGGTGCAAGTCACGCCAAGGTGGTGTGTATTAGAAGATGTGTGGCCATCCAGTGTAACTTTCACAAACTTTCTTTACTGGCACAGACCTATTGGTGATCCAGGTGAGAATGCAGGTTACTGGCATCTCTCCAACTTAAGTCAGCACCCTGCCTTTCTCCAACATTCTCTGCAGAGAAACGTGAATCTTAATTCATACCATACTCTTCATATGAATCTTCATGTCCATGTGCTGGTCCCCACATTCCATGGCTCCAAAGGTCATTGTTTTTATCTCTCCTTGAAGGACTACAAGTGGATTCTCAGGCAAATTGAAACCTTGCGCAAGTCCCAGAAGTTCTAAGGTGGGAATGCTGATCAAGTGTCTCTACTGTCCATCTTTTGCCCCTCTTATGCCCCTTACCTCACCCCTCTGGAGACCCAGATTAAAAACGCTTCAGAGCAGGAAACCTGGTTGATGGATTGATCCATCAACCAGCAAGTATCTACTGAGAGCACCTAATTTTTGCTCAGCAAATGCTGACGGGAGCTGATGGTGCAGTGACAGGTAATAGAGGACTCTTTGAAGTCAGGTAGAGGACTTGAAACTGAGGCTCAACTCACCGCGTCTTCATTCAAGAGACAGCAATTGAACACCTACACACAAGCTGCGCAGCATGCTTGGAAATGGGAATAAAAAGGGCAGACTAGATTTCTATTCCCATAGAGTTTACAGTTTATCAGGGTCATAATTCTTTTAAGTACTTAAAATTAATGTGCACTATGATTGGGAAACAGACTGCTTAGGTACCTTATGGTGGTCAAGAAAGTGGGAACATGCAAAGTTGTTTTTAGCTTTTTGAGGCCTGGAAGGATATGACCATGCAGTGACTGGGTAATGTGATTTTGGTAGCAAGATAGATTGAAGAATGGAGAGTGAGTAGTGTCCTCCCAAAATTCATGTCCTCCCAGAACCTCAGAATGTGAGATTATGTGTAAATAGGGTCTTTGCAGATATAATGAAATTAAGATGAAGTCATAATAATTTAGGGTGGGTAATAAATCCATAAATCCAATGACTAGTGTCCTTGTAAAGATACAGACACAGACAGAGGTAAGAAGGGCAGATATCAGAGTGAAATGGCTACAATCCAAGGAATGCCAAGGATTTCTGGCCACCACTAGCTGCTTGGAGATTTTCATGGAACAGATTATTTCCTAGAACTTTTGGATGGAGCACGGCCCTGCCAACACCTTGATTTCAGACTTTCAGCCTCTAGAGCTACAGGAGAATAAAATTCTGTTGTTCTAAACCACCCAATTTGTGATAATTTGTTATAGCAGCCTTGAGAAATGAATGCAAGACACAACTGACCGGGGTGAAGATTCCTGGTTAAAGGATGTATGAGTGCTGCCCTGGAAAATGAGGGCCAAGGTCAGAAAGAATGGTAAGACTCTATTTGTATGGTTGTGTACAAGATAATAGCTGAAGACCGTAACGGAATAAATAGAGTATGTCTTTTCCAGCTTGTTTTATAATAAACAAACCACGTAAAGAGCATGAAGAGACAAAGATTGAACTTCTCAAGACATGTCTCCGTTTATGGAACAGAACAAAAAAGAGTAAGCAAGGGAGAAAGTGAAGGAGTTACTGGCAATATTCCATTGAACTCAGTAGATGCTTATCAAGCCTTGCCTATTCCATACCTCTAAGGAACACACAGTGTGAGCTGGAAGCAAAACTAGAGAATTTCCATCCAAGGGATGTAGGCAATGATTGAAGTAAGCTGAATGAATAGGAACAGTGAAGACAAAAAGAAACAATGGTCCCAGTCTAAGGATGATCAGGATGTCTTTGCAGAGATGACATCTGTAGGGAGGCTGAAAGGATCCTTCAGGGTTGGACAGAAGGCAGAAGGGCAGAAGAGAGAAGAAAGCTCAGAGTATACCATCGTATCTCAATGCTCCTTGAATAGTTGCTATGTTTAATTCTGGTGCCTCTTATAGCACACAAAGGCACATGGAAATGGTGGAGTGAGTGAATAAATGAATGAACTAATGAAATGACCCAGAAGCCAAGAGAAGAGAGCACTTTGTCAAGGAAGAGGGGATAACGAACATTATAAAAGGCAAGAGAGAGGCTGAGAAAGACAAGTATGAATGTCAAGAAATGAATAGGTCAATAGAACATTGAAGAGATAGGAGCTTAGGAGAAGTCAGAGGCAATTCCTAGGAGCTGAGAAGAAAAGAGTGAGCTGTGAGGAAGAAAGTTTGTGCTGATGAAGGCTCAAGGAGTATGGCTGAAAAAAATATTGGAGAGAGGTTAATAGTGTTTGTGAATTAAAGCTGGAACAGAAATTAAATACCACATGTTCTCACTTGTAAGTGGGAGATCAGCATTGAGTACACGTGGACACAAAGAAGGGAACAATGGATACCAGGGCCCACTTGAGGGTGGAGGGCAGGAGAAGGATGAGGATCAAAAAACTAACTATTCAGTACCATGCTCATTACATGGGTGACAAAATAATTTATATGCCAAACCCCTGCATCATGCAATTTACCAATGTAACAAACCTGTGCTTGTATCCTCCAAACCTAAAATAAAAGTTGGAAAGAAAAAAAAGAACGTTAGGAAGACTGTGTCTGAAGGTAAACGATAAGGAAATTTGAGGATGCTGGAGACAGGAGTCATAGAGTTTCTCAGGAGCCAGGGGAGGAAGAATAAATGAAATAACCAACATGTATTGAGCACCTACTGTATGCCAGGCACTAAACTAGCTATTTTCAAATACTTTAAAAAAAAAAATAATCTGGAAGATACGCTTCATGGAAAGTGTTAGTTTTAGAAAGAATAATGGATTTCCCTCTAATGACGGGGGTAGAGGAGACAAATGAATTTTATAATTTGTTGTAATGGGTTGAAAGAGGTATCTTTTCGTTCATCAAGTATCTACTGGGTACGCCCTCTGTGCTGGACACTCTATAAAGGGCCTCAGATATATCACCTAATGGGAACCTTAGAATGCCCCTAGAATGTTCTATCATGATTCTCATCTTGGAGACAAGGATTTCACAGACAAGCTCTAGAAAAACAATTCAAAGCTGAGTATGTCTGCACAAACAACTACATATGTCTCAGCCTCAGTTTCTACATCTGTATAACTTTTCTTCCCATGGTTGTTGTGAGGATGAAGCAAGGAGAAAGTGCTCACTAAAGGGCAGTTCTTGTTTTTAACCTTACTTTATTCCTTTGGAATGAGGCCATTGGGTCCTCACTACACCCTCACCCCTCTACCAACATTGCCCACTGCTTTTCAGAATTGAAGATGTCCTGGAGCCCCAAAACAGGTGTCAGCAGCATTACCACAACAGATCAATCTGTAAGCTAGAGCACAAGATGTCTACTATTTGCTCTGAGAAAAGAAGCCATGTTGGGAAGGCAAGCTAAATACAGAACATGACCCAAAAGCAAAGGGTGTCTCCAAAAGGGGTAATGCAGACCGAGACAATAGTTTCACAGATCAATAGGAAACATTTAAAGGTCCACTGATGAGCTAGACTGCAGGGGCGCTCCTCTTCTATAAAAGGAAAATAAAATGGATCAATAAGAAATGAAAACTGATATTAAAAGGCTGAGATTTACTTTCTGCTACCAAGGGTTCTTCTCCAAGCTGGGTCTCTGGGCAGACTTGTTCATTCCCTTCCAACCCACTACGGTGAGATCCCAAGGTGGTGGAATAAGATAAATACACATGGAAACAGCCCCCAAAAATGGCTGCAGTAAGGCCATACAGCATACCTAACTACTGGTTAGCATAAAGACAAGTAATTTGTCTGAATGCAACATGTTGGGTGTAGGAGGAAAATGTATGCCTTAAACCTCAACCCATCACCCTCCACTCTTCAATCTCTATTTATGTCTGTGTATCAGCAGTGTGGCACATTCTAAGTAGTTTTCTGGTGTATTTTAAGGATGCATCTACCAATTCTGTGATCTTGGGCAAATGATTTAACCTCTCTGAGTCTCAGTTTTCTCATCTATAATTATGTCAGTATTATCATGATAAAATAATAGAAATGATTATTGTCACCTTCCCCATCCCTACCATTATCACCCCATCACCACCCCGAAAACTAATATCAAAATGGCTGAATGCCCACGTGGTTTTATAGGAGGAGATTTAAGAGCCAGAAAGACCAAATTTATTAGCGAGGTTATCTTGAGCAAGCTGTGAATCTACTCTGATCTTCATGCAATTCATCATGGACTTGGACAACATCTTTTCTGGTTATTATGAAGCCTAGAGAAGACACGTACAACCCTTAGCACAGTGTCTGGTACATAATGAGGACTCAGTACTGGCCCTTAGTCTTTGCCCTGACTCTAGTCTGTGATAGTGTTAGACTAACATCTTGGTGAGCCCATACTGACCACTGGGAGTCCAAGTTGACTCTGAGAAAACTAAAAGAAAGGCAAACAAAAGGATCTATTTGTGGGAGGGAGAAGGGATGGAAAGCCACATAGTCTGGTTCGGCATGAGACTGAGAGAGGTCTGGGCAGGTTCAGCACCCCTGGAGAGAGAACATCCCACCACTACTACCTCTCCTCCTTTCTCCTGCCCTAGTGCAGAGCACACAGCTTCGCCCCTCAGCTGACTGGGTGCCTGTGGGCAGTGCAAAGAGATGAAGGGCTTCTCCTTCCAGCACACAGCACTGGCTACTGGGGGGTTTCCGTCTCCCCCACCCAACCACCTCCACCCTCACCTTGCTGCTGGGATTCTGGGCTCCCTGCATTCATGGTGCAGGATAGCAGGGGCCATGGATCAAGATGACTCCCCTCCTACCATAGGTGCTGATTCATTCAGCACTAACAGCGCCAACTGTGTGTCCACATCCTGCTGGATAGCAGGGGCCATGAGGCAAATGAAACACAGTCCTTACCCTGAGGACATCCTACACTGAGCAGTAATCACGGGTATCACAAAATGCCCTGCTCCCCACCACTTCATTTTGACTCAAAGGGAAAACTCTTGAGAATTTACAATTCTATCCCATTTTTTTTCAGTAACTCCTTAATATCTTTTTTCCGCAAAACTCATACCCTCCCAAACCCACCCTGAATCCTGCACACCTCACTCATTTTCCTCACATCCCTGAGTCTTTTCCCTCCACACTCTCCCCTCCTGGTTTCTTGTTCTGCAATATCTTCTTTCCCATGTTATACTTGGATTTTACTCCTTCCTCTTGTCTATGCTGCTCAGTGGCCAGTTTTCCCCAGTGGAGGCTGGGGACATTCTCTTTCTACGTCCCTGTTTATCTCTACTCTGAATAAGTCAATATGCAAACATCTGGGTGTCCAACTCATACCCCCCAGAAGGGATTCTCTTTAGCCTGACAGCCTATTATACTTGTTGTGGGTGGCCTAACGTGTGTCTGGGTGAGGCATATGCAGATTGTAAAAAAGAAAAAAAATTGGCAGGCCAGACCCTTTGTTTCCCTACAATCTGACTAATAAGAGATTCTTTCACTATAATATTTCTTCTGCTATTCTAGTTGTTCTTATCACAATCATTGCCTGATTCCTCTGGGTTCTCTTATATCTCCATTTTGAATTCCCTTGTAGGCACTGTGTCTTCAGTAAGTGTTTCCATTTTGAACCCAAAGAAAACCTGTGTGTCCATTTCTTTCTCCTCCACTTTTCTTTTCTTGACACACTGATTCCTTAGAAGTGGGAAAGGGACTGAAATCTGTGTGTCTATGCCTCTATGTGCTAGATGTTATAAAACACTTCCATGGATATATCTCATGTAGAAGAAATTAGCCTCTTTTTAACACTGAGGGAACTGAGGACAGAAAGCTTCAACCATGTGTTCTAGCTCACACATAAAAACATGAAAAGCCTCCAAGACTTCATGCTATCTGTCCCTTGAAATGTACCCATGTGGCTGACATATGCAAACATATGCAAACCCAGGCAGTGGGCCCATGTGACATTCATTATAGAAAGTGTTTCTTTAATTATCTCTCATTCCTGACTCCCACTGAGGTCCTCATAATGGGTTTAGAATTACTGTCTTCTAAGTGATTCTGTGTGCAAAGTTGTACAATGAAAAGGGCACAAATTTGAGCAAATCTAGGGCAGAGAGAAGACCCAGAATGGCTGAGATCAAATCCCAGTTCTTATTATCTGGATGACCTCGGGCTATGGGGATAATAGGAACACCTTCCTCATAGGGGGTCTTTCCTCCTTATTGCCTCCTACTGAGGACTGAGGGTGAGGATTATTTAGGTAGGTGTGTGTAAACCACTTAAACCCTGGTTTAGCCCATGGTAAAACTATCAAAACGGACACTGTTGATTTTATTATCTGTGGTCTTGTTGGCCTTACCACTTGTTAGATGCAACACCCTTGGATACCTCTCTTGACATCTCTGAACTTCATTTTTCTTGTTGGTAACACAGGGGTAATACTTCCCACATCGAACTTTGCTGTGAACCTCTGATCAGATAAGCCATGTAAAGTCACTAACTCAGGGACTTGGTTGCAGCAAGTGCTTTCTTATTTAAAACATGCCAGTTCCCTTTTCTCCAAGAGAGCTCAAAGCACTGCTATTCACTTAGGATCAATGGAAGAAGCAAGAAGAAGAAAACAAAGGAAAAAGCAAACACTGGGGGCTAGATCAGCTTCCTGGGGGCAGTTCCTACCAAAGGGTGGTCTGTCCTGAGTAATCAGCTGGAGTCCCCCCCACCCCTTTCCCAGGTGGTCCCCAAAACTGGTTGGTGAGTAGTGCTGCAGATGTGGCTTCCTTATGGGCGATAGTGTTGATGGAAAAGATAATTCATGCCTGCATTGAGCTCTCTCTGAGTCACTCCAGACCCCAGTGATGAAGGAAGAAAACACCCCTGATCAGTACCACATTTCCAGATTTCATTATAATTTTTAATTCTTCAATGTTGTTTTGAAAAGCAGCATCAAGCATGCATAAGTTTTTGGAGACAAAGAAAAATGTAACCAGCCACCCTTTGAGTTTGGACTTGAGGACACCCCGGATCCTCTGAGAGATTTGTCTCCTTCCAGAAGCAGTGAGATGCCCTGTTGCTGTGACATGAGACAGTCCTGCCCCCATGCTGTCTGCAGGCTGAGGCTCTCCTTGTTTTATGCAGTTGGGCTCTCTGGACATCATGTGCTTGAGTTCTGCATCTTTTGCCAAATTCTACTCTTTTCACTCTTACAATCACCAAGTTCTGTCCATATTATTACTCAAATGTCTACTTGTCTCTTCATTTATGACTACCACCTTTTGCCAAGCAAGCTCCCCTGAAGGAGACCAGCAACAAAAATCACCAGGCCTCCCAGCAGCCAGATGGAGCTATTCAAAATGTAATGTGAGCTGGGCACAGTGTTGGTGCACACCTGTGGTCCCAGTTACTAGGGAGGTTAAGGCAGGATGATCCCTTGATCTCAGAAGTTCAAGGCCAGCCTGGGCAACATAGCAAGACCCCATCTCTTTAAAAACATTTTTTAAAGTCAAAATGTAATGCAAGACTCACTCCTCCCAGTCAATCACCTTCATTGCCTTCCCATTGCTTCCTGGGCATCAAGTCTCTGCCCATCTTATAAAACCATCTGTGATCTCATCCTCCCTCATTCTAATTCAGCTTTCCAGGCTTCTTTGTTTCCCCACCTATGCAAAGATTTTGTATTCTCATGGTCTCTTCATCTAAAACATTCCTAGAGCCTGGACAACTCCTCCCCAACCCCTTTACAGACTGGTTATTTTAATTCACTCTTATCTTGGCTTACCCGTCTCCTACCCAGAGGCCTTGCTTGAGAAGCCCACCTCAGGATACTGCTTCAATTCAATGAAAGGATTTCAATGAATACCCTTTCATTCACCTCAGGATACTGCCAATTGCTATTCCCATTCTCTCATAGTCACATTATTTCTTTCTGCAATTTGATTATGAATGAATTTGATTACTTACTTCCTTTTAGTCTATCTTCCCCACATGACTGAAAGCTCTATGATGTTTTGTTCGCTTCTGACTACCCACTACAAATAGCACATAGTAGGCACTTAATAAATGTGTGCTGAATGACTGCAGAAATGACTGCTGTGAATTTAATCATTTGGTAGGCAGGCAGTTCTTTTCCTTGTTTGTGTAAGGGTGAGGGTGGCTTTGTGCACCCATGTGTGAGTTTTTGAGAATGGAGGAAAGATATTCTGGAGCTTGGATTGCTCCCTGCTAAAACCCTTCAACGTTTCCCCATTGCCTCTTGGCTCAGCTCAGTTTGCAAAGCCATTCAGGAACTGATTCTGCTTTCTTTCCTCCCCTTTTTCTACCATTTCATTTCCCTACTCCCTCATTTGTGGCCTGTGTATATGTGTATGGATGCCCACTTGGGTTGGCCCCTTCTATTCTGAATTGTCTATCTTGCTGACACTAGGATCATTTCATGTGAACCCCCCATCAGAGAGCCTTGTCTGAGCCTCCATTTCATCTTTTTTGGTGAGCTGGGTGCCTTCCATTTGTGCTCCCTACACTTTCCACCTTAACCCGTAGTCTCCCAAATGGGACAACTCATGGCCTTCTTTTGAGTAATTTGGGAAAAAAAAATATTTATTGTAAAAAAATTATACTTTTGTTCGCTTTACAAGATGCGTAAAATACTGGCATGCCCTTGCACATATATTCATTTTAAAAGGGGGACTATAAATGTATGTAGAGAGCATAGGTTCAAAAATTTATTACAAGAGTTCGTGATCAAAAAGTTTGGAGAGCATGATGACATTATACTTTTCATACTGCATGGCATTTGTCTGGATTTTGTCTGTCTCTTCAAGATCTTTCAAGGCACTCTTGAGAGAAGAAACACCGTACACAGCCGCAGTTCTTTGACAGTGATATGGGGGTGGTTTTAGAAGGTGCACAAAAGGAAGGTCGCTAACGCCTGTTGAGAACTCATTGCCCTTTGAATTCTCTTTTATTCTTCCTCATTTAAATAATAGGGGGGAAAAGTCTCAGCTGTGTGTCAATATGTTTCTAATACCTCTGGGTACCACTTGCTAGTTTCCCTTTATAACAGTGAGAACAGACTTCAGGCTCAAGCCCTTGAAAATGCCTCTTATCTAACCAAAACCCAACAATTCAGCTTCATTTTCATTGCTCCTTTCCATTTGTGGTCAGTAATATTGCTATGATATTTAAAACGATGTATGATTTTTCTCTTGCTAACCATGTAGAGTTTATTAAAATAAATTTATTTATAAAGAGTGAGTAAATTTTTTTAAATAAGCAAATTGTAATATAGGTGAAACTAGATGTTTCAGTCTAATGTCACTTGGGTAACACAAGGGTAACAGAGTCAACATGAGCTTTGAAATACAAAGACCTTGTAAGATTTTTGACTCTGGCCATGGCTAAATGTGTGACTGTTGCAAAGTCCTTCTCTGAATCTACTGTAAAAGGGATAAAAATACTTACTCTGTACAGTGTTTTGAAGATGAGCATTAATGTATTTAAAGATACTTCCCAATGCATGCACTTGATCAATAATGGATATATGTTTATGCAATGAGCAAATGGATGAGTAAGAATGGAATAAATCTGGATAAATAAGTCAAGGAACCTGGATCCTCCTCAAAAGTCCCAACCTTCTTAGCTGGAATGAGTCAGACTCCAGAGAGCCCCATTCTCTCCTTCACTAGAGTCCCATTTTCACAGTCATTTGACATTTACCCAGAGGACCTGAGAAAGTTAACGAGTTTTGCCTAGTCCCTTAATTCTCCTTTGGAGTGATTAGTGTGAACAGAGAATGGAATGCGCATGAGACATGGATTGATTTTGTGGCTCTGCTGGAATTCTGTTGGAACTTCACTCTACATTTGAGTAGTCTCTATGTAGAACTTCTGCTTTGGAAGCTGATGAGCTCCCCATACAAAGAAGTATTCAAGACTAGAAGAGATGAACATGTGACCCAAGTGTTGACTTTCTGCTTCTCTAAGAAACATTATGTTCATCATCCTGAAAACAAAGACATATTTAAGGGCATCTTGAACCAAGTCTTGAAAGCCTATTTCTGGAAGCTGTGTGTAGGCTATGCAGACATGACTTCACAGACCAGTGTGCAGTTGCACCCCTATCTAGCACTTAACAGACACAGCTATTTTACTTTTATTTCAAATTGAAAGCCATGTTTTTAAGAAGTCAAACCACCTAAGATCTTATAGAAGTAAGCAAATGAGTTTTTTCTCTCCACATTGTTTCTCTCTTTTTTTTAAGTAGTCTATCCAGCTTCTTTCAATAACAGCTGGATTCCAAAAGGCAAACGTGAAAACTTTCAGGCTTCCCAAGAAACAGTATCACTTCTGTTGCACTGTGTTGGTCAAAACAATCACAGGAACAGCTTTGATTCAAGAGAAGGAGACTCCTATTCTTGATAGAAGTAGTGGCATGAGTGTACAGGAATGGGAGGAATTGCTGGTGGTTGTTTATGTAGACGATCTAACACACACACACAAACACACATAATCCAGCTCACGAAATGTAGGACTCCCTTTTGCTAAACGCCAGGCTCTGCATTAGCATCCATCATACCTGATTTCTTCAAGGAATGTCTGTGGAGACTCCATAGGATCTCCAAGGATAAGGACCTCACGTCCTTCCATTTTGCTTTCATTTCCATTTCCTTTGGAGACAAATGCAAAAGAAAGTGGTTTCAGATCACAGGTAGTCATATGTTTTTGTGTGACTGAAAGGAAGGCCTTCGTGGTCTGTATGTGTACTTGTGTATGGCACGTGTTCGTGCACCCATGTGTGTGTATCTGGCAGGGAGGTGAAGGTCATTTTAGACTTTATATTCAGATCTTGAGCTATCCTGTGATGTCTGGTTCTCAATTCAGCTTTTCCTGTCACTAACCCTTTGCCCAGACCATCACTCACGCATGACTGACCTGCCTCGTGCACAAGACCATGTATTTGCTTTTCTGCAATTAGTAGATCAAGGTCCACCTGCTTTATGCTCTTCATAAAGATTGTTCTGGCAAAAACAAGTCCAGCATTCTTGACCCTTCTCTATTCTGAAAGATGTAAGAAAATGGATAGGAATTTGCTAGATATAGATCAGGTCATGAGGCAGAGGAGACAGGCTGTGTAAAGTTTCAGATCTGGAAAAGGGAAGGCCGTGTAGCTATTTGTCAGGACTTCTTTTCTGGTTTTACCTCCCAAAGGGAGATTTCTATGGGTTTGTGGGATAAGATGAAATGGGCCTTCTGTTAAAAAACAAAAAAAGAAAAAAAAAAAAAGGTAGTGCTGTACCTAGAGAATAAAATATTGGCCAGGCGCGGTGGCTCACACCTGTAATCTCAGCACTTTGGGAGGCCGAGGAGAGCAAATCACAAGGTCAGGAGTTGAAGACCAGTCTGATCAACATGGTGAAACCCCGTCTCTACTAGAAATACAAAAATTAGCCAGGCGTGGTGGCAGGCACCTGTAATCCCAGCTACTCAGGAAGCTGAGGCAAGAGAATCGCTTGAACCCGGGAGGTGGAAATTGAAGTGAGCTGAGATCATGCCACTGTACTCCAGTCGGGGTGAGAGAGCGAGACTCCATCTCAAAAAATAAAAATAAAAATAAAAAATAAAAAATTGAGGAAGAATTTGAGAATAAGATGACATAAAGTAATTGTTTACATTTGCAGATTTATATTTGGTTTAACTTATCTTTGGCAGAAAATATAAGCACTAAAATGATTGTAACACATTTCAGTGTCCTTAGCAATAATTTCTCCTTATTAACTGCTCAAGTTTTCATCTGTCAGAATGTAGCCAACATCATTTAACCAAAAGGGGGAAAATTTTCTCTGTAAGTCAGTACATGTATTACTCCATTCATCAAATACAGAGACATCACTTGTTAAACACTGCACTTTAGAGAACAGTACATTTGTGATTGCAGAAACCAATATAATCTCCCTCAAATTGCAAGCAGATATTATAAAGTGAAAACCTCCCTTCAAAAATAAACCCTGATCAATGACACAAAAAGGTGGCTCTTTGAAAAGATCAGCAAAATTGGCATATTTTAGCTAGACTAGCCAAGCAAAAAGGGAAGATCCAAATGACTAAAATAATAAATGAAAGTGGGGACATCATTACCAACCTTACAGAAATAAAAAGAATTAAAAGAGAATATTATGAACAGTTGTATACCAACAAATTAGATAACTTGGATATAACAAATTTCTAGAAACATGCAAACTATCAAAACCGACTAAAGAAGAAATACAAAATCGGAATAGGCCTATAACAAGTAAATATATTAAGTCAATAATTAAAACCAACCAACAATCCAACAAACATTTCTAAAAAAGAAAAGCTGAGGATCACGTGGCTTTATGGTAAATTTTACCAAACATTTAAAAAATATAACATCAATTCTTCTCAAACCTTACAAAAAATAGAAAAAGAGGGAACACTTCTGAACTTTTTCTGAGGCCAGTATTACCTTGGTACCAAAGTCAGACAAATAATCACAATAAAAGAAAATTATAGATCAATATCCCCTGTGAACACTAGCACAAAAATTCCCAAAAAAATACTAGCAAACCAACTCCACCAGCCTATTTAAAGAATTATAAATCATTACCAAGTGCAGTTTATCCAAGGAATGCAAGGTTTGTTAAAAATCAATTGATGTAATACCTTATATTTATAGAATAAAGGGAGAGAAAGCCACAGGATCATATCAATAGATGCAGAAAAAGAATCAGACACGATCTGTCACCTTTCATGATGAAAACACACAATAAACTAGGAATTGAAGGGAACTTCCTCAATCTGATAAAGAGCTTCTATTTAAAAAAAAAAACACAACTAATGTCATACTTAACAGTGAAAGACTGGACATTTTATTTATAAGAAACAGTATACGGATGTCTGTTCTCTCCACCTTCTATTCAATATTATACTGGAAGTTCCAGTCAAAGCAGTCAGGTAAGAAAAAGGAATAAGCACCCAGATTGAAATGAGAAGCAAAACTATCTCTATTAGCAGAAGACATGATTTTATGTAGAGAAAATCCTGAAGAATCCATAAAAAATACTATTAGAGCTAATAAACAAGTTTAGGAAAGTTGTAGGATACAAGATTAATATAAAAATCAGCTCTACTTCTGTACACCAGCAATGAACAATACAAAAACAACATTTAAAAAACAATTACATTTAAAATACCATCGAAAAGAATAAAACGCTTGGTAATAAATTTAACCAAGAAAGTACAAGACTTATGCACCGAAAACTACAACACACTTTTGAAAGCAATCAAAGACGACCTAAATAAATAGAAACACATCTCATATTAGTGAACTGGAAAACTAGAAAATATTGTTAAAATGACATTAGTACCCAATTAATCTATAGACTTAGTACAACTGCTATCAAAACTATAACTGCTTTTTTTTTTTTTTTTGCACAAATGGGCTAGTTGATCCTAAAATTCATATGGGAATGCAAGGAACCCTGAATAACCGAAGTCCAGACGAATAACAAAGTTGAAGGACTCACACTTTTAATATTAACATGTAATACAAAGCTACATTAATCAAACTTTGTGGTACTAGCAAAGAGATAGACATATAGATCAACAGAATAGAAATGAGAATACAGAAACAAACCTAAATATCCATGGTCAATTGATTTTCAACAAGGTAACTGAGACCGTTCAATGGGGAAAGAATAGTCTTTTCAACAAATGGTACTGGAACAACTTGATATGCACAGACAAAAGAATAAATTTGAACCCTCTACCTCACACCTTATACAAAGAACCTGAAAATGGATCAAAGACTTAAATATAAGAACGGAAGTCATAGTGTTCTTAGAAGGAGACATAGATATAAATCTTTATGACCTTGGATTATGTTATTGTTTCTTAAATATGACACCAAAAGCACAAACAACAAAAGAAAAAATATATAAATTGTACTTTAACAAAATTAAAAACTTTGTGCATCAAAGGATAGTATCAAGAAAGTAAAAAAGGTAACCCACAGATGGAAGGAAATATATATATTTTCAAACCATACATCTGATAAGGGTCTAGAATCCAGAATCTATGATGGACACTTACAACTCAGCAATAAAATGACAATCTAATTAAAATACATGCAATGGACTTGGATTTGAGCAGGAATTTCTCTAAAGAAAGTATACCGACGGCTAAAATGCACATAAAAAATGATTAACATCATCAATCATCAGGGAAATGCAAATGAAAACTATAATGTCATATCAGTATACAGTCTCTTGGATAGCTATAATTAAAAAGAAAAAAGAAATATAACAAGTATTGGTGAGAATGTGGATAAACTGGAGCCCTCATTCACTGTTGATAGGAATGTAAAATATAGCGGCCACTGTGGAAAATTTTGTCACTTCCTCAAAAACCTAAAGATGGGGTTACCATATGACTAAGCAATACCACATCTAAATATATATCCAAAAGAATAAAAACATATATCCATATAACACTAGTAGACAAATGCCATGGCAGCATTATTCATAATACCAAACAAATGGAAAAAATCCCAAATGTCTACCAATCAATGAATGGGCAAACAAAATGTGGACTATCCATACAATGGAATATTATCCAGTCATAAAAAGGAATGAAGCACTGATGCATAGTACAACATGGATGAATCTTAAAAGCATTTTACTCAGTGAAAAAAGCCAAATGCACAAGGCCAAAAACTGTATAAATCTATTTATATTAAGTGTCTAGAATAGATGAATCCAGGAAGACATAAAATAGTATAGTAGTAGCCAGTGGATGATGGAGAAGAAGTAATTGCGAAGTAAGTAATTTCTTTTTAGGGGGATGGAAATGTCCTGAAATTAGTAGTGATGATTGTATAACATCAAAAATATACTAAAAACCACTTCATTGTACGCTTTAAACTGTCTGAAACGGTAAATTTTATATTATATGAAATTCATCACAATTTGTTAAATAATATCACAATTTATATAATACATAATAAAAAATTTATCACACTTTATAACATAAGTTGAAATAATAACTCATCTTCTGGCCAGGAGTGATGGCTCACGCTTGTAATCCCAGCACTTTGGGAGGCCGAGGAGGGCAGATCACCTGAGCTCAGGAGTTTGAGACCAGCCTGGCCAATGTGGTAAAACCCCATCTCTACTAAAAAAAAACAAAAGTTAGCCAGGTGTGGTGGCGGACACCTGTAATCCCATCTACTCAGGAGGCTGAGACAGGAGAATCACTTGACCCCAAGAGGTGGAGGTTGCAGTGAGCTGAGGTCGTGCCATTGCACGACCAGTCTGGGCAACAAGAGCAAAACTCCATCTCAACAAAACAAAACAAAACAAAACAAATAACTCATCTTCCCACATCATCTTCCCTGATGTGGGAAGATGAGTTATTGAGTCTTCCTTGAATTGGGAAGGAGACTTTCACAAGTTTTGGTTTCTCAATATATGACAAAGCATGAACCGTGGGGAGGGAAGGCAAATCGTGCCACCAGTGCGCTTGGCCTTGGCTGGCTCAGGCCACCCTTAGCACTCATCAGCTTGCTTTGGATGTTTGTATGTTATCCTCATGTCTTTCTTCTCACTAGACCATGAGTATCTCCATGCCAGGCACCATCTCCTATTTAGTTCAGTAAAGATTTATTAAGTACACACTTCATGGTTAGCATTGAATATATAAAAATAATTATAATGATATATAATAAAAACAATAATAATTAAAATGGTAGAAGCTAATACACACTGAGAACTGGTTTTATGCCAAAACTTTTTCTAAGAACTTTACATATATTGGTTCATTTTGCAATCATGTTGGTGATTGCAAAATGAATTAATACTGGTAATCAAAGCAACCTTCGGATATATAATAGGTATTATCAGTATTATTATTATTGTTTCCATTTTACAAATGAGGAAACTGAGAGGTCAAGATTCTTGCTTGAGGTCCCATAGCTAGAAAGTGCAGAGTGAGGATTTGAAGCCCTGCAGTCTGATTCTAGGTCCCGTGATCCTGCTCTTGAGGCACTTAGTAGAGATTCTGTTCTTCACCGAAGTCCCCTAGCACCCCGGCTCCTTAAATGGAGGCAGACAGCAAGCAAGTATGGGAATGCAGGAAACAAAACTTGGGCATCCTTCTACATTATCAATCTTCAAAGAAGATTGAGAAGTTAAGAGGGTAGAGGCTGGCTGCTTTATTAGTAAAAATATAAAACACCATCATTCTGTTAAATTGTTCATGAGATCGGAGATTATTATAATCTCTTACCACTAGACTGTAAGCTCCAGGAAGACAGGGACTCTTTTTCTTTAACTGTTTCAATTTTTTAAAATTGCTGTCTCTCCAAAACCCAGGACAGTATCAAGTCTCTATTAACATTTATTTACTATTTCTTGGGTAAATATATAAAGGACAACATGTACTGAATGCTTACTATACATCAGACCTTGATCTTAGCGGGGTTCAGGTATTTATTACCTTTTTTCTCACAACAACATTATACCATCTCTATAATTTAATAAAGAGGAAAAAACTGAGGCATAGAGAAATTAAATTTCATATCTATTCAACCTGAAATTGTTGGAGCCACAACCCAATCCCAGGCCATTTGGAAAAAAGCACCTCCACTGTTTTTTTTTTTTTTGAGACGGAGTCTCGCTGTGTCGCCCAGGCTGGAGTGCAGTGGCATGATCTTGGCTCACTGCAACCTCAGCCACCTGGATTCAAGTGATTCTCCTGCCTCAGCCTCCCAAGTAGTTGGGATTACAGGCATGTGCCACCATGCCTGGCTAATTTTCTGTTTTTAGTAGAGACAGGGTTTCTCCATGTTGGTCAGGCTGGTCTCAAACTCCCAACCTCCGGTGCCCCACCCGCCTCAGCCTACCAAAGTGCTTGGATTACAGGTGTGAGCCACCACGCCCAGCTGCACCTTCACTGTTAAACAATAACTTTATAGCCACATTATGAAGATGAATGCAAAACCTGCAAGATTTTGAAGTTGAAACTGGGACTGTCAGATTATGTGATGAAACTGCCAAAATTATGGCAGTTAGTGGTGATGTCCCCAGAGCCTCAGGGGTACATGTTCACCGTCTCCGCTTGCCTCAGAATTGGTGTAATGTTGTAAAGCTTCCAGCTAGGGGATACGGAGCGTTCAAAGCAGGGTTGTTGAATGTTTGCTCAACATCTCTACTCCTGTGTCTCTTCTTTGAGGTCTTTCTTAAGGGGTGAGCTTCAGCCTTGAGAAGTGAATGGTTTCCTAATTTGGTTTGTAGGCTCCAGAATGCACCAGGAGGAGCCAGTGAGGCCGTGATGGAAGGGTGGATGGTTGATTTTGGTGTTTTTATTACTGCCCACATTCCAGGGTGTAGGTTCTATTTCTGTTGTTCAATTATATTATATTATGTACTTAGGACACTGAAGGAATTAACCAGAAAGAAAAGAAGAGAAGAAGGAGAAGAAAGAAGAAGAAGAAGAAGGAGAAGGAGAAGGAGACGAGGGAAGAGGGAGAAGAGAGAGAAGAGGGAGGAAAAGAAGAAGAAGAAGAAGAAGAAGAAGAGGAAGAAGGGGAGGAAGGAGAAAGGAGGAAGGAGGAGGAGGAGAAGAAGAAGAGGAGGAGGAAGAAGAAAATGTGAGTGCATGAGAGTCTAACATCTTGGCGTCTCTGTAAAAATGGGTAATTTGGCACCGTCCACCTTGTTGTGTTGTGACTTCTTAGATAAATACTCCCATCTTGATATTTCATTGGTGTCAAAGAGTGCAGGCTGTGGAGTTACACTTCGAGGGTTCAAATCCCAGCTCTATTTAGAATTTGGACAACTTATTAGACTTCTGTGCTTAGTTTTCCCATATGCCAAATGGGGTACCCTTCATAACTATGAATCATTTATTGTACAAGCTCCCAGAATGGTGGGCAGGGCATGATAAAGTTGGTACGGACTCTATAAATAAGTGTCATTGATTATTTGTGGTAGTCAGAGGTATGGGAACTTGATGTAATTACAATATTCTCAGAGCATCTGAGAAAAACTGATAGTATTTACTCCTTGACTTGGGGATAGAGTTTTGTGTTTGCTTTTAAAGTGCTGTGGAGTAGACGTCACCCCTTTTGCCACGTTGTTCTGTATCCTTCCCCCTCTTCAGTGTCAGTTCATTTGCAACACCACTCTTGGCCAAGCCACGTATTTAGACTCATGGAAGGGGATACATGCGGGCCTATAAATGATAGGTAAACAGCCCAGCTACTGAGTTTAGCTCCCTCCTGAGTCACGCCCTGCCCCACCCTGGCTCCCTGAGTGACCTCATACCTCTTCCTAATATCAGTCCATTTCCCCATCACCCTGGCCAGAGCACTTTTTCTGAGCTCACCTTGTCTGTGACAAAGCTAGGTGATTTTCCATGGGTCACCAGCAACTTCTGGTCTCGGGTGTGCAAGTTCCATATTGCCTGGGGTTGCTGCTATCTGTCACTCTATCTCTGTATTTCTTGACTGGAAGACAACACTCCAAACAGCACCCCAAACCAGCCCTTCTCAGGAAGTTTTGCTTCCTGCCTCAACTCACCAAAACTTCCCTTATAACTTATTATTACTCTTTTGTTTCTAAGTCTTACATTCTTCCCAAACATAGGACTTTACACTCTCGTGGGACTGTCTTTCCTATCTGAAGCAAACATCCCCAACCCAATTTGTATATAACATGTGATGATTATAGCATCTAAAGTGCGTCAGAGCTGACTATGGGGCAGGCACTCTTATTCACAAGAGTGCTTGCAATTGTCAGAAAAACTATAACACCGAGACACTACTACCTCCATTTTATATATAAGAACACTGAAGTCAGGGAAGGAAGCAACATGCTATAGATACAGGGCCGGAAAGAGGTACAGTAATAAAAGCTGCGGGTGTTTGACTCAGGAGCCAATACTCTTTTCTCTATCCCAATATTTCCTTTATGGACACTGAGACCATCATTAACCATCTTCCCCATATGACCATTTAAGAATGACTTAATGGGTATGGGGTTCCTTTTGGGGGTGATGAAAACATAATGCAGTTAAATAGTGATGATGGTTACATGATTCTATGAATACAGTAAAATGCACTGAATTGTGCACTTTAAGTGTACATTTTATGGTATGTGAGTTATATCTCAATAATAATAAAAGTAACCCATTCATACCCCTATACTCTAATGACTCAGCCCAGTTAGAGAGCAAATGTGAATAATTTATCACCTCTGATGGCTTTCCGTCACACTTAGAAAAAGTCCAAATGACTTTCAGACATTTAGCAGACTCTGAGGGTGCCCGACCCTTGTCATCCAGCACTTACCCTTCCTGATCACACCTGCCCAGCAGCATCCCACTGCAAACACCTGCAACTCCTCACCTGGGGATTGTGCCTTCTTCAGAAGAGCCAGGAAGTACAAATAAATTTAATCTTAGGCTCCTTAGGGAGCCTAAGATGGGTGGAGGAGTAAGAAGCCCACTTCTCTCCGGAGGAAGCAGTGTGCAACGTGCTGTGTACAGCCCCATAGGATTGAGCCCCATATGGTAGCCAGGTCAATAACACACCCTTAATTGGAATCTTTCCCCTCCCTCTCTCACTTCCCACTCACCTTATTGTGCCCTCCCAAATAGCTGTTTGTACTCAAACCTTCATCTTGTGGTTTTCTTATGGCGAGCCCCAACCTAAGACAAGGCTTTTTTTTTTTTTTTTTTTTTTTTGACATTGCTGCCACCTATCTCTTTGACTTCATCTACACTTTGCTTCCTACCTGACTAGGTTACACCCATACTGAACTTTTTTCCCTTCTCAACACACCAAGTTCATTCCTCCCTTAGGTCCTTTGCATTTGCACTTGGTCCTTTTTGCCCATACTACCGTACCTTGGTGGCCTCTTCTTGTTTTGTGGCCACAGCTCAAATGTCACCCTCTAAAAGAAATCTTTCTTGAACTCCGCCTAAATAATCTCAGTGCACCATCCCATACCCAACCAGACCCCATTTTGTTACTCCAGTGCATCTCCACATACCAGTACGTGCTGGAAGTTTTTGGTTTGCTCATCTAGCTATACAGGCTCCACCTTTCCCCATCCTCTTCTGTGCCAAGGGAGGCTGATCCTTATGGACTGCAGTAGTGGGTTCCCTGAATCTCAGGCTTCCAGTTGGATTTAGCTGGGGGAGGGCAGTCAGGCAATAGGAGTATGAATCAGAATAATGATGTCCCCAGTCCCCTTCCTCCTGGGCTGCCATGGATTAAGGACGCGCTGCTTCTGAAGTTTGGGTTTGAATCGGGTGGTCCTTTCCTTCAAGCCTGGTTCTGCTAACAGCTCCCTGCAATTGCTAGCTCTGGGGTACTGCACCATCCTTCCTTTGTCCACTGTGGACCTACTCATACCTTTATGAATAGTCCTGTATGAAATTCTCCTTAATGATTCCATTTGTGTCATGGGTTTAGTAGCGTGTGTGTGTGTGTGAGAGAGACAGAGACAGAGACCTAGCTGTTAAAACTCACAATTAAATTGTTTTATTATTTTCAGCATTTACATTTCTGTTGTCTAACACCTTCTACAAGAATATAAACCCCACAAAGGGAGAAACCTGGTCTTCCTTGTTCACAGCATGACTGTATTCTCAGTAGCTGAAACCATGCTAGGCATAAATTAGTCACTTAATAATTTTTTTAAATGTATACTGTATTTATCTGGAAATTTTTAGCAAAGAAAAGCTGACATGTTGCTAATGGATCAGGTTACCTACATTTCTTGGGGTGGCCCTCTTTTTCTAGTCCCGTTGCAGCTTCCAGGCAACTAGGTTTTCTGAGTTCATGCTTTTTTTTTTTCTTTCAATCCCTTTGGCCCTGGATGCTGCGACATCGGGTTGCAAATGAGTTTTTCTCTGGCATGGATTCAGCTGTAAACTGCTTCTGTTACAGGTTAATAAAACCTAGGAAATTACCTCCGAACAGCCAGAAATACATTGTGGAAAAATGAGGAGGCAGTTGAGAAATAAGGATTTGAGTTTTCAACATTTATGTTGGCTTTCACTCCTAATAAATATTTAAGTTAAATTGAATTTTACTTAACTTGATGACTATTTAACTTTAATAGTCATTGTTTATAACAGTATTTTCAGCAAATGTTTAGTGAAGACTCTTTGGCTCTTAACCAAAATGCATTATCAGAAAACACCTTTCTCTTTCTACTATAAATTTATAACTGGAAGTTTAGTCATGTAATTGTTGTATGAAGCCAATTTCAGTTGTTTTTCTTTGTAGAAAAACAGATGGAAAAGAACTCCTTTGCATTTGGAATTTACGTGGTATGATTTACTTCATAGGATAAGTTGGAAATCACAGTAGGCAAAATGGTGCCCTTTTTCCAAGATTTCCATGCCCTAATCTTCAGAACCTGTGACTATGTTACTTTCCTTGGCAAAGAATTAAGATGGCAGATGAAATTAAGGTTGTTCATCTACTCAATTTAAAATAGGAAGATTATCCTGGATTATTCAGGCAGGTCCAATCTAACGACAAAGGTTTTTAAAAATGGAGGAGAGGGCAGAAGATGATCACAGAGAGATGTGATGTGAAAAAGACTCAACTCACCATTGCTGGTTTGAAGATGGAGGAAGGGGCCATGAGCCCAGGAATCCAGGTAGACTCCAGAAGCTGAAAAAGGCAAGAAATGGGTTCTCCTGAGAGGCTTCAAAGGAATGTAGTCCTGCTGACACTTTGATTTTAGTGAGACCCATGTTAAAATTCTGACCTTCAGAACTCTAAGATGATAAATCTGTTGTTTGAAGACACCAAGTTTTTGGTAATTCGCTACATCAGCCATAAAAAAACTCCTGCAGGAAGTTAACTGCATTCTCCCCCTAGAGGGGTAGCCATAGTATCTCTCTTCCATACTAGATATCTTTATTTTTGCATGAAATTTCAATCCAGCAAACATGAGCACAGAGTCACTTGGGTACACTTTTAAGTTTCCATTAAGTCATTTATTTTACAAGTATATAGTACATTCCAAGTATTCCCATCAAAATGGGAGGTGCCCATAAATCAAAGTAGATTTAATCTTTCAATTCCCAGCTCTTTTGCAAGAAGCAAAGAAGAGAAAAAAATGCAAGCACCTAACATTGTGTTGAATATGGAAAGAATATAGAAGTGCAGCTCTTCACTTTTTCCACCCAGCAGAGGTGGTGAACTGCAGTACCAGGGTTAATACCCATGAATAAGATTAGACCTGAATTGTGAGGGAAATAGTAGATGCCTAGAACAGTATGTTATTTTGAAATTACATTTTCCTACTTCTTGCTTTCCTGCTTCCATGGTGTGAAGGGAGCTTGTGCTTCTTGACGTGTTCCAGCTAGCTGAGACGCTCCGAGTGCGCCAAATGACTCAGTCTCTGGACTACTACCAATGTTTTTTAGGATTGAATCCTGCTCTTATTTTCTAAGGAACAATGTTTAACTGGTCTCTGTGGCATGGTGTCAACTGACATCACCCTTTAATTGCAGATATGTCACATTAGACTATCCCCAGTATTGAGGGAAAGATCTCAAGTCAAGTTAAACATTATGATGGAGGCTGTGGGTGCATTTTTTCACACTCCTGGTCAAGGGGAGGGCCCATGTCATGAGGATAGGTATATTTTGAGCCCTCTCAATATGACCCCAAAAATGCTAATGCAAGTCCAGTTTATCAAACAGCTATATAGCAAGCCAGTATGAAAATCCCTCTGGAGGGTACATCATTTTGCATTCATCTATTTTAAGTAACTCTTGTGAATCAGATAGTGCTCAAAACATATCAAGCTCAGTTCACACCAAAAAGTGGTTTTTTGAAATTTCTCTTTGTGATTATGAATGTATGTGCAATGAATTATGAGACTCAAAATAAGTATTCCCATATGATTGCTTAGGGATTTTGAAATTTAATATCTACATGAAAGATGATGAAGTCATCTGCCCAGTGGCCTCTGAGTGAGCAAGGTCCTGTGAAAAAGATCCTGCTCAAACTTGTTTTTAGTACCAGGAGACTAGAAGTGAATACAGGGAGAGCTGACCTTTGTACGGGTCCTTTATAGAACTGTTGTTCATCCAGATCTGATCTCGCACAAAGTCACTGGTTGGCCCCAGATAAGACATTCAACCTCTCTTTTGCATGAAGAACAACACCTGACTTTATTATCTTAAAATAACGAGAGTTGGTGATCTCTCACACTTGTGAGAACTGAGAGAGGGGATCTGCTTAAGGACCCCCAGGGAGGTCTTAGGAGGCTCTCCACTTCCTGGAGAATGAAGGTAACAAACCTGTAGGAGCCTTGAAGGAGGTGTGGAGACAAAAACACATCAACAGAAGACTTATCACAATGCTATTGGGAGTCTTTGGATTTTCCTTAAAAGAGAATTTAGTTCTCTGGCTGAGGGGTACAGATCTTCCCCCTTTATGGGCAGATATATAGAAGAATGTAGCACAGAAGCCAGCTCTAAGTAGAAAGCAAAGACGGGAAAACCAAGAAAGCAGAGTTTATGAGCTAGACATGGCATTGGGGGTATGGTGAGAATCAGATAGCAAGATGGCAGACCAGGAAGTGTCCATTTCAAGAAGGTTTTCCAAGGCATTCACAATGCGCACTGGACTAATTTCATACAGACTCTTTACTGTGGGGTTTCTTTTCTCAGTTGTATTCTGATGCCCATGTGTTAGGTCTTTGAGTTTTATGGGTATGGTCTTCTGTTCCTCGTATTTGACTGGTGAGCTCTGATCACCTGTGTTGTCTGCCCCATTGCAGCTCTGCAATGAAGGAGGGAGGGAGCCAGGGATAGCATGGGTATGAAGGAGCAGGGGACAATTGCTTGGATGACAACTGCAGAAGGAATGCAAGTAGAGCAAGGGTCACATAAAGCCTTTGTGATGGCCCCTTCAAAACCAGCTAATGTCAACTTTGTCAGTGCCACCCACTTAGACTAGGGACACTCCTCATAATCAGGATATCATTTAAATACATTGGACATCATGTGCTGAGAAGCTTGTCATTCGCTGTCTCCATCAGAAAAATCATTGTCCTTTCCAACATAATAATACTTGATTTCAGGCAAAATACTAGGTACTTTCCATGTACTATTTAATATTTCCCTGACATGCTCTTTCAAAGAAGCTCAGTAAACAACCCAGTAATTTGGCCAATGCTCTCCTGGATGATCTGGCTTTGTGTCTGTTTACAAAGATACTGGATAAGGCTAATATGTACATTGTTTAAACTAAGGTCAGATTTGCAAAGGACCTTGATATTCTAATGCTTGTGTTCTATATTTTTGTCACTCAAGATGACTTCATATTCTAAGGCTAAAAGGAGGTATCAAGCCTGACAGGATGATCTCTGTAGAGTTCAAATAAATTGGTGAAAGAAAAAATAATTGTGATCCTCTCTGATTTAGCTGTGTTTAGTTTCATATAACCTTGCTATCTCCCTTAAGCTTAGGCATGTTCCAGAACAGTTTTCAAAGCATGGTTTTTGTCAGCCTTACCAGGTCGAGGTCTTTGAGTGTGAGACTCTGTAAATCTAAACTTTTAACAAACACTCCCAGGAACACCTACTCACAGAAAAGTTTTAAAATCACTGTTCAGGAGGATAACATCTTAAACTGCAGAACAAAGGGTCTCTTCCTCCTGCTTTCCCTCCTTCCCTCCTTCTCTCCCTCCCTCCTTCTCTCCCTCCCTCCCTCCTTTTCTCCTTCCTTTCCTCCCTCTTTCTCTTTCCCTCTCCTCTCCTTTTTCCTGTACCATGCCTTTTTTTTCTTTTAAGTTTTAATCACTTCTTCTTTTCTCCCATATTTTCTGCCAAAGTTTACTCTTGTCCACATGCCAGTGACAACCAAGATAAGTACAATGAAATCAAATGTATTTAGGTAGTTAGATTTAATTACATGATGAAAAATGAATTCACCAGGCTTTCTTTCAGGAAGAACAAGTTATTTAGAAAACTTTCTTGGCAAGTACTTAGGATATGAGCTGAGGCCTCTAGGGGCTTGATATGAACAGCAAGGCTCTGTAGGGGGCAGACAGGAATGTGTTTATTGCTCCTGAGCTGAGGAGGAGAGATAGGGAGGTTGAGGCCCAGGAAGTGGGAGAGGACCAGAAACATCAACTGGGAGGGGCTTATAAACCACAATGTGGCTATTCCCAGCACTCTCTCAAAATTTAAATAAAGTATATCAAAAGGCTTATAAGATCTACATTAGTGGAGATTTTGAGTCATGCAATGAAAGCTGAATTTTGTATCCAGGTTGGTAGGAGAGAAAAAGAAAATTCAGGGAGGCACAAAGAAGCAAGCGGGAGTGAACCTCAGGAACCCAGGGATTTCTGGGAAATCCCGGGGAGGGCTTCAGCTTGCTTGCCCCAAGCCATGAAATTGGGGTCTAAGCCAAGTTGAAAGATCTCTTAGGAATTGAGTGGCTGCATAATTTGTCAGAAAATCAGGACACTTTTGAGAGTTAAAGGGCACGTTTGAAATAATCATTTAAGGACAATAGGCATACACAGGGGAAAATGGCCATTCTCTCTAGAAAGGCCTTTGATATTTTGGGTTCATAGGAAAAAGGAGAGAAAAGGTTTGTGGAGGTGATTTTGAAGGTTTCTCCTAGACTGGGCTCAGGCTGGTAGGGACAGAGGTGAAGTGAAAGCAATTCGACAGGAGCTGGAGAAGCTCAGGAAATGAATCACAGATGTCTCCACTTCTGTGAGAAGATTAATTTTCATGTGCTTAGGTAAAAGATGACAGCAAATTAAGTTTTGATAGGAGTTGAAAGATACCCAGGTAAAGAATCTACAATGAACTCAAACAAATTTACAAGAAAAAAACAAACAACCCCATCAAAAAGTGGGCGAAGGATATGGACAGACACTTCTCAAAAGAAGACATTTATGCAGCCAAAAGACACATGAAAAAATGCTCATCATCACTGGCCATCAGAGAAAAGCAAATCAAAACCACAGTGAGATACCATCTCACACCAGTTAGAATGGCGATCATTAAAAAGTCAGGAAACAACAGGTGCTGGAGAGGATGTGGAGAAATAGGAACACTTTTACACTGTTGGTGGGACTGTAAACTAGTTCAACCATTGTGGAAGTCAGTGTGGCGATTCCTCAGGGATCTAGAACTAGAAATACCATTTGACCCAGCCATCCCATTACTGGGTATATACCCAAAGGACTATAAATCATGCTGCTATAAAGACACATGCACACGTATGTTTATTGCGGCACTAATCACAATAGCAAAGACTTGGAACCAACCCAAATGTCCAATAATGATAGACTGGATTAAGAAAATGTGGCACATATACACCATGAAATACTATGCAGCCATAAAAAATGATGAGTTTATGTCCTTTGTAGGGACATGGATGAAATTAGAAATCATCATTCTCAGTAAACTATCGCAGGGACAAAAAACCAAACACCGCATGTTCTCACTCATAGATGGGAAATGAACAATGAGAACACACGGACACAGGAAGGGGAACATCATACTCTGGGGACTGTTGTGCGGTGGGGTGCGGGGGGAGGGATAGCATTAGGAGATATACCTAATGCTAAATGACGAGTTAATGGGTGCAGCACACCAGCATGGCACATGTATACATATGTAACTAACCTGCACATTGTGCACATGTACCCTAAAACTTAAAGTATAATAATAATAAAAAATAAAAATTAAAAAAAAAGATACCCAGGTAAATTACCAAAAGTGACAAAATAAAGAAAAAAAAGGACAAAAGAAAGAAGGAAGAAGGGAGTAAGACAATAAGGACAAAAGAAAGAAGGAAGAAGGGAGTAAGAAAAGAAGGACAAAAGAAATGAAGGGAGGAAGGCAGGAAGAGAAGGAGGGAGGGAGAGAGGGAGGAAGGAAGGAAGGAGGGAAGGAAGGAGGGAGGGAGGGAAGGAAGGAAGGAAGGAAGGAAGGAAGGGTAGTTTGAGGCTGTTTGTTCCTGGCTGTTTTTCTGGGTAAACTGACCACAGAATTCAAAACTTTGATTTGAGTGATGCATCACAGAACTAAGACATGGCTGTCAAACAACTGCTCAACTAAATGGTACGCAGTGTGGTAACGTGAAAAGAGATGAGGCTTTGAAATCAGCGAAACCTACCCTGCAATCCCAGGGAAACAAGACGGTAGCAAAACAGAGTTGACTGTGTGGAAGAACAGTTTCTCAAGGCGAGTCACAGTTTCTAAAAACACCCTCTCCTTTTGCTTTCTACCACAAATCCATTTTTTAAAAACCCTGTCTATTGTTGCATCATGTAAAGACAGTCAAACAATATCACAAAATTTTCAGGATTTCTTTGTAATGGGTTTCCTTCCACTGTAAGCTTTATGGCACATAAAGATTTCAGTGTAGGGGTTACAGAGGTTTCTAAGAAATAGACAGTTATTCTCCAAGTAGCTGAAGCTGAAGTTCAAGGGAAGATCCTGTGATCTCTTGGTAGGAGAGATGGCACAGATACGGAAGATGCTATATACAGAAAATCATCACCAACAACATCAAAAAACCCAAAGCATTCAAGCAGGAAAGACATATCAAATGTCACAGGAGAGAATGTTCCAGGCTTGAGAGGTTGATTTGCAGTTGCACTTCTCACACGGGCAAGTTGATGGAGCACTTTCCTGGGGTATGTTTATCTGGACTAACACAGGGAAGGCAGCTGGTCTAAATTAGATCACATGTGCAGAGGCCTTGCAATGGCGTGTACATATGAGGGGGAGGTGGGGAAGCATGCGATGGGTAAATCAAGTGAAGACAGGGCCAACGGCCACAGTGGGTCACTACCGAGCAGGGTAACCACTTGTTGAAGCCACCAGACTTGAGCAACAGTGATGTATAAGTGTCAGGACTAAAACTGCCCTTCAAGTCCTTGCCTAGGTCTTGTCAAAGCTGGAAGCTCTATCATTTCAGATCTGCAAGCAGTTTTCTGCTGAAAACATGACTACCCCTTTAGGGACATAGTACCCTATTTTCTCGTCTGAGAAAAATTACCTGGATAGGCCCTTTGGTGGTGCACATAGGAAAAACCAGCATTGTCCAGGGTCCTTGGGGAAAACCTGTAAGGAGTCATGAAATTGAATACACATTTTTAGAAGTTTGGTAACTTAAAATGGACTGTTTGGCTGAGCCATAGCTCTGTTTTCATTATCAATATTTTGTGGTGGAACAGAAGTGGAATTTTTTTTTTCCATTGAGATTCCATTTGCACTGTGCCTGTGAACCAGGGCTTGTCCTTGGTGGTATTAGTGTGTTTCTGTTATAATGTATAAGGCAGAAGATGGCTGGTGAATGCTCCTGTCATCTTGAAAAGGCATGGTGAAAAACAGAAAGTCGACCATCCTGGTCAAAGACCACCCTAAACCATTGTGTTGATAATCTATGGGCAGAGTTCTTGAACATTTAACGGCTCAGGCTTGGAGAACTGCCTGGATGTCAGACAAGTGCATTCTGACCACCTATTTAGCGTTATGTGTGTATGTGTGGGTGGCAGGTGAGGACGATGGGGGAGGAGACGTGTTTTCTTGAAGACAATGGAAATCCCCATTGTCTATCATCCAGGATTGACGTCAATACTAGGAGAGATAGAAAGCTGGCCTTAAACATGATGCAGGAAGCACAGTTCCCTGCCTCTGCATCCCATGGTGAGTAGGCATGGACTCTGGGACTAAGACATGCTTGAGATTATTTCCTAGAGAGAGAAGCTGCTCTCCCTGCATGGAGAAGTTTAGAATGCACATAGCGAGGCAGCTCTGTGAAGACCTCATGAGGAAGGGTCTAGGCCTAGGGTGGGGGTGTTCTAAACAGGCTCACCGTGAGTTGCAAAAATGGATAGGTTCTTGTTTCCTTTCATTTACAGCCCCAGATACAGTCAAATATTCCTAAAAACAAAACGCAACTCAACCAAGCAACATCAACAGCAAAGTTCTAACTTTATGCGGAGGAGGCTTTGAAGGGAAGGGAGGGCAGCTCCCCAAAACCTAACCCCAGAGTTCATCCTCGTGGGATGAGCACCCACCTGAGAAGGGTGAGCAGAGGTCTCAGCAGAGTGTGAGAGAAAGGAGGACGGGGCAGGAGCCACACAGATGCCAGAGAAGGTTTAGGGCACCGCCACTTTCGACATACTAAGGAAGAGAGAGAACCTAGCAAGCGTGGGGAGCTACAGCAGCCCGGCAGGCGAGGTGTTGTCACTCACGTCCAGTTTCTAGCTCGGTGACCTCCTTTGGACTTCTAAGTTGGTGCAGTTAATGCAACATACAAATTACAGCAACAACCATCGTGATGATGTAAAATAATGATATGATAACAGTAATACCATGATTGCCGTCTTTAAAACAAAAAACAAAAGACGTGCTGCTCATAAAATCTTGAACAATTGTAAAATGCTTTTCTCACTCTTCCCCTCCTATCCTTCTGAGCTGACTGTTCCCTGTAAATGAGTCATTTCAATAGGAATGTTAATGTATTTGACATGTGTCAACATCACCCTGAAAAAAAGAAGATGTTGGATTGTTTTACTGGCACACACAGAGCAAAGAGAACTGACAATGTGTGTATTTGTCTGGGCCTTACACTTATGAGGCATATATAAATCTAACATCTCACGGAATCTTTCCGTCAGCCCAGGAGTCCACTCACCACCTACGTTCCTGCTGTCTCTCCTTAGAGTTAAAAATGTGCTCTTCATAGACTTGGTGTTCCTTCTTAAATCAGAAACATTGATGGAGGCTTTACTGTATGCACTAGGTATTGACAATATGAGAATAAAGTATCTACCGCAACATGTGAAGATAGTAATATAGAGACAACACATACTAATGCACTTGAAAATGTACTTTGCTTGGCTGGGCGCAGTGGCTCACGTCTGTAATCCCAGCACTTTGGGAGGCTAAGGCGGGTGGATCACGAGGTCAGGAGTTCAAGACCAGCCTGGCCAAGATAGCGAAACCACGTCTCTACTAAAAATACAAAAATTAGTCAGGCGTGGTAGCGGGCACCTATAATTCCAGCTACTCAGAGGGCTGAGGCAGGAGAATTGCTTGAACCTGGGAGGCGGACATTGCAGTGAGCTGAGATCGTGCCACTGCACTCCACCCTGGGCGACAGAGTGAGACTCCATCTCAAAAAAAAAAAAAAAAAGGAAAAAAAAGAAAAAAATGTACTTTGCTCTTCGGTAACTTTGATTTTAGGTAACAAGTATAAAAATTACATACAATGGCACTGGTCGTACCTGTGTGCTGGCTGTATACTGACTATTTTTAGACCTATTCCTTGGGAAAACTGAATCCTGAAAACTATATTTCCCCCATTCCTTTAGGAACTGGCTCCTGATTGGCTTTAGCCAATGGGAACCACTGGTTGCAGTGGGAATGTGAGAGAAAGAGAGTAGTCAGGATATTTTTCCTTTTCTTGTTATGCTCTGATCAGCATCTCCAGCAAATGCTTGTCTCTCCTCCAGAATTCCAGCTCCACCCAGAAAGCCTCTATCATCCAAGCTGCTGCCACACAGCTCTGGCTTTTGAGTTTTGAGGAAGACACATCCTTTTGTCTCTCCAGCCCTAGGAGAATCTAGCTGCTGCAAATCTGTGGGTTGCTTCCTCATACCCTTTAATGTCTTTGTACCTTATGATATGGTTTCCCATATTGAATGTTTGCCATTGAGCTCCTAGGCTTTGATTCTTCTTCTGGCTGGAACATAACTAATCTAGAATATCTAGAACATTCCAAACAGCAATACACATGTAGGAGTGAAATGTCAGTGTGCTGTTATCTAACTGGCTGGTGCCTTTTCAGTTTGTTTCCTGCTGGCCTGAAAAACATTCTGAAAATTGCATGGACCCATACGTATTGTTCCACTCAAGCTTTCTGGGTGTAAGTTTTCTGATAATATTGTCGGCATATGTATGAGTGATCCTTGATATAAACAAAAAATAAATCAACTGAGGGATATACAGTCTGAAGGTTGGAGGTAGCTGAGAAAAAGCTTTCCAGATGACTCTGAACTTAGGTGGGGAGAAGCTTGTTGAAACCAAAAAGAGATGGCAAATCTCAGTAGAGTAATTGGCTTCTCTCTCAGATCACCCCCACGGGCTTTATCTAGCTGGGGTATTTTTTTCTTCCTGTATAAAACAGGCTGTTTTGCTCCCAAGTCACATGGAAGCTTGGTAAGATGCTTGGATTTCACGTTCCCTTGTTCACCAGACTTGTTATATTTGAGAGAGAATTTGGTCTTGTCCTTGAGGACCTTGCTATAGAAGACATGAGGCCTGGCTTTTCTGGAACTTCCAGACAAGTTGCACAAAGGCAGTAATGACTCCCAGGTTGAAAGGATAGGAGGCTGCAGGTCTCAGTGCTGGGTGCCCAGGACACACACAGACACACAGTCTACTGTGCTCAAAGAAACAGTAAGGTGAAATCAATCAAGGCTTCATGGTGAAGACTTGAGTTTGTCAGATGCTAGCAGGAGTGAGACAGACTCAAACTTGGCCAAGAAAATTAGCAATGGGCGTACCTCATAAAACATTTAAGTTCAGGCTCATCTCAATTAAGCCTCCCAGAGCCTCAGGTGTTTGTCCAAAGCTTACCTGGGCCTGAACTCCTGGAACCAAGTAAGTTTGCTGGGGCCGGCAAGAACATGCTTCCCCATGAGAAACTTGGCAATAAGAACCCCCTCTCCTCATTCTCATACCCAGTCTAAAAAGAACCATGTGAAAACTATGAAAAGCAGGTTTCAAACATTTCTAAGCTATGAAAAATTTGGATTTAATTTTAACCAGCTATATCCAAGTCTGATGTAAAAACTCAAAAGTTATCTCTCTGTCCCAGGTGAAGCTGTTACTTCTACAATATGGAATCATAATCTCTCCTTTAGACAAACAATCAGTGATGGGCATTGCCTAAAATGTTGTCCTCTCTTTCCTGAACTCTGGGCTGAAAACTGGATTGGTGTAAGCTAGATTTGGGGGTCACATCCGGTCAAATGAAGTTAGTTTCCTCTTACTTCCTATAGTCATTAAAAGTCTTTATCTAATATTTTAATAACAATGATAATGACAATAATTATTGACATTAATGGAACCCTTACTCTATGCTGGGCATCACGCTAAGCATTTTACAAGTGATTATCTCGTTTCATCCTACACTTTGGGTGGGTACTGTGATTATCTACCTACATGGTAGAGACAAGAGAAACAGGTTCTGGGAAGCTACATTACTTGTCTGAATTCTCTCAGTTATTAAATGGCAGGAATTAAACTTGGGTCTGTGGTTCCAGAGCTCATGCTTCTAAGCACTTCGCTGGGTGAATCTCTGTTGAGATACTTTTCATGAGAAGGAACAAAGCTATCTAAATAAATTATTCTGTTAATAAGATAATGGGCATGAAAATGCTGCGAGAACTGCAAAGTCTCATAAAGGTTAAGAATTAATTATTACAAGGAAATTCTATAGCGTGGGAGGAACACCAGAAAAGGGAAAGCAGAAAGAATATTGATCATGAAATTAAAAGACCCGTATCTCAGAAGCATATCAGTGTAATGATTATGAATTTATAAAACTTAAGTATTCAAGGCCTGCAAGGAAGAAATATGGTGAAACAGAGAAAAACATTAATTTGTGGGGAGCTATGAAAATGAAGATAAATCTTTTCTTTCTTTGATTCTGATTTCAGTGAGATCATTTGTACAAATCTTGAAACCAAAGCACAGCCTGTATGAACCCATGTTGAACCCTGGACTTTCAGGACTACTGTATGGCTAACCACAGCCCTGCAAGGCCAGGCTCAGCATGTCACAGTTTTGCCACTGAACAAGAATCTTTCGAAGGATCGCAAATACTACATGGAAAATGACTGTATTCTTTCTGCAAGGCCACTCTCTTAGACATCACCCTAACAAAAACAATTACGGGTTGGAAGAGGAGAAAGGATGCAAAGTTTGTGCCTTGACCTAAAAAAGGTCATGAGCACCTCTACCGGTTCTTGGAAACATTAGTTGCAGTGGATCTCAAATTCTATTGCGCAAAAGAACGACCTGGTGACCCTCTAAAAGTGTAGATTCTCTGGTTTCACCCCTAGACCTTGTGACTCACATGTCCAGTGAGGCCAGGAACTCCTCACTGTTAACCTGTGCCCTATTTTAACAAGCCCTGCTGGGAGTCGGGATGTTGGGGGTCCCCACACCACACTGAAATAGAGGAATTCCCTGCTCAAAGATCCCGTTATGTCCTGATTACAATCTGCAATGAGATTATGAAATCATTAAATCATGATTAAGCCAATGTGGAGATTGATATGTGTTGTATGAAGCTATTACTGATTGGGTTTGTTCTTAGAAAACTAGACTTTCAGAACAGTGGCCAGGGTGAATTTGGGGCAGGACCCTATACCCAGCCCTGTGCGAGAACTTTTATCTATAGTCTCATTTCATACTTAAAATAACTTAGGGAGATTAGTGTTACTTTGCAGGTGAGGGAACTAAGGATTAGGACAGCAGTTAAAATACCTTCAGTGAGGTCACATGGCTAAGAAGTACTGAAATCAGGATTCTAAATCAACATATATATTTGACCCTTTTCAGTATACCATGCAACATCTAAACTCCTGCCTTCAAGCAAAACGTGTCACGGGTCGATTGTGATTGGAGCAACAGTCATTCAGGGGAGAACTTGGACATTGTGGATGAATTGACTAAATTCTCATTGCCTCAGTCAGCCCTTGGTACCTACTGGTCTTACGTTGGGAATTTATATCCTAAGGACTTAGTCTTTTTCCTAGTGGAATCGCAGGGTTCAGAGCTTCTACTCTGGGGTCATCGATCCTATCTTTCTACTGCTGGGGTAGCCTCTTACTCTACTTCCCCATTTGGGACTGAAACTAATGGCTGTCATTAAGCAGCCCCCATGACAAAGGATAAGCTTAATATATCCTGTATCCTGGTCTCGATTTGTCATAGTTATAAAAATGGGGAAAGCTTAGCCTTCCTGCAATTACAATTATTCTTCTAAAATATTTTAAGAATATTTAATTTTTATGATGACAAAAAGAGCAAAGAGTGAAATATAGCAAATAAACCACTAAGTACATAGTATGTCAAGTGGTGAACATTGGTGTGGAGAGGAATAAGCAGGGCAAGAAAGATAAGGAGCGGAGAAAAACTAATGTGTATTTAATATATATATTAGTTATGCACACATACTTATCAATCTATATTAATATGTAGATACTTTAGAAAACATTGAACACCGTTTAAAAATATTACCCCTAGTTCTGCTACATACAGATAAACACTGTTAACAGTTTGGCCTATTTCCTTTTGGGTTTTTTTTTCCCTATATTAAATTGGGATTATATCCAATTCGCTTTCATAAGGTAAGCTGCATTTTTTACTTAGCATGTCATAATCATTATTCCATGTCATTAACATTGCTTTGAAAACATAATTTTATATTTAAAGGTTTGCTAAGTACCATTGTAGGAAGGCACTGAAATTGATTAAGTAATTTCCTCTGTTGTGGGACATTTAGATTATTTGTCATTTTTTCACCCACATAAATATCCCACGGATGTACTTTCTTACGTATAAATCTTTATGTGTATATCTAAACATTTTCTTGGAATAAATCTGTGTTTTTGAGTCTGTTCCCCCAGGCTCTTGATGTATGTTGCCAAATTACCCCCCAGAAACAGGGTGAAAACTCCACAATTCAGTGATCTTGCCACTCCAGGGCTAGTAGATGCTTTTACAAGCTCTCTAAAGAGTTCTGTTCTGTGCTTTCATTGAACTGATCCAATCTGGTCTAGTTCTCCCAGGTCCACGAATACTTACGTGCCACTTTCCAGTGTGATGCTCTGAAATGACCCTTCCCATCCACACCCTGGAGTGGAATATCTCTTCCCACAGGGGTGCCTTTCTCAGATTCTGGAGGGGCAACCTTAGTCCCTTCCCCTACGTTTTGCTTGAGTGAGTCATAATCTATTCCTGGCCTCTCAGGCCCCCGCTCCAGGATGCTGTAATCACAGCACTAACCTGTGTTCACATTTCCCATTATTGAGCAGAAATCCCCCTGTGCCTCCACACAGCCTGGCTGCTTCCTAATGGCCCCAGCTCCCAACTTCTAATAGCCCCATCCTCATTTCTCCCAAGAGCCAGCTCTTTTTGCTAGTGTTTTAAGAATCCTGATCCAGACGAAAATCCTCCCATGATGTCCATCTGGTCAAATTGAAGGTGATGTAAGCAATGAGACAGAGAGACGGGTGTGTCTGCATCGATAGGACAGAGGAACCTCCCAGGACCATCCATCTTCTGTCTCCTCCAGTGACATCTAACTGCCCCCCTCCTAGTCTGGGATTTGGGGATGACAGACAACTTCCCTAATTGCCAGTGCCACACTATAGAGATGGGGTGGATGTTGGGCTCTGAGCATAGCCCCCGCTTCCAGCCCTGACAACAACTTCCTGGAGATGCTGCTTCTTTCTTCATGTGCAAATCCTACTCAGAAAGTGGATGTTCCCCTTTGCACTTGATCATGTGGGAGATTTAACCCTTGGAGGAAATGGTAGCAGGGACAGCAGAGACTTTTGTGGATGTGGATCTGTTCCAGGTTTAGAGCTGTTTGTCCTATCTCAAGGAGAAGGCCCTCATCCACTCCTGACCTCAACTGCAGCTTCCTCAAAATGGATAAAATGCTGTGCTGATGTAAAGAATGGTGATCAGAAGTGATTACAAAGCATGCTGCAAGCACAAACATAATGATTGTTTTAAAAAAGGAAAATGTTATCAGCACTGGACAATGCCAGCATCTCCTCTATTTTTTTTTTTTTTGGTTCCTATGAAGCCACCTGGGGATCAAGTTTTCCATTTCTCCCTTCCTTGATTAGCATGGGATAAGGTTCACATGCTTCCATGACCAGCTGCCAAGTACATGGGTTTTATGTTAGGCACCTATTTCTGGGAAGAGATGGGTGGATGGTCAGGGAGAGAAAGTAGAAAAAAAGGTTTTCAGTTGCAGACTCAAGAAGTTATCTCTGAACTTCGATGTAATAATTAACCAGTAATTAAATTATTAAAACAAAAATAGCCTTCTCTCCAAATCCCCAAGGAATTGCTAAAGAGTAAACTAGAGCTCTTGGAATGACAATAACACAAAATGGCAGCAGGAAGCTCCAGATAGGTAAGGGCTGCGAAAGCTGCCTGCTGAAACTCCTGCTCACCTGGATGTTGAGCTGCTTCTAGCGCTCCTGCCTCAGTCAGGTTTAAGGAGAAAGTCATGTGTTAGCTCAAAAAATCTGATGATGTTTTTACTTGGTTCCAGAAATTCTGATAGGGGCTGGAGGTTCAGAGGTGAGTAAGCTAGAAAAGTTCCTCGTTTCATGGAACTTTCATTCTAATGCAGTAAAGGAAGATCATCAAGTGGTAAACAAGCCAACATACACAATAACCTCACAGCCTGATAGGTACTTGAAAAAAATTAGTAAAGGTCATAAAATGTCAATGTTGTTAGCAACGGACTGAGATTAAAGTCTGCTTCTCTGTCTTCCATTCTATTCTCAGGAACCAAAGATAAACTTTTGAAGGGAAAATCTGATTATGCATAATCATTGGACTTTGGCATTTCACTACTTGCCCTTTAAATATTATCTTTTTTCCTCCACAAAACTGCACATGTCATGAAAGTGGAGACAGGGCTGCTTTTTCACTTCACCCCCTCACTGTTGCACATAGTGGGAGCTCAGTAAATATTTGCTGGATGGATGGATGAATTAAGAGAGGTTCTATTTGGTAGTGGTGGAGGGGACTGCTGTGATTGATACTTAAGACAGGTGCAATCCAATTGGTATCTATCAAGGGAGCACCCAACTGGAGAAGCAACATGAAGCAGAACATAGGTTGCCGGTGGAGTTAGGAAACTGACTCTAGGTTTGGCTCATCATTGGCTCCGAATATGTCAACTTCATGGCCCTTTCTGCTCCAACCCCAGCATAGAAGTGTGGAAAGGTAAACCTCAGAGCAGCAATTTGGTGGTATTAGGTATAGAAGGATTTCCATTGTTAGGCCATGGAGAAGAATGGTCAATTCAATGACTTAATATTGCAATTTAGAATCCCAAGAACGCAGGAGAGGTTGTAGGGTCAAGAGGAGATGAGCCTAGCCCTCAGGGATTCTTAAACACTTAGATTATGGTGTTTATGAAGTTACTCTGAGTTCTTCCTTTATTTGCAAAATTGGCATAATCACCAAGTAATGAGCTTTGCTGTTAGTACCCTGATTCTGTTTAGGCCCATTACCTTTGCTTAAACATTATATCCACAACATTCCTAAAATGGTTATGTTTCCTGTTTGAGCCAATTGGAAGTCTGAAGGCTAAAAGCTTTTTTGAACAATCAAAGATCTGAAAGTCAAACTGGCTTCATCAAAAGGGCAGTGAATTTCCTAAGAGAAGAGAGATTCAACTTGAGGCTGGACATGTCAAGGATGTTAAAGATCAAACAGTGGCAAATAATTGAAAAAAAAATGTTTGTATGAAATGCTGTCTGAACCTGACATTTTGTGAGCCTGTGACATAAAACATTCATTTGGTGAGCTGTCAAAGAAGACTTTATCCTCTTATGTATCCATGACAAATACTTGGGATGAGGATCCAGGGGTTTTTCTAGTCCTTGGTTTTCTCATCTGTGAAAAGGGGTTGAAAAATTCTACCTCCTAGAATTCTTGTAAGGCTTCCAAGGGGTAATACTTAGGAAATACCAGGTTCCTAGTCAGCACTTAATAAATCTCAGTTAAATTTGAATCTGAACTCTTTCAATACAGGAGCACTGAAAGTTTAGCCTTTCTCAATAATATAAGCTACCCTGAGCCAAGGCAAAAATCAGTAGGACTCCAACGTTCCCACTCCCTGATTATGGAAGCAGTGAAAAATGTGTTGATTTTATTCTTTTGGTGAGCTGTACACCCACCTAGCAAGACCAGGCCTAAACATATGGTCCCAATTTCTTGTCTCAAGGGAAAGACCAGTGTTCTTAGAGAAGCTAATTTTTACCAGTCTCCATAAAAAGTAATTTCCCATCCATGGAAAGTGGATTGGCCTGAACAGGCTCTGTTAACTGTTCTCAGGGCAGATGCGAAGCCCAGCAGAGGGCACTTGCCTGTGCTAGCTCTACTTCTATCTACTCTCATCTCCAACTTCTACCCTCTGTCTATCTATGAGACCTCACAGGTCTGTTCCTCTATGAAGCCTGTCTTGATTGCTCTAATTGGGTTTAAGTCCCTTTAGCGTATGTTGTCACTGTGTCATGAACATACATCTTTGTAGTAGTGTTAAGCTGGGGTTTGTGAAAGTTTGGGTATTATTTCTCCCACTTGACTGTAAGCCCTGTCTGTGTTGGCTCCCTATATCCCAGCGTCTAGCAGAGAGGCAGAACACACTCCACAGGAATACTTGCAGAAGGGAGAAAGAATGCTTGTGAGGCTGTTGGCTGAAAAGAAAACTGAAAGCAGGAGAGACAAACCATTGTGTGGATAGGCGTCTCACTGCACCGGGCAAAGCCGGGCAAACAGAGGGAGTGGAGGGTTACAACAGGAGGGATTTAGGACAGTGTTCAGGAAGAAAGCTGCTTTGCAAACATCCTTTAAAATTCAGGGCTGCCTAAAGAGTTACAGTGCGATCCCAGGGAAAACAGCCAGCAATTATATCAGCCTCTGCAAACAGAATAATCTGCTTTGCTCCAATCCCGATTTTTATTTTCCATAGGTTTTAAAGAAAAGTTAGAAGATAAACTTTACGGCGAAAGATTATAGGCAGGGTTCTGGCTAGGCTTTTTAAGCTAGGGGGATTTAAGGAAAGGAGACAGTACTCTCTCTCTGAGACCAAGTGAGTCTCTGGGGATGGGTGGAGTCGAAAACCTCTCCCTTGCTGGGCGATACTGTCTTGTGTTGACGTTCAAAAATATCTCCTTTAAGTTATCAAAAGAACCATCTCTTAGGTGCTGTCTGTTAGGGTAGGAGGTGGGCATGCCTAGGTCTTCTCCTGCTGCGAAGGGAAGAAGGAAGCTAGCTGGGGCCTTTCTGCTGAGCCTTTTAGACAATAGCACAGTGAGTACAGACACGTTTCCCTTGACTGCCAGGCTCAGAGCAAGGGCGAGGGTGGCACACAGGCATCTGCTAAGCAGAAAAATGTCATGCCAGGGGCTTCTTCACCAGCCAACCCTGTTCCTAGCTGGCAGGCCACTTCCCAGGCAGTTTCCAAACAACAAAACAGAAGGGATTTCATTTCTCACTTCATTTTTTTTTTTTTGGCTTCTGTATTCCCAGTCCCTACATTCTGAATAAACAACCTTTTGTTGTAAATGGATAACTTGTAAGCCATAGGCACTCAGGGAGAGCAAAGAAGCTAGCTAAGGTGTGGGGAGGGGGAGGAAGAATCTGTGCTCCAAGACTGGGCCTGCCTACTGTGTTGTTATGTGTCTGGGCTACATGTGTCTCCATGTCTCCGCGTCCTCACCTGGAAAGAGGGATAATTCTGCATGCCATATTGACAACCACAATGGTGAAGATGAATTAGAAGGAGGCACCTTGAAAAAAAGAAAAAAGGAAACTGTATAAGAAAAAAAGCCCCACACAGTTTTAAATATGCTCAACTTGATAATTCTTCATAAAATTAGAATCACAGTGACTTCCAGTATGCAGCTGAGTTCACGTGAAGTCTGCAGTCACTTGTTAGAGAAATGCTTTTACGGAATTGCTTCACCAAGCAGAGAACTGGCTCTGCTGTCTCACAGATGTGGGAAGTGACCAGCTTTGATCAGAGTAGCCTTGATCCAGTCACTTTCCTCTCTGAGTTGTGGTTCCCACATTAGTTGAGGGGAAGCTGCCGAGGTGGATGTGTGTTGCAGGATGAAGATAAGATGTTCCCCAAACACACAGAACATGGGTCTTTTCTACTCATTCCAGGATTATTGAGGAAGATCCACCTAAGATGCAAGTGTTAAATACAGTGATGGGGCAGGATGGGCCAAGGGTGATAAACATGCTCATTCTGAGAATTGGTAGTTATGCATAGGACTGCATAAGGCTGGCATAGCCCTGGCGATGTAGGTTCTACTGAGACCTATCCCCAGATGGGGGCCATAACCACATGGGCAGTTGTACAGCCATGCAACCACACCAGTAAGTGGATAGAACCAAGAGCTCCAAAGTTACACAGACAGTTTCCAGTCCTGCTTCTGCCTCCCCTGCTCAGTGCCTCTGTTTACCCATGGGCACACCAAGCTCTAAATAGGATTAAGCATGGCAACTACTCAACACAGTATCTGGTAGAAACCCCTCAGAAACGATAGTATTATTAACAATATTATTACTAACCCTAAGTACCTGGGGCTGCATATATCTCAGCTCTCTTTTCCTCCTGGGCAATTTCCATTTTCTAAACCGAGGTCCTGCTTTTTCAGCAAGGAAACTGTGCTAAATGCTCCCGCATCAGCGTGTGTGTGTGTGTCTCTCTCTAGGGGCTGGGGGCTCAAGTGTTGAAGTTGGTTCAGCGTGTGTGTGTGTTTGTGCACGTGTATGGGTGTGTGTAAGGGCTGGGGGCTCAAGCATTGGCGGTAGCTCAGCGTGTGTGCGTGTGTGCGTGTGTTCAAGGGCTGGGGGCTCAATTGTGAGAGGTGGCCCAGGGGCCGGTTAGAGACTGGGAAGGACGACAGAGGCAAGACACGCAGCGAGTGCTCTCGCGAGAGTTCACCGAGTTGATAAAATTATTAAAACACAAAATACACATTTGCGTGAGGGGGAAAAAATACCCGCTTGTCCGTCCTGTCCCTTCAGGCTGCGCAACGCTGGAGGGCGATGGGAGCTCCACACAGGTGGGACGAGCCTAGCAGGTAAACCTTCCACCGGCCCGAGCTCCGCGACGCCGCGCCCCCAGCCCCGCCCCGCCTTAAAAAAAAAAAAAAAAAAGAAGAAGAGAAAGAGCCGCCGGGAGAAGCGCGGACGCCGCCGCTTCCCGGGCTCCAGCCGCGGCCCAGAAGAGGAGGAGCCCAGACGCCCTTCGCGCGCCATTGGTCCATCCGCCTAGCAACAGCCGCGGCCGGACCAATGGGAGCCGCGAAGCGGCCGGCCCCGCTCCAGAAACTTGGCTGCGGAGAAGTTCGCTGTCCCAGCCAGGAAAACAAACCAAGAGACCCTTCACACCCCAGCCCTAAGTTTTCTTTCTTACCCTGCCTACCCTCCCCCTTTCCCTTTGCAACTTGTCACCATTCCCAGCTCATGCATGCTTTAGTCGCCAAATTCTGACGCGGACGGAGGGCCTTTTCAGAAGGTCATCTCTTCCCACCCAAAGGAGAAGTCTCATTAGAGGCAAAAGAACGGACAGGTTGAAAACGATTTGTCAGGTTTCCGAATCTCTCTTGGTCTTCAATTACAATAGCCTCACTTTTAATATATAGTGTGTTTTTGTTTGAACTGATCTGCAAGATCTGTGCCCAAAATGAAGGGCAATTTGGAACATTTATTATGTACCGGGCTTTGACCTCGAATTTTGTTTGCTTTCTATGCCTTATTGCATTTAATCCTCTAATTAATTGTAATTCGGAGAGTGGGTTGCCCTGTCTCCATTTAATAGATGGGAAATTGAAGTTCAAAATGGTGAGTGGAAGTGTCAGAGAAATTCTGTTAGTACATGGTTACACAGGATTCAAACCCAAGCCAGTCTGATTCCCAAGACACTCTGGTTTCATGATGCCAGGAACCTCTGCAAGCACTTTTCAGAAATGGCCATAAAGAAATTCTCTGACCTACCTTGTGGGTTGTAGGTCCTGCCCCATACTGGAGAGGAAGACGTGCTACATAGAGAAGCTAAGAAAAATTTGAACAGACAGGCCGTGCTGGGTTTTCTGCCTCAGTCTCTTGCTATTAGATCAGACTCTTCTTTGTCTAACCCTATTTCTACCTGGCTATCCATGCTTCATCAAACTTAAGCCCGGGTAAAAACAGATACCCGGGGTATCTATTTTTATCTGGGACTTGCGGTCTTCATTTTGAGGGCTCCCATGTCACATAAAACTATGATTGAATAGCTTTGTTATGGCTTTTCTCCTGTTAATTTCTTGTCAATTCATTCAGCAGACTTAGATTAGAGCCTTCAGAGGGAAAGTTTGAACTTTCCTAAAGAAATGGTGTATATTGCAAAAATCGAATCCAGACTCTCTCTATGTGTTATCCTCAAACCCCAGCTTGCTTTGTGGGTGTGTGACCAGCCCAAATGCACAGATTCTGTACTTAGAAGGTCTTACACTTGGTTTACTGCTCTGCTGTTGCTGTTTTGAAGTTATTAATACGATTTGAAGAAGAGGTCCCGTGTTTTCATTTTGCACTGGGTCTGCAAATTATGTAGCCGCCCCTATGAATACAGCTTATTTAAATGTCCCAGAGGAATCTCACGTTTTGAGAATGTCGAACCTCAAGGGAAGGAGGAAGGTTGTAAGCTTGCCACCCCAACCCACATCACACACACACTTAGACTTCTGCACACACCCTACAGATAGTTTTATGACACTATAACTGTAATTTGAATCTCCAGTCTATTAAATGGGAGTGTATATATTTATGGCTGTGTTTATGTGTGTGTGTGCATGCACACGTGCCTGTGAGAACTCAGAGAGGGAATAGAGGTTTGGGGCATTTACAACACACAGATACAGTCCTGATTATTGACTCTATCCTTTCACTTTGGAGACATTACAGGGGATTTGGACAGGCCCTGCTTTTATGAAATACACTCTTAGGAGGTTTTCGAGTGCCTGTAAACACTGGACTGTGAGTGAGGTTGGTGTGATGCCGGCTATCCCTGGAGGGAACAAACCTTGAATACACTTCCACTGGGCCTGGCAGAAAAGCCACATGTTCTTCCATCTGTGTTACCCTGAAATCTGAATCTTCTTTTCTAGTAAAGATTGGCCTAGTTTTTATTCTCTGGATTATGTTGATCTAATTCTCTTAGTTAAGAGATGAAATGATCAGTAAATCACCAATGGCGTGAAAGTCTGAAATAAATGAGAAGAAAGCCTGAGTGTTTCCCTGACACTTAGTTTACCAACAAAGATAATCACACTCTGTGGCAGTTGTAAGGGACTCTGACATGGCTTTGAAACCATCTCCAAATTTTGGAGCACTTTATTTGGTGTTGAGGGAAACTGAGGCCCTGAGAAATAGGCTAAGTTACTACAGGTTACACAGCTAGGTGGTAGTGATATGTAGGTTAGAATCCACTTTGCCCGACTTCTGACCCAGGGCTCTTTCTTGCTTTTCTGTACGAACAGAAAAATACCATAAAACATTATGTAATCAGTTCCTGTGAAGAGAGGTTATTGACTTAATAAATAACCATATGGGGTCACGAGGGAAGGTTACCAGTATGTATTAGTGGTTGCTGTTTGCTCTTGTTTTGTCTATATCATCTCATTTAAGAGAATCTTCTGGATAATATTGAGAGAATGTAGGCAGCATTATTTCCACTTAACAGATGAGGAAAGTGAGGCACAAAGTCGTGGAGTAACTTGCATAGAGTCCCTCAACTTGTTAATGGATTAGCCAAGATGTAAACTCTGTTATTCTTCATTCCTAAATAGCAATATTAAACCTTTCAAATTATCATGGTGCCATGGTAGCCCATTTTAATGACAATATAGATTAAAGAAATGAGTCTTGTCCTACCAAACAGAAGTTAACTATTATGGTCATCATTAAGCTAACTTTGGGTCATTAATTGCTCTTAATTCAGTTTTGTCTCAAGTTTTTTGAGGCTTTATTGTGATGATGTGTTACTTTCCTTTGACATTGCGGACCAATTTAAATTTTATTTGATGTCGACTAAAAATCTCAGTCTAGCCAAAATATAAGTCTAATGATTTGCTTGGCGTTTCAGAAAAAATAAAAAATAAAACAATTATTAGCAAATGGCTTCGTTGATTAAACCATTTGGTTCTAGGTGAAACTGGCAAATATTACCTGGGGTTTGTTGCACATTCTCTGAGGTCTCAAAGCAGATCTGCTGATTCACAGTCTCTACGGTGGTACTCACACTGGGCTGCGCACGGGAATCACCTGGGGAGCATTAAAACTCCTGATGTTTGAATCCCACACCCTGAATTTCTGCTGGAGTTGGTCTGAAAGACAGCTTGGTCATCAGGAGTTTTAAAAGCTCCCCAGTTGAATCTAATGTGCAACCGAAGTTGCAATCCATAGGAGGAACTTGGGAAGCTGTGTGTTTAGTAAGCATCCCAGGTGATGTTTCTGATCAGAGGAGTCTGGAAACACTCCTGCAACTTACATGCTCTGTACAAACCAGGAGCAAGCACTCTGACAGGTTATTTAAGAAAAGTTTGTGGGAGAGAAGCCAGAGACAGCCTAGAGATTGCCTACAATCAGGCTCACCTTGTATAATTTGTGCATTTTTCTAGGAAATAGAGTTTTGAGTGATGAATTGAAGAGAGAAAGAACTAGCCAGAACCTTGAAACCACTTACCATTAATTCTGTCATCCTTTTATGCAGTCACCCCTTTTTCCTCCAAGTCTATATTTATTGGTCATCTATTATATACTATGAATCACTTTAGTGAAGGGCTAGTAACCCACTGATGAATGATAATATAGATACTTGGGATCTTGTAATATTTAAAATGCTTTTGGCTGGCTTAAAAGACTGAGGAAAGTCTTGACTGAATTAAAATAAAATAAACAGGATAGTATATTTGCATCCTGGCCCTTTTCATCATACTTCTTCTTTCTCAGAGAAAGCTCACATATAATGGCAGCAAAATCCATTGAAATCCTGATTTAGAAACACTTAGCAACCCTTGTCAACAATGAGTCCCATGATATTTTTAGCATCTCATCAGAATTAAAACAAATAAACAAACAAACAAGCAAGCAAAATCTCTACACAATGGAGCAATCTTGGAGAGGGAAAATTATAGCTTACTGATCAAGTTTTAGGGACAGATTTCTAACCATCAAACCATAGGTGGTAAAAGTACACAGATTCCAGCCACTCCTGGGCAAAGAGAAGTTGACCAATTTGGAAGGCAGTATTCCATCCTGAGTAAAGGAAAGAGCAGCGCTTTTCTTCCTTCCTTCTTCTCCACTCTTCTTCTTTCCAGTTTAATATTCCAGTTCATACATACAAGTGTCCAGTTCATACTAAGACAATTTTTTTTTTCGAGATGGAGTTTTGCTCTTGCTGTCCAGGCTAGAGTGCAGTGGTGCCATCTCGGCTCACTGCAACCTCCTCCTCCTGGGTTCAAGCGATTCTTAGGCCTCAGTCTCCTGAGTAGCTGGGATTACCAGGAGCCTGCCATCACACCTGGCTAATTTTTGTATTTTTAGTAGAGACGGGATTTCACCATGTTGAACAAGCTGGTCTCAAACTCCTGACCTCGGGTAATCCAGCCACCTTGGCCTCCCAAAGTGTCGGGAATACTGGTGTGAGTCACTGTGTCCGGCCATACTAAGACACTTTCAACCTTAGCATGTCCAGTGCTCAAATCCTGTCTGATGGTGCTTTTATACTGGGCTTGGAAGAAGCATTGGATAGCAGGAGGTATATAATCTAAGTGATAATTTTTATTTGCATTTGTAAGAGATTGCTCGGCTTAATTTTTATATTCCCGTGATTTAGTGGAGGAAAAGGAGAAGAAGGCAAAAACTAAGCCTTTTGTTGAACTCCAATAAGGCCTCTTCCATCCCTGCTGTCTGGAATAGCTTGGGATGGGGCATGTGTTCTGTTCCAGGTAGAGTGTGGCGTTTTCTTTTATGTAAGTGTCTCGTAGGGACAGATCTGCCTGCTTTGCATCTTGGAAGGATAAGCAGGTATGAACAAGCCTGGTGGCCCCAGGACGTGGCAAGGTGTGCATACCTACATGACACTGAATGTCCTCAGCAAACCTGGGTGTTTTTGCAATTCCCTGTGTTTTAGAGCCTATGAACTATGTAGGGGTGTCCAATTCAGCAAGCATCGTTCCGGTGCCCGAAAAGATGTTCTGTTTCTAGGAAAAATCTGAAAAGCTCATCATTCAGATTGAGAAGGAGACAGATTGAGAGGGAGTGTCTGTTAGAGGCAGCATTTTAATGTCCACTTGTTTCTACTGGAATCTTTGTGGGAGTTCTGTGTTCCAAAGCCCAATGTGCTGTCTAGGTTATAGGTTAAACTCAGGAGCTATATTTTGTTGTGGATGCATGGACAGGGAGGTGCTAAAAGTCAAACATCATCATATTCAATGATTAGAATTGCATCTCATTCCTCACTGAAACCCCTTCATGGAAGAACATTTGTTCTAACAGTCATTTCTTTAAAAGGAAACATTCTGGTCTTTAAGGAGGTAGGGTATTGGATATATATTTTAAAATTTCCACTAAGGTGCGTTTTCCAAAATTCCTATTTTATATATATGTGTGTATATACTTGTATGTTTGCATATTTATATGCACACATGTGAATATATATCCATATGTACAACATTCATATTTATATATAAATGAATAAATTCAGCCTTTGTTTTTCTCCATATCTGAAATTAAGTAAAGAAGATCTAATTTACAAAATAATATTAATCGTCATAAATTGAGCTTCTGCACCTTGTGATCTTTGCAAATTATCTTTAGATGTTCTAATTTCTTTCTTGTTCCCTCTTTCTCATTAATCTCTTCCCAGCCAGCTCCCTCCATCTCCTCTTCCAACCCTTTCTTGCCTCTCTCTGCCCACACAGACTTGAAGAACCAGTTTCTCTCCTTGCCTTTACTCCAAAATCATAAACTTAAACCAAAACACATGGCCCAGAACAGGGTGCTGTCTTCAGTTTCCTTTTGCCTTCTCCTGATACTTTCTTGTTAGTTTTGGATTCTGCCCTGCAAACCCCAAGAGCACACTTTCTAGGTATGGAGAAAATAGGGTGTTTTTCCCCCCCACCTCAGCAGAATCTTGCTGAGTGTGTGGGATGCACCAACTCAGTGGTGCAAGATTTGATTGGAAGCAGCTGACGAGCCCCAGCCATCTGGTGAGTGTGCTCACCAAACAGCCTGTCCCTTGTGGTTGCTTAAGAAAAACATTTGTAGTCTCTGGGTCACACTGCTTCTCTTTTGTTCTCTTAAATGTTGAATTTAGGCTTGCCTTTATCCCGGAAAGACGGGACAAGGCAAATAGAAAGAGGGCTGCAAGCTCATGGGAGAGACTCCAGGTCTGTGCACCACTGCGACCTCATATCTAAACATTGACCTTCTAGACCCTTCCCTTTAGTGCACATGGGGATTTATAATCCCGTCCTGCCCTTCACAGATCATTGTCTTGGGGTCTTTTATAAGGCAGAGCTTTGGTGTTACCTTGTATTAGGGCCACCTCCCTGTTCTTTTTCAGGAGACTTTAAGCTCCCTGAAGCGAGGCACTTGCTCTGATCAGAGACTGACACAGGGTTACCAGTTAATACATATTTTTAGGATACTTCAATGCATAAGTGAGTGTTGCCTCTTTTCTCAGCCTCTCCAACCTACTTAGAAATGGAGAAGGGAGGTTTGACCAAAGGACACAGACTTGATTTTGGAAGTCATGGATTCACTATGTCCCCAGCATTGTCCTTAAAGGACCGCCTTCCTCAGAAGGTACCAAGATTTGCTCTGGGGACTTCCAATGTCAAAGGTACCCTTAGGTTACGGATGCTCCTACTGGCCAGATGGGCTCCAGTCTCAGGGAGTGAATGAACATGCAAAAGAACTCTCCTCCTGAACATTTGGCTGGCTGGGGCCCCCCTTTAACCTGGTCATGGTAGTGAGAGCTTGGCATGTGGGCAGTAAGGCAGGCCTCTGTTTGCTATACGCATTCTTGAAGTTTATTAAAAATTTATTTTTATATTTTTTATTAATAAACTAAGAACAGTTTTAGATTTACCGAAAAATTGGGCAGATAGTAGTGAGTTCTCATATTACCTGTTTCCCTCCCCCTGCACACAGTTTTCATTATTAATATATTAGTGTGGCGCATCTGTTACAATCAGCAAACTGATATCAATACATTGTTATTAACTAAAGTCCCTAATTTATTCAGATTTCCATGTTTTTTCCCCTAATATCCTTTCTCTATTCCAGGATCCAATCCAATATTCTACATTCCAGTTAGTTGCTGTATCTCCTTAGACTACTATGAGCTGGGACAGGTTCTCAGACTTTCCTTGCTTTTGATGACATTGACAGTTTTGAGACATACTGGCCAGTTATTTTCTAAATGTCCCACCACTGGAATTTTTTCTGATGACTTTCTCATGATTGAACTGCATTTAAGGGATCTTGGGAGAAAGACTCCAGAGGTAAAATGCCCTTCTCATCACACCACATCAAGGGCACATACTATCAACATGATTTGAAATTGTTGCCATTGACCTGGATTACCTGGCTGAAGTATTGTTTGCCAGGTTTTCCCACTGTACAGTAACTCATGTCCCCTACCTTCTATACTGTACTCTTTGGAAGAGAGTCACTATAGCATATGGATTTTTGTTCTCCACTGTGAGTACCATGATGTCATTTCTCGAGGGTGTGTATTGCAATAGTTTTATGTGGTCTTATATATGTACATCTCCCTATACAGAGAATGGATTCTCTACGTGTTTTTGATATTAGGTTGGTGCAAAAGTAATTGCAGTTTTTTGCCATTAAAAGCAATGCTTTGCACATTTTATAAAATACAGAGTTATGAGCAAGATTAGTTGTGTGGGTATGCGTGCATTTGTGTGTGTGTGTGTACGTATGTGTGTATTGTGAGGTCAAAATTACATGCAAAACTTAATAGATTTATTTCTGTTACATTTTAAGAAAAAAAGATATGGTTACCCTGTATGTACCTATTTCTTTTAGAGTATATTTAGCTAAGAAAAAGATGGCTAAGTTGACAAGAGTGATGTAATAATAATAGCAACCTCTGACATTTATCAGGTGCTTAGTAGGACCAGTCCTGCGCCAAAGATTTTACATGCGTCTTATTTGATCTTATTTCAACCTTTGAGATAGCTGAGTGGCTTTGGATCATCCACTTAAATGCCCTATTCTTCCATTTCCTCATCAATTATATGGAAACTAGAGAAATATCTACCTTATGAAATTTTTATGTGGAATGAATGGGCTTGTATGTGTGTGAGTCTCAGATAACTTAATAACCAGCCCAAGGTCACGCAGTTAATAAATGGGAGAACTGTGGCTCAAATCCAAGTGCAAATCATTCCATATCCATGTTTGTGAACACCCTACTGTATGCTGTAGGTCCTCCTGGATAAAGTACCATCACATTTGAGTTATTCTGGAAAAGGAAGGAGTAGGAAAGGATGATACCGGGGACCCAAGGACGCAGTTTTCTGTTTCTTCCTATCACCACATAATTTTGGGGTAGGGTTGGCCGTGAATCAGAAGCATCTGTTGAATGGGTTTTTCATGAACTGTGCTTTTATTTTCTCTTCTCAGAAGAACATCCTAGCACATCCGAAGACCATGACTTTAAAGCTGCTTTATTTTATTCCCTCCTAAAAGCTGAATTTGTGGAAACTTCTGAGTGAACACTCATCTCCTTCTTCCCTTGTTTGATGAGTTGTTGGTCAGTCTTCAAAGAGCCCATCTTCCTTGAAAGTATGATATGCCTCTGTCACTAGTTTGATCTGGAGAATTGCAACCACTGGGCATGAAGCTTAGATGTACCTTGAACTTGAAATGATCTCAAAAAATTCCAAGATTGGTGTGTAAACTACTATCACCCCTGTGGGGTTATTATGTTGACTTGTTTTAATTTTATAAAACTCCTCAGAGATGGGGAAGGAAATCATCCTTCACCTTCTATTGCTGAAAAGCATGCTGCAGGAAAAAAATGATGATTCTTGCCAAAGATGCTAGGGACAAAATTTCTCCTTGGAAACCCTGAGAAGCAGAAGTCCTTTCTCTTTCTGGGCAATCTCAAGGTAGCGTGAGTTGTAAATACAAACTGGTTTTAACTGTCCTCCTGAGTGGCCTTGCAACCCATGACCAGAACTGGTCAAAGATTTTTATTTCACCCAACCACAGGGAGGAACATGAAGGCACGGTCACTAGGTGTTTAATCAGCAGGTGAATTCAAGCCTTTAATTCTTTGTATACTGCAGTCAATAGAAAGTTATTGCTTAATTAACCCCTTTGATGAATACCTGATAATTAATAAACCCATAAAGTATACCCTAAGGCTTTAAGTTGAAGAAGGCTCCCCTCTTCAAGTGGAAAAGAGAAGAAGAAGAAAAAAAAAACATGCTGAACTAATGGGAAAAAATTCCAGTAGAAGGCAAAGCAATTAGGATTAGTGAATTCCATTTCATTTAAAGGTGCAAGATAGAGGAGCCATTTATCTAACAAATTAATAATGGGAGTGACTTGCCTAATATAGTAACAAGTCCTTATATTTTATTAGTGGAAATCCAAACCAAGTAATTTAATGATAGACAAGTTTCCATATATGTAATTTTTTAAGGCTTTTTAAAAAAATTGTCACCATACTCAGATAGTTTTAGATTTATGCATTGCCTCTAAATTAGTCCCCACTTCAGTTTGGAATGATACTTTTAATATTATGGCTTTGTAGAAAAATCAATATTTTTTTAGTGTTTTCTTTCATTTTAAAGAGCTTCGTCATCTGGCTAATTGTGTCACCATAAAAAAAAAATAGAAGAGTTGAGGAGGTGGTTCATATTTCGCAAGTATCATTAAATTTGCCGTGTGTTACAAATGGGGTCTACTGGGGGCTGTTGAATGCTGGAGCTGTGGGGCAGAGCAGAAGGGAAGGTATTAATGTAGGGCTGCTAAAGAAATCTCTCGTTCTAAATTGAGAGAAAATATGAAATATATCCTGAAAAGTGTTTGCAGTAGCAATAGCATGACAGAGATCCACTGTGGTCTTGAGTTCTCATGGAGCCTCTGGGGTTTGCTTGATACCCAAGGCAGGTGAGGAGGCCCTGAGACTTCTACCCCTCTGATCTTCTTCCCAGATAAGGAGGAATTTATTAATCATCCAGCAGATATTTACTGTGCCTCTGCTGTATGTCAGATATTTGATGCTAGTCCTTGCCTTACCTGCAAACCAATGGGGGAGCAACTACAATAGCCTCACATGGCCTCTGCTCTCAAAGTTTGCCTCTGCATTAAATTCCTAGAGAAGAATATGCTTCAGTATGGGGAAGGGCAAGAGCACTAGTCGAGGGACATATAGTTCAAAAAAATCAAAGATTTTGGAGAAAAGCACAATGGCACCCAAGTTCTATCGGCCATGACCTTGCACAGGGCTGAGCCTCAGCTTCTGTAACCTGCAAAACAGGTATTTTCCACATAGACTAGTTATTGTGCTGTACATTAAATATGTGGTATATGGTGAACGCTTTGAAGTCCTGGAGAATAAAATGAGACTGCAGTGAAAATGTATTTTGAAACTCAAAAAAATACAGTATCAATTTAAGATACTAATAATTTTAGCAAATGGTGGGACAAATATATTGCTTGGAAGGCAGTTGAGATATATTTATTTATTTGCTAGCTACTCTATTTTGATGCCTCTTTCTTTTAATTTTGCCCAATGACTAATAGCCTTTTTGAATTGCTTCTTTTCCACTTTCACTTTCTTTACATATGTAAAATCTTAGAGGGATCCCAAAGTGTTTAAATACCACCAGCACCAACAGTAATAATAACAGCTCAGCAGCACTAAGACTAAATACCATATCAGGCACCCTGTATAGATCTTTCTAAAATAGTTCTGACAACCCTAAAAGAGCAATATTATTTAGCCCATTTTAGAGATAAAGAAACTAAGGCTCCGTCTTTCTGATATAATCTATTACAAAGACTTTTATTAGCAATAGCGAATATTTGTAGAGTATTTATGACTATATGACAGGCGGTTGACATTTTCATCCTGTTTATTTCTCATTTAATCATTCAACAAATATTTACTGAATGCTGGGTATTCATAGTGGCCCAATCAGTATAGACTGGTCAACAGGAGAGAACTCATAAGCCCAGTCAGGAGATAGTATAGAACAACACTATGAGGTAGGTGCTTTTGTTATCTCTAGTTTATGTCCAAGAAAAGTGAAGATATGATTCGAATCCAGATACTTCACTTTTAACCATGACACCATATTGCCTCTGAGAAAAGTGCTTGGGATCAAGAGAATTGAGACACTGGGGATAGTATGGTTGAGATGAACCATCCTCCTCTGAGTCTATAAGAGAATTGGGCCTAGATAGTCAGTGTGACTACAGAGCATTCCTTGCCTTCTCAGGAGGGGGACCAAGGCTCTAAGGCAGCAGCCCTAGTTCCTCCATTTGCCACTAATTACCATGTAATCTTGGTAAGCCCCTCAGTTTTGCTGTGCTTCCCTCATCAGCCAAATGGGGATAGCCACGCCTGACTTAGAAGAAGTCCTGGAGAATAAAATGAGATTGTAGTGAAAATGTGTTTTCAAAGTCAAAAAACACAGTATTGATCTAAGATACTAGTAATTATAGCAAATGATGGGAGAAATATATTGCTTGGAAGGCAGCTGAGATGCATTTATTTATTTGCTGTTACTCTGTTTTGATGCATCTCTTTTTGGATTTTGCCCATGACTATTGATGACACATATATAAAAGAAAAATGCTCATTGAAATGGAAAATGGAGACTTTAAACATGAAAGTTCAAGATAGATCAGATTGATTTTTTTCATTTTTTTTTTTTTTTTTTTTTTTTGCCTATTTCTGTTAGCAATAACTGGTCTTGTACTGCTAAGTATCTAGTTGAAAATACCTTAGCAGACACATTCTGCCTCTACCTAATAAATGAGACTGCCTATATAGACTGTCTGATAGTTGTACAAAGGAATCAAATGCATATATCTTACCATACACAGGTACTCAAAGATCAATTGTATTCAATAATATAATGGATGTGTTTTTCATCTTTAAAATTCCTGCAAGAGTAGTTATTCTTCACAGATTGAATTAGCAAAGTAGGAACAGATGAAGTCAATTGTCAATTGTTCAAATGCAGGTACATATTATATAGACAGATCGAAACCTTGGGGGCTGCTAATGTGAGAAGATAAATCCCTCCTCATAAAACGAGTATTAGTAGCAATCTGCACCAATGCCTTTAATTTCTCATATCCTTGTAAATCTTCAGAGCTCGAATGAGGTGCTTACTTCCTATTACTTTATTCAGATCAGAAGGTTTAGAATAACCCTAAAAATATCTTTTTATTTTTTCAAACCTGCTTCATTTCATCCTCAAAAACACTGTAGCATCAACATTAAACAGAGCTAGTTAACAGGGGTTTTAAGAAAATTAAAGGTGTGGCCAAGTCTAGACATCCCAAAATAAGTGGATGGGGGATACAGGCTTTTGGTCCAGTTATTTCGGCCACCTTCTTAATGGACAATTTGGATCACTGCACAGTCAATCCGCTTAATTGCATCTGTGTTGGCCATTAAAACAAATTGAATGCGCTATGGCCAATTTGGTCATGTCATAAAGAAATGGCCAGTAGGGCCCACGGAGATGCAGAATTTCAGCCATTATTCGATTATATCTGATCAGTGGAGACAGCTTGTATAGGGAATCCAGGAGCTAAAGTAGATCACACAGGAGCCCCCAGCCTACTTTGCCGACCATGTTATTAGGATCCACTGTCGACAGCAACAAAATTGGCCAGGTGGTTGACAAAGCATCACTTTACTTTGTCCTGAGGAGAGAAAAGTCAGTGCCCCATGACTTTGCCTAAAATATCCCGTCAGCAAACCAACAGGTCGTCTTTTCCACTTTGAGTCCTGAGTAATTTGAGAAGTAGAGAAAAAAAATCTGAAATGTCCACTGTCGATGACCTCTAGTGTTGGTGTAAAAATAGACCTTAAGCTGCATCCTTTGTGATTAATGCTGGGTAAAGGTAATTTAAGAGGGGCCTAAGTTTCTTATTTTTTCAGATCTCGACTCCATGTACTTTACCTTTCCCTGCACCTCTGCTTGTCTGAGAGGTCTCAAGATCATCATTTGGGACCTCCATTTCTGCTGGGTCTGTCATCTTAGATCGCCTTGATCTTGAGCATCTTTGTGAAGTTGAACAGGGGAATGGCCTTATTATGGGTATTTCTGGATTATACTCTATATATTTAAGCCATAACATAAGGAATAACTGTGGGCCATATTTACTAAACATTTGATATATGTTAGGTGCTATCTGGCATTTTAAGTATATTGTCTTATCTAATCCTCATCTGACCCTGTGAGGTAGGTTCTGGTGTGTTTACTGCGTGGATGAGGGAGCTGACACTTAAAATTGTAATTACTTGTCAAGGTCAAGGTCATTCAACAGGATCAGAATCAAGACATAACCCCTGGTCCCTCTGGGTCCAAAGCTTGTAGTCTCAAATACCGTATCATCCTAAGCACCATTGATGATGACTCATTTCAGGCCGGCTTAAGGGATAAGCTTTCACCAATTTGTTCTTATAAATATTTACTGTTTTCAAACCATGTGTTAGGCATTGTGGGAGTACAGAGTTGAAAGAAACAGAGTCCTTGCTTCTAAGGAATGTACAACTAGTTGGGGAGATAAACTTTCAGTGTGACAGTATGAGTTGGGTGCGTTCGGTCTGAACAGACAGCAAAGCTCTTTCCTTGTTGCCTTGCTGAGTGACGAGCTAATCTGCTCACCAACTTCTGCTCCCTTAGCCTGTGAAGAGAAGAGTTCTCTGCCGGGGGTTCCCTGTTCTTCAGGAGCTTAGCAATGTGATAGAAACCAAAAAGGGGTCACCACCTGGAACCAACAGTGGAGGTTTTGTCACCATGCTAATGGGGCCAGAGACTGTGGGAATATAAAACACTGACAGTGGCCCCTGAGAACCACTGTGCATGTGGCCAGGCAAGTGACGGCTGAGTCCTGGTGGATTGTGAGAAACCACGGGAAAATGGCTAGAGCCACCTTATTCACTCCAGGCACCTTCTAGGAGTCAGTGGCCTTGGCATGATTTGATTAGAGGATAAAGAAAATGTGGCACATATATCCCATGAAATACTATGCAGCCATAAAAAAAGAACAAGATTATGTCCTTTGCGATAACATGGATGGAACTGGAGGCCATTATTCTAAACAAACTAACACAGGAAACAGAAAACCAAATTCTTCATATTCTCACTTAAAAGTGGGTGCTAAACAATGAGTACACATGGACCTAAGAAGGGAACAACAGACACCGGTCCCTACTTGAGGGTGGAAGGTGGGAGGAGGGTGAGGATTAAAAAGCTACCTATTGGGTACTATGCTTATCACCTGGGTGACAACAAAATATGTACACCAAAGCCAACCACCAGCAGTTTACCTATATAACAAACCTGCACATAAACACCTCAACCTAAAATAAAAGTTAAAACAATCATAAATAAATACATAAAAGGCAAAAAAAAAAAAAAAAAGAAGTGAAAAGAGCCATTATCCAAGAAGAAGAAGAAAAAGGAGGAAGAGAAGGAGACTGTATTTGGAAATATTCTCATGGAAAGAGATGAGACTTGCTTCTTACCTCCATCCTCATATCCTATTTGTTCCTCCTAGGGACCCTATCACCTTATCCATTTCTTCTTTGTCAATCCAAATTCTAGCCACCAAAAGCAAATCGCCTCACCTCCTTTGTAACAATTTTTCTGATCATCTCAAGGAGAATGGTTGGAACATGTCTTCTCATTCTTTCTGAGTTCCTCATTTTCATTCATTCATTCAGTCAATCAGTCAGTCTGTCAACAAATACTGAGTGCCCAATGGATGCGGACCATTGTGCTAGGTCTACAGCACTGAATCAGTGTTTGCTCATTCAGTCACCCACTGACTTCTTACTCCAACAGCCATCCTTAAAAGTGATTTTTGGATGAGGAGAATCTAACATATGCAAGATCACAGTGCGGCATAGACAACAACTGTATATGCTAAACCTAGATTCACAGAGTATTGGTATAAACTCATGACATAAGAGAAGACCCAAGTCCAAAGAAACTTCGGTTAATAGAAGAGAGTAGAAAGGGCATTTTGCATGTACTGGAGGAGCTAGGATTCTCTAACTGGTTCAGCTATTTGTTTTAGAAAAGAAAACATGAAGGAGAATATGTAAGCAGTAATAGTTTCTTAGCACAATATCATGACAGGTGGACTACGCCAGTCCAGATGCCTTCTGGAACTGGAGAGGGGAGCTTTTAGGAGTGCATAAAGGCCTTTATGACAGACATTAAGTTTCAGAAAGAGAAAACATTTCGCCATTTTAGGACTTATTCCAAAGAAACACCATATAGCCAAATAATTTTGGAGACCATTTAAAAGAAGAAGACTGTTCCGATATGATGGTATCCACAGAAGACAGGTCTGAAAGTAAATAAAAGATGGTAGAATCAATGAAGTCATTTCAAAAGATCAAAAGGAGAAGAAAAAATAGTGCACATGGCAGAAATAGAAATACAGGGGCACTAATAAAGTATTTGGACTCAGTGGGAGCAGATGAGACAGGTCTCTGCTTGGAGAATTAGATTTGAAAAGAGGAATAACGAGAAAGGGAGATGACAAGATAGACTTATATCAGGTGGGTTGTTGTATGGAGACACCAAGAGAAGGATGCTGGTTAGAGGTTGAGTGTTGGGAGAGTGGAAGCTGAATCAAGGGCAGTGAATGAGAGTATGTATTAGTTCCAAGGCTATTAAAATAACAGTTTCCATGCCATTTCCTCCACCACTACCATCACCACTGCCATCACCACCACAATAACAACTATCACCATCATTATCATCGCCACCATTATCATCACCACCGTCACTGCCATAACTACTATTACTACCACCATCACCATCACCACCACCACCACTACTATTAACATCACTAGCATCATTGCCACAATTACTATTGCTACCATCATCACCACCACTATCACCATCACCGTTACTACCACAACCACCATCATGCTCACTATCATCATTGCTACAACTACTATTTCTACTACCATCACCATCACCACCATCACTACCACCATCACCATCATTACTACCACCATCACCACCACCACCAGCACTGTCATGCTCACTGGCACCATTGTCACACCTATTATAACCACCATCCCCACCATCACAGCCACCATCATCACCACCATCATTGCCACAACTATTACAGCCACCATCACCATCACCACCACCACTACCACCATCATCATTACCACCACCATTATCACTACTACCAGCACCATCATCATCACTACCACCACCACCATCAACATCATCATTGCCATGACTACTATTACTACCAAAATCACCATCACCATGACCACTATTGCCATCATCAGTTTTATCACCATCATCACCATTAGCACTACCACCCCCAAATTATTGCTCCTTTGCAGGTAGAGACAACTGTACTTCTTTCTTTCTGATTTGAATGCCTTTTATTTCTTTCTCCTGTGTAACTATTCTGGCTACGACCTCCAGTACTACACTGAATGCCAGTGGTGACTGTGGGCATCTTTGTCTTGTCCTGATCTTAGAGGGGAAAAGCTTCTAGCTTTGCACTGTTGAACATGATGCTAGGTGTGGCTTGTCATATATGGCCTTTATTATGTCGACATACATTGTTGTTGCACCTGATTTGGTGAGAGCTTTTGTCAGGAAAGGAGATGATCTTTGAATGGCTGCTATTTTCGTGGACTCTTTGGCTCTCTCTGGATGCAGCTTAAGTCTGCAGTAAGGACTCTGATGAGTGAATTCTATGCAGCTTGACATTCTTGTCTGAATAATAAAAGTTCTGCAAACAGGCGGCTCCAGTAATCTGTTTATTATCATTTCTCTTTCCTAGTTAGAATTTATCGTTTTTCATGTGTGTGAAAAGGAGTCTCTTCATCGTTTCTAGGCTATGCTATACTTCTGTATCCAGAAACTCTGACTTAGAGAGCCTGGGAGATGTGAGAGCATTTGACAGAAATATAAGTTAATGAAAAGAATATTTAATCTAATTTTTTAGATGGGAACACTGAGACCCAAGAACTTGGAATGTCTACACCTAACTGCAAGTGAATTTTTTAAAAGAGTTTATATTACGTGCCTCATGGAGACTTAGAAGACTTACATCTCTTAATGTTTTGAGATTGACCAATCTTAAGTTAGAGTTGTTTCCAAGAAGAGGAAAAAATAAATGATCAACCTCTCTAGCAGATAGATAGTCACAGGTTTCCTATAACACAATTTAAAGGAATCACAATTTGTAAATGCACAGATTACAAAAGGACTATTCATCTTATAAACCAAGATGCTGTAGAACTAATTTCAATTAAAGTTTTGCAAGTGAATTTTAAATCACATCGAATTAAGCAAGAATCAATTTACATGCAACTTCTAGCAAAGAAATTACTATGTAGAGTAAGAGACACCTGTTAACTTCACTACCCGAAACCCATTGCCATGATTTTTACCCACCACATTTTCTTAGGACAAAGTGTTAAAAGATTGGCATCTTTGATTTCAAGCTGTTTCCGGGACCCCTTTGAAGAGTAAAGATGTTTTTATAGCTTCAGTTGTGTGTGTGTGTTTGTGTATGTGTGTTATGTGTTTGGCAATAGGAATACTTCAGGATGAATCTCTAAGCTGATAGAGTTCAGAAGAGCAGGATATTCTGAGAGGGTTTTCTGTCTCTCTGAGTCAATAAAAAATCAGGCTATAGTTCTCTTCTTTCATCATCTAGAAAATAGAGAACATTATTTGTCTTTTAATCCTTTGTAAAGATAAAAAGTGGGTAAAAAGGTAAGGGTTAGGGTCAAGAGACCTGTATTCAAGGTCTGTGCTCTGTCACTTACAGGCTAGTTAATCATGGATGAGTCCCTTAACTTCTCTGAATCTTAGTTTTCTTATCTATGAAATAGGGTTAACTCTTGGTGCCATTAGGATTAAGTGAGAATGTACTAATGTTCAAAGAGTATGTAAAAGTCGAACATAGTGCCTGACATAAAATTGATACTCAATAAACTAACACAAAATAGACACTGAATAAACATGTGTTGAAAAATATGGAGATTTATGTGTTCACACTAATTGGTTTAAGTCTTAAACCCAGGAAAAAATCTGAACTGCAACATGCAATGAGGAGTAAACCTTGTTTGCTAAGTAAATGTTAAGATTTCAAAGAACGCTATCCTCCTGTAAAACCATTTTGCCTTTGAAGAGACCCACATATTTCTCATGTGAGCAAAACGGTTCTTCATTCCTTAAACCCACTACTCATAGGTCCCCGGACTGGGGTGCAGTTTCTCTTTGGTAGGATTTTTCTTGCCAAATGACGCCAGGTAGCGCATTATCAAAATGACCCATTCTGGTGCTTGGATGATGTCACATCCCTTGAGAGGAGGGCAAGTAGATATATCAGGCCTTGGGCACTCACAGGTTTGGCTCACTGCTAGTGAATCCAGAGCTCCCACACTGGCTAGACTGGTTCCAGAGAAATAAATCAACCTGAGAAAGCCGTTGGCCAGGGATGAGTCTCGGCAAGAGGTTGACTTTTCTGGCTCCCACCCTGCTTCCAGATTGTCATTTAGAACTAGCTCAGGCATCCAGTCTGTCTGTCCTCTCTGTAAAACCTGCAGCAGATCACCAGAGCCACAGAAAACCACTCACCCTGCCAATGGAGGCCCTCCTGCAAAGATGCCAGTCTTCTCTTTGCTAACACGTGGCTTCTGCATCAATCAACCTTCCTCCTCAGTGCTGCCTCACCACCCCAATGCGTGAATCACTGCCAGGGATCTTTACTTGCACTTGTTCCTCAATCACCACCCTTCCTGTCACCTAATCTAATTCCACATACCCATCAAATTCTGCCTTAAACATCCCCCATTCTATTAAGAAGAAGATGTCTTCAGCTCCTGCCTGCACTGACGTTTGGCATCCAAACTCCTATTGTTACGATTCCATCTCCATTCTGGTTTAGCTCATCCATAAATTGGGGATAATGATGCCAACATCACTCAATTCTTATGAGAATTAAACCAGATAATTTTGTAAAGAGCTTGTCAGAGTTGATAGACTCCATTGCATTTGGCTGTGGAGTTGGTACGTAGAAAGTGCCCAACAAATCATAGCTGGCAACAAGTACTTTAAAAATAATTGAACCTACTGTCATAGTTGATATTCTAGGTAATTTGTATCCAAACACATGCATACCTCTGGAGAGCAAAGAATTTATCATAAACATTTGTATCCCAAGTACACAGTATGTGCTCTCAATATTTGTCTATCAACTTCTGATAACAATTTGATTTGGATAGAAGCATTTCTTTCTTGCTTTTATACATGAGCATGTGCCCAGTGTCAAAAAAAGCAGTTTAACATGGCCGAATGCTTACTATGTACCCACTCATTTACTTGCCACAGCAATGGTCTGGATTGGATGCTATTTTATCACTCAGTTTCAGAGGGGTAAACTGAGGATCCAGTTTATATCATGAGTAAACAGTGAAGGTGATGTTCAAACCCAAGCATTCTGGCACCAGAGTTCAGGTTCTTAACCACAATGTTGTCTCTCCACTGCCATAGCATGGCATGGAAACCGTTTCAAGACCTGGTCTTCCCCTGCTGTTTCAGATTCTTTTCCTGCCAGACTTTTGCCCACTTTTGTTCTTTCCCCCTGTTATATGGAACCCTTAGTGGTTCTCTGGACACAATGCTCCTGTTCATGCTTCAATCAGATTGCCAGAGAAAATATAGCATGCCAAATTAAATTTGAATTTCAGATAAACAATGAATACTGTTTTAGTATAAGTCATGTCCCAACTATTGCATAACAAATATTTATACTAAAAAAAAACTCATGATTTATCTGAAATTCAAACTTAGCTTGGAATTCTGTAATTTGGTTTTCTTTTGTTACTAAACCCAGCAACCTTCTGCTTTTAGGCCTTTGCTCAAAGAGCTCCATCTGCTTGGCAATTTTCTATGCCTTCTCCATCATGCACTATCTTGTTCATCCTTTTAAGTCTAATGCAAAGGTGAGTTCTCTAGTGAGAATGCCTCCAGTGCCTCGCTGCATTGTAAAATCCATCACTGGCATTTCCAGTACTACCCAGCCTTGTAGACCGAACGCTAAGCTCTCCAAGGCAGGGCCCATGGACTCAGCTCTGAATCCTCAATACCTGGTGAGACACGTGGCATGGAGAAGGCATTCTCAATACCGAGTCATGAATACAGCTATGGAGAATGCTCCTTAATTCTCCCATTCCCTGTCATATATTTCTCCTTTATCTTTGAAATTCTTTGAAATGCACCAAAATTCCTGCATAGAAATTGCTCCTCTCTATATATTTTATTTATTTATTTATTTATTTATTTATTTATTTATTTATTTATTTGAGACAGGGTCACGCTGTCGTTCAGGCTGGAGTGCAGCGGTGGGATCATGGCTCACTGCAGCCTCAAACTCCCGGGCTCAAAGTGTCCTTTTGCCTTAGCTTCCTGAGTAGCTGGGACTATAGGAGAGTACCACCATGTCCAGCTGATTAAAAATACTTGCAGAGACTGGATCTCACTATGCTGCCCAGACTGGTCTTGAACTCTTGGGATCAAGTGGTTCTCCTGCCTTGGCCTCCTGAACTGTTAAGATTACAGGTGTGAGCCCCTGCTCCCAGCCAAGAGTATTTCTCTTTCTCATTTTGAGTAAAAGATATCCGGCCATTGTAAGATGTCTGAACCATATTAACCTTTGTATTAATCTCCTAGGGCTGCCATAACAAATTACCACAAATGAGGTGGCTTAAAACAGCAGGAATTTATTCTCTCACAGCTTAGAGGCTAGAAGTCTGAAATCAAGGTGCCGGCAGGGCCACACTCTCACTGAGGACTCTAGAGGAGGGTCTGATTCCTGCCTTTCTCTTAGCTTCTGGTGGTTGCTAACAATCTTTGGCTTTCCTTGGCTTGTAGACACATTGCTCCAACCTCTGCCTCCATTGTCACATGGTGTTCACATGTGTCCTTCTGTCCTCTTCTTTCTGTACATGTCCATATCTCACATGACATTTGCCTCTGTGTGTGTGTCTCTTCTCCTTTTTTTATAAGGACACCAGCCACGTTGGGTTGAGGGCCCACCTTATTCCAGTACAATCTTATCTTAACTTGGATCATAATTATATCTGCAAAGACCCTATTTCCAAATAAGGTCACATTCACAGGTATTAATGGTTAGGATTTCAACACATATTTTGGGTGACACAGTTCAACTCACAACAACCCTGGACAAGTGACTTCTCCACTCCAGGCCTCCATTTCTGCATCTATAAAATGGGCAAAATCTTGCCTACATCGCTGAAGTCAGGGATTGAATGAGATCATGCATAGTGCCTCCTGCATTGAAGGGCTGTGCCTATGACTTCTCTTCCTCTTTCTTTCTAGCTGTCTGCAGCATGAAAGCATAAAATATTGACAATAAAGGAAGTTCCAGCAGGTAGAATTTTGGCTCACAGAGGCCAAACACAAGCGCAACGTTCTATGTGTTCTTTCAGAGCTCGCTTCCTTCCAGCTGGAGGACTTTTCTTTGTAGTGTAATCCTCTGCTTAACTTATTCTCATCTATGTAGGACGCAGGGGCTGGACATGTGAACTGACTTTAATAAAGGTTTCGGGTGATTCTAGGACACCAGGCGGAGATGTGTGTCTTTGGCTGTTTACCCCTGTCATGAGTGGTTACTTTTTCATGGTCAAAACAAATAAATACATAAAAAGTGCCTAAAACCTATAGGGAATCAAGTTTCCAAACTCTGTTCTTGCGGCTGACTTCTGAATCATAGTGTTATAATTAAAAAAAGAAAACACGAAATTGCACTTGGCCATGAAACATAAATTGTACCTTTGTAAAGGTCAAATACTAGTTGTGATTAACCAGACGAGTCACACTTTATCCTGGTTAAAACAATACTGAATTTTAAAACTACTTATAGGATTCTACACACCACCCGCCCCCACCCAACACTCTTTCTTGCAGAAGTTTACAGTTGGAATCTTGTTTGAAGTGGGGTTTTATTTTCATTTGTATTTTTTTTTCAATTTGTGAGATGATTTCCATTGGTTTGGCAATTTGCACTTGAGTGATGCTATATAGCATTATCAGGGTGCCGACAGCTGCTGTGGCATAAACAAGCGGTGATGCATTGAGCTGGCACATCCATATGGTTTGGAAAATAAGATGAAATAAAATAAAAACATTTGTTATCATTTGTGGAGTTTTTGAACACAACCAACTTCAGCACAACTTTAATGCCTCGCATGGCTTTCTTTAAAAAATAAATAAATAATTTTAAATGAGAACATTTTGTTTCGCTAGGAAGAGTGGTTTACTGTGTGGATGGGGAGAGAAGCCTCGGTTTCTAGCAGCTGTTGCTCATCTCTGGCCCGGGGTCTCGTGATGGGTCTGCTGTTGGCTAAAGCCCAATGCTGGATCAGTGGTGCTAATGGAATCTCCGTCTGCTTATCATCTCAGACACTGCAGAGCACTGGCCCTCAGAAAATCCTGGCTGTCTAACCCCCCTTCTCCCCCATCGCCTCCCTACCACTCCAGGAAATTCTATGGAGGGCTGCTATGGAGGCAGCAACACCTAAAAATTTAACATTGGTTCTTTCTTCTAGAAAGCTAAGCTCAGGATCAGGTTTGGTATTAGAAGACCTTATGCTTTTAGGTGGTAGTAATAACAATGCCAGCCGCTAATAATTATGGCAATCGGTGGTGACAATTTAAAGCACTTTTTAATTTACAAATTACCTGGGAATATGTAGCCTCATTTTGGGGGTCTCTGGTGTCAATCACTATTCCCATTCCACTTCCTAAAGATGTGATATTGGCACTTCCCACTTCTTAAAGGTGTAACCGCTCCCATTTCACATGTATAAAATGGAAACTCGGAGTCCTACCCCGAGGGCTTATCTATGACTCTTTTTGGTGACTGGCAATATGAACGAAAATCAGACACACACTTAGACATCTTCAACACCCACAAAGCCATATAAAATGCCTTTACTTTTTGTGACAGGACTTTAGTTCATTGTGACCACATTGCGTCTTTCAACTGATCGGAAGTTCCACTGGGCAGTTTTACATGCTTTCATGCCATTTCTTAAAAATGAAAAATAAATGAATAATTATATAATAAATGCAGATTTTAAAGGGGATGGTATCTAAAATCCACGTAGGCAGCGACCTAATCTGTCTTTTTCATCCTGTATTCCTAGTGCCTGGGAGAGGGCTGGCACTAAGTGTTTCTGGACAAGTCAACTCACTTCTCTGAATTGCAGCTTTTACATGTGTAAAATGGGGACTGGATTTCCTATTCCAGAGGGCTGGCACCTAATAAGGGCTCAATATATATGAATTAAATGAATGAATAAATAGTTATATAATCTAGGGGTAGGAAGTGGATAACCGTAGATGTTAGGCAGAAGTGTGCTGATAAATTAGCTTAGTCCTGATTGGTAATCATGGCCGATTTCACGCTGCCGATAAGAGGTTACTGAATGCTGAGTTGGGAAGAGATCTTTCCAATCAGCTCCCGTGACCTGGGGCAATTCTACTCCAGCACACCTTTGACTTGGGTGGTAAAATAGTTGCAAATCCCTGTTCCACTTCCTGTTTGTTTTTGGGAAGTTTCTCCCTCGGGCAGAAAGGTTTGGGGACTTCCAGATTGCTTCAGTTTACACAATTCTAATTTTCTGGCCGGTATCAGACCATTTTTCTTTCATTTGGCAGAGAAGAGAGAAGGGTATGAGTTGCCAGGTAGTGGATGCAGATGGAAGCGCTGGTGGGCCCATTGGTTGATCATTGGTTGGGACCATCTTACACAGAAAGTTCATCCTATTGCCCTTTCCCACTGTGTTAATATGGGAACACTCCTTCTCTTCTGTTTTATGCCTGTAGTGATTAACCCGGGCATTTTTAAGTAGGCTGTGCCAGGAAGCACCTTTGCAATTCCTGCTATTTCATAGCCTTTGCAAAAGTCCTAGGTTTTTGTTTTCTTCCCAAGATTGATTTCCTACCAGTTACGTCTACTATTTCCCATCCTCTCTGGCAAAATTGCAAGGAGTGGCATCAGCACATCTTTGTACAGTAGGCGAATATATTTGGAATGCTTATTTCTGAGAGCTGTTGAAGACGGCTAACAATTTTACCCCACGCAGAAGGACTGACAATAAATTTAGGAGTGGCAAATGGAACCACTGTTCTGTTTCCCTCTCAGTAAATAAATAACTGCAAAACCTGTACTCCAATACCAGAGCGTCAAATCCATGGCGCTCTGTTGATTAACACCGAAAATGTCTTTGTGAAGATGATGCATTTAGAAGAGTCCTAAGGCTCGCACCAGAAGCTGACACTGAAGGTTTATTTTAATGTAGCACAAATCAGAGCGAACGACGTGAAAAGAGTTCTGTTTCTCCTGGAAGGATGCCACTTGTTTCTACTCCAGGGGAAATGTCTTCCAAGCTCTTTACCAAATCTGCAAGCTGAACCAACTCAACTGTGGCTGCCTTGCCCACCTGAAGACCTCAGGATCCACCAGCAGCCCAAGACACCTCGGAAGCTGTTTCAAGGTCAGTACCAGAAATAGTGTTTTTGAGTGATTTGCAATGTAATGCAAAACTCAATGGAATGAGGAGTTTTTTTTGTGGCCTTGTATTTTCTTTCACACCACTGAATGCCAGTGTTTATGCTGGGGCATGCTTAGAGATGGAAATTTGGAAGGAAAGTCCATCACAGCATTTGTGCCAATTGGGGATCCAGCAATAATATCTGTTTAACAACACCAATAGTAAGCAGATGAATGTATATTGACCACGTTAGAAGTAAAACGAGAAAGATGTTAGAATGACATGGAGGAGAAGGAGAGAACAAGACAAGGAGGGAGAGAGGGAGCAAGAGGGGAAACATAAAAAAATGGATGGATTGAAAAACTGTGCTATCCTTTGTAACAACGTGTTTGCTCCTGCTGTTTCCTTGTCTTAGAATGCCATTCCACCCTTTCTTCACCTGGCGAATTCCAACTCAACCTGTGACCTCATCTTAATGTTATTTCCTCAGGGAAATCTTCCATAAGCCACAAGACTGGGTCAGGTCCCCATATTAGGTGGTCTGATGAATCTGTCTTTTTTTTTTTCTAGTACACGTCATGATGTAATGATTATAATTATGTATCTGGTCTATATGATTATCTGTTACATGCTAGTCTTCCTCAAGGAACAGAAGTTCTGAACTAGTAAGATTCCAAAAGCCCTGTGCTGGCCTTAGCTCTGAACACGGCCTTCAAGCCACCCATTGCATAAGGGAATGATGAATGAATGGATGTTTAAGAGAACTGCATTTTATTATCTGAGCCTTGCTGGTTTAGCATAGTCCTGTCCACACGCACATACCACAGGCCAACCTTGTGACATAAGAAAGGAGTTCAGGCCGGGCGCGGTGGCTCACGCCTGTAATCCCAGCACTTTGGGAGGCCGAGGCGGGTGGATCACAAGTTCAGGAGATCGAGACCATCCTGGCTAAAACGGTGAAACCCCGTCTCTACTAAAAATACAAAAAATTAGCCGGGCGTAGTGGCGGGCGCCTGTAGTCCCAGCTACTTGGGAGGCTGAGGCAGGAGAATGGGGTGAACCCGGGAGGCGGAGCTTGCAGTGAGCCGAGATCCCGCCACTGCACTCCAGCCTGGGCGACAGAGCGAGACTCCGTCTCAAAAAAAAAAAAAAAAAAAAAAAAAAAAAAGAAAGGAGTTCAATCCCCATAGCTTTTCAGTGCCATTTCTCAGGTCCCAACAGGTTCACTGATTTGCCAAGAAGAAGCACCAATGGGTCAGAGGCTGAGCGTGAACGGAATTCATTCTCCCGATGCCAGGGTCCCTCCCTCACCTCCCACTGCTCAGTAGACAGGTCTCTCTGCAGAAGGGAAAAGGGAGGGTTGAGGGTTTAGAGGGTTTAGACAGTGAAAAGGCAGGAAGAGTAATCATGACAGAAGAGATTTACTGCAGCCTTCTTCTCCTTTCTTTTTGCATTAAGGACAAGCGTCGCCTGCACACGTCAGCACAAATGGGAACATGATGAGGTACCACTTTTTCCAAGGCTGTGACCAGCTCCTCAGGGCAGCAGGCGAAGCTGTCCCTCTGAGTTAGCCTTTGAAGTTTTCCTCAAATCTCTTGCTGCAGGGAAGCCAAGCCAGTCAACCCTAGGCTTCCACTGGGAGCTATATTCCTTCCTTCCTTCATTCATTCCCCAAATATTTTTCAAGGGTCCACCATGTGCCAGGCATTGTGCTAAAAGTGTTTTGTGTAGGTTCAAGTGAGGCCTGCGGGGTGACCAGCTATCCCAGTTTCCCTGGCATGAGAGACTTTCTGTGTGCAAACTAAGACAGCTGGTCGCCCTACTTTGGGCGTGAGCTTAGCATGCAGTGTAACTTTCTGTACAGAGTGTAATTCTTAAGAATCACGCCAAGATCACCTTCCTTGCTAAAATGAACATTCTCAGGCTCCACTCCATACCAGTGATTCCAAATCCTCTGAGGCTGGAAACCTATGTTGAATCAGTTCCCCTAAGCTATTATTATGCGTATTTAAGTTTGAGAACAGCTGAACTAGTGCTTAAGGGTACGAACTTTAAAGCCACTCATGCATGAATTCAAATTCCACTCTCACCATTAAACATCTATGCACGTTTTTACAAATTGCTTAATCAATATGGGCTCTAATTTCCTTATTCGTAAAATGGGTCTCATAATACTATTTTCATTGTGTTCTTGAGTGATGCTGCCTGGAGTTAAAGGAGGCCAGGAGCACCAGAAGCTGGAGGAGGCCGGGGTGGATTCTCGCCTGGAGGCTTCAGTGGGAGCACGAGCTCCCGACACTTCGGTTCCATCTCTTGTTTAAAGGCACCCAGTTTCTCATCATTTGTTACAGCACCATGGAAAACCCACACACAAGTGAAGCCCCGACCCACCTCCCAAGTGCCCATCTGAGCACCCCTCGTGGACTCTGAGCAGGGGTGAGTACTCCTTTCACTCGGGCTTGCATGCCCAGGCCCCATGTAATATAAGCAATGAGCAGGCTACATATTCTTGAAAAACCCATAGGCTCACATGATAGCAATTCTTTTTATTTTTTATTTTTTTTGGAATGCAAAACAACAACAACAACAGAACACCAAAACCAACCTGAACTAGAAATGCAAGAGAAAAATGAAGCAACCCAAAGTTGTATAGCTGTTTCTTTCTTCCACCGAAGGTATGCCCAGCATCTCGTAGGTAGCTTGGTGACATATCATGGTGATGTTTTACAAGTTGGTTTTGGCAATAGTCACATCCTTTTTTTTTTTTTGAGATGGAGTCTTACTCTGTCACCCAGAATAGAGTACAGTGGCGTGATCTCTGCCCACCGCAGTTCCGCCTCCTGGATTCTCCTGCCTCAGCCTCCTGAGTAGCTGGGATTACAGGCGTGTGCCACCATGCCTGGCTAATTTTTGTATTCTCAGTGGAGACAGGGTTTCACTGTGTTGGTCAGGCTGCTCTCGAACTCCTGACCTCGTGATCCACCCGCCTCAGGCTCCCAAAGTGCTGGATTACAGGCATGAGGCATCGTGCCTGGCCCCCTTTTTTTTCTTATGTAGCTGTGAAGCCTCTGGGCTGCTTCTGGGTTCTTCCTTCTTGATCTAGCATGAATCCCAACCTCTTGGCCATGTTCCTTTCCTCTCCAGGGTTGCCATCACCAACTCCAAGTCTTGCAGCCCCTCTTCCCTTCAGTCTGGCTGCCACCTTCTTCATTGCCCTGGAAAAAAATAATGAAGTTTCACCATTTAAAGGGTTTCAGTGCAGCTTGCTATGGGAACACTGGAGAGTAACACAAATGGCCAATTGTCCTAATAGCCACCATGGATTGGATGGATGCTAACAACAGGCTCACAGTTCTCCTTCTGTTGCCTCCTTTTATCCACATGAGAATCAAACAAGTAGGTGCTGCTGGTATTACTGTATTTTTCTCATTTTAAAGATCAGGATGGGGAGGGTTGAGGAGGTTAAGGAAGTTGTTAGAAGTTACACTGAAGTTAAGAAAGGAAAAAGGACTTAGAAACTTATTCTTCCAACTTTAGAACCACGGTCAGTGACCAAGGCCCTGCTTAGAACTTTCTGAAGGTTGCAGCTGGCCTTCTACCTGGAGTTTTGACTTCCTTTCCGAGAAAGGAACTTGAATGGCAATCACAAGAAAGTTGAGAACTTCTCTTTCATATTTTAAGCATTCATTTTTTTTTATATTTATTTTAATTTACAAATACTAATTGTATATATGTATAAGGTAAGATATGATAGTTTGATATGGCTACCTTGTAATAAAATGAGCCTCATTACCAAGTCTGGCACTTCACATGTGTATTTTTTTGTTTGGTAAAACATTGAAAATCTATCCTTTTAGCAATTTTGAAATGTACAATGCATTTTTAAAAATTATAGTCATCATTCTGTGCAATAGATCACTAAAGCTTATTCCTCTTGTCTAACTGAAACTTTGTACCCATTGATCAATATCTGCCTTTTCCCCACCCACACCCCTCCCCAGTCTCTGGTCACCAACATTCTACTCTCTTCTTCTTTGAACTCAACTTTCTTAGATTCCACATACAAGTGGGATTATGCAGTATTTGTCTTTCTTTACCTAGCTTATTTCACTTAGCATAATATCCTCCAAGTTCATCCATGTTATTGTAAATTACAGAATTTACTATTTCTAAAAGGCTGATAGTATTCCTTTGTTTATATAGACCACATTTCTTTTATCCATTTATTTGTTGATGGGCACTTAGGTTGATTCCATATCTTAGCTAATGTGAATAATGCTGCAATGAACGTTAATGTGCAGCTATCTCTTTGATATACTGATTTCAATTCCTTTGGGATATACCCGGAAGTGGGATTTCTTTTATTTTTGAGTGTGATTTAACTCCAGCCTCTTGGTTCTTTCTCTGAAAATCAGTGTGAACTAATTATTGCCAGATAGAATCTATTCAGCAGGACTTTTGTTTGGGAGGCACCTCTAAGGACTTGCAAATTAGGAGAAAATATTTTTCTGGACGTCTGCAACAACACAAGCCATTTTGTTGCCCAGCATTTCCTAGAAGTCATTCCAGGTAATAGGTGTTCCTTGGGCAAAAAAACGTTTTCATGAGCAAAGACTTGGAAATCCTGCCATGAAGGTTTTATAACTGCTGGACTTCAGAGCCTTTTGTTTGCTGATATAGTTTGAGGATCTCTAAAATGATGCTATGATAGGCATCCATTGTCTTTTCATGAAAGGTAGCTACATTTGGGCTTCCACAGAGCAACTTTGGGGACACATTGCTTTGGTTTCTTCCTTGCAATTAGCATTTTCTTCTCTGTGACTTAGGGAGATGTGTCCATATCTTTCCTGAGAGTTTATTATTTTCCAAGCCCGATCTATGTAAACATCAAATCACTTACAAGACATGGCAGGCCTTCCCGATGATGAAATTGTCATGACTTCATCATTCCTATAATCACCCAAATGAGTTCTGAAGTATGGGCCTTTAGCTGCTGAAAAATAGGAAACAGAGTCAAGTCTGGCCCTATCTTGAAATGTATGTGACAGCTCATGCTCAGTTTCAGTGACGAGAAATGTGTTGAGCTAAAAATATTCTAACCAGATGTGAATCTGGGACATGTGACTGCAACTCACCCCTGCCTGCCATTTTTTCAACTTCTAGTGTCTCTCAATGCACAGTTGCTACAATCTCAGGCCACCATAGCACCCTCTGTATGCATGCAACTTGTTTCTGTGAGTGCATGTCTGCAGCCCCTGGAGATGGCTTGGTGGAGAATATCCCTACACCAGCCAGCCACAGTGGCTCCTAGCAGCCCCAGAGTGGATGGGAATAAATAAATTCCATTGCAAGTTAGGCATAAGTTCCTCTCAATCAAATGCTTGTGCATTTGTTTTTTTCCTCCAGTCTTCCATATCATTAAGAAGAGCTTGATTCTATCCTCTGGTTGGAAGACACATTGCTCCCATGATTCTGTAGAAGAAGTGGGTTTCAACTTGGTCCAGGAGAACTTGATGCCCATGGGCAAAGGTGGAATCTACCCTCCATGCAAAATGGTGTGTGGGACTCTCGTGGGGGATAGAGTCTTGTCTGGAAGCTGAATTATTTTAAGAAGGCTCTTGGCTCACTTGCAGAAGATAAAAACTAATACCTATCTATCTTTTACAGAATGACAAACAATTACTACACTTCACTGAACACATCTTGTATACTAGGCATAAGAGCCAATTGTAACTACTTTTATTTATTGGGCTCTGTCATCAAAGCTTTTGGATACTGTCTTAGTGTCAAACTATTGTGGTACTTTAGTGCGTTGAGATGTGAGCTTGTGTTTCGGTGGAGCCAACGTAAGGTTTCATATCTCTTCTTTCCATCTTAGGATCTTCTAGGAATCTAAAAATGTGTGTGAGATTTCACCTGTAAAAGCTGAGTTATTCTGAATCTGCGTTTTCCTGAAGATTTTTCTTTGTGTGGTCAGCCTTCTTGGAAAAATCCAGAAGCCACCATCAACTTACAACCCTGCATGAATAAATGTAATGTTTCGTTTGGAGATTGAGAGCTGATATATAGGACAAGGATAACTGGCCCAATACAGACAAAGTTCCTTTGAGTAAAGCAATCTGATCATCCTTAAGGAGAGCCTCAGTATAGAGCCTAGTCAGAGCCAGCAGAAGTTTAGACTCTCAAAGAGTCAGCCAGGTCCTCTTGGGAAGCACCTACTTGAGAATCCTGCATGATAGAGTTTGACATCTGGCTCTGTTACCTACAAGCTTGACCTCATTCCTATAATCCTTCATTTCATCATCTTTAAAGTGGGGATGAATTGTGCCTAGACAGACAGAATAGATGACCATGCGAGGTCATCATGCCACACTGCACATAAGTGCTTAGCATATAGTGAGTACTACACAAAAGGCAGCTTCCATTGCTGTTGCTAAGGGTACGACCTGCTGGGAGAATCATCCATCTATCTTCTAAGTGCTAATTGAGTGCACGCCTTTCTTACCTCTGAGTGTTAAAGCTTTGTCAGGAAACGTGGCAACATCTCAGGCTGAATCAGCCCTATCCAGGACTTGTCATTCCCTGATCTGGGTCCCAACCTATGAGTCATACAGCCTTCTCCATGTGGACACCACAGCAAATCACTTTTCCCATAATGAACAACCAGACACACTCCATTGTGGTGACGGAAAGTAATTACCAACATAAATGATCTAACCAGACATGGGTTCCACCAAGGTTTAACCCCTGGTTTCCTTTTCTGCACAGTAATCACACACTGTCCTGTGGCAGCCACTGGGGGAGAATCATTATGGAGAATTATGTGATCCATCTGCCCACTGAACCACAGGTGGGGGTGCAGGCAGGAACATGGCACATCTGGCTTTATTTTGGGGTCTGGTGACACCAGGAACATGGATAAATGCCCTACCTTAATTATGGGCTGTTCCAGATCCAGGAGCAAATATCTTACAGGCCACATTCCCTTTTTTCCCAGCCAGAATGGAGGTTTCCATTTTGACATGATATGGCCGCAATATCATTAGAACTACCAGCACTCATATTCCCCTCACTGTGATCCTTGTAGCTCAAAACACAGCTGTCTAGGCTATGGTCTGCACAGGTCAATGTGACTCTAGTAATTCTGTTACTACCTTTGCAATTGCTCTTTATGCTAGCACAAATACTGGTATTAATTCTCTCGATACCATGGCTAGGTAAATTTTGTTCTGTGCCAAGCACTGAGCTAACCACTTTCACATATATTTTCTCATTTCATCCCTATGAGGTTATACTGATATTACTCCCACTTCCTAGATAAATGGACTGAGACTTGAATAGGGTAAGGTGACATGCCCAAGGTCCCATAGATAATATACAGCAAAGCCAAAATACCAACCCAAGTCACATGGCTACTGGGTCAAAGCTAGATGCAGCATATGACAACTGTCCTCTGCAGTAACAGGTCCATGTTACCAACATCAGAGTAGATGAACTGATTTTGTTAACGTAACACCTAGGAAATCTAACCAAGGCCATTTGTTGTTATTTAAATTGGACCAAGAAGAAGATTGCAGTTATGAAAGAAGGAATTAAGCAATTTTGGTATAGCAAAAGTATCCTGACGTTTGTTGCCATTATTTATTTATTTATTTATTTAATTTGTTTCTTGAGGCAGGGTCTCACTCTGTCACCCAGGCTGGAGTGCAGTGGTGTGATCTCGGTTCACTGCAACCTCTACCTCCCAAGTTCAAGGGATTCTCCTGCCCCAGCCTTCGGAGTAGCTGGGATCATAGGCACGCACCATCATATCCAGCTAATTTTCATATTTTTAGTAGAGATGGGGTTTTGTCATGTTGGCCAGGCTGATCCTGAACTCCTGACCTCAAGCAGTTCACCTGCGTCAGCCTCCCAAAGTGCTGGGGTTACAGGTGTGAGCCACTGGTCCAGGTGACATTATTTATTTAGTTTTTTAAATGAGGAGTAATATACCTATAGCCAGGTGTACGTAAAGTATGCTAATCTTAAGTATACAACTTAATGAGACAGGTTACCCATGTACACATCCCTGAGAGCAAGATAGAAAACATTTCCACTCTCTAGAGGGCTACCATGTGCCTCCCTCCACCACTGTACTCTTCCCTCTACCACTATTTAAATGTCCATCATCATTGATTTGTTTTGCCTGTCTTTGAATGTTTTATATATGTGTGTATATATATATACATATATACATATAACAAAGAGTGTATATATATATACTTATGTATGTACACATATATATACATATATAAGTATATATGTGTACATTTATACACACACACACATACACACACACACATACACACATACAGTTTTTGTCTGCTTTCTTTAACTGAACAAAATATGTGTGGGATTCTTCCAGACTAAGTTATACATGGACAGTACTGTTGTACCAGTAGTTTGTTCTTTTTAATTGCTATATGGTATTCCATTTTCTGGAAACACCGCATCTATTTATGTTTTGGCTAAGATAAGTAAGTCATTTATAAACATTCTTATATATGTATTTTTGGACATATGCAAATATATGGGTATATATTCCTATGAATAGAATTGCTGGGTTATAGTGCAGTTGTAAGGTTCATTTTAATAGAAACTACAAACAGATTTCTAAGGTAGTTTTACCATTTTATATTCTTAGCAGTAATGTATGACAGTTCTTCTCACATCCTTGCCAACACTTAGGGATGTCCTGACATTTGTGTTTGATAAGCCCCTTGTACATTCTCTGCTTTATAAAATAAAGCCTGAATTGTGTCTATGAAAATAATCACACACCCGATCATGCTTTATTTTTATCTTTTTGTGAGAAAGCGTTTACGAAAAACATATACTGGCATTTACAGGTCTGCCTCTGAGATGGGGAATGGAAAAAACAAAACAAACAAACAAACAAACAATCAAAACAGGCTTTGAAAAAAAGACCCTCAAGTCAGGATGGAACTCAGATGAATGGAATTGCTACAGAAAGCCTACAACCAAAGTTTTATTTCATGCATGCATAATTCTGCATTTATTGCAGCCCTCAAATCCTATTTTATAACAAGACAAGCTTAATGACTGATTCTTTGCCATATACTTAATAAGCTGATGCATATACCCCAAGTTACCCAAGTCATCAGATGGCAAATGTTTTATTTAGCCTAGAACATTAAATATTTATTGAGCCAGTCCATGGTTTACTCATTTATTCACTCCTTCATTCATTCACAACACAACCTTTATTAAGCATCCACCATGGGCCAGGCACTGTGTTCAGCCTGAGGATATGACACCAAGTAAAACCAGCATATACGTGCTGCCTAAAAAGACGTAATTAAATCAATACATGTAATATGGCTTGCTGTGTTCAACAATAGGGAAAGGCAATGTTTCATTATTCATTCATTCATTACGCACCTAACGATTGACACTCACACACATACATTGCTGGTGTTCTGTACACTGGGGATGAGAAAGATACCTAGACCCTTCAGCTGCTCCTAAAACGTGTAGTCCAGGAAGTGAAGGGAAAGTAGCCTGAATGCTATGGCCAGAGGTAGCTGAAGTATGGCGCAAGGAATGAGGAGGGTTCGGATAGCAGATACTAGAGTTACGCCCCATTCCAAGAGACCCTTTATCAAGAACAACCAGACAGCATGTCTTGGTCCTGGAATCCCTCCCTGCATTCTCAAAGGCTTGTCAAGCACAGGGACTTGGCCATGAGTTGATGGAAAGGCAAAACCATGCTAACCATGCTGTGTAACAGGGATTGGACTTGCCATGTACATTAGTTGCCCTGCTTTTTGCCCTTTCTCTCAATCACAGGCATTAAAATTAACATCCGTGTCAAAACACATGCTAATGCACTTGCATGTAGAGAACTCGAGAACTCAGGCTTTAAACCCTGGATGCTTTTTATTCCCATGTCTAGAATTTTTGTAATTTTGAATGTGTATGGGTTCTCAACTTAGTGTCACTGCCATAGCAAAGGATGGCCAGTCAAAATATTTAGGAAATCTATTTTTGCACTGATGAGAGTGCTGACGGTATGACCATAATGTGTATACTATCAGGTAAGAATTGTGTACATTCTGACAATCATCCATTCTTATTCCATTTTACAGATGAGTTAAATGAGGTTCAAAGAAGCATTTTGTTGCAAAGTTATCGTGTAGGTACCATGTAGGAGAAGTGCAATTTGAGTTCAAGAGGTCTGACATTCAGAGCTCCAGGATCTGAAGCCACGAGGCTATATTACCTTCCTGAGACATAGAGGATCTTTTGAAATGAACCCACCTGTAATTCACATCAAATGTTTCACATACTGCAGGCGATCAGATTATTTACCATATTCTCAGTGATACTTAAAAACTTTCAACTCTGCTATCCTTTAAACCCCTCACATTCCAGAAGAATGAGGTTGTCTCTGTTTTGTGTGATGTCAGGATTTCCCTGCTGGGCTGTGTCCACTCTGTTGGAGTTCCTTTGTCCTGGGAATCAAATGACTTAGTCTCTTTAGAGAAGTTGGGCATGGAGCCCTGGTTCTCACATGGCCATTGGCCATGCTAAGTCAGAGAGCCAGGAGATGTAATCTACATCTCCATCTCTGACAGTGGGAGGGGACTTCTGCACCACAGGTGTTCTCTGAAATGGAGGATAAATACCTTTTAGAAGTATTTTGCAATCGAACACCACCTGCAACCCTGATATTAAATGTATCATTTCTTTCAAAGGGATCCGCATTGTCTTTTTTGTTCAACAGTCTGTGTATTTAACACGTGCTACTATGTGAAGAATGCCACAGACTTCCTATAGTTTGGTACCTTCTGCAGAGATTGGTAATACCTCTCAAATGTTAAACTTTCTTAGTTTTTCTCAAAAATGACATGAGGTTATTAAAAATAAACATCTGCTTAGAAATGCTATGAAATTTCAGATGTTAAAATATACATTTCTTCCTTTTTTTCTCACCAATAATTTGGGAACTATCCCCCACCCCAGGATTAGAAATGGACCCTTTCAACACTCTCTGACTGTCTCACGATCCAAGTTATAATAAGCAATATGCCATTCAGAGACAGCAAGTCCCTAAGTAAAGGACAGGCTCTTTGATGACTTCCAGCCCTTCTCATTCCTCCTCTTTGTGGTGTGTCTATGAGAACCGGCTTCTGGTTGCTGCAACACTGGGAAACAAAATGCAAACCAAACAAATAATCTATTTCCAAGGTTTTCTTACAGAGAGAGAGATCTATTTATGAAACATACATTGTTCGGTTTCAGGGGAAAATCATGTAATCATTGCAAGGGAAAAAGCATGGAAAGTGCTTTATTTTGCATAAAAATCCCCTTGCTCTATGATTTATGTAGCTGAGAGTTTTAGTCTGGGGGAGCATGGGTCTTAGTATCCCACCAAAAGAAGACGGAATCTAAAATGCAGAGAGAATTGCCTCTCACAACAAAACGCTGGTGTTTATTAACCTGGCATGAGGAGGGGCAGTGTGTGTGTGGCGGGGGCGGGGTGGGGGGGGGGGGTCAGGGAAAAAAAAAGAAATAAATGTATTTTGCTTGTGGGTGATATTACTCAATAAAGATGGACCCCAAGCTATGCATCACTCCTTAGAGCAGACAAGTCATTCCCGGCAATTAATATTTGAGGACTCAGCTGGGTTCTGCTGAACTTATGTAGGGTGCATAGGAAATCAGCATTGATTCAATATACCAGTTACTTAGACCCTGCAAAGAACTGCCCTTCTCTCCACTCTAGTTGAGAATGTTTTATTGCAGTCAGCACCTGTTTATGAAATGCCCTCTGGGAATCTCTCCCACTTAAGAGGTACAGTCTCCTAGGACATCAGGGCTGGAAGGAAACTAACAAGACTTTCAGCAAAAACACCTTATCAATGCTTCGATTTTCACCACCACGTCCCAGAAAAGAAGCTAGAAAGCTTCTCCTTCAGCACATCCAGAGATGGAAAGATACAAACCTTCCAAGCAACCTTTTCCATTTCAGATAACTGCAGTTGTTAAAAAGTGATTTCTTAACATTGAACCAAAAACTGGACCTCTTCTAACTTCTGGTTTTGCTCCTTCTTCTGCCCTCAGGACTACTGATTAAATGAAGCCTTTGATGAAGTGCATGCAGTTTGTAGCTTGATTCATGGGAATACTCATCACAGACTGAAAGTGTAACCCAGGGTCTCTGGGTTTTTGGGAACGCGCTGTGTAAAAGTATCTACTTGTAACTGTTACTCCCTGAGTTGTTGTTGTTTTAGAAAGTTCCAAGAAGAAGCTTAGCCTTGGAAAAAACAAAAACTGGTTGAATCCAGAAGTGGAGATGAATTTTGGCCAACGCTCCTCACTGCCACACTAAAAACCCTGCTCAGAGAGGAGCTTATTCACCATGTTCTATTCATGCAATGTGTGTGGAAACATGATCTACGACAGCATGCGTGCTGCCTTCACCCTACCTCTACATACAATGACTCATTTAACCTGCTGAATAAAAGCCCTGTTTTCACCTTTGCTGGGGGAGGTGCCGCTTTGGGAACTATTCGCAGTGTCCTCTTCACTTTTTGCAAGTAATAGAATACCCTTGTTAAATCCTACTTGGTTGTGGTCATTATAGTGTCACCCGCCAAGCAATCGATCCCACCCAGGGTTAACAAATGCGGGATAACAAATGTCAGGTTTTAGGCAAGTTACTTACTCGCTCAAAATATGAAGATATAAGTTACCATCAGTTGTCAATCATGGTGAGCTTTGCTCTGCTGCAGTAACAGACAATCGTAACTCTTAGTAGCTCTAAATGACCAGTTTAAATAACACCTCGTCTTTGTAGTTTTGATAGCGACAGGAGGCAGCCAAATGCCTAGGCAGGTAGGGGCAGGTTCCCCGTGAAACTCCATCTCCAAGCCGAAGACAGTTTAGAGCCTGAAAGCCAAGCTCCACATTAAATCCTCCGACTGGATTGAGAACTTGTCTTCCTGTTTAGTGTGCTTTTCTCTCATTGGTCCCTGCCATTCACCTATTTCATATACACCTAACCTTTTCTAATTGGTTTTCTATACTGTCATGCCCAACTTTGAGTGGTCTTTGCTTTAACCTTTTCTACATATTCACAAACCGATCAGCATGCACCCCCCATTCTGAGTCCATGAAAGGCTCTGGATCTAGCCACACAGAGGAACTTTCCCATCTTCAGGTAGGGGGGCCACCACCAACATGTCCCCTCTCCACCAAAAGCTGTTTTCATTGTTCAATAAAATTCTTCTCTGCCTTCCTCACCCTTCAATGTCCAGCATATCCTCATTCTTCTTGGGCATGGTACAAGAGCACAGGAACCACTGAAGGTGGGTACAAGTTATAATACAGGCAAGTGGGGGCATGCCAGCTTTGGCTGAGTGAGGACCAGGTCGAGCATTACTGTCAGGGGATCCCTGGCTTGCAAAGTGACCAAGAAGAAAAGTCTTACATTAGTTTGGCTAGGGTGAGGCCCTGACCTCTGTTACCTTCACTCGGCCAGCTCACTGATGGTGACTCTGTATTGATAGGCACTCCACCCAGAAATTGTGCACTGACATTTCCTGGCCAACGAAAGTTACTCAACTATGCCTGATTTTAAACTGCAATCCTAACATGACCCAGAAGGTGAAGAGCCAGAAATATTTGATGACTACACTGAGCCCACTTTCCCTCACAGGCTTGTTTTGCAGGGTTAATGATTTAAGCCATGTGATGTATGGTTCACAGGGTGCCTGGCACCTGCCAAGTATTCTTCCCCCAGGAGTTGGCAGGTCCTTGAAGGCACTCTCTGGTTTAGATATTCTTAGCTCCTTCCACTGTTCCTCATGCTACATTATCTTAAATCTTTTTATTTTTACCATCCTGGTTCGTCTCCTCTAAAAATCCTACCCAAATGTCCCTGTTAATTCATGATCCACCAGAAACAAACAATCTTCCAGCTGAATACAGAACCCAAGAGAACAAAATGATCTCCTTCCTTCTTCTAGATTATGCATCCTAAAATCTGACTGTTTTTTCTTTTCTGGCAATCAGAGTGCACTGTTGAATTTACTGTCAATTAAACATTCTCCATCTCTTCTATGTATTTTTCTGTATTTAGACATTTTTCTCCAATCCCATACTTGTGTCATTAGCTTTTCAGTCACAAATAAAAGAAGTTTCACATTGTTCCTTATTAAAGAGCATCTGTTTGACTTGGCCCATTCTTCCCAGCAGTTATAATTCAGACCAAGGTTGTTCTCATCCAACATTCAAACAAACACTATGGAATGGGAGAGGTATGAAAGCATTCATCCCGACAAACAATGGTCTCACCATTTTGGAAGGCATCTTTTTTACTTCATTTTTTAACAGCTGTATTAATATGTAACTGAGGTACAATAAACTGAATACATTTAAAGGGTACAATTTTTATAAGTGTGGACCTTTGAATACACCCATGGAACCATGACCAAAATTAAGACCATGAACATATCTGTCACTCCCAGAAGTTTCCTTGTGTTCCTTTCTAATCCTCCCTTCTTGCCTAGGAGACATTTTTTGTTATTTATATATTATTTTTTTTAAGGACTCTTTCTCTGTCTCCCAGGCTGGAGTGCAGTGGCGTGACTTTGGCTCACTGCAAACTCTGCGTCCTGGGTTCAAGCGATTCTCCTGCCTCAGCCTCCTGAGTAGCTGGGACTACAATTGCGTGCCACCACACCCAGCTAATTTTTGTATTTTTAATAGAGACAGGGTTTCACCATGTTGGCCAGGATGGTCTTGATCTCTTGACCTCATGATCCGCCCGCCTTGGCCTCCCAAAGTGCTGGGATTACAGGCGTGAGCCGCTGCACCCGGGCTAGGAAACATTTTTAAATCACTCTTTCTATTCTCATGACATATGTAGCAACTAGCACAGTGCTGAGCACAAAATAGATGATTTATACAAATTTGTTGGAGTTCTAAACAAGTGTCCAGAATATCTGAATGCTTGTCATGTCCATATAACAATGCCCCAAGGTTGGTCCTTAAGCAGAAGGTGCCATTTGATGGCCTGCATCTCACCCATTAGAACACAGATAATTACACAAGGGCAGAGCCCCTCATCCCAAGGTGCCCAAGCTATGGACAAGCCAGTGGCATATGGGAAGCCTGGTATAGGGCCTGGTCCAGAGGAGACAGCAATATCCAATTGAACCACTCCAATCCTTCTTTGGGGAAGTGGATGCCATCATTCTTCTCATGCAGAAGTGGAGACATGTTGTATCAACTTACAGACCTTTCATCCTATCCAAGATACATACATTCCGGTCATTCCAAAGTATTTACTCAGCACTTACTATATATTGGGTACTATTCCAGGTGCTAGGCATTTAGCAGTGAAAAAAACCTGTTGGAAGCCCAAGGGAAAAGTCTATTACTGTAGATGGAGAGTAAGATGATGCAGAGGTGGACAGAGAACGGGGGAAAATATGTAAAAAGTAAAGGGCGGGAAAGTCACGATCATTTAGGGGAACTCCAGAAGTGACTATCACCCTCTCAGCCTTATTACCCTGATATATTTTTCCTTTCCTTTTCTTTAGGCAAAGAGAGTGTTATCTGACATCCTCTTTTCCACTTCAACTCTTCCTACCCAAGCAGCAATAGGAGCACATGTTCTAACGTGTCTGGAAAACCAACTCTCATCAATTAATTACTAACCGTTCTCTAGAGCTCTGGGGGTGGTGCCTGGGACACAGAAGGCATGGTCTTGAAATAAGGGTGTATCACTGTTTCTTTTGCATTGCAGAAGGTGAGGGCACTAACCTGCTGTCACAGCAGTGGACTGACCTCACAGAAGGACTGCCTGCTTAGTGGGAGAGCAAAGTGAAAATGATTTGAAGAAATCCAAATTCTATCGACCCATACTGCACAAGCCTTCCATTATTCAGCTTTAAGAACTAATGTATAATGTGTGCTATTGCCATCAAACTTCTGTTGCAAATAATTCATGCCTGGAACTCTTAAAAGATATATTGTTAACATTATCACCAGCGGAATCAGACTGGACAAATTCTTGGAATTTGATGAAAATGATCACTCTGGTATTTGAGATCCTCTTTAAGGGTTTTAGTATATGAATCTCAGCAAGAGGCTAACATAATAAGGCGAAATTTGGCTCAAAATTTACCAAAAAACCGGTCACTGGGTTAATTATCTAATGCTGATTGCTACATTTTTTCAACACAATTTAGATTCAACCCTCTTTGTCAAAGATCAACAGTGCTACCTGGTTAGTGACTTTTTTGTTTGTTTGTTTGCTTTTTTGTTTAACAGCTTTATTAAAGTGTAATTTTTATACAAAATGGTTGGTGTTTACATCAACAGCAAAAGTAGAAACTCATTCCCAGAGTCTTGGATGGAGGCCAGGAATGCTGCTAAACATCCTACAATGAACACAGCCTCCAACACGAAGAGTTAACCAGCCCAGAATATTAGTCATGCTAAGGCTGAGAAACCGTGTTTCAAAATGAGCCTCAGTTTTCTCATCTGTAAAATGATAATGATATCTACTTTTCAGGATTGTTGCAAGGCTCATTGACAATGCCAGTAAAGTAGCTATAATGGCCTGACTTGCACCAAGCACTCAAAGTAGGTATTCTCATGTGAACATGATGGTGATAAATATTATTTCATTTCTTATCCTGGATTGGATCAAGTCTTAAAGAAATAGGCACAGAAATGCCTTCTGGTCACCAAGTAATTAGTCCTTCAACAGCAAAACATGTGCAGTTTTAAACTAAGGTTCTAAAAAGGTACAACAGAATGTTTGTCTTTGGAATGTGTAGCATTTTGGGTAAGGGCAGCTTGTTTGTTTGTACTCCACCCTGAATATGACCCACAGTCATTTCCTCTTCTTTGGCTTTGCTCTTGGGTCTTTACCATGATGAGGAAGTGGGGTCTCTCCTCACACAGGATCACAGTCCAGAGGGAGCTCCCACAGGGAACGCCCAAGCCTTTTATGAAATAGGACTTCTGGTCTGGTGGTGTCTGAGTGATGCCACCTCCTTCCTTACACTCAAAATAATTCCTCCCCTCTATCTAGGACGATAGCCACAGAAAGAATGCTACAGGCCACCCAGCGTAAGGTGGAAGTACTGTTTAAGTCAAGGGAATGCCCCTAGAGTTGTGACTTGAACCTTATAGGTAAATGAGGAGTTCCTCACCCTTCCGTCTCTTATCACAGAGCTTCTTCAGTTCAGATCCTAGGGGGCCTCCACTATATACCCCCATCTCTACTTTCTTGAAAGAATACCAGGAAGATTTCATGGCAGGCTCCTTGATCCATCACTGAGTAATAGGAAAGGGACTACTACCCTTTGGGGACTGGCAGCTTCAGAATTTTGCAGGAGCAACTCAGGGCTCATACAGCAACTATTGTAGAAGCACTAGAAAAGCCAAGAAGCAGTGCTTGCATAACAGGCACACTGGTTTTACATAGCTAGCATGTTTATTGGGGGTAGCTTGGGAAGAATCACCGTTCTGGGGGATTGAAGGACTATACTCCCCAAATCACCAGGGCTGCCACCGCTGCATGTGGGTTGACTCTTACGTCCAGTTTTTTTCTTCTTACCATCCTCAGGAGAACTCATCCCCCAATCACAACCAATAGTCTTCTTCACCCAATAGTGATCGGATTTTGGAATAAATATGTTTATTATTTCATTCAGCAAATATCTACCAAAAAAAACCCACCATGGTAAACTCTGGCATAAACAGTCAGTGGAGCTTGTAGCTTAATAAATGTGATAATGCTTAACATGTGTACAATTGATTATCATTTTTGGTTTAGCTCTCTCGGGTCTGTTACATCATTTAATGCTCATAGAACCTCCCCCATCCCAAGACAAGGAGGATGGAGGTGATAGATGCCTTTTTGATGGACGAAGCAACCAAAGCTGATAAAAAGAGTTAAGGGGACATCAAAACTCAAATTCAAGCCTTCTAGCCCCAGCCTAGTGCTTTCAAACTACAGATAGCTCTTTTCCCTATTCATCTTCTGCACCTCTCCCTCATTTTTTACAAGCTCTTTTTGTTTTAATTTTTTAAAATGTGTATAGGTACATAGTAGGTATATATATTTACGGGGTACATGAGATGTTTTGATACAGGCATGCAATGTGAAACAATCACATCATGGAGAATGGGGTATCCATCCCCTCAAAGCAAACAACCAACAAAATTAAGAGATAGCACACAGAATAGGAAAAAAAAATTGTAAACTGCTCATCTGTCAAGGAATTAATAACCAGAATATATAAGGAGCTCAAACAACTCTATAGAAAAAAAATGTAATTATCCAATCAGAAAAAATGGACAAAAGATCTGGATAGACATTTCTCACTCTCTTATAGTGGTGAGAGAGTCCTAGGTTGAGTTAACTAGGCTCGACTTTTATCCACCCTTTCTCACAAGGGATGAAAGCATGGTGTGGATGGAAGTTATGTTATTCAACTTGTAACTTTTTATCTTGTCACTACCCTCATTTGAAATATAATCAGATAGAGTGGAAGTGAGACTCTAAGACCTTTCAATCTGATCTTTTCATTTTATGGATGATGGTCCTGAGATCTGGGGCATTAAAAATGACTACGACACAACAATACTAGTGAGAGAAAGTCTCTCATTCTCCTAATCCCAATTCACCAATCTTCTTAAGTTTTCTTACGGCTCTTGTCTAAACCTAAGGAAAAAAAGTGATCTCAGCATCAAATAATAATTCTTTCTTCCAATTTCATTGGAAAACATTTTGAAAACATTGTGAATTGCCACTTGAAACAGGCAACAGTTCTGTTTGCAAATAACTCTCTGATGAAGTGGAGTGGGTTTAAAATCAGAAACAAAAACAACTTCTTTGCTACCTTGCTGGAAACTTCAGGCAAATATGTGTCATACATGGTCAACTATATAAATTATCAAAGTTATTTTTGTTGAGTCACTACATGCTTCAAAAGATGTATCAATCCCTGAACATCCTGTCCATGGAACCCTGGCATTAACTTGATGAATGGGATAGCGTATTCTGAAATCACATTGCTTAATTTCCTGTAGCTATTGTAAAGTTTAAGTTCATTAGAACTTTGGGCTCAGCAGCGACAGCATCCTTCCACTGAAGGTGCAAATGGCAATGATAAATTGGCCTTGCAAAATGATCACAGTGATACACAGTACAGTACATATACATAGCATATCATTTCTTGATAACCAATAAAGAAAATATCCAAATTAATTGATGCATTCTCTGGGGATCTTTTCTCTAGGGCTGTCTCAAACTAGTTCAGTAGTGAGGTTGGGGCTTGCTTACTTCTATGGACTTATCTTCTTGAGAAAGTCACTCAGAAGGGCAATCCAATTGCTCCTACTTCAGTTTTCAAGCAGAATGTTGGAGAATAAAGCCTTTGGCAAGAACTTTCTTGGGAGACGAAGGGTAACTGTCTATAAGGTGCTCTTGAAATGTGTTTGTTTGCCTTGGTGATCCTCAAAGACACCTGGAAGATCTTCTCTAGGCAAGAAGCCTTGGCATGGGCACTGCCACGCTGAATATTCATTTTGAAGTACAGCATATAAAGTATAAACAAAAGCCAAATGCTGCTCCTAAAAAGCATTTTCTACATTTCATAAATAACAATAAAATTTGCTTGTAATGGTAACTACCACTTTTAGAAAACAAAAAGCTTACTATTTTGTGTCTTATAGTGAATATTTCTGGAAGGCAGTGAAAAATGCCCAATTTATTTTAGAAATATTCATTGAGTCCCTCTGGCCTTTTAAACAGAGTGCTGGGGAAACAAAGGTTCTTAAAATAATGCCTGCATTCTTGAAGAAGGCTCCCACAGACTAGTGGAAATGCAAGGTTCATGAACAGTCATGATGCAATCCTCAGGGAGCCTACCTATGATGAGATGAGTTGGGTAAAGCATAACCAAAAGGATTTCTATGTTTGGGCTCTGAAAGAATGCAAGGGTGTTCGCTGGGTGAAGAAAAATGGAAAGGGCATAGGGCAAAGAGAACAGCATGTTCAAAGTTGCAATAGAAAGAATGTGTGACGAATTCAGGAATCCAGAAGAAGACCTATGTTATGGAAAGAGAGAGCTCAAAAGAGGTGGCTTTCCCTACCTGCCATGGGGAAGCACAGGGAGATTTGTGCAGGGGTGACATGATTCACTTTGTGATTGCAAAGTATCATCGCTGCAGAGGGTGGGGAATGCTGTGCAAGACAAGGTGGGTGAGGAGGCCTCTAGATACAGAAGAGGGAACGGTGAAGGTCTCAGCTCCACCTTCTGGAGCAGGATCCAGAAGACACCTCGGTGGGAGAGTCATTTATTTAGTCCTGTTAACACACATGTTTTTTTTTGTTCCAGGTATCCTACTAGGCTCTAGAGACACAAGACAGATAATAAGACAGCCTTTGTCATGATTTCGCTGTCCTTGGCTCACACGTTTCTCGTGGAGCCTACCCTGAGTTGGTCCATAAGCCAGACCTATTGTTAAGTGTCGCCAGAGAACAATATCATCCAAGTGTGCACCTGTGTTTCCAATTGCCCTTTAGTACAATCTAGTATTTCATTCACTGCCTTCCCTTCCTGCATATAACACTCATCAGGACAGGGACTCCTGTGTTTGTCTCATTCCATGTAGTGCACAGCAAACGCGTTGTAGGTGCTCAATAAATATGGGTGGGATGAACACATGAACAAAAGAGCTCACAAATAACAGCAAGAGATGGACCTGATAAACCCCAGCGCCACAGTCTCATCAGTGTGCTGACAGAAGCATATACAGGGGTGGGGAGTGACAGCAGTTCTTCTCTAGGCCACATGGTCCACAAAGAACTTTGTGAAGTGACCAGGCTGGATCTGAGTCATGAGTCATTCACTTGGTGAATTCATCCCTGGCAATGGAGCCTTCCTCACACCTGCATGTTGCTTCTTAATCTGGAGAGAATTATGGTTCCCTCCTCCACAGAAGCTGCCCCAACAAAGGACGTCATAAAAGCATCCCCAGGGGGAAGCTTTGTGTGAGAAATCCAGGCTGTGTCCCACCTTCAGCTGTCAGTAAGAAGGTTACAGCTTCCTGGATAATGCCACGCCAGAATGTGGAGGCTGAAAAGGGTGACGTGGGAGGGCAGGAAGTAGAAGAAATGGAAGCACATTTGCTGGCAGCAAGAAGCTCCTCTGATTTACCCAGAGAGGTAGCCTCTGTAAAATACTCTGAGGGCAGTCTGAATATCGACCATTTCTTTTCTCCTCTGTCTCTGGTATGTGGTGAAACCTCCAAAAGAAAGCATATCTTGATATTCGTTCAAGTCAGAAATATTGAACCGAAATCATAGGCTCACAAGTTGGTAGAACTTGGAGGAAATGTGAAAATCTTATAATGAATTGTTTATCTTTTTAAATGAAATTATCCATATGTTCTTAAAATATTAATGCAATATGGCCGGGTGTGGTGACTCACGCCGGTAAACCCAACGCTTTGGGAGGCCAAGGTGGGCGGATCATGAGGTCAGGAGATGGAGACCATCCTGGCCAACATGGTGAAACCCCATCTCTACTAAAAACACATAAATTAGCTGGGTGTGGTGGTACACACCTGTAGTCTCAGCTACTTGGGAGACTGAGGCAGGAGAATCGCTTGAACCCAGGAGGCAGAGGTTGCAGTGAGCCGAGATCACACCACTGCACTCCAGCCTGGTGACAGAGCAAGAGTCTGTCTTAAAAACAACAAAAAAAAAACGAAGTACATTATTATAATATACACTTTCTGTAACCACCACCAACTTAACTAGAATATAATCCTCTTGAAGATAATGCTGCATGCATGCGTTCATTTAATAAATATATTTCAATCTGACCATAAGCCATTTGGTGTGCTAGGCTCTGGGGATATTATGATGGATATTAGGATAATACAATCCCTGCTTTCAAAAAGCTTATACTCTAGAAGTTTTACCATATCTATGATATGTACTCAAGCCTAGTGCTAATGATCAGAGCCCATTACATATTTGTTGAATGAATGACTTAAACAGCAATAAAAGGAGGCTGGGAGTAATATTGTTATTTATTGCTCCACAAATACATTTTCTAAAATTGGACTGCAGCCGCATTGAGAATAAACCATCCTGATTTTCAGAGTCCAGATAAATAATTCAATCTGTCTCTGCTCAGATGATTTATCAATGGGAAAAGACACTTTAAAAACATTTTCTTTGGGGGGATGTGGGTAAAGAGGTGCTGGCAGACTTAGGAGCCTGCTTTAACACCATTAAAGTGGGTGTGGTCACTGCACTTTGTATGGCTTCTCCAGGGCTGATTGGAAAAAGAATCATCTGCATTCATGAAGAATAGCAGTTAACACATTGGCCTGATATGGCACACACTAACTGTGGGATGCTCAGGAGTCTTCTTCCTTGCTAAGAGACCTTGAGTTTGTTTGGGACAGCAAGATCCTATGCAGGACATTGTCCATCCCAAATTCTCTATGGGGGGGGGGGTACGGGGCACAGTTTTGGCCATCATTTAGAAGTGGAGTCTTCTCAGGGTTCTGAGATGGCAGTTTTTTTTCTGAAAAATGGAAAAGACAAAGACATGATAGGTACCTTTTCTCCCATCCGCTATCTTCTGGTCTGGAATAAGGATGTGATTCAGCAGCCCATCTGAGGCCATGAGGCAAAGGCCAAGAGAAATGCAGAGGGATGGGCCTTAATGATATTTACTACTGGATCCAGATTTGTCAGCCTCAGCACTATTGAGATTTGGGCCGATGATTCTTGTTCTGGAGAGCTGTCCTGTTCCTTGTGGAATGTTTAGCAGCATCCTTGAAATTTACCCACTAGATGCCAGTAGCATTTAGCAACAACCAAAACATGTATCCCCCAGTTGTGATAACCAAAAATGCATGCAGGCATTGCCAAATGTCCCATAGGGATGAGGTGGTTATCCCTGGTTGAGAACCATTATATTAGACTAATGCTTGATACTACCTACCACTGGACTTCATGCAACAAGGAAACACTAAATCTTCATGTGTGTGTACCTCTGGAATCAAGTGTTCTGTTACTTGCAGACGAAAGCATTCCTCATGATATACAGAACATGAATACGGCCAGCATATGTGTAGTATCTAAATACGTCTAACTACTACTATGACAGGATATTGGATAATGGTGCTTTCTACCTTTTATGCCTATCTGGGCTCCTAACTTTCTTCAAGGGCTACTCTCAAGACTTTTCCTCCAGCTCCACTCCAGACCTTCTCAGCACCTGTATATTCTATTCTTATCAATGTAAAAACATAGTACAGCACCTGGCACTCAATACTGTTAGCTGAGGGGCAGCTTCATGTAGTGACTGAAAGCTCTGAATCTGGAGTTAAATTGCTTGGGTTCAAGTTCTGACATTTAGAAGTTGAGGCAAGTTATCTTGAGGAAGTGACTTAGTTTCTCTGAGCCTCATTTATCTTATCCATAAAACAGGATAATAACAGTATCTGCCTCCAAGTCCCTTAAGAGAATTAAAGGTTTTCATCCAAGCAGTGCCCACATTTTTAAAAGTGAGGTGATATAAAAATGGGAACATTGTATAATTGAGGCTCTAGTATGCTTCCCAACCTTCAATCCCATTTATTTTTAATTGATCAGAGGACCATCCTAGAGGATGGTCTAATTTCATTGTAATTGGATTGAAACATACTAGGTCCTCAATTATATAATGTTCCCACTTTTACATCATCTCACTTTTAAGAATATGGGCACTACTTGGACCCTAATCTAGTATGAGGATCTAGTGTGAATCAAGAAAGAGAAATTGGATTGAAGGTTGGGAAGCAGTGAACTCTAAGATACCAAAAGGACACTCTACTTTCATGGACAATTTCTCCACTTCCTCTGAAAAGGGTACTGAAGTCAGTGGAATCAACATTCTGAATTTTGTGTTACAAGCATTGAACCACAGGTTTATGTTTTCTCAAAAAATTTAGAAAATATTTTGGCTTTGTCACATAGCTACAATTCAGAAAAATTGGTAAATACCTCTGAAGGTCGTCAACTGTATCCTTCAGCCTCCAGTGAGAATATCCTTCTGATGCACCTGGCCATCCATTAGGTGTGTAAAGACATTCCTGAAGCTGAGGCACTCATAGACAAACCTCTCATTGATTTCTGTCTTATGCTGTGAGGAAGCGCTTTCTTTTGTGTAACTCACATTTCTCATGGTGCCCTGCAAAACCATGTTCTCTTGAACTGTCCTTTCAGAAAACAAATCACAGCCCAAGAGATTTGAGCACCTCAAAACCACATTTAGGATGTTAGATATATTTGGATCTTCAGGAAGCAGTCTCTTGTGTTTGTGAGCTTCATATTCTACTCTCAACCCAGTGCCTCCATCTTCACTAAAGAAGACCCAGTACATACTTTTTAAAAATATGATACAGCCCACAGTGAAAGATTTCTGCAGGGATAATACCAACCATTGGTCATGTCTTAAAGTAGCACAATGTCTTAAGAGAAGCAGAGTGGCTTTTCTCATCTTTCTCTTTTCTTGGCTACAGGAATCAGAGTGGAATCTCTAATAGCTGAAGTTTGTAATAATTACAACATGGGCCCAGCCATCAGTTTGGTGTGGTGTGAGTGTTAAAAATGGGATTTCTTAATTTGAATTATTGATCAGCATGTTCACTCAGGCAGCCATTCTCCCCTTCAAATAGGCAGTAAATCTCAGCTGACAACTTTTCACACTTTGAAAAATACCAACAAACTCTGGAACTTCAAATACAGTCACGAGCCTTCTCTCTCAGCTGAGAGCAGTCTTTCTAAGACATTCTTCACAGAGTGTAGGTAAAAACCATTTTTTAAGGACATTAGGAAAGGAGTGAATAATCTCTAAAGCAATATCTTTGCTGTGGTAGTGTCCTATGACAGGGCTTCACAGACCTTAATGTGCACCTAAATCACCTGGCGATCTTGTTAAAATGCAGACTTGGATATTGTGGGACTGGCGGGGTGGAACCTGGGAATCTGCATTTCTAACAACTCTCAGGTGGTGTTGATGCTGCTGGTCTAGGTGTACCCATTCAGGAAGGCTCTAGTACATATCTCGGCTAATGACAGTCCTGATTGTGTCATTGAGCATAGTATTTCTATCCAAATCCTGCCAACTCCCCATTCCCTGAGTGGGAAATCAAGACACCTGCATCTTGTGGTAGGACGTTCTCAAGCAGTGTGATCCAGTGAGAAGGTTGTCTCAAGGGAACCAGGCATTAGTAACTATACACACTAGTCAACTCTTCCAAGAGATTAAGCAGAGAATGACCTCAAAACAGACCTATAAGGGCTTGAGACATAAATGATAAAATAGTAGAAACGGATGAGAAATGGGATGGCCAAACTCAGGAAGGCTGAGAAAAATAAAAGGCCTTTATAGAAGTCAATACCTTTGGAAACCGATTTGTAAGCCACTAAAGGAAGAATTGCTGACAAATTATTAAGAACAGAAAGACTGACTTGAGACAAGTGATTAAAATTTAATAATAGGCTGGGCATGGTGGTTTACGCCTGCAATCCCAGCACGTTGGGAGGCTGAGGCGAGCAGATCACTTGAGGCAAGGAGTTCGAGACCAGCCTTGCCAACATGGTGAAACCCCTTCTCTACTAAATATATTATAGAAAAAATTAGCCAGGCCTATATCTCACCACTGCACTCCAGCCTGAGCAACAGAATAAGAGTCTGTCTCAAAATAAATAAATAAATAAGATAAAAATAATAGTAAAAGGCAAAAATTAAAAGGGATTCAAGATAAAATGATAGCAATGGAATAAAGTAATACAAGCATATTTGACGTAACTGATGTATGTTAAGAATATGTAGAGCTGATATTTATAAACTACACTAAAGAAATAAGAAAAATTTAGAAGAAAAGACATATTTAATGACATATATCAAGAATGTTTTCCTAAAATATAATACTTATGAATTTACGGTTTGAAATAATTAAAAGAGATTAGAAATTAATTAATGACTCTGGAAGACAAAAAAGATTAAATATAACACAATTGTATGTCTAAGGCAAGGATTCAACAACATAAGTGAAATAGAAAAAAATTCAAAGATATAATTTAAGAGAGAGCATAATGTGCTCCAGGAAAAATTGGTAGAAATTAACCAATACTAAGACATCTTGGCATAGTTCTCAAGTTGCAAAGAAAAAGTGAGAATCTCATGACAAGCCAGTTAAGTCACCTATAAGGAGACAAGAATTAGACTGGTTTCAGACTTTATGTCAGTGATAATTCAATACTAGAAGACAGTGGGACAATGTGTAAAATACCCTCAGGGAAAGAAAATGTTACACCTAAAATTTACAGCCAGTCATTTTATCATTCAAATACAAAGGTAACAGAGAGATTTTTTTTTTTTATCATGCAACAACTCAAGAAATGTTGTTCTCCTTTATTGGATTTGAAAGTGTCTCTTCATTTGGATATTTGGGAAGAGACAATTTGGCTGTTTCATATTATTATTAACATATATATTCCTGTTCCTACCTCAAAAAGATGGAGCTATTGACATGGCTTGCTACGTCAGTCAAGATAGACAAGAGACCGAAAAGCACGTAGACATGGCTGCAGTGGTGATTGGAGGTGTCTTCTGCTAGCCACATGCTATGGGTGTTTCTTTCTGCCTTTCATATAGTTGGCTAGTTTAATAGGTGAATTAATTGCTAATCACTGAGTGTCTACTTCCTGCTGCTGAGATTGGCAGCTGGCCATAGCTGGCTGTGGAACAAAAGGCTGTGCTCTGAGCCCAGGCTCAATACCCTTCCTTTTTCACTCATCTTGATGAAAACCCACTTCATCCCAATCAAAACCCACTTCTTCCCACTCCACCATTTCAGCTTGAGCATTCTGAATCCTCACCACATTCATCCATTCTTTGAACAAATATTGTGCTAAGGAGAGATGACATGAAAATGAAAAAGAGAGACATCATCCTTGACATCATAAAGCTTCAAGAAATACAGAGAGAGGGAGAATGATGGGGTGGAGGGAGGTTAATGAGGTAACTGCACACTTATTTCATTAACTAATACAGTGACGATAAATGAGGTGAAAGCAAAAGTCAAGGTATTGTAGGTATACATAGAAGAGGGCCATCCAGAAGGGAAGGGTCAGAAAGATGCCCAAAGAGGAAGCGCACCTGATGTTGCAGCTGGAAGGATTCATAAGACAGATAAGAGTTGGTCCTCTAAAGAACCTTCAGAGTATTTTAGAGGAAAGGAAGCAGCATGTATGAAGCTCTTGAGTTGGGCAGAGGTGTAGCCAATCGGAACACCTAGAAGATCAGTGGTCTAAAGTGTCAAGTGGCGGGACAGCCATTAGAAAATGCTAAAGAGGTAGATGGCCTTGAATGTCTTGGTGAGGAGTTGATGCCAAAGTCTTGGGCAATTACAGGGGTTTCTCTGTGAAAGGATAACCAGATGAGTCTGGGGCTACTCAAATAAGTCATTGCACAGCCTTCTGGCTGGCTTCACTGCCTCTATCCTCTTGTAACAATTCAATCCAAAAAAGAATTCTTAACAAACCATAGTGCCACTCAGAATGGGTCACGGGCTCCCTGTTGCAAAGAGGATGGAAGCTAGAACCCATCTGTAAGTATTGAGATGCTCCTTGACCAAGTCAGCCTTTTCTAACCTGCTTGACTTTCCTCCCCAACACTCACGGTCCACTCCAGCCAGACATACACATTTACGAAGTACAGTCTGGGTTTGTTCATAATTGCCTTTGCTGAGTTGCCAGAAAGCTTTCCTTTTTCTGTGAGTTTCAGAAACTTTGGCATGGGTCAAGACATAATAGCAGACAGAAGAAAGATCATAGGCTTTAGTATTGCACAGAAATGGATTCAAATTATGTCTTGCTACTTACTTAGTAACTATGTAGCCTTTGGCAAGACCTTTAATCTCATCCTGCTTCCATTTCCCCATTATTAAAAGAAGGAAGGCTCTGTTTGATCCTACACAAAGGGGGATAATAACAGTACCAGCCTTCACTGGGTGATTGTAAGAATTTAAGTAAATAGTGGATAAAGAATGCCTGGCAAGCCCTGAGCACAGTGTCTGGCACATAGTAAACAACACCTGCTGCCTTACTGTCATTGACTCTTTTATGTGACGTGTGTGACCTGGTATCTAGTCACCCTGGGGTTGCATACTCTCATTCTAAAAGGAGCTAGCTGCTTTCTTCTCCCTCTCCTCTCCCTCCTCCTGACACCCTGGTGATGGCTGAGGCTGATGTTCACATCTGTCCTGTGGACCACTAAGGTCTGTTTCTCCCCCAAACTTTTTGGAGAGTTTCTTCCCTGAAGGAGGGAATCTGTTATGCACATTGCTCTATTCCATGTATGTCTTTCTTGGTGACAGATTGATTCCACAGGCATGAATCATTGATGACTTCAAGTGACCCAGAATATTCTTCGTGTGTAACATACAGCTGTGAAGGACGCTTTTGTCAAGGGGAATCTGGCACAGATGGAAAACACAAACCTCAACATTGTCTGGGACTGTGGACAGGGGCCCTGATAGTTTTCAAGAATCTTTCATAATATGGGCTTTTCTCAGATGCCAGAGTGGTGGATGTTCACTTCATTTTTCCAAGGTGGAGATCTATTGTGGACTTCTTTGAAAAACTAATATGAAATCTGAGATTTCATATTTCATGTATTAGCCATCCCTGTGACTAATCAATCACATTTGACTGACCAGGGGGACATGTGCTATAAACATCTAGTACGTTTATATTAATTCATGCCATTTACTACCAATTTTGCATTTTAGAAATAATATTATGGGATTCATAGGCCCCAACCCCTGAAATATTAATTTCAATAAGAGTTTTTTCTTAAGTACATACTCTGCCAGACCCCAGAAATGCCCTGGTGTTACAGCAGTGAATACTATCAACTTGGTCCTTCGAGTTCACACTGCAGTTGAGGAGGCAGACGTTAAACCAATAATCACACCAATTCCCACATAATTAGAATTGTGGTAACTGCTATGTTGAACATGAGAAGCAGGTGTAAGCACAAATAACAGAGAGGCTTAATCCAGTTTGGAGACTTAGGGAGAAGGTGGTTACAGGTCAAGAAAAACTCACTTAAAGGAGCTACACTGAAGCTCAGCCCAAACGGATGAGTAGGAGTCAGGCGGGCAAAAGTGGAAGAAGGATATGGCTAAGAGATGGTAGTCAGGGAGACCTCGCAGATGAAGAGGAGCAGAGATAACGGTGTATGAGAAATGAGGCTGGAGAAGTAAGCAGAGCTGACCTGTGACAGCGAAGTAGGCCACACGGAGGACTTCAGAACTTACCAGAAAGAGAAAGTCGTTACCACAAAGAAAAGATTTGATCACATAGTCAATTCACTATCACTGTTGATTTCCTGGCCACATTCAGCTGGCAGACATTACAACTAAACTACAGAAAATGTAGCTGACGTCAGATGCCCACTTTTCCAGTCCTAAGTGATTAATTCATGCATCCACATACCCATCTACCCATCCATTCATCGATCTACCCATACATGCATGCACCCATCCATTCATTCACCTACTATCCATCCATCTACCATCCATGCATTCATCTAGTCATCTATCTATCCATCCATTCATCCATCCACCCACCCATCTATCCTTCCACTCATCCATCCACTCACTCATTTATCCATCCATCCACCCATCCATCCATCCATGCATGCATTCATCCATCTACTCATCTATTGACCCATCCATTCATCCATACATCTACCCATCTATCTATCCATTCATTCATCCTCTCATCCATCCATCAATGCATCCATTCATCCATCCATTTACCCATCTGTGCATCCATTCATCCATCTGCTCATCCATCCGTCTATCCTCCCATTCATCCAACCATCCATCAATCCATCCATTCATCCATCCATCTACCCATCTGTCCATCCATTCATCCATCTGCTCATCCATTCATCTATCCACCCACCCATTCATCCATCAATCCATTCATCCATCCATCTATCCACTCATCTATCCAGTTATCCATCTATCCATTCATCCCCTCCCTTGTCATTAATTTACCCACTAACCCACCCACCCATCCATCCAAACTTCAATCCATGCGCTTATGTATTTATACCTTCACCAAGTATTTATTCAATTCTCTAGGAACAGAATTGTGCTGGATGCTAAGGTAACATGGTGAACAGGACACCACCCCCTCGTTCAAATGTTTTATAGTACAATAACAGAGACAATTAAACGGGAAAAGATAATACAGTGAACTCTTAGCTGGGATGAGGGTAAGAATTAAGTATCAAGGGAACACAAAGAAATGAGGCAAATATTGGAGAAAGCTTTCTAGAACTGAAGTCTAAGCTGAGATATGAACAGTGAAAAGGGTATGAGGCCAAAATCTGACAGGAAATGCAAAGGCCAAGGGTGACGGAGATGGAGATGTTTTGAAGGAGGTGGCTGGTTTCAGGGTGGCTGGGTAGGAGGTCGGGATGGGGTGGAATCATGAGATTGGACTGGAGAGGTAAGCAGGGGTCAGTGTATATCTATTAAAACTTTTGTTTTATTTTGTTCGGATGCTGTTGCTTTGTTATTATTTTTGTTTGCATTTCTTTATTTTATTTATTTATTTTTGCAGAGGAGGTATATGAGCAAATAGAAATATAATTTGATAAATTCTGTACTTGGGCAGAAGCTATTTGATAAATATACAAAAAAGTATTTTCAGGAGCCATGTAGATGATGGAATAAGAGAAATAAAAGTGATTGAGTGTCTACTGTATGCGAGATACTTAACCTGAATTGGCTCCTCTTAATTTCACACCTTCTCTGAGATTGAAATGTATTCCTAAGAATTCAGGTGGAAAGTCAGGGCCTGGCCAGCTGAGGCTGTTGGAAAAGGCCACACAGCTTGCAAAGTGCAGATCCTGGGTGAGGACCCAGATCTGTCTGATGGTGCCGCCTTTCCGTGACTGCATGCTACCACTCCGCTTCTCTCCAAACTGGTCATTTCCAATTGGGTGGACTCGTGATTTCCAGGACTGACTTGAGGACACCCAAAATTATACAATTATTCCAGGGGAGAAGTAAAGATGCCAAATTCCTCTCAAAGCAACTCAGTCTTAAGTAGTTTGAATTGGTAAAAAGGTCTTACATATAAAGTATCTAGAATATATGATGTTTACAGTTCATCAAGCACTATGCTAAATGCTTCTGCTTCCTTATTAGGGAGGTGACATCATGGTCCCATTTTACAGAGGGAGACAACCGAGACTTACATGAAGTAATATAGCCATGGGAGCTCACTAAGTGGTGGAGTCAGGATTTGAGCCCAGGTAGTCTAAGGAAGAGGCCCTCCTCTTAACCACATGACCTCACAACATATACCTACAATGTTGCACCCTACAAGCCTCTGTTCCAACCAAAAGGAACTCTTGGGAGAGAAGTGGAGGCTGTAAAATTGAGCAATACCCGTAGGACCTCAGAAGAGATTAGGAACCAGTGAAGTCCTCAGTGCATACCCCACGTATCCTGGAAAACAGCTGGAGACAAGAACCTCAGAACCACAGCAGAGCCAGGGGCTTACCTTCCCTTAGCTGCAGCTCCCTTGCTTGCCTTTCCTGAGGATGGAGCTTTCTTTCTGCTAAAACAATTTTCCTTTAATCTTTTCTGCAGAAGAAAACCCAGAACAAGCTTTATGGGGTTCACTTTAGTTTTGCTGTGAATTTTCTGTGAGCCTGAGGAGCTCCGGTGTTTTGCCAACTGACAGATCTGCCTGTCCTCTTTTCCTTCTCCCCTTTCTTTTTTTTCTCTTTTCTCCCCCTGCGTACAATTTATGTAGAACATCTGGTTTTAAAAGTGTCGCAATTTTAAAACATATTATAATGCTCATGGGATCAGAGTATCAACAGCTGTCTATTGCGGTAAACCGCATGTCTGGAAACTGAGTTCTTGAATAAACATAAAGCATCTATAACACATGATGCTGAGCAACATGCATTTGTAAACTGAGTATTTAGACCAGATGAGGTGCAAAGGATGGCATTCTTGGTCAGGCTGTCAAAGTGGTAAGGGCATCTTCATTTTCTTAGCCCTGAATTTATCCGAAGATCCCGGAGCCTGTGAGCTAAGTCAGGCACCTGGGGGCCCTCTTTAAAATCTTTTTGACTTCTTGCCCCCCTGTTTCTGCCAGGGTCTGCTGCTTTTGACCTTACTTTCCTACCATTTAGTTATCACTAGCCTACAGTTTGTGGAAGTTCTTTTCCACCCCTGTAATCGAGATTTCCAGGAGAGTAAATGATACTTGACTTTAGTTAGAGCCACTCCTTTCTCTCTGGCTCCTGAAGTCTTCAAGAAAGAATTCTGTATCTACACATATCCATGCGTATTTGTAAGTGGATTTCCAATATTTATTGAGTGTTTATCTGTACCGGACACTGTTCTCAACCCTTTTCCTGCATTTAATGACATTATTCTTCAAATAGCTCATGGTATAAGTACTATTATTATTCTCAGCTTACAAATGGGCAAACTGGAGTCCAGAGGACACACAGTGTTTTTAGACCACATAGTTTGTACCATGGTAGTGGACTAATATACATTATAATTTAGGCTAGGAAACATTTCCCGAAGGAATGATTAGGGTTCTACTTGGGTCATTAAGAGAAGCATGGCACTACGTTTTTGATAAACCCAATCAAAAGATACGCTTCTATAAGGACAACTTACTTACAGGCTCAATGGTGCAGGTTTTTGGAAGAGCTCACAACAAAGTTATGTACTTTTTTCATTGAGTTATTTCGATGGTGCTAAAAGCTCCACATCCATGTCATTTGGGAGTAGGGTTGGTCCATGAATAGCTGAGAAGAAACACAGTATAAGTTATCTAGATATAAATATGGATACTTAACTTCTCTCGCTGCCCTCTTTAATGGCCTATCAATAAAATGGGGCAAAAGACAGAGGGTAAAATATTATTTCTTTTTTGTCTTTAAAATGAATTTCATAGATATCTACTGCAGTTAATCTAAAAAAATGTGTGTGGGTGGGGCTATGATTCAAAATGCTTTATGTTCTGCACTTGGTTAAGCTTTATTTAGAGTATATATTTTGTATTCCATCTCTTCATAGTGCAAATGGCTCCTGAAGAAGGAAAAGAGATGTGAACAGTTATTAAATACACCTTCTTAGTCCTATTTATCATTAATTCCAAAGGTCATGGGTAGAGCCCCCCACTGCAACTGGATCAGTGTCTGTAACAGTTTCTGGGCTACCCTTCAGCATTTGATTTCCTTAACCTAAAGTTTTGTGTTATGGCCTCAATAAATACATAGATCTGATTTGTACAATGTTTTCCCCTATGGGGTACAAGGGAACTTGCGAATAAATGGCTCAGAATACTCAAACTGGACTTACACAGCTTTACTTATGGAAACATAGCATCTATTTTGAGCTTATATTTTCACCTTGATGTTAATTCTGCAGCGGAAAGGCTCTCACCTACCTCTCCAGTGTAAAGTCAAAATCTACATTTAAATGGAGACATCGCACGCAGTACAGTCCAGGAAAGCTAGTAAACATAAACCCTGCTGCGATTTAACTGGAAATAAGATCTGATAAGTTAAAAGAAAGAAAGAAAAAAAACAACAAGGGAAAGAAATGGCACATAAAGGAGTCGATGAATTTGTGTTGGAAAAGGTGGAAAATCAAACTAAACAAAAACGAAAACATTGACTTGGAAAGATTCCAATGAGACAACATTTTCTACCATATTTAACTGTAATAAGGCCGTGTTCAAGGTACAAATACGATGGGCTTATCTTTGTAAAAAAACAACAACAGAAAGAGAACAAGGGCAGATATTAGGGTGCTTTTTATACTGATATTTCCAAACCTCATAAAATATTAGTAGCTGCATCAGCTATAAAAATTAATGGCTCCAGAGTCTTTTGTGTAACCCTCTTCAATTTCATTTTATCACCATTCTTTTCTATTTTTTTTTCTCTCTCAGGTTTTGTCTTTCTATCTTCTCAAGTTGTTTGGGGTTCCAGTGTTTATGAGCTTTATAAGCTTGATAAGGCTTGTAGAGTAGGATTTCTAACAAAAAGCATTGATCAAAAGCTCGCCTGATTCCTTTACATTGAAGTTTCTATGGTACAGTTAGATTGTGATAACATTGTCAAAAAGAAAAGAAAAAAAAATTCCGGTCTTCATTACTGAGTTTGTTGCCAACTCATTTTTTCTTTCTTTTGTTCTTTTTTTCTCTTTTTTAATAGCAGGAACTAAAACTTCCAATTTCCTCAGGCCTAACCTGACCTTTTAAAATGTTTTCAGGCCACTGTGAACACGAAACTCAATTCTGAATTTGCATTTACATAATATAATTTTTACCATCAATTAATTGATCACATTTAAATTTAAAAGTATCCAGTGAGTAATAACTACCCCCTGGGGGATGTAAAAGTTAATTTCCAAACACAAAGGCCACTTTGACTTTCAAAAAGCTGAGTTGAGTTTTCCATTTAAGTCAAAACCAATAACAAAAAAAGGGAAAAAAATAGTTTGTGTTTCTTTGTTTTGTTTTGTCTTGTTTGACCATCCCCAATGGCTCCAGAGAATCATATGGGTTTATAAATGAAGGAAAACTTAAAGTTGTGAGGCTGGGAAGGCAAGGTACCTCTCTGAGTGCACTACAGAGAGCTAGCTCTGGAAGCTTCTACTTTTCCTTAATGAGTTCTTCACGAGTGGTAATGTAAAAGGCCATTCCTGTCTTGGGTATAGAATAGCCTGTTAACCTACATTCATAAAACAACTGGCCAGGAGACCTAGAAGACCCAGCATCTGGATATTAAAATTACGCCGTCGAATCATACAGTGAGTCTAATACTGAATGTACAATAGGTGTTCAGTAAATAATTAGGGTGGCACGATGAACCAGAAAAGACACAGTTCTTGGAATAAGAAGACTTGCTTCAAGGGCTCTCTTCTACCATGAATTAGCTGGGTGGCCTTAGGCAAGTCACTTAACTTCTCCCTAGATGAGAATGCCTATCTTCAGAGATTGTTGCCACAAGGCAATTCTGTTATAGATATAGAAGTGTTTTGTGAAGACGGGAGCAAATGGAGTAACAAAGACTGGGATAAATGCAGGTGCATTAGAGAAATACTTCCTGGTCTTTGCTTGTTGGCTTTGTTTCTGACATGAGTATATCAAGTAGACAAATGTCACCACTTGTACTCAACATCGTGAAGTCAGCCTTATAGGCATTCAGTCGACTATTTTCATTTTCAAGGTAGGTAAATAATAAATACTAGTTCAGTTACTAATTTGCAGGTAGTGTAAACTGGTATTTTCCTTGACCAAAGTAACCAAGCTATTAAACAATGAATTAATTTGGGATCTGTGATAGGTGTTGGCCTGGGATTTGAACATACCCTGCACTATCATTATACGGGTATATATCTGTCTTTCTAACAAAACCATGAACTTCGCAAGGGCAGAGACCATGTCTTATTCATCACTGAATAGTCTCCTCCTCTTCTTCCACACAAGCACCTAGCATCGGGTCTGGCTATAGTTGGTGCTCAATAAATATTTGGTGAATGAATGGACAAACGGTGAGAGAAACATAAAACCAATGAGGTGGAATTTAATTCCACAGCCTGCAAATCAAAATCAGGCTGCAAATGGAGGTCATTTTCACAGGGATATATCTCAGGGTCACGTGTAGTTAATCAGAACACAGCAATTTTTTTTTCATAAACACAAGACAGATTATATATTTTTTCACATGTCCCCTAAATAGCATCCTCTTCTACTAATTTCAAAACCAAATGGGATGCTTGAAACACCAAATCAAATGCTGATGTGGGTTGGCGTGTGGATAATTCACAAAGGCTGAATCTTCACACCCATGACTAAATAAGGCATGGCCAAAAAATTTAGTGGAAATGATGGGGTCTACTTGTGGCTATAAAATTGCCCCAAATTTTCCAGTAAATTGCTCTAGCCAGGGTGCCTTGAACCGGACAGCCCCAAACACAATTGTTCTCCTCTTCAACTCAACTTGAGACTATCATTTAGGTAGCAGAATATGGAGCAAAATGTGCATTAAAAGTTATTTTGCTTTTTCAGAACCCAATCAATTTAATCCAAGCAGAGTCTAGCGTAGAACTCTGTGTAACTGTAACTTCCCTATAAGTCTTTGGTCCTCGGTCAAATGCATTATCTTCATGCAGCTAGTAGTTTACTGAGTTGACACAGCCTGTGAGATTGCCCCTTTTGGAAGGCTACGAGAAGTTCAGTCCAGTGTCTAAGCAAGAACCGGACCCAGGCTGCGTGAGTGGAAATCTGAGCTCTACCACCTACTTACTAGCTGTGCGACCTTGAGCAAGAGAGTTAGCATCCCTGTGCATCAGTATTGCACCTATAAAATGGCAATAATATTAATAGCACCTGTCTCAAAGGAGCGCTTTCAGGATTATACGAGCTGATGTAGAAGAGGTGCCTATAATATTCCCTAGCACATAATAAATGCTATATAAAGGTTTGCTCTTATGTATTAAGGCTACACTGACTGCTATATTATAAGAATATAAGTTACTTTTAAATCTGAAATTGAGACCTAAATACTGTTGTATATCTTCTGCAAAGCTGCTTCACAAAATAACAAATACTGCCATTCCCCAGGAGGGTATGGTGGTGTTTCTGAAGGCATATAAAACCACAGGATGAAACTAATTAACTAATTAACTAACTAGCTAACCAACTAACAACTCTTTGTGCATCTCCTTGGAGTTAAAATTTTGTTTGACGTCTTGAAGGAAAATAAAGGAAAAAAAGACTCGGTTTTATATTAAAACAAAAGTTGATATATTTTGGAATGTGGTGCAAGTTCTATGACTTTTCAAGTTAACAGGAGCCTTTAAAGAAAGTTCACATTTGCGTTTCTGCTTCAGGCTCATCTATCCCCTGTCCCCCATACAGCGGCCCAAAAGATGTGGGAGTGGGACCAGAGGTCCCAGAACAGAGCTGTGTTGTGCCCTTAGCTCACTGCAGGAAACTGGTGAAGATTCCTTGGGTTAATCCTTCCCAAACTATATAAAAAATAGTTTTTTAAAAAAAAATTTCATATGCATTTTAGACTAATAATAATTTTATAAAACACAACCAAAATAATTAGAAGAAATGAAACATACAAGACATGCAAAATACAAGCCCCATTTAAAAACTATTAGATTAGGTAGATATAAAATTACTGTGCCAAATTACGAATAAATTTCCTAAATATGCACTATCCATCTCTGTATTTATCTGGGTGTGAACTGGTAAGGGACTCTGATAGCCACACCACACCTGAGTAGCTATTCCATGTGACTTGTGGGTGGAATCCTGAGAAATGGGACCCTGGGTGGCTACATAAATCAGGTGTCTCACTAATATTCACCCTTATGCAAAACATAGACCCATGTTGGTGCCTAGTGATGAGCTTCCTTGACTTCCGGTTGGTGGATTATTGGACCTGAGAGATGTAGCTTGCTAACATACCCCTGTTGAAGGTGAGAAGTCATCTACAAATGAACACAGAAGTGAGGTGGTTAATTTCCTGATGTGGGGAGATCACTCCAGTACGGTAGATTTCAACCTCTTTTGGACATCCCAAATTTGAGAGTCCCTTGGCAGCCGAAGCCCTTTCCACTAGCAAAGTCCAGAGACCTAGGCACACACACACAAGCATATTAGCAAGGAATTGAGCAACCATCTGAAACCCATTCCAGTGTCCCCATGCACAGTTCCCCAGCTTGAGGATTGCTGTGGACAGTGAACTAAACTGGGCATTACAAACAGCCTCACCAGGAGGTACTTCCACCATCTCTTGATACTTTTATCTCCATGATTAATCAGTCCTGATTTTTCTTGTCTCTAACATTCTTCCGGGGCAGCCTGATGCTTACTCCTGCCTCCACAGCTCCAGAGTGAAAGGGTTTCTGTCTTCAGGGACTGCCATAGCACCATATGATTAGCTTAGTCTGTCTTCTCATAGATTCTGAAACCAAACTGGGCCTGCCCAGTACAACCTCTTCATGGTGGCACAGCCCTGAAAGACAAGCAGACGGGTGGGTCCCAGCCCCCCTGTTATGAGGTAGCGTCTCCTGGAGCTGACACCCCCACGCAAATTCAAGAGAAACGTAATGATGGGCTACAGGTGGAGCTCAGGTGAGAGATAATGTTACTGAGAATAGGGCTAAAAGCTACAATTTCCAAATGCTTGGAGGTAATTTGAATACCAAGAACCATCTCAGAAACAAAGTGGTTTTTAAACCTTATCCACATGGTCAGGATGTTGTGACTCAGAATGCTGAGCTGAACAGGAGATAACACAGCAGACACTGTCAGTCACCTAGCTAACACGTGCTGTCCTGTCTTTCCTATTGGCACCCAGGGTTTTTATTATTATTATTATATTACTTTAAATTCTGGGATACATGTGCTGAACGTTCAGGTTTGTTACATAGGTGTACATGTGCCATGGTGGTTTGCTGCACCTATCAACCCATCGTCTAGATTTTAAGCCCCACATGCATTAGATATTTGTCCTAATACTGTCCCTCCCCTTGCCCCCCACCTCCCAATAGGCCCCAGTGTGTGATATTCCCATCCCTGTGTCCATGTGTTCTCATTATTCAACTCCTATTTATGAGTGAGAACATGTGGTGTTTGGTTTTCTGTTCCTGTGTTATTTTGCTGAGGATGATGGTTTCCAGCTTCATCCATGTCTCTGCCAAGGACATAAACTCATTCTTTTTTATGGCTGCATAGTATTTCATGGTGCATATGTGCCACATTTTCTTTATCCAGGCTATAATTGATGGGCATTTGGGTTGGTTCCAAGTCTTTGCTATTGTAAATAATGCTGCAATAAACATATGTGTGCTTGTGTCTTTATAGTAGAATTATTTATAACCCTTTGGGTATATGCCCAGTAATGGGACTGCTGGGTCAGCACCCATTTTTGTTCAGACACAACACAATAGCATGACACCTAACATTTGTGCATGCCGTGCACATGGACAAGTACTGTTCAGAGTACCCGGCATCTATTAACTCATTTAATCCCGAGAACAACCCTGCAAAGTTGGCATCTTGCTATATCTATTATACAGATAAGGAAACCAAGGAACAGATAAATCAATGATATGTACAAAGCCATAAAACTGGTAAGTGTCACAGGCATGATTTGAGTGCCAGTGTTCTGGCTCCTTGGTCAAGCTGCTGTATTGCCTCCTGTCCATCCCCAGCTCTAGGGGCAAGTCTTGATTTGTTTAATCTGAGCAGTGCATGGCATTTTCTTGCGAATTGTTACTGGTTCAGGGTGGACACATGACCTAGGATAGGTCATAAAGATGAAAGGACTGGAGCTTGCAAGTGGGAACACAGAAGTTCAGTTCTCCTCATTGTCACGTCATATGGGTAATGCATGCCAACACTGGTGATAACAGAGTAGAAAAATGGAAGAAAAGTCCAAGGCGTTGCTGACATCATTGACCACTGAATCAACTAGCCCTGGAATCTGCCCTAGTTCTGAACAATATGTGTGATACCAAAAAATGTGTTATCCTATTGCTTAAGCTAAGCTAGTTTGTTTTTACTAATTATTGTTTTGTTGTTTTTTTTTTTTTTGAGATGGAGTCTCGCTCTGTTGCCCAGCCTGGAGTGCAGTGGTGCATCTCTGCTCACTGCAAGCTACGCCTTGCAGGTTCACGCCATTCTCCTGTCTCAGCCTCCCGCTTAGCTGGGACTACAGGCGCCCACCACCATACCTGGCTAATTTTTTGTATTTTTTTTTTTTTTAGTGGAGATGGGGTTTCACTGTGTTAGCCAGGATGGCCTCAATCTCCTGAGCTCATGATCTGCTCGCCTCAGCCTCCCAAAGTGCTGGAATTACAGGCAGGAGCCACCACGCCCGGCTGTTTTTATGACTTATTTCTAAAAGCATTTAAACTGACACAGATGGGTCTTACAGGCCTATCCGAGAATACATTGTTCGAATGCCAGAAAGAACATTTCAGAGAGTTACAAAACCCTAGATCAGATTCAGGATGCACTGCAGAGTCTAACTTTTAAGTCTTTAGGGAGAGGGCATCCATGTTGCGGGTCCTCAAGCCACTTGGTTGATCCTGTTGTTTCTTATTTTGGCTGGTTTGTGTGCATATGTGTGTGTGTACATGTGTGTACACACACGTTCATAGACACAATGGTGCTCTTTAAAAGGGATGGAGCAAAGAAAAGATGGGGATTGGGGGATCCGCCTGAGGTACCTATTGGTAAATGTACGCATCGTTTCTATTGGGTTCCTATTGGTAACTCTAGTCAAGGATGAGTAACTTACCTGGAATCCTACAACTAGCAAGTGTCAGACCCGGGATGACAAAAGCAGGTATGTGGCTCCAGAGGCTATGCAGTTAGCCACTACACCTCCTTGGTGGAAGCAGAGACTGAGCTAGGTTGAGGTACATGATTTATTGACGATGTGCGTTCAGTAGGAAAAAAGCTACTAAGAAGAAGAGGTCAGGGCAGGAGCTAAGCAAGGATGTGGCCTCTGCTGTAGTCTAGTTCTAGCTCAATCTTAGCAAAAGCTCTGGAGTAAGAATTGCATCAAATAATTGGTCCAGCTGGGAGAGGACTCTTACCCCGAAGTAGTCCTGTGTTAAACAGTCAGTCAACAGGCTACATTCTGGGCAGGGGGGTGCTGTGACCTCCTTGGCAAGTGGCTCTAGCTGGCCAAGAAGAGGTAACATGGAGCCCTTAGCAGTCAGCACAGCAACTGGGGGATGAATGGAATGGCCTGGAACAGAGGATTTGGATGCAGCACCAACACAGTCCACTAGAGCTTCCATAAATATACACAATTTCCTTTGTCTGGAAGCCCCTTATCCAACTTTCCACTCACACGCGCAGTCTCATACATCTGCTTTATGACTCTTATCTTCCACAGTCCTGTGAGCTCTTGGAGGATAGGGGCTGTATATTATTTCTCTTAACATCAGCATCCCAGAACTGCCTACTCTCTGTGTCTCTCCCCTGGCCAGGCACCCAGCAGATGCCTGGCATGGAATAGAGGCTTCAATAAATGTTTGTGGGATGCATGAATGGAGAAATGAATGGATTTCATGAATCCACACGCTGCTAATTTGGAATTTGTGATACTTTGGAGACAGGATATTTATTGAGTAAAAGATTGGAAAAAATACTCTAACTTGGGCTTTTACTACTTCTGTAGTTCATTACTAAGGAATGCAAGCCTCTAGTCCTCCTTCCCCCAACCCATAACTTTCCACATTTTATAATATGTAGAATAATTACAACTCAAGAAACTGCATTTCTTTTAAAGTTTGGCTAACCTCTGCTATTTATTTCTTCATTTCTTTTAAAGGTTGGCTAACCTCTGCTATAATTAGACCTCTTAGTTAAGTTAGAAGAAATTTCTTCACTATCCTGTCCTTGATTCTAGAGAAGATCACAACACTTGGTTAATAAGAATTTCACTTTTAGTGTCATACTTGAGGATGAATTGTAGAACACGATTGGAAAATAACTTGGTTCTTTCAAAATGCAAGAAGAAAAAAGCAAAAACAGTCAGTGATTGAACTTGTCTCCCATTGGACGATGGCTTTAGTGTTTCTCAAAGAGTCATCCCTGGGCAGCAGCAGCATCGCCACCCAACTTGTTAGAAATGTACACTGTCAGGCCTTACCCTAGACCCACTGAATCAGGAATTCTGAAAGAGGGCCCAGGAAACTGTGTTCTAGCAAGCCCTCCAAATGATTCTGATGCTGTCCAAGCTTGAGAGCCACCGGCCTAAGAGTTGAGTCAAGCACACCTCATGTGGATTCCTATCAGCCTCTTTGCAGCCTATGAATAATCTCCTTAACACTCACTCCCTCTATTTGTAAAATGTGGAAAAAAATGGTGTTGCTATGTGAATTTATGAGTCTATATATGTCAAGCTCTCAATACGGCTAGGCACAGATTGCTTCCTCTGTCATTCCTATGATTATGGCTGTATGGAAGAGAAACAGAGAATAGGGTAAATCCTAGCATTTTCTCCATGATTGGCTTGGGAGGCCAGAGTAGGGGAGTGATGAGGAAGTCTGAGAATAAGAGGAGAAAGTTGGAGTCTACAATCCAGGATAGAGAAAGGAGACATTCCTGGGCATCCCAGAGAACACATTTGTCTGACAAATGTAAACTGAGATGTACTATGAATCCTTCATGGGGCTAAGGACTAGAGATTAGATGTGAATGAGATGACCATGGTCCCCACCCCTCAGAGGGACTTACAGTGTAGTGGGTGGGGTGGAAATTGTGTTCGCTGATACCGGCATCCCATAGAAGGTTGTCATGGGTGGAGCGCCCAAGCTATTTCTTTGCAGGGAGTAGATCTATAGGTACCAATGAACAAATATCCAAGCCAGAAGGTCTCTATGGGTAGGTTGGAGTGGATGTGGAGTGGTCTGAAGGCTCCCATGGCCTTTCCTTGCTGGGGTCTTCAGGATGACTTGATAAAAAAAATTCTCCCTCTCTCTCCCTCTCTAGTGGCACTACATACTCCTCTCCCTAATAGTTCTCCATTCCTTCATTCCAGCTGCTCCCCTAAGCCCTAGGCTCAGAGGGCCCGTTCCAAATCATCATGAATATGCTGAAATTCAGGACCTCAGAGGAGAAGGGACACTGATAATAATGGTGATGAGAAGAACAACGGTAGCTCCTGCCCGTGGAGCGGCGCTTCCTGTAGTCCCGATGTGAGCTATGCATTTATATGTTGCATCTTACTTACTTCTAATCACAATTCCAGCAGGTAAACAGTGCTGCTTTTTTTTTTCTGTTTCACAGATGAGAAAACAGAGGCTTCAAAAGATGATACAACTTGCCCCAGCAACACTGCCAGTGTGTAACCCCAGACAAAGTGCTGGGGGTAAAAGCCCAAGTTTATACCCAGGAAACTGAGCCCAGAGCAACACAGGGCAGGGGTTTTCTCAAAGATTCACGGCTACCAAGGAGAATAAGAAGGAGTGAAGCCGCTATCTCCTGGTGCCCCCATCCAAGAGCCCCGCAAAACACGTACTTTCGTTTACGGCAAACCAAATGCAGCAACAGTTTAGTGGCAGATGGTTAACGCCCCTTCAAAAAATAGAAAAAGATTATTAAAGCTACTGGTAACATTGCCTGAAAAGTCTTGGAATTGAAAATTCATTTTAGCCGATTTGCACAATCACCCCGGCCGTGTTTATATAGAAAACGTATGGCACACGCTTTGATTACCACGGCTAATAAATCCATGCAGCCTTCCCTCTTCTCTGCAATATAAATCCTTTTCCTCCCTGGCTATTTAATATGCAAGGCAGATTGGAACATTAGCGGTGGAAGAGGGTAAATAATCTGGTAATTGATCTGGGATTTGTGGATTTTTACCTCAAATTTCTGCATACGGTTGAAGGTCGTAAGCTATACAAACCTCTATTGATCAGAGTTCTTTGTTTAAATGGAACCTACTGTATTTATTTGTGTTGCTCTTCCAAAGTCAAACAAAAAGGGCACTGATCTAGCTAAACCCCGGCATGGCACCGTGGACATGTGGTCCATTCACTCGGTGTACAGATGTTTTCAATCTGCACACTTTGTCTTTCATATCCATGTGAGATGAAACAGCCTTCATTTAGCCCGGGAGACACGCCAGCAAGAGAAGATACATACTTAACCCTTCACAGACACATTTCCCTGCTCCCTTTGGACACTGAGATGTGATTCTGGGGAAGCAGAGTGTTTCCCTAGAGATTCAACCTGGTGCTCTCAGTGTTGCTCTGTCCCTAGTTGCTCTGGGTATCCAGAAAATAGTAATAATAATAATAAATAATCCCTTCCACTCCCGTCTTTGCCCCCCAGCCTCTACCTCCCTATCTTTGGCAGTTCTTCAAAGCTGTAGACCTCTTGTGAAAGAGATTTAAGGTGGGGAATGGTATTCTCGGCTGTCTCTGGGCATTTCAAACAATCCTGCATAGATGATGACAGAGATTTACTAAGGGTCGGTTTGGCCAGTGCCTGGGTCCTTAGAATGCAGGCGAGTTGCTATTACTAGGCCCCTTTCCTAGGGTGGACTTTACTCTCTCCCATTTCTGTTTCTTTAACAGCAACTTAGCCAGGGTTTCTCAACCTTGGCACTCTTGACATTTGGGGGAGGATAGTTCTTTGTGGTATGTGTGTGTGCTGGGGCCAGGGGCTGACCTATGTGTTGAAGGATGTGGAGCAGCATCTCTGGCCTCTACAAACTAGACATCAGGAGCACTGCCCACCTGAGTTATGATGACCAAAACTCCCTGGGTTGAGAACCCAGTTTCCCCCAGTTTAGAACCCTTGCCTTTTAGGGATTGCTTGTGGTATTATAAAGATCATGAGCTTCAGAGCAGACGGACGCCCTCCCACTCCTTGTCCGGCCTCCTGCGTGCTGCTTGACCTTGGCAACCTCTTCTCTCTATTACAGCTTCCCCATCAATGAGGTGCCTATTAGAAGTCCCAGCTTCCACGGCTGTGTGCTGTGGACCCAACACAAAGCGCTGTGGTCAGCACCTTAGCCCAAGCCTGGTTTGGAGGGGCGCCGGTGCATGTCCCTTAGCACCAGACCTGGAAATAAGTTCAAAGGGAGCACACAGGACTTGCTGAGGGAAGGCAATGGATGCAAGAATGTGAGATCCACTCCCTTTAAGGCCTCATCAGCTTTTGAACACCCTGTGCCAATAGTAGCAGCTCTGGGTTTCTGGACGGAGCTGTGTGGCTTGGCAATTGGAATCGGGATGGATTCGCTTTTTCCTTCCACCCCGGGCTTTGTGACCCTCCCTTCTTAGAGCTGGAGCTGAAGGCTGGCTGCTCCCAAATGCTTATCCATTGCTCTGAGTAGTTGAATGTGTTAAATACATTGAAGTCCTTCATAAAATAGGGTTATTCTCAGCTTGGCTGACACATTCTCCTGGCTGTTACATCTTTGGAAATTACGTATCAGGACCTGGCTATAATGTGAGTGGCTTTATCTGCAGACATACTGAGGTTGAAATCTCAGCTTAGCCACTTTCTAATTGCTGAGTGTTCTTGGGCAAGTTGATTTAACTTTGTGGGTTTGCCAATCCCCACTGGCAAATGGGTCTTGATAATGACCTCAAAATATAGCTTTGAAAATAAATAGGGTGTCATATTGGGAGTTTCTCAGTGTGTGTGTGTGGTACATTCTTGGCATTACCAAACAATACTGCTATTATTGCTATTATTATTAATTATTAAAGTGTTCTTTACTGGTTGTCTAATTGACATAAAAATTCAAAATCACATGAAGCCTACGATTCAAACATAAGTGTTTTATGATATTCACTAGTAGATCTGTGTGATATCCAGACAGTTTTCTTTTCACTTTTCATTATAATATTTTGTGATACAGCTTCAGTCATAATGTTTGGGGAGGATTATTTCCATCTCTTTCAAACTCTGATTTTCAAAGCTAAAAAGGTATTTCTAAACATAGCAAAATGGGACTTGTACGAAATGGAAAATAGACTCAGCAAATTAAGGCTAGGGTCTTTATCTGCAGAAGCACACAACTTAAGATCCTGGGTCTAGTGAAAGTCACCGTGACCTTTATATAAACATAGCATTTTACAGCTTACAACTTGATCTCACATACATTTTATCACTAGATGCCCCATTTATTCGAAGGCATGAATACCCCCACCTGGTCACACTTTTCGAGTAGAAATGAGACTCTGGGGTTTTTGACACCACGTTTAGTTCTCCCTCCAGCCTGTGCATTTATCAGCCTGACGGTGGACAAGCATTTTGTCCTGGGGAGGGTAGGTCTATATTTTCTCCCTTTTTCCATGGGTCCTTAACCAAATATTTTACAGGGTGTAAGAAGAGATCATCAGCAACTGAGAGTATCTTATGGAGAAAGGAGAAATAAAATCAATAAAATCAAGACACACGCACACACAAACACACACACACAATTATTCTCCAAGCTTTCCTGCTTTTTTCCCATTTTTCTCCACTCCCCATGCTCCCCCGGCCCCCATCAACACTCCCCACAAATATATCATATTCCTTGTACTTTTCTTGAGTTCATGTTTACCGATTTTCACTGAATAAAACAGTTTGCCTTTGGGCCATTTGGTCTAGGAAACTTCTCTCTTGAAATATGTATTTTGAGACATATACAATTATATATGTAATCTACATGTAAGTCATGAAACTGTATATAAACAACTTGGAAAACAATGTCTCAAGAACCATAAACCAGTATCGGTGAAACTTCTTTCCCAAGTCCTTTCTCTTTTCCTCATCAAGTTAAACTACCTTAAACTTTATGTTTACCATTCTCTGGCTTTTCTTAAAAGTTGTATTTTTCAGGTAGATATCACTGAACTGTAGGTGTATGTGTGTGGCTTGTTTTTAACTTGGTAAAAATGTCACCATATCTTATATTATCTGGCATCACTCAATTTTTCCTCTCTGCATTAGATTTCTAGGTTTAATTCATGTTGGTGCATGTACCTGTATGTGGTTCATTTATTTTCCCTGCTAGGTACTGTTCTATTCCATTTATTCATTGTCCTGTTGTTAGATATAGGGGCCATTTCTAGTTGCCTGGTTTTCGTGTATTTGTTTGTTTTCAAATATTAGCGTGGTCCAAACATAATGGCGGTTTTTGCCATTGAAAGTAACAGCAAAAACCACCATTATATTTGCACCAACTTAATACAACTATATGATATTCTTGTACATGTTTTTCAACAGATGTGAATAAGAGTTTTTCTACAGTACATATCTAGGAGTTGAACTGAAGACGGGTCGAGCGACCGTAGATCTACTCCCATGACAAACCTTCTGATTTTTAAAATATTTTTATTAGTTTGCTCCAAAGAAGACACCTTGTTTCTTTTTGCTGAGTGCTTTTTTTTCTCCCCAAAGTGCGAGTTTCCACTTCCTGACTTCCCCCAAAACGGCTATTCAGCCAGGGTTCCCTCTCTTCTTCGTTTGCACACACTGCTGTAGTTTTAGAAGAAGCCCTTTGGTTTGAATCCTGGCTCTGCCATTTACCAGTAATGACTTTGGACAAATCCTGTGTCTCTTGTTTGACTCACAGGGTTGCATTGAGGATCTTGCTCTTTTAGAGTTGAAAGTAGGAGAAAGTTCTCTTCATTTTTTTCCCAAACGTCAACCTACTCTACCTCTCCCTGCACACACACACACACACACACACACACACAAATTCAATAAAAGCTGGTTGTGATTTAGGATTTATCATGAATCACGAGCAAATTGAGGTTGGTACATGCGGCAGTAGCATCTTAAATCTTAAACCCCCTTTCATTTTTTAGTGGAATGGACAAATTATACCTGTTTTAAAATGCGGTGGAAAGTCAACTATTTTTCTCAATCCAGAAAGAATCTTGAGCCCTGCCTCAAGGCAGGAGGAGACAGGCTGAAACCATCTATGGTGCTTTTTGTTCTGTGACATATCAAGGCTTCCTGTAGGGCTCCCGGGAGCCCTGCTCTCCAGGGTGGGAGGAACTTGGCTAGCTTCTGTCTTGGATCTCCACATTTAGCATATCATACTCTGACCCAAAGCCTCAGCCCCTTCATCTGTCAAATGGACATTACAGCAGGTAACTATTAAAAACACAACAGTCATTGCAACTAATTACAGCTTTTACTCCTGTTTTGGAGATCCAAGATGAAAGACACTTCGTGAAGGTGGAATATTGTGACAGGGGAAAAAAGCGATTGATTAAACAATCTTACGCATAATCAAACACAAAGTGTTCTTCAGTTGCTGAGAGGGTGGTTGGTCCTAGGTGTTATTATGTCTTGGAGGCCCCAAGATCTATTTCACATGTACCAAAGATGTTAGAACCCAAAGATCTATTTCACATGTACACCACATCCTATAGTTTAAGTAAAACCATCCCACACTCTTACTTTCCAAACTCAGTGAAAACCTATCCAGTCAATTCGCATAATATAGTAGCAGGTAACGTTACTAATAGAAATATAAAGTATCCATTTGAAGCCTGGAGGCCACCTCTGTGTGCTGAGGTTCAAGAGCATCTTTCATCTCTCCTTACTCAACTCATCACACCCAAGGTTCTCTGAGCTCACCCCCTGCTCTGTAAAATGAGGACAATACCAGCACCTAGCCCACAGGCCTTTTGTAGGAGAGCATTGTGAGTTCATCAGCAGGCCTCCTGGAAAGTGGATTGAAGGCCTTGATTTGCACCCTGGCTCTTACTTATGAGCTTGCGGTTCTGAGAAACCTGCCTCATCCCTCCTACTCTCATTGTCTCATCCTCTCTACTCTCATTTTCCTCACCTGTAAAATGGAATCATAATAGTACCTAACTGTTGGAGGAGGTGCTGATGACTAAACAAGATATTACCACAATGCCTGGTATGCTTTCAGTTTTCTTTAAACAAAGGGTATTCTCAATAAATGACAAGTAACTAGCACTTTCTTGGAACACAGTTCAGCAACTTGTCCAGGGCTGTCTAGGACAGCATTTTTTCTAGGGTGGAGACAGATAGTTACAATACATATCCCTATAAATTAAACAAGCCTCTCTTTTTGTGTAAATAAAACTGGTTGAACGGATATTCTTCAAACTTGGAGGGCATGTTTAGAAGGATCTGGCTTTAAATATAGGCTAAGTAGTATGTAGGAATTCCAGGTAGTTTGTACTAAAAAAAAAATAAGCAAAATAGCTCAAACTGAGATAATAGTAGATGGTCCATGAGGCTTATTGATTAGGAAAGAAACTGATGGTATATGAAGATAAAAGAGAGAGAGAGGAGGGAATAAAACAAACAAACAAAAAAGGCAAATGGCAGATGTCCTTCTCCAGGGGCAGATATTGCTGTGAGAAGATCCTGCTTCTAACAGTGGCAACTCCATATGGCAGGCTGCATGGGCGGCATCCCACAATTTACTTATTTCATGATGATTAATGATTATTCTTAGCAGCTAGTTCAAAATAAACCCATAAGAGGACCTCTAAACACCCAAATTCCTCATTTGGGTCCTGGGTTACTTATGCTAAAAACTCAGGGAGAACAGCCCTCTGTGGAGTTGACGCAGTGAGAACCCCATCCCTCTCTTGTGGCAAATAGGACAAAATCAGAACACATGGAAAAATGACAGTGAAAATGAGGTCCACAGGTAGCGTCTCTACTCTTAAAGGAGCGCATTTGCAGTGCTCTGGAACATGGCTAATACTCCCCAGCTCCCACTTGAAGGCACACTGAGCCGAGGAAGTCCCTCTGCCTTCAACCTGCCCCATGATTCTTACAGTAGAACCATGAGGCAGGCAGTGCTAGTGCTGCTTTATTCTCCCCACTTGACAAACATGGAAACTGAGGCTTGAGGAGGCCAGGGGCCTTTCCTGGGGTCACAGGAGGACTACAGTGGCCCAATCTATGCCTTGTGACTTCAGAGGATGTTTCATTTCAGGAGTTTGGCAGTTGGACATGCCTGGAGCATTTGAGACCTGGAAGAATATGGGAATCCAGAAATGGGGGTTCAGTGGAGGGGAGGCCAAAAGGGAGCAGGGGCTCGAGTCATCTATTCTTGTGGCAAGGAGCAGGTGGCGGGATTTCCTTTCATCTCCCTTCCTCTTTCTTGCAGCTGCAGCTCTCAGACCCCAGTCATTTCTGTCTTTGAGTGATTGCTATGGGTGCTACATAGGAACAAAGAACACTTTTGAAAGAGTTTGCAAGTCTAGGGTGAGTCTCCAAGGCCAGGCCCCAGAAGCAGAGAAACAGGCCAGAACCTCAGTGCCTGGCCTTTGGTGGGCATTTGCTGGCCCATGGGGCATCAGTGCAGCAGGAAGGAGGTCGGATCTTGTCACCCGTGATGGGTGACCAGGCAGCAAGATCCCAGACAGCAGGACCCTTTCCGTGCCTTGCTTTGTATCCGCACCGAGGAGCTGCGTTGCTTGACAGTTAGTACGTGCATTTCCTTTTCTCCACAGCTGTCAAATCAAATTGATTTTCAGTCATTCTAATCTGGGTAGGATCAGCAAACCAGATCCCCTAGGTGAAAAGCTAGTTTATCAAAGAAATCATTTATCCAATTCTTCTGCGATACGAACGGAATCTTTGAGTGGCTTTCAGAAAATGAATAACCAATTTCAAAGGGTGTTCATAACAATAATAATAATTACCTTTTATGAAGCATCTTTGCTGTGTTTCTTTATATCCCTTTTCTATTTCTCCAGTAATCCTTTGAGGTAGATAATAGCTCAATTCGGGAGTACTTACTTCTTGTGCATTCTCTCGTGACATCCTAACAACTCCACGTTGTATGTATTATGATCCCAATTATTTAGCAAATGAAATGGAAGCTCCAACAATCACATGTAACTTGCCCAAAGTCACACAGGCAATGACAGAGCTGGAGTTCTGACTCAGCAACCAGTGTCTCCAAACCCAAACTCTTCCTGCCTGCCCCTTCCACCAATCACAGCTCTCCTGCTGCCTAAGTCCTTTCTGCCTCATCACCCTACCATATTTGCCTTTGAATTCTGACTCAGGACTTGGGGTAGCAGGCATAATCTGCGCTCTCTTTTGAAACAGAGACTTTGTAAAGGTATTGAGAGAAAGAAGAACGAACTAACGCCTCCCCCCACCGCAACCCCACAGTAAACAATAAAGTTTATATCATCCATTCTATTTTTTTTTTCTTTTGTCACCCAGGCTGGAGTGCAGTGGCATACTCATGGCTCACTGCAGTCTTGCCTCCTGGGCTGAAATGATCCATCCGCCTCAGCCTACCAAGCAGCTGGGACTACAGACATGTGCGACCATGCCCTGCTAATTATTGTATTTTTTATAGAGATGGGGTCTTGCCATGTTGCTCAGGCTGGTCTTGAACTCATGACTTCAAGTGATCCTCCTGCTTTGGCCTCCTAAACTGTTGGGATTACAAGCATGAGCCACTGCAGCTGGCTATGTCAGCCATTCTTCAGTCCAGTTCTGCAAATTGTAGCCTGGTGCCCTCGGCTGGATCATTACTATCTGGCAGGCACAGTTTCTGCATCGGTGCAGAGAGAAGCTGCATAGATAGAAATGAAAATAGAAATTTTATTCCCTAGATAGTTGTCAGTGTTAAACAGGATAATGCATGTGCGTGGCTAGCCTAGACCCCTGGGATGCAGTTGGACCTCAATTAATGTTTCTGTAGCATTCAATTCACCAAGAGGCTTGTTTTCAGCTGAGGCCTGAGTTTGCACCCAGGAGACACTGGGCCATGCATGGAGACATTTTTGTTTGTCACCCCATTTTTGTTTGCCAAGTGTTTTTGGCATCTAGTGGGTCGAGGCCAGGGGTGCTGCTCAATATCCTACAATGCATGAGACGGACCCCACCACGAATAATTATGTAGCCCCAAATAGCAGCAGTGCCAAGGTTGAGAAATGAAACTATGAAGTGACTGAAAGGTCTACCCTCCCTTAACGTGGACTTTGGGAAAATTCCCTGACCTCTTCTGGCCTTTGCTTTCTCATCCTGTCAATGGGAGCTTTGCACTTGCTGGTCATGGGGACCCACCCAGGTGCATCATTACCAGCTTCTGGAATGTTGCTCCTCCCACTGCTGGTGCGGGCTCCTGTAGCCACCGTGGAGGGTATAAGCATCAGAAATGGCAGCCCCTTGCTGCCTGTGATCTGTGTCTTTTGCCTTCCTGAGGTGGGAGGGTTCAGAAAGCCCAACCCATCCCCACCCTTCCAGGACATTCTTTCTTGGCCCTGCGCTGGCATGGCTGTCGGGATCGACAGTCCCTCACCCGAGGGCCTTGCATGAATCCAGACACACCTTGGCTCCATTGCCCGAGGCCTGGCAGTGGATCAAAGAGCTCTGGTTGGAACATTTGGCAGCAGGAGGGAGATCAGCAAAATGGTCCTGCACTGGGTGCAGCATAAGCACAGCCTCCCAGGTAGCTGCTGTCTGTGGCCTCTGCAGCTTCTCTCTCTGTCAGAGCCTGGCCTTCTCTGGACCCTTCTCCCGGGACACTAGCACCTCTCCTCCCACGCTTCTGTGTCCACCCTCCCCCCTATATCCCTAGATCCTGGTGATGTAGAATTGTGAATGGATCTCAGTACACCACAGGAGTGTGCAGTGTGACCTGTGCATAGTCCAACTTCTCTGCTTCCTTCCCTGAAGGAAAAATAACAGCCGCAACAGCTCCCGTTGTAACCAGCACCTGGGTGTCAGGCTCTGAGCTGTGTACTTCACGTGCATTGTCTCATCTCATCCTCACCGCAACCCTCTAAAGTAGATTCCATTATTATTCCCATGTTGCAGTCATTTAATAACTATGTGTTAGGCAACCATTTAAGCCCTTTATATCATGTGAGTTTTCATTTGCTCATTTGGTCCTCACAGCATCTCTGTGGGATAAGTACTAGTCTCACTTCCATTTTACAACCAGGAAAACGGAGGTACAAATAAGTGAGTGTGTAATGGATCTGAGATTCAGACCTAGATCATCTGCTTCCAGAGTCAAAGCCCTTAATCACTGTGCATACTGTCTCCAGAATAAACAAAAGCAGATTCAGAGAGGTTAATCAACTTGCCCAAGATCACAAAGTCAAGATATGTTAGAAAGACTAGTAGGACCCAGGTCAGTCTGTCTAGAGCCTATTTATTTTCCCACAGTACTACTTGATGTGTGTGTGTGTGTGTGTGTGTGTGTGTGTGTGTGTGTGTAGTTCATCTCTTTCTTTATATATTTATTTTTTGAGATAGAAGTGACTTTAAAAACACATGTGCCTATCTACGATAATTTCATTAATCATAACTAAATAAAACAAACTGATAGGAACAATTCATGGTTGACTCTACAATATGTGGACTACTATAAGAACTGGAAATTAACTAATGTCCTTGATTGTCCTTAACAGATTTAATGAGGAAGGCTAATTACATGAAAATACTCTTATTTCCAGTTTTAGAAACTCGTCAAAGCAGGGAGGGCTTCCATTCTGATGAATAGATTGAAGCTCAGAAAATGTAAGGACCAAGGACCTGAACTAAGACAAGTCCTCACTGAGTTTCGTCTAACCCAGAGGCTGTGTTCTATAGGTTAGCTGATCCTGCCTATTGCGCGGATCCTGAAATATGAGACAAAGCTTCGAGCTAGGGTACAGAGGTGTCCGGGAGCAGGTAGCCCAGGCAGAAGAAAGAACAAATGATGACAGGTGGTATCACCTCTCAGCTGGCCCCAAATCCCTGTCTGGTAAGGTCTGGAAGCTTTCACAGTGCTGCATTCTTCACTGAGGCTCACAGGGCTTAATGTAATTGCAAAATATCCTAAAAAACAACATTTTATCATTTTCCTCCAGAGCTTCTCGCCTTGTAAATAGCGTGTTGGCACATGTTGAAGCCCAGCCACACAGCTCTGTCTCCGGCTTCTGCAAAGTGGCGTGAGGCCTGCTGTTGGTGTGCAGGGGAGTGCAGGCCAACCACGCCCCAGGAATGGGAAACCTCCTTTCGCTCCCAGGAGAGGCTGTGGCAGAGCCAGAGCTAGACTGTGCCTTTACAAGGCATTTGCTTCTTATGAACCTGCTCCAAAATCACTGATGAGCTCACAGAAGAGAAGCCATAAATCAGCAGGCTGGGGCTGGGTCCTTTGCTCACAGTAGGCAGAGGATGCAGTGTGGACCTCCCTCCAAAGGCCCTTTCACCACCAACTTATCCTGCCTTCCCACCTTCCCGCTGGTCCTGCAGCAGCCCAGCTCCCCAGCTCCTGGAGGCCTGGCGGCTGTCTGCCATTCACACGGTTGAGCTGCCCCAGACCTGCCCGTGTGGGCCCCACCTTGCCACTCCCACTTGTCTGCTCCCAGGACAGCAATTGTGCAAGAAGCCCCACACGTGAGCGGGCATCAGGGCGACAGCCAAAGAGCCTCTCTGTGGTGATGCTGGGGCGGAGAGGCTACCTGGCAGCCACTGGAGCGCAGTGACATGGGCATGAAACCTGAGCACCTAGCTCATCAGATGACAGAAAGCCTCGGGTGAGAAGAGACCTCCGTGGGATGCAGTGATGCCACATTAGAGGCCTGCTAGGTACCCAGAAGAGTCACTTTATGTGGATATAGACCCTGAGCACGACTGCACCCACTTGGTCAGCTGTCCAGGCCATGGTCCCTCTGAGGCAAGTCTCAACTTTTCTCCACGTGCCAAAAGAAAACCGTATCTGACAGCTGAAGAAATGGAAAGTGGTGTAGCTTTGACTGAAGCTTTCCTGGGGAAACGGAAGAGGGGGTTACATCAAACCCCACAGGGTTTCTGGAAGTCTCTTGTAAACATCCTTGACCCCACTCCTCCTACAGCTGCTGCTTCCTCCCTTTGGTGTACCCCAACCACCTCGTCTGCAGTCTCTCCTTTCACCTGGTTCTGTGTCCCTCTCAGCTGCCCCTCAAAAACCCTTCAACTTCCACATCTCACTCTGCAAAGCGAGAGTGGTGACGCTTGGCAACATAGAAGTCTAGTTAGCAAACTACAGATCAAAAGCAAGTCTGGGAAGCCTTATGCCACCCATTAATATAACCTTTGTTTTTTAACTTGTTAATTTAAAAAGTATTTTATGTTTTACTCAAACAAAAAGTGATAGACCCCCATATACTGGCCAATCTGATCTGACCGATGTTAACATTTTCCCCTGTCTTTTCTGTGGATGTACCATTCTTTTTTTTTTTTTTTCTTTTTTTTTTTTTGACACGGAGTCTCACTGTGTCACTCAGGCTGGAGTGCAGTGGCGCGATCTCGGCTCACTGCAAGCTCCGCCTCCTGGGTTCACGCCATTCTCCTGCCTCAGCCTCCCGAGTAGCTGGATATCCCATTCTTTCTCTCTCTCCCTGATCCTCTTCTCTTTCTCTCTCTAAAATATATTATATAGAAGGTAAAGCCCCAAAGACCATTTCTATTTTATTTTCTCCACGTCTAGAAACATCCCTTTCCATGTTTGGTGTCGTTTGGTCTGAATCCAGGATGGCACCGTGTTTATGAGCACAGACTTGGAAGCCAGCCTGGCTCTCAGCTCCAACTCTGTAACAACTAGCTGAGTAACCTGGAAGAAGTTGCTTAACTTTGCTCTGTCTCAGTCAAATAAAAAAGGGGATAGTAAATCAACTGTATGTGCAATCATCAAATGTTGATACATTTAAAGTGTCTGGAGCAGAGCCTGGAAAAAAATAAATGCTTAATATTTATTAACTGTTATTATGATCCATGAAAAATAAATAGAATGGCTATTTGGTGTGTTTTTAAGTTTCATCTAAATTATTTCATGGCATTACACCTACACACCTACACACCTACACACACACACACACACACACACACACACACTTTGCGACTTGCTCTTCTCACGCATTTACATTATGTTCAGGTCTCTCTATTTGGATGCATGTAATGCATTCATTTTTCTTGCCATAGAGTGGAATATTATTGTTGTTTTAATTTACATTTCCCTGATTACTTATTCTAAAATTTACTTGGAAAAGTAAAGAGCCCAAGCAATTTTAAAGAGGAGAAAGAAAGAAAGGAGACTTGCTCTATTATAATGATACTAAGACTTATACATTTAAGCAGTGCTGTCCAACAGAGCTTTCTACAATCATGGAGATGGTCTCTAGCTATGCTACTCTAATATGGTAGCCTTGGGTCACATGTGGCTACTGAGCACTTGAAATATAGCTAGACTGACTGAGGAAGTTAATTTTTACTTTAATTGAACTTAAATAGCTACATGTCATTGTGACCCATGTGGTGACCCATCACCAGACAGCACAGGTTTAGAGTATCAAAACATTGTGATGAAGTCGCAGAGACCAGCAGTAGACCACAGAAACAGCAGCGAGTCTAGAGACAGACCTCAGTGTTTGGTGTTAAGTCCTAGAAGGCATTGTAAGACAACAAGGAAAATGGTGGGAATATTTTTATCCAATGTTTGGGTTTTCTATTCTTTGAATTTCATTTGTCATTGAACTACTCCCTCTTCCTCCTCCCATTGTTTAGTGTGTCTTTTATTTATTAATATGTCAGAACGACTTGTATATTTGGATATAATATAAAAATTATATTTATCTTAGTTTGTGGATTTTTGTTTTATTTCTTCTAAAAAGAAAAGGGATACATGTGCAGAACATGCAGGTTTGTTACATAGTTATCCATGTGCCATGGTGGTTTGCTGCACCTATTGACCTGTCCTCTAAGTTCCCTCCCCTCATCCCCTACCTCCCAACAAGCTCCGGTGTGTGTTGTATCCCTGTCTGTTTCCATGTTCTCATTGTTCAACTCCCACTTATGAATGAGAACATGTGGTATTTGGTTTTCTTTCCATATGTTAGTTTGCTAAGGATGATGGTTTTCAGTTTCACCCACGTCCCTGCAAAGAACATGATCTCATTCCATTTTATGGCTGCATAGTATTCCATGGTGTACATGTACCACATTTTCTTTATCTAGTCTATCATTGATAGGCACTTGGGTTGGTTCCATGTCTTTGCTGTTGTAAATAGTGCTGCAATAATCATATGTGTACATGTGTCTTTATAGTAGTTGATTTATATTCCTTTGGTTTTGGGTCAAATGGTATTTCTGCTTCTATATCCTTGAGAAATCACCTTACTGTCTTCCACAATGGTTAAACTAATTTTCATTTCCACCAACAGTGTAAAAGCATTCCTCTTTCTCCACAGCCTCACCAGCATCTATTGTTTCCTGACTTTTTAATAATTACCATTCTGACTGGCTTGAGATGGTATCTCATTGTAGTTTTGATTTGCATTTCTCCTATGATGAGTGATGTTGAGTTTTTTTTCACATGTTTGTTGGCCACATAAATGTCTTCTTTGGAGAAGTGTCTGTTCATATCCTTTACCCACTTTTTGATGGGGTTGTTATTTTCTTGGAAATAATGTTGAAGTTACTTGTAAATTCTGGGTGTTAGACCTTTCTCAGATGGGTAGATGGCAAAAATTTTCTCCCATTTTGTAGGTTGCCTGTTTCACTCTGATGACAGTTTCTTTTGCTGTGCAGAAGGTTTTTAGTTTAATTAGATCCCATTTGTCATTTTTTTGCTTTTTTTTTTTTTGCAATTGCTTTTGGCATTTTTGTCATGAAGTCTTTGCCCATGCCTATGTCCTGAATGGTATTGCCTAGGTTTGTTCTAGCATTTTTATGGTTTTGGGTTTTACATTTAAGTCTTTAATTCATCTTAATTTTTATGCAAGGCATAAGGAAGGGGTCCAGTTTCAGTTTTCTGCATATGGCTAGCCAGTTTTCCAGCACCATTTACTTAATAAGAGATCCTTTCCCCATTGCTTATTTTTGTCAGGTTTGTGAAAGATCAGATGGTTGTAGATGTGTGTTGCTATTTCTGAGGTCTCTGTTCTGCTCCATTGGTCTATATGTCTGTTTTGGTACCAGTGCCATGCTGTTTTGGTTACTGTAGCCTTGTGGTATAGTTAGAAGTCAGGTAGCATGATGCCTCCAGCTTTGTCGTTTTTGCTTAGGATTCTCTTGGCTATACGGGGTCTTCTTTGATTCCATATGAAATTTAAAATAGTTTATTCTAATTCTGTGAAGAATGTCAATGGTAGTTTGATAGAAACAGCATTGAATCTTTACTTTGGGCAGTATGGCCATTTTCACAACACTGATTCTATCTATACATTAGGATGGAATGTTTCTCCATTTGTTTGTGTCCTCTCTTATTTCCTTGGGTGGTGGTTTGTAGTTCTCCTTGAAGAGGTTCTTCACATTCATTCTTAGCTGTATTCCTAGGTATTTTATTCTCTTTGTAGCAATTGTGAATGGGAGCTCATTCATGATTTGGCTCTCTGCTTGCCTATTGTTGGTGTAAAGGAATGCTTGTGATTTTTGCACACTGATTTTGTATCCTGAGACTTTGCTGAAGTTGCTTATCAGTCCAAGAAGTTTTTGGGCTGAGATGATGGGGTTTTCTAAACATAAAATCATGTCATCTGCAAACAGAGACAACTTAACTTCCTCTCTTCCTATTTGAATACGCTTTATTTCTTTCTCTTGCCTCATTGTACTGGCCAGAACCCCCAATACTATGTTGAATAGGAGTAATGAGAGAGGGGATCCTTGCCTTGTACTGGTTTTCAAAGGGAATGCTTCCAGCTTTTGCCCATTCAATATGATATTGGCTATGTGTTTGTCATAAATAGCTTTTATTATTTTGAGATATGTTCCATCAATACCTAGTTTATCAAGAGTTTTTAACATGAAGGGATGTTGAATTTTATCAAAGGCCCTTTCTGCATGTATTGAGATAATCATGTGGTTTTTGTCTTTGGTTCTGTTTATGTGCTGGATTACGTTTATTGATTTGCGTATGTTGAACGAGCCTTGCATCCCAGGGATGAAGTTGACTTGATCATGGTGAATGAGCTTTTTGATGTGCTGCTGGATTTGGTTTGCCAGTATTTTATAGAGGATTTTCACATTGTTATTCATCAGGGATATTGGCCTAAAGTTTTCTTTTTCTGTTGTGTCTCCTCCTGGTTTTGGTATCAGGATGAGGCTGGCTTCATAAAATCAGTTAGGGAGGATTCCCTCCTTTTCAATTATTTGGAATAGTTTCAGAAGGAATGGTATCAGCTTCTCTTTGTATTTCTGGTAGAATTCAGTTGTGAATCCATCTGGTCCCGGGCTTTTTTTTGGTTGGTAGGCTATTAATTACTACTTCAATTTCAGAGCTTTTTATTGGTCTATTCAGGGATTTGACTTCTTCCTGGTTTAGTCTTGGTACAGTGTATGCATCCAGGTATTTATCCATTTCTTCTAGATTCTCTAGTTTATTTGTATAGTGGTGTTTACAGTATTCTCTGATGGTAGTTTGCATTTCTGTGGGGTTAGTGGTAATATACCCTTTATCACTTTTTATTGCGTCTGTTTGATTCTTCTCTCTTCTTTATTAGTCCTGCTAACATTCTGACTATTTTATTAGTTTTTCCAAAAAACCAGTTCCTGGATTCATTGATTTTTTTGGAGGGTTTTCCATGTCTTTGTCTCCTTCAATTCTTCTCTGATCTTAGTTATTTCTTGTCTTCTGCTAGGTTTTGGATTAGTTTGCTCTCAGCTCTCTAGCTCTTTTAATTGTGATGTTAGAGTGTCTATTTGAGATCTTTCTAGCTTTCTGATGTGGGCAGTTAGTGCTATAAATTTCCCTCTTGACACTGCTTTAGCCATCTACCAGAGACTCTGTCCCAGAAATGCTGTCTCTTTGTTTTCATTGATTTCAAAGAACTTCTTGATTTCTGCCTTAATTTCACTATTTAACTAGGAGTCATTCAGGAGCAGGTCGCTCAATTTCCATGACATTGTGCGCTTTTGAGTGAGTTTCTTAATCCCGAGTTCTAATTTGATTGCACTGTGGTCTGAGAGACTGTTTTTATTTTTTCCGTTCTTTTGCATCTGCTGAGGACTGTTTCACTTCTAATTATGTGGCCTATTTTAGAATAAGTGCCATGTGGCACTGAGAATAATGTATATTCTGTTGATTTGGGGTAGAGAGTTCTGTAGACATCTACTAGGTCCACTTGATCCAGAGCTGAGTTAAAATACTGGATAGCCTTGTTAATTTTCTGTGTCATTAATCTGTCTAATACTGACAGTGAGATGTTAAAGTCTCTCACTATTATTGTGTGAGAGCCTAAGTCTCTTTGTAGGTCTCTAAGAACTTATTTTATGAATCTGGGTGCTCCTGTATTGGGTGCATGTATGTTTAGAATAGTTAGCGCTTCTTGTTGAATTGTTCCCTTTACCATTATATAATGACCTTCTTTGTCTTTTCTGATCTTTGTTGGTTTAAAGTCTATTTTGTCAGAGACTAGGATTGCAACCTATGCCTTTCTTTTTTTTTTTTTTTTTTTTTTTTTTTTTTTTTTTTTGCTTTCCATGTTTTCCTCCATCCCTTTATTTTATTTTGAGCCTGTGTGTGTCTTTGCATGTAAAATGGGTCTCCTGAATACAGCACACCAATAGGTCTTGACTCTTTATTCAATTTGCTAGTCTGTGTCTTTTAATTGGGGCATTTAACTCATTTACATTTAAGGTTAGTATTATTATGTGTGAATTTGATCCTGTCATCATGATGCTATTGGTTATTCTGCACACTAATTGATGCAGTTTCTTCACAGTGTCATTGGTCTTTAAATTTTGGTGTGTTTTTGCAGTGGCCGGTACCAGTTTTCTCTTTCCAAATTTAGTGATTCTTTCAGGAGTTCTTGAAGGGCAGGCCTGGTGGTAATGAAATCCCTCAGCATTTGCTTGTTTGGAAAGGATTTGATTTCCCCTTTGCCTATGAAGCTTAGTTTGGCTGGGTATGAAATTCTGGGTTGAAAATTCTTTTATTTAACAATGTTGAATATTGGACCCCAGTCGCTTCTGGCTCCTAGAGTTTCTGCTGAGAGGTCTTCTCTTAGTCTGATGGTCTTCCCTTTGTAGGTAACCTGGCCTTTCTCTCTGGCTGCCCTTAACAGTTTTTCCTTAATTTTGACCTTGGGGAATCTGATGATGTGTGTCTTGGGGTGGATTTTCTAGTGGAGTATCTTAATCTTGTTCTGTGTATTTCTTGAATTTGCATGTTGACCTGTCTTGCTAGATTATGGAAGTTCTCCTGGATAATATCTTGAAGAGTGTTTTCCAGCTTGTTTCCATTCTCCTCATCTCCTGCTGGTACTCCAGCTAATCGTAGGTTCAGTCTTTTAATGAAGTCACATATTTCTCAGAGGCTTTCTTCATTCCTTTTCATTCATTTTGCTTTATGCTTGTCTGTATGTCTTATTTCAATAAGGTGGTCTTCAAACTCTGATACCCTTTCTTCCGCGTGGTCAATTCAGCTGTTGATACTGATTTGGCTCTGATGAGTGGAGGAACACCAGGGTTCTTGGTCCTCATGCTGGTTTAGATAAAACAACACAGATACACATGGAGTGGTTTTAAAGAGTGGAGAGTTTAATAGACCAGAAGGAAGGGAGAAGGCAGAAGGAAGAAGCTCCCCCATACAGAGACAGAGGGGGGCCCTAAAGCTGAAAGAGGAGGTCCCCAAGTGCAGTGTACACCAGCCTCCCCATCTCTGAGTTCGGTATGCTTAACCCAATTTCAGCTGAGAGGCTGTAAGAATCTGCGCCTTCCAGGGTTAGGACACTACGCCCTGGTGGCGTGGGTTCATGCGTGGGATTTCTAGATCTGTGGATTGCACGGTTCTGTGAAAAAAGCAGCTTCCCCATCTGGGTCGCACTCTCCCTCACCGCTTCCTTTGGCTGTGGCGAGAGGGCTCCCCCTGCCCCGAGTGACTCACACGTGGGCTGCCACACCACACTGTTCTTCCTTCTGTCCATGGGTCACACTAACCTACTAGTCAATTTTGATGAGAGAACCTGGATACCTTGGTTGCTGGTGAAGGATTCACATGCTTATTGTGGTTTTTTGATGGGAGCCTCTGAGTGCCGCTGCTTCTAGTTGGCCATCTTGGCCTCACCCCAGTTTGTGGATTTTTAATTAACATTTTGTTTAGTCTCACATTTTAAAAATTGCATTTAAGGATTTTACTTGTTACACTTTATTTAAGAAATCTTTTCTCATGCCAAACCATAAGTTAGACTTCAATTTTTTAAAAAAAGTTAAAGTTTGCATTTCATATGGAGATATTTAATCCAACTGAAATTCATTATTGAATATTGAGTGAAGCAGAGATCAAAATTAATCCCTCTCCCTATTTGGAGAGTCTCTGTCCGAATGCTTTCTACTGAATCATTTGACATTTTCACTTGATGTAAAATTCCTCTTCAGCATTTTAGTTTTCCAAATAAATTTTAGAAAAAAAATGTGTCTACTCCTTTCACAAACACTTTAGTTTTGTTCAAATTTTATTATGTTTATAGAATAATTTGAAGGAATTACTATCCCAAAGGTACAATGTCTTTTGACCATGGGCATGATATATCACTGCATTGATTTAGATCTTGTTTTATGTCCTTCAATAATGTTTTATCTACTTTGACACATATCTATCATATTTTTATATTATTTTATTATTCCCAGTAGCCTAAATTTTATTTTATTGCATGGAATTTTGCTATTAAGAATATAATATCTTAAATTTACACATTCTGATTGCTACTTATTTGTATACAGAAGCATTCTCCATTTTTTAAGTTACAGACTGTAACGTGTTTGAACTCTTAATAATTGTATTATACTAAGTAGCCTATTGTCTCTTGGATTTTTACTTGTCAACAACCATTCATCTGCAAAAAATTACAGATTTTTATCTTTGTTTCCCTGTGTTGTATCTTTCATTTCTTTTTCTTGTCCTACAGAGTTGGTTAGTACCTCCAGGAAAATGTCAGCCAGAAAGTGTAATAGTAACCTTATTGCAATCCTGATTTTAATGCAACAATAATATAGTTAAACTGTCAAGAACAGACGGTTGCTCTAGGTTTTGGATAGGTACTCATTGTTAGCTTAGGAAAATTATTCTATCCTTAGATTATAAGAATTGTTCATTCATTGTTTCTTTTTCTTGTTTTAAATTTACTGATTTTTTAAAATAAATCATGATTTGTGGTTTTGTTTTCTTTTCCCATTTCAATCAAGATGATTATAAGTAATCTCCTTTAATTTGATAATATAATTAATAGTATTGATTGATATTTTTACCTTCATTATTAAACTAATTTTACTTTCCAATGGTAAATTCTGTTTGACTAGGATATGTTGTTGTTGTTGCTGCTGTTACTATTATTTTTTATTGGGGTAACACATTAATAGGCTTGATTTGCTAGGTGTTATTCTGGATTGTTTTGTGTTTTTATTCATAGGTAAGATTAAACTATAAATTTTACTTGACTAGCTTGACATATATACCAGTGTATGTGTGTGTGTGTGTGTGTGTGTGTATATATGTGTAAATATATATATATATATACACATATATACACACACATACATATATATAGAGAGAGAGAGACAGAGAGACTTAGATACCCTTTGTATATAAAATCTGTTATATACAGATATATATAATCTGATAAAATAGGATATAGCTATATTCTGACTGAATCAGAATATATATGTTATATATACTCAGAGTATAAATATATGTTATATATATGCAATCAGAATATATATGACAAAATTATATATATTCAATATATATATTCAAAAATTAAAAAATAAATATATATATATCCAGTTCTTAATGTTACAAGTCCCCTTGAAATCTTCAGTTTTGTATTGGAAGTTTTGGAAATTTTTCCTATTAGAAAATGTTCAAACTTGTTTTCTTTCCTAATGATTTGTCTATTTAATCTACTTTTTAAAATGTATTATTATTAAAATGGTTCTTTTACTCTCTCACAATTTCCAAATTTGTAATATATCTTCAGTTATATTCCCTTTACTGTTTCAAATATTATTTACTTCTATTTTGTCTCTCTCTGTTTTTCTTTCTCTCTCTAATCAGCCATGCCAGATCTATGTCTATTTTCCCTCTAGCACAATAGTGGCTACATGGTAAATGCCTAAAAGATATTTTCTGATGAACTGTCATTCTGAAAGGAAGAACACAGGGCTTGGCGTGTAAGATTACCTGCCTGCAATCTGGTGGCAGAAATGTAGCAGAACTTTGAAGCTCTGCCTGTAATTATCACCCTATACTAAGTCCCAAATGGATTAAGCAAGGCACCCTGTGATCCCCCAGTCAAGTAGGAGATATTATATATGTACATAGGACACACAGTGAAGCAAGTCCTCCCATGGCCAATCAAAGGAGAAAAAAAGGTGACTCCTGGCTGGATGAAGTCTTCTTGGTGCAGATGACTTTTAACTGAGAGTTGGAGGTAAGGAATCCTATTATTTGGCCCATTGCAGCTGTTGGTGCTATGTGCTGTGCAGAAGTCCTCTAGGGCTCAGGGACACTGTAGCCCAGAAAACACACACACACACACACACACACACACACACACACACACACACACACACAGTAACCGCGCTGGTAACACCAAAATCAACCACGCATGCAATCCTGATTCCAAAAATATGCAATATTCAGACAAGAGTTTAGGTAGTAATTCTAGTGGCACTTTAAGGAGGCTTTATGAGATGAGTTTGGAAGCAAAAAGCACAGTTGCTCTTTAGCAAGGAAAACATAAAGCAATATTGCTGCAGATTGAGCAACAAGAGGCTTAGTAATTCACAAACTTGTTCCACGTGAAATGTTGATCTGCAGGCTAAATGCTCTAATTTATATTGTGATATATTGTGTTTTCTAATGTGTTCTTCATGTGTGTGTGTGTATGTGTGTGTGTGTGTCGTATGGATATTTATTTATTTATTGCATGTTTCCATGATGTTGTACTTACTGTTCTTTCTGATAGAGCTACCTGTGCCCCTGCATTGCTTAGTGAATTACTAGTAATTGTCCGTAAGTTTTCTGAACCCTCAACTCTTCCAAGAATCTCTCTCTGACATCCCAGTCCGTAATGTGAGTGAGGGGTCTCTTCTTAGTGTTGCCCACAACTCTTGGAGCCTATCTCAGTGTACTGTATTTAGTGGCATGCTTGTGGGTGTGTTTTCTCCAGCAGGCAGGAACTCCTTAATGGGAAGAAGGGCTGCACCTGTCATTTCTCTCTCTCCTGTGCATCTGGAACATAGTGAGCCTTTGGCAACATGCTTTGAATGCCCTAAGCAAGGGACTGACCCCACTAGCTGATGGCAAGTGGCTGGTTCTGTTACTGCAGTTTCTAACCTGTGTAGGGTCCAGTTCCTTAGCCACACCTGAATTATTTGTAAGGCAATGGGAATTAATTTGTCATAGCTGTAGAGTGTCTCCCTTTGCAAAATACGGACTGCAGCAGATGCTGAGGACTATCTTAGTAGGGGTGACATCTTTTCTTTTTGAACTTGGTTTTAGGTTAAGGAGAGTTACAGGCAATTGGCCTTCTTCAGAGGCAGCTGCATGACAGAGGGTTTGGGAGAGTCCCAGCCAAAGAGGAAACTCAAGGCACCAGCCCTTTACATAAGCCCTGCTGGATGACAACACTGTCCTCCTTTCATCCCACCCAAGGGCTAGGTACATCTTGTCTCTTCAGTCTAGAATGCTCCCCGTCTCTCATTCCACAGTCATACATGCATGCACAGAACACACACTCATGAACACATGCAGACGCAGTCACAGAAACAGTCCATGCATGTGCGCGCGCACACACACACACACACACACACATACACATTTCACCTATGTGGGGCCCTCTCCTTTTTTAGATTTCTGTCACTTCTTATGGAAGACTTCCTCATCTTGGTTATATGCTCTCCTGGAACTGTGACCCTCTCTTTCAGATATTAATAAAAAATGTGTACCCAGCTTGTAATTATAGGACCAGTAATGTGCTTATCTAGCAAAGGTCTGTCTTTACCTATAAACTGTAAGCTCCCTGAAGGCAGACACCGTCTCTGTTTTTGTTTTTAATGTCCTATGCATAGTACAGTGTGTACTGGATGCTTAAAAGTTGTCAAATACATGTAAAATATTAATGAGTTGCCCTTCAGAACACTTATGTTGGAGTAGCAGACTCATTCCTTTATATACAATTAATAATGCATGAGCCACGATAGTAAAGGTATTCCTAATCTCCATTGCAGACAGCGGATGATGACTGGATGGGGATACTGCTTCAGAATTTTCTTCTAAACCAGGTACCAAGGCACATAAAGTCAGCCTCTTTAATTTATAGTCACATCTCACTTCAGACCTCAAGTGAGATTACCAAATTTTATCAGTCACTTTAGCCTCCATTGTTAGCCAAACATCTTCCAATTGTTTCCAAAATAGATCCTTCCTTCTTTGAGTGACAGTGATGCCTGCTTTGGTTGGAAGGTCCCAGCCAAATCTCCCATCGATAAGTGGGGGATTGCTGCCCTCCTCCCACCAGTCCAGTCTTCAGCACAGAGCCAGGGGCTGCAGAAGAGCGCAGGCTTGGGTCTAGAATGCATGGGCTTCAATCCCAGGTCCTCTGTGCAGGTCTTAGGGCTGAAGTGCAGGGTTTCGCTGCGCAAGGCTGTCATTGCTCCTCGGTCAAATGGGGGTAAGTTCCTCCCTTGGAGGTCTGTTGACAGGATAACATGGTGTAATGGATGTGTATGTTGATTAGCACATTCCTGTACTAAGCAGAAAGTTGCTCCGTGAATGTTAGCACTAGAGTTGTTAGTACACATGCTAAGTCATAAAAGAGTATCACTCTTCAGCAGAGGACTTTAAATTATATGACTGTGGTGGATTGTATTAAAGTTCAGCAAACATTCTCTCTCCCCTTGACCCACCATTCCAATTTGGGCTTGGTCGTGTTTCCCATTTGGCCAATGGGATGTGATCGGATGTGATCAAGAGCTAGTTCAAGCCAAGTCTGTAAGAGGCTCCGTGTGTTTCTGCTTGCCTTCCTTGATCCTGCCCACTGCGATGGGAAGGACACTCCCCTATGAGATGCTGCCTTTGCAACCTGGGACCTAAAATGAGAGGCACTTGGAGCTGGCGTGAAGTGAAGCCTGGCCGAGGCTGGCTGAGCCACAGTCAACGTGCAAACCTGGTGTGTTTGTAAATCACTCAGATTTGGAGGGTTGTTCATGATATCACTGCAGCAAAACCAGGGGCAGTAACCCACATAGAAACCAACACGCTGTCTCTCACCGGTGTACTTTGAAGGGCATGAGCCTCCTTTAGATGGGTAGGTTCTGGTGCTTTCTGCAAAATAACCAGTTGCCCGGCTTCACACATTTATTTCTAAGTCATTGTAGCACACTCTTCTCTTTGGCCAACAGCCATGTTGGATAAATCTTGTAACCTCTCTGAAACTCCATTGGTTTATAATCTAAGGGAATAAACACACGTTGAGCTCAAATTTGTGATTGTCTTGAGTGTTATTTAGATGGAAGTACAAGAAACCCATGTCAGAATATGAAGCTTGAGTCAAGTTGCTCATATCAGAGTAAAACATTCAGAATAAATTGAAAGTTCCATTCCGTAAAAGGCAATTACAAAAGCAGGGAGGGGAAGTCCAAAGAAACCCTTTCAGGGCCTAAAATTTTCTTAGTACTTTCATGTCCCTTTAAAAAGAAAAATGACATTAAAATAATTTTAAAGGTTTTGACTTAAGCCCATGGACATAAGGAAATTCCCCTGCTTAGAATCAAGTTCTCACTATCTGGCCCAGCTTGCATTAGGAATGGACTCCTGTGGAGATCCAATCTGGTGGTTTGGTTCCAGCTGAGAATGGCTATGCCGAAATTATTATGGCGCCAACCTTCCCATAATAAGCCGTACGTGGCTCTTAGCCTTGTAAGTGTCATAAGGACCTTTTGGATAGAAATCTGCCAATTTTTTCCACGCAGTCACTCTATTTGGGGTTTGTCTCTGCAGGTTTTCCTGGTACCGGTTCTGGCCTTTTAAGATTTTTGGCCTTTTTTATATAAACGTATAGATGTTCTAGCTCAGTTATAAGTCTCTGATTGACAGAAAGATTTGTAATTTTTTTTTCTGTTGTTCTTCAGTTCTTCATTTCTCATTATGTTCCAGTTTTTTTTTTTTCCTGGTTTTACTCAGATTTCACACCTAAGAGGTAGGCGTTGGAATCTTTTGGTGGGTCATTATCTGTTAAATTGACAAAGCTATTAATCAGTTAAGTAACAAGTTGTTGAGGGAGAAACTTGGTAATTCAGTTCCTGTGTTTCCATGTAATTGTTGGTGTTCCTCCTGTCACTGTTGCTGTTTTGCCTAGAGAGCTGCTGGACAGGAGACCAACAGATTCCTGGCTACCTGTCAGGCAGCCATCAAATAGTAATGATTTCCCGTCACTGCCAAGCATGTTCTAGATTTGAACCAATGACCTGAGAAGAAAGTCTCCACAGCCTATTACCAAATTAGCCCCTGAGTCTTTTGTTTTCCCAACAAACACCCTTTCCAATAAAATTTCATTTTTGCCGTTAGACTGGTCAACTTGCCTACAAATCCCTGAAGCGTGAAATTAATTGAACTACAGAGTTGGGCAAACAAGCTCAGAAGTGAGCTATTCAGAAATAGAAGCCAGTATTTCAGACATTGGTCCATTTGGAAAAAATGGCCTTGGTTTCCCTCTTGCATCTTGGGAGTGGGATTAGGGGTGGATGGGCGGGAGGTACACAGAAGTGGTTATGCAGTTTACTATTCCAAACTCTCATTTTCTTATGGCTTCAAGTTGATGAACACAGCATGCTAGGGGCTGAGACTCCTAGAGATTAAAAGCTGAATCACCCTGGAGAATCTTTCTTCCTATGACCAGGTTACCCGGGAGTTTCAGCTTGATTGCATTAGGAAAAGAGTTTCATAGCATTTCAAACCTTTTTTTTTTGAACTTTTATCTTTCAGCTATGAACCCACTACGAGTAGCAGAAGCTTCCTGTGGTAGGAAACAGCTTATCTCTTAAATTCTATCCCAGCAACATCTGCATAGTTCAAACCTTATTGGAGAGCCAACGTATTTCTCTTAAATTTTGATAATCTTTGTTGTGAACCAGCACAGGAAAAAAGCTAGATATTATATAAAGCTAAATGGAGCACATTCGCTTAACTTGAAGGAAGGAAGGTGCCATAGAGAGTCAGGGGACTGTGTTTACATACAGAGTCCGTAATAGGGTATCTGAGCCTCTTTGACTGGCCCTAAATTTCCAGTGTCAATTTCCCGAGGCCTTATATACACACAGAAGGTACAAACGTGTTCATCTATGACTAAAAGTATCTGCATTTTATTACAGAATACAGTTCAGCCTTCTAGGAAGGTTAAACAAGCAGGTGAGAAGTGAGGTTTGGAAAACGGTCAAGACAGCTGCAAGTCAACAAAGATACCAACTTGAAGTGTCAAAAGTTAAAAAGAACCCTTTATGGATATTCAATTCATCTATTAAAGAAATGTATATGCACAACCTGCTATGTGGAGAGGATGTATCCTATGCTCAAAGGCCTAGGGTCATATTCTGGCTTTCTTTTCCAACTGTGTAATCCTAGGCCTGTTACTGAAGCTTTCCGAATCTCCCACCACCCCCATCTGTTAAATGTGAATGATAATGCCCTCGATAGGAGATGATTGTGTAGGTTAAATGAGATATGTAATGGACCTACTATGGTAACTATCACATGGCAGTCACTCAATAAATGGCTATTGCTGCATTACTAGTGTAGAGATCATTACTCTAGTAATGATATTATCATTCAAGTTAAGCAAATTGATAATAGTTCTTATCCCTCAAAAACTTAGCCATGACACAGCCTTCTGGGTTATAGGAAATTCTTCATCTAGCCAGTGAAGCTAAGGGCATTTAACTGCAAGCGTTCCTCATTCTCCACTCAAGAGTCTTATCTGACCACTTCAGGGAATGTCAGCCGTGCCAGTGTCTTAACACCCTGGGACCATCCATGATAGGTGGGAGTTGGTGGATAAATACCTTCCAGCTTCTTTGCTCCCTGGGTCAGTAACTCTGAAGTGTGTTCAACTCAGTGTCACAGAGATCCCATTATGACTAAGCCACAATTCCTCACATAAAAATCCTACACTTCCATGCATGCACCCTAGTATAGCTTCCATGCTTCCTTCCGCATTAAACTTGCCCATCTCCCTTCCAGTGCCTCTGAGAACACATCCCAAAGAAGCCATTTGCACTCGAATCCTTGTCTCTAGGTCTACTCCTGCGTGAATCTGACCGAAGACACTTGTGCTAAGTATAGATCTCATCCTGGAACTATCAGCCTAGAGTTACCATGTGAGAATCAACTGGATCTCAAATCAGCACGGGCAGTTCAGTATGTTACTTTGTGACTTCAGGGCTGTATTCACATTTGAAAGTGGTTTGTTTTCTCTGCTTAATGCATTGAATATATATGGCTTGCTTTTTCCTGGTCACAGAGGCTTCTCCTTGGTCTCAGTTTAGCTACTCTGGAAGATGTGTGATTATTTCTTGGAGCCCACACCCTTAGCACCCAAATATCTATTTGACGTGTACACCACATCCTATAGTTTAAGTAAAACCATCTCAGAATCTTACCTTCCAAACTCAGTGAAAACCTATCCAGCCAATTCACATAGTATAGTAGCAGATAATGTTACTAATAGAAATATAAAGCATCCATTTGAAGCTCTTTTCTTTATTCACGGAGCATGTAGGGGATACAAACAATTTTCCAAATGTTTTTCCCTTGCATAAACCCTATGAAGAAGAAACAAAATAATGACCCAGAAAAACTGAACAAAGGTAATCAGTTTCATAATTTAAGATATGTTAGTTTAATGGTGCACAAATTAGAACTATTTGACGCATCAAGACTGACAGTTTCTCTAATGTCATTGCTAAAGAAATGCATTTTCAATGACCTCACAGTTTTTGTATTAAAATAATTATTGCTCTTTGCATGTATAATTGTGATCTGGGCAATTAGAACGTAATCCCTCCCTTGGCCTCTTTCTTCTGGGCTAGGTAACACAACAAAGCAGTAGTCACAGTTAAAGAAATGCACAGCAACAGCAAATTGACATGGCACCTCGATTTTAGTCAACATTAGGGAATGAAAAATGCGTCTTGAATTAGTATCGTAAGACCTTGCTTTATGCAGTAACCGTCATGGTGTGACCTGAACTAAGTAATGTAACCTCTGCTACCTCTGCTCTCAACTTCAACAGGGAGGAAGACTGACTTCACAGAACCGTCATGAGTTTCAATGAGACAAAATAGGAATAGCAACTATGTCAACTATGTACACACTAGATACAAGTCAGTTAATGTTTTTATTATCTCAGCTGATATTTATAATTGCTCTTTGAGCTAAGAAAGGCAGATTTATGCTTACTCTTCACAGATGAGAAACTGAGAATTAGAAAGGTTAATTTATTTTGACTAGTAAATGTCAGAGATCAGACTTGAACCCTGGACCCTTCAGTTCGAGATGAATCTTCTCTCTTCTACAACAGTGCTCTTGGAGCTTTTCTGAGCGCTAGAATGCTGCACGAGCTTGTTAAAAAAAGCAGATTTCCACTGCTCCTTCCCCAACTCTCACTCCAAAGATTCTGACTCTGTGGTTCTGAGATTCGTTTTAGGAATCTGCATTTTCAATAAACACTTCAGAGAATTCTAATGCAGAAAATCCATGCGTAGAACACATTTTTAGAACACTTAGCTGTTATGACACATTGTCTATCAGGATTATGTTAAATGGTGGCAAGCCTTTAGAATTAAAGAAACTTTCTATTGACTGGTATCAGGAAACTTGATAATTTTTATTACTGATAATAATGATAGTACTATTACTTGAGTTCTTATTAGGTGCCAGCCCCTGTGTTAAGTGTTTGATGTGCATTATTTAAGTGGATCCTTATGACGTCCAGGTGGCCCCTGGAATTGTACAACCCCACAAGGTACTATTACCCTCCCTATTTGATATTGAAGCATCAGATCTCAAAGAGGTTAAATCAATTTCCAGTGACTTCCTAATAAACAGCAAACAAAGGAATTGAACCCCAATTTTCTAAACTTCATACCCATATAATTAGTCATTCTCTTCTGTAGGGAACAAATAAATGAGGGAGGGGAAATAATTCTGTGTGAATTGAGTGTCTCACGCTGACAAAGTCACACCGTAGTTGAACAAATTCAGAGAGCTATGGCTTAACCCTACATGCATTATTTAACCTGGTTTATTCCAATAGTGACCCTTTCATTGTCAGAGGTTCAGCTCTGTGGTATCAGATCCCAGGAATAGAATGGGGTATTAGTTTTCAATTGCTCATTAACAAACTACTCCAAATACGGCCGTTTAAAACAACAAACATGTATTATCTCACACAGTTTCTGAGGGTAAGGAATTCAGTTTAGCTGGATGTTGCTAGCTCAGGACCTCTCAAGAGATCCACTCAAGCTGTTGGCTGGAGCTGCGGTCATCTGAAGGCTTGAGGAGGGCTGGCGTATCTGTTTCCAAGATAGGGAGAAACCCTATACATGTAATCTATCTTGAAGATCTCTCTAACTTGAAGATCAGGAAGGAGATCTGAGAACTTTCATGGAAGCTTTAGCTCTTGAATTGACACGAGGTTGGAGACAGCAGAGCGCTTTTCTCAGGTATAGAGAGGACAATGCTCAGGGCTTACCATACTTCATAGAGGTAGAAATAAGAGATAGGAGCTGAACTGCCTTGGTAGTAGAATGCTTGTAGCTGATAGTTACCAAGGGAGGGATAGTCAGTCAATGTAGGACTGAATCTAGGTTCACCATTCACAAGGTTTATGAACTTGGAAGTATCTCTTAACATCTGGAAGATTCAATTTCCTCTTCTGTAACATGGGGACAGTCCTGGCACCTACTTACCTCAAAACTGTAGTTTGAGGATTTCTTTGAGCTACAGCATGTAAAGTTTTGAGGTTAATGCCTGGGGCATAGTAAGTGCTAAGCTAACATAATGGATAATATAGCCTTCGTGCCTCTATTTCCAACCCTTAAGGGGACATTAAGTCCTTGGTTAAAGACCAAGGACTTTATCTTTTTATTTAAGAATCTTGGATTGGTTCAAAGTTTAAAAACAAAGGAAAACACACAAACAGCAGTATTATTTTTAAAATATTGTTAAATAAGGACAATAGAGTCCCAGTTCCTCCTGGAGAACTTGGAAAACATAAAAAAAAACACAAAATACAAAATGGAGAAGGCAACCTCAAAATAGCGGGGCCTTCCTATCTCTGATACTGTTATGTGGATCTGACACTACGCTGTCAACATATGTTTCCTAGACGTCGTTTGAAATGGCTCAATGGAAACTAATGAGATGAATGAATCTCATGTTTTCCTCTGTCTTAAAAATACGCCTGCTCTCAGCAATGGGGTTTTCAAGACCAAGAGATGACTTTAAGTAATTTCGAACAATTTTGTCTTATGTAATCCAAAATACACATACTTGCAAATATGAGTTAAGCTCATTTTATATGTAAAAATTCCCATAGCTGAATCAAAACATGACCTCTTTCATTCTTCTTTCCAGTGTCTGGTACAACCAACTAAAAATTCTCCCTACCTTTGCAAACCAACCATGTTCTCATGGGAGGGCATCTTGAGTGAGCCAAGGAACCCTCTATCTAAGTCCTGAGAATTCACTAGTAACAGCAAGCTCTTGTTAGATGTCACTCTTTTTGAGGGAAAAGAAAGTGACCTTCAGGCATTGGGGATCCCAGTCTCGAGGAATTCCTACTGGTGGAAGAGACTCAGTGTGCCCAAATAGGAAGCTTTGGATTTGGCATAACCAGAGCTTTTCTGCATGAACTTTTATCACTTACTCCTTTTGTGGGAACAGTCTTAACAGTCTGCTCCGCCTGTTAGCAACTTATTTAGTTCCTAAGCCACAATGTGGCACTTAATGCGCTTGGCTCCCTTTTGCATTACTACAATTAGTTGTAGGTTTGACTGTCTCTTCCAGACTGTAAACACCTTGAGGGCAGAGCCTGGGTATATGAGGTTTCTCTATCTTACTCAGTCTGTAGAACTGGACTGGATTAGCCTTGGATAAGCAGCACAGACAGAGGCTGTCAAGAGAATAGGCTCCAACTCCTAGAGAGTGAAATCCCTTAAAAGAAAGCAAGAAAGTGAGGAAGTGGAGGAAGAAGAGAAAAAAGACAGGGAGGAATAAAAATCATTTGTTGCACTCTGTGGCTTTTTCTACAAGGAATCCTATGAATATGGCCATCTCATCATCTTGTTTATTTCTTTATTAAACTTAACACATCTATAACTGTATTAGTAACCCATTTATCAGTTTCCTGCATTAGATAGTGGGTTCTATAAGGGTGGGAATTTTGTCCCAGCCCAGTAGATTCTGAAAGGGTGTTTGTTGAATGGGACAGACTCAAAGATGTTTGAATGCATGAATGAATTAGCTCTAAAACTTCTCTTCCCAGCTGAATGGGGCCCTTCTTGCAAGGCCTCTCTGAAGAGCCTGGCTAAGAGTAAGGAGTGCTCAGGGTCACATGATTCTGATGGCCAAACCTACCAAAACCCTCCTTACCTGAGCACGATCCTCAGGGACAGTGACTTCCCCAGACCTTGTGTGTTATAAACCCAGATCACAGTGAGGAGAGAGAACCAGATGACAGCTGACAACCCTTCTGGAAATTTAACGTGAAATATAAATAATAGAAACTCCAACCTGCCACTGCCCAGAGGCTCAAGTATCCGTAGTCAGAGTCAACAATGCTGCCTTGCAGAAATATGTGTCCAGTTTTTATCTTTCTAGAAACAGCCAAGGAGTACAGTTCCTCTGGACCTAGGGTGATAACAATTGAAATAGAGGCTAAAGACATTATCTATTCCTTGACACCGGAAACATGTCACAAGTGAACAATTTTCAGAACTGGCTTTGGTAGCATGTTGGAAAAAGTTTGTCCCCACTGCAGTTTCTGTTTTAGTTCTTGGCATTTTCCATGTATCCAATTAGCCTTCCCTTCAAAGCAAAATTTAAACAACAACTACAAAAACCAACACAAAACCCTCACCATTCACTTTTTCTGTGTCTGGATATTTCTCATTTCAAAAGGATCCTTAGCTGGAAAAGAGGAAAGGTCCGTACATGGTTTGTCATGTTGTTACAGAGAGGCAATGTGATGACCGGAACGACACAGGTCATGAATTCCAGTTACCCCACATAGTAATCTATCCATTCATTGAAAAAGGTCTTATGCAGCCCAACTAGGTGATGGGCCTGAGCTGGGCCTGGGGAATCATTTGTTTTTTCTTAGGCGAGATGTTGTGCTAGCTTCTGATGATGCAAGCACCATGGTCGAATGTGTTTAGTGGGAGAAACTGGCATTTACCAAATACTCAATTTGGTTTATAGCTGTAGACAAGGATGCTGAAGCAAAGAAACCAGTTGTTATGGGTGCATGTAACCTGGCTGCTTGCTATGTGTGTTATGTGGAAGGAGGTAGACATGGGGATGAGAGTAAGCACAGCATCCGGGCAGGGGGAATTGCATGTGCAAAGGCGGGGAGCATGGGAGCATGGCCTGACTGTGGAATGAAAGGAGGCTGATTCAGCTGCGTACAGCGCAAAGGCGGGGAGCATGGGAGCATGGCCTGACTGTGGAATGAAAGGAGGCTGATTCAGCTGCGTACAGCGAGGTGAGAAATGGGGCATCGCGTTCTGCTGGAGAAGTAGGCAGGGCCAACACCGGTAGAGCCTTCGGTCAAATGTCAAGAGTTGGTCTTCCTCCTTAAAGGTAGCTGGAGATTGTGCAGTACTGGGCTTGCAGCATAGCACAGAACACAGAAACTTGAACCATTAACCAGAACAAAGTATGCTGTCATGGAAGAATGGACCAGGGATCTGGGAGGGCACTTCAAAGGCCCTAAATAGCCAATCCTGTGATGTGGTCCTGAGCAACTTCACCAAAATCCTACACCTCCGAGAAGGTTATGGGGTGATATGTGATCTCATGGTAGCATCCTTATCTACTACCTTTTTTCCCCGTCGTCCTTTCACAGTCATTTGAGAGGAACACGTTCATGTTTCCTGGGAATCATTTTGTCTTCACCTGCAGCTTGTACCTTTGTTACGCCCTACCTTTTATCTCTAGAGTCAACTGTGTCTTGAAGTTTCTGGTCATGTACATTCCAGCTCTCCTAAAATAATGAGGGGCCAAGGGCTGAAGCACCTCACTGTCAGGGGGTACAAACACTCAAAGGAAATGGCTACTTATTTAGAAGTTCTTGGTTTGAGTGGCATCTCAGCTAGAAACACTATTAACCTCTGGAAATCTAACCAAAAACCTATTTATTTACACATGGGCTGTTTTGCTTTGTTTTGTTTTGCTAGTATATGAGTATGCGTGTCTGCCCTTTGCTGTAACCTTCTGAGCAGAGGTTGTGAGGCAGTTAAGACTTGGAGCTTAGAAAGTTGGATTCTTTAAAAGTAAAATAGTAATAGCAATAATAATAAAGACCTGGTCAACCTGCCCCACCCCAATAACAGGGTTGTCTACATGATTATGAGTGGGTACATTTTGATTTTTCAAGCTTGCTGCAAATGGGCCTGAATTGGACTCGATTTCCCATCGTAATTGCTTTCTGCATGAAGAGGTCTTTTCCAGAACTGTCTGCGACCGCTGTTTTAATGGGAAGCTTGTCTATTTATATGTTAATAATTTCCTCCAACTTATTGGGCTTGTTGATGCAAAAGCCCAAATCAGATGCTTTCCAATTTTCAAGGTTTACTATTAATCTCAGATTTTTTTGCACCAACGGAAAGCTGTTTCAACCTCCTCTGCTCTAAACCCTCTTGATGAAAGCATGATGAATGACAACAGGCTTCTTTTCATGAAACATGGTTGTGCCGATATACATTTAACTTACAGCTCAGTGGAACCTCAGTGCAGGTAGCTCCACAGGTGATTTTCACAGGTTGCTTCACAGGTGAATTTGCTAGGGAGAATGCCATCACGGATGAATGCCTTCACTCAGCTGCTGAGCTACCCGGGCTTTGCTGAGAAAGATCTCCTGTATCATGTGAATGGGCCTGGGCTTGTGGGATGTGACGCTGCAGCAAAGGAATCCAGGAGAGGAAACCAAGGACTCAGCACTAGAAACGGAACAGGCCAGCTTTGAAATCCAGACTCTACAAGCAAGTAACAGTGTAGCACCCCACAGCCACAGCCTCTCTGATTTTCAGTTTCCTCATTGCTTAAAAAAAATGACAGCAATCATTCTCTCATATTGTTTATCTCTTACGTATTGTGGGGTTTAATTATATAGTGTCCATGAAGATACTTAAATGTCTGGTTAATGAAAACCCTCCGATACATCACTGTTAAAGCTCAGACACTCTGAATCTAGTCTTCATAATTCACACATCCATTGCTTGATCCATAGGGCAGGGATTTTCATCCTTTTTGTTTTCTGTTGCTTCTCCCCAGTGCCTAGGACAAGTCCGTGAACGTAGTAGGTGCTTATTAAGTAGTTATGGACAAATTGCATAGCGAGTTCAGTCATCACAGGTTTATTGACCATCTGTGGTGTCCCAGCATCTTAGAAATGAAAATATGCTGTTCTTGTTCCTGAGAGCTCTTGACCTTTGAGGGATGACAGGTAGGTGGAGGTTGGCAGAGAACTGAGATATAAATAATAAGTAATGACAGTAGTGTGCAGTCTCTTAAAAGAATGGCCCAAGAAGCATCTAAATGAGAATGACCTGGAGCGTGTGTTAAAAACACAGATTCATTGGCCCCAGACAAGATTTATGGAATCAAAACACCTAGGTGATGGGCCCTGGGAATCTTCATTTTTAAGAAACATCTCAGACAACTCTAACTTTCATTTCTATTTGGAAACTTTTGCAGAGATGGGTGCTGAGAGTAGGGTTTGTGTCATTGCAAGTTGCTGCGGCAGCTGCAGGCAGGGTTAAGGGGAGTGAGAGGAGCCTCCCTCGAGGAACTAGGGCTTGAAGGATGGAGAAGAGACTTCCAGGTGAAGAAGGGTGTAAGGACTTCCTAGTACAGGGAAAGGCACAGACCCCAGACAGCACCGACCCCTCCAGAAAACGTGCGCAGAGGAGACCTGAACAATTGAGTGGAAACAAGGGGTGAGGATAATAAATTCAGATTATTAGCCGGGCGCGGTGGCTCACTCCTGTAATCCCAGCACTTTGGGAAGCTGAGACGGCAGGATCACGAGGTCAGGAGATCGAGACCATCCTGGCTAACACGTGAAACCCCGTCTCTACTAAAAATACAAAAAAAAATTAGCCGAGCGTGGTGGCGGGAGCTTGTAGTCCCAGCTACTCGGGAAGCGGAGGGAGGAGAATGGCGTGAACTCGGGAGGCGAAGTTCGCAGTGGGCCGAGATCGCGCCACTGCACTCCAGCTCGGGCGACAGAGTGAGACTCCGTCTCAAAAATTAATAATAATAAAATAAATAAAATAAAATAAATTCAGATTTTCTAAAGCAAATTTTGTGATCAAATAAATAACGTAACCAGATCTATGTTGAATAAGAGCAATCATGTGGATTAACTCAAATGTATGTACAAGGCTGAACTGACAGTATCGCAAAGGCATGCAAGGGAAGTGTGATCTGGTAAATGCCTCCGCTGAGCATACAGGGATCCCTTAACCGACCCCGTGAGCCTAAAGCGTTCTGGGAAATACGTGGATGCTTGCATTGAAGATGATCCCTAAGTCAATACAAAAGGAAACTGAGGCAGAAACATGGGAAGAAACCTGTGAATTCATAAGTAATTTCTTTGCAAAGGCAATATTTGCATTTTTAGTTTCCTTTCTATTCATACTTCCTCTGAATCCAATATTCTATTCTCTCCCTATCTTTTTTTTTTTTTTTTTTCTGAACAGGACCCCGGACTCAGCATCTGTCAAGTGTGGTTTTAGGGTGGGTGGACCTGAGAGGCAGGATTTGGGCAGGTGCACAAAAGGGTAAAAGTCCAGGGTTTGCCAGCCATAGACCTGGCCGAGTCCAAGGTCTAGAATCTAGAATCTCCCAACGTCCTCATTTTATTGTGTATTAAATGTGGATAATAAGAAATATCTCCCAGAGCTATTTCAAAGGTTGGCTGATGGAAAGTGTATAAAAAGTTTGGCATACAGTGGGTGCTTGGTGAAGGAGGGATAAATAGCGGGGATGGTGGCAGCGACAAAAATCGTTATTAACGTTCATTTCTTTCTTGCCCTGGGGAGCTGAGACCAGAAGCCTCCTTGATCACATTTTTGCTTAGAAGAGTTTTGGCTTGGAAATAACCCAAACTGGGAGGTTCACCCCAAAAGCTGTGTTCAGGGAGCAGCTCCCTTGGCTCACAGCTCCTGTGAAATGGCAGAGGCTTGTCATTCTAGTGACTCAGCTTCTGGCTTCTCCACGGAGTGGCCAGCTGGAAGCAGGTGTAGCTGCAACTTCTCCCCAGACCTGGCCTGGCTCTTGCAGCTCCAGCTTCAGCCCAGGGGAGGGGCCATCTCCTCCTACTGGGAAGTTCTCAGGGAGGAGGCCAGATCCGGCCTGCACTGAGTGGCAGCCTGGAGAACCTCATCTTGCTTGACTCATGGCAACCGGTGGAGCATGTCATGGGTGCACGGGCATTCAAGGGAAAGGGGGCCTGTTGTGACAAAACACTGCACCCATTGCTGAGTCACCTCCTGCAGGGCCCAGCCATCCTTGCCTCTCTTCTGCTCCCAACCTCCCCTCTGGACCCAACCGTGCCCATTTCTGAGAAGGCATTAGGCAACAGATAGCCCAGACACACTGGAGCAATAGCACCCCAGGAAGAGTTAAACAATGATCCCAGGCCTTAGGCAACTTCTTGGCTTAGAGCCCCTATCATACTTAAATGTTTGCTGTCTACAGACCCTTGAATGGAATTGGGATTGGGAATTGGGATGGGGGTGAAACATGACAAATAAGGTGGTCAACTTGTCTGATTTGCCCAGCACTATTCCACGTTTAACATAGATAGTCTGTGGTCCCAGGAAGACCCCCTCAACCCTGAGAAAACAGAGGCAAATTGGTCACCTTAAAGAAATTAGGGTACTAGAGAAGACAGGTGTCCTGGCCCCAGAGTTGCTGCTTGGAGAGTATACTCGGATGCCTATGATTTCTGTGTTTGAATACTGCCTGTGTGCCTGGCATGTCTGTATATTGTATGTCACAAGGACGACCATCCCAAGAGGCAGGTCCTATAATGATCCCCATTTTACCAATGAGTCGAGTGGGTCACGGATGGTGTGAGCAACTTTGTGAGGTCACAGGGGTGGGAATGCCAGGGTCAGCGTGTGAGTCTCAGCAGCCTGGCTCCAGACTGAGGTTGCCCATGCTCTCCTGTGTTGACTGCCTAGGTACACCACACACACACACACACACACACACACACACACACACACAGATACAGGCACACAGATACGCAGATACACAAACACACACAGACAGGAACAGACACACAAAGAGATACACACACGCAGATACACACACGGATAGATACACACAAATGCACACAAACATGAACACAGATACACACAGACAAATGCACACACAATGAAGCACACAAACACACATATTCAAACACACAGACACATACCACACACACAGACACACATAAGCACCTACACAGACATGCATCACACAAATTCACAGACACACACCACACACAAGGACACACAGACACACAAAGACGTACACAGACATATACACAAATATACCAAGACAACAAATATAAACACACACACACACAGACACATACACACTTAGGGCCTGCGTGGCACCATGTTGGCAGGAAGCCTCATTTCAAAAAAGCCTAGTTCAGCAGTCAAGAGTAATTGAAAAGAAACTGAGATCTTTGCTTCTGGTGCCTGGAGAAAACTGAAAGGGGCCCAGCCCATAAGTTCCCTTCCTCCAATGCCTCTCTCTCTCCTGACCCTGATTCACCCTGCAGCCCTTGGCTTTCCAAACTTGCAAATCTCTTTCCTTTCTCCTTTTCATCCCTCTCTTTTTTCTCTCTTTTCCTTTTACTTCTTTTTTACCCTGTCCCCTAGAATACCCTGGAAGGCAGCAGCCGTTCTTTCCTCTCTCTCAAAGTTTCTCCAGCTCCTTCTCTTGAGCCTATCTACTAGCCTGGCACAGGGCCCAGGAGTCAGGATCCAGGACCCAGAACCCAGGATCCAGGACCCAGACCCAGGACTCAGAATTCAGTACCCAGGACCCAGGACTCAGGATCCAAGACCCTGAACACCAGGACTCAGGATCCGACACCCTGGACCCAGGACTCAGAATTCAGGACCCAGGACCCAGTACTCAGCACCCAGGACCCAAGACCCAGGACCCAGGACTCAGAATTCAGGACCTAGGATCCAAGACTCAGGACTAAGGACCCAGGACCCAGGACCCAGGACTCAGGACCCAGGAACCAGAACCCCTTTGCTACAGCACCCTCCCCCACATAGCTGAAACCACAGACTGTCCTTGCTAGGACACCTGGAGCCTGGGAAATCCCTTCAGAGTCTGTATTTGCATTTCCATTTCAAACCCGCTTGCTCACTCTTGGTATTTGTGCTATTACATCTAGTGCCTGACTTTTTGCTAAATTCTTCAAAGGAATATTCAGCTCATTTTGGTTACTTAATGGTAAATTCTAGCTCCTTCTTGGGCCCGTGTTCTCCACCGTGAGTGCACCTTAGAACCAACAACGTGGGGATCTTTTGAAATGTATGGTAGTCCCAGGTTCATGTCACACTGGTTGACTCAAAGAGTCTTGGATCTGGGCTTCCTGGTGGGTGTGATACACAGTGATATCCATGGAGACTGCTGTACTCAAGCCAGAGAGCTGACACTCAACTCCAGGATCCCTGAGACCACTCGCTGGGAAATTAATTCAGTCATACCCACAGAATAGTGATATGCACAGCTGTAACTATGAGAGAAAAGACACACAGGGTGGGTTTGCTTGACATATATTTGCCGACCATCTCCTGTATGTCAGACACCATTCCAGGTGCTGGGATTACAAAGATTTGTACAACATATTCTTGGCCCTTATGTAGATGAGAGTCCAGGCAGGGAGGTGGGCATGTGAGCAACAGCAAGAACAAAACATGAGGATTTTGTGTGATGGTGATCTTGGTGGATCATGGGATCCCAAGACCATGGGAGAAGGCTGATGGGGCAAGTCAAGCGACGCCTCTGGAAGCAGAGGGTGCAGAAGGATGAACCAGGCATGCCGAGCCCTGCAGCCCCACCTTGGAGAAGTAGTGCTGATGTCTTCACCAGCGTGCTCCAACACCCATTCCTCGGGGTCAGCACCACATTAGCTGGAGATAGCTGCAGAACCCACAAGCAGTGCCTGAGACACACAGAACCCCTGCCTGCTGCAGGTCACAGACCCCTGCAATCATCACTGAGAAGTCCAGGGCATTATGGAATCTTAAAAGAAGAGGGTGAATAACAGACCTGAGGGGATCTCAGAGGACCTGAACCTTAAGGGGGAGGGGGCATGATTCAGATGGAGAACATACATAGAGTAGTCACATGCCACGCCAAGGGAGCTGAGCCACAAGGAAACCAAGACATGAGCAAGTACGCAGAGTCGGGCGCAGGGAGGGAACGTGGCATTGACATGTGAGGGAGGAACGCAGATGGCCCGGTGGCCTGGGTCCAAAGTGTGGAAAGGCCCAGTGAGGCCATCTCTGTTTGGGGGTCTTACTCCACTTCCTTTAGATGATGAGGAATTAAAGACAGTAAATGCTACTGTCTCCATTCCTGGAAAGTTAGCGAAAATGCAAATTTTAAATTATCTTGGAGATCGGGGAGCTTTCCAAACATTTTTAATGAAGAATGAAATCACAAAGCAATAGGAAAAAGTTCTTTTCTATGAAACCTTTACTAAATACCCGTTATGTGCTGAGTGCTGGGCCAAGCTCAGGTGAAGATAACAGGAGTTCAGGAGATGGGCCCTGTCTCTGGAGCCCCGACCCTCACAGGGAGGTGGATATTGATGGATGAATCAACATTTAATGACCTAAGGTAAAGGATGCTGGGTCTCCTGAGGAGGTATCCTGAGGAGGCTGTGGATAGAAGTGACTGAGGTTGTTCAGGCAGGGTCAGAAGGACAGAAGGAGCCAGGAGAATGGCTGGAAGGAAGGAAGGAAGGACGCTGCAGCTCAGATCTGAAGGTTGAGATGATGTGAGCCAGGTGAGGGGAGGGCACACGTGCTGTAGGCAAATGTGGGCTGGGTGCGACTTCCCAAGGCAGAGGGGCTGTGCCTCTTCTCCCAATCTCTCTGTCTCTCTGTCTGTTTCTCTCTCAATCTCTGTCTCTGTCTCTATCTCTTTCTATCTCTTTTTCTCTCTGTATGTCTGTCTCTGTCTCTGTGTGTGTCTCTCTTTCTTACTCTCCCCCATCTCTCTCTCATTCTTTTTTCTCTCTCAGTCTCTCTCTGTGTGTGTGCCCATCTCTCTGCATCTCTCTCTTTGTCTCTGTCTCTCCCTCCCTATTTTTATGTCCTCCTTTTTCCCCCTCTCCCTCTCTTTTTACAACTTTGTTATCTTGGAAAAAGTGAATATCCATATACAATTATAAGAAATAATACAGGAGGCCCTTATGCCTTTACCCACTTCTCCCCATTGTAACATCTTACATAACTGTCCTATAATATAACAACCAAGAAATTGACATTGATAAAATTCCCCCTCTCTTTAAAAAAAACAACACACACAAATAATAAAACCACCACTTTTTTATCAATAGCTCCAGCATCAAGGTAACTAGTTAACTATCCCTCAGATAAATCTGTCTCTCTGGGTAAGAGCAGGTATGCAGGTACATATATGTATGCATGTATGTATACAAGCATACATACATATATATATATCATTTGAAAAACACATTTAATTGTATCTAACTCAAATTTGGAATTATGAAATTATTAACTAACAAAAGTCTCTTCCCTTCTCTCTTTAAGGAAAAAAATAAAGTCTAGCTTCAGAGCATTAAAATGAATATTGAGTACCCCAAAGACATGAGTGTTTGGGAGGGAAATTGTAATAATTACGTTGAACAGCTTCATCAGTTTTGCGAAGAAAGGGGATAGGAATATTTTATCCTTTTTATTAAATTCCCATTTGGCACTGGAACAGTCATCATTTTATAACAATTCCATGTCATCCCTCTATTGTCTTTCTATGAGAGTCTCACCTCCCTCAGGATTTTTGGAAATAGATTTCAAGGAAATGGGAGTCAGTGCAATGCCTTGTCTTACATGCCAATATATTTTGCTCCTTGCTACAGGTTCAGATTCTAAGTAAAGATTTTGTCCTGTGATACAGTTAGCTCCATTCTTTTTTTCTGTCAGGATAAAAAAGATCGAAAAAGAGAAAGCAAAATGGAAAATGTGAATTAATACACAGGAAACTTACAGAAATATTTACAAGAACCAAATTCAGAGTGACTTTTCATAACACACAGGTGACGCACGCAGGCAATCTCACAATAGATGCAGTTACATGGTACCTACAAGGTGCTGACCATCAGGCTAGAACCTTCAAAAATAACTTGACAAACATCTACATCAAACGTAAAAATTACGAGGCTGGGTACGGTGACTCATGCCTGTAATCCCAGCACTTTGGAAGACTATGGCTGGATGATTGCTTGATCCCAGGAGTTTGAGACCAGCCTGGGCAACATAGTGAGACCCCTGTCTCTACAAAAAATAAAAAATTAGCTAGGCATGATAGCTGCTTGGGAGGCAGAGGTGGGAGGATCATTTGAGCCCGGGAGGTGGAGGCTGCAGTGAACTAGGATCGCACCACTGCATTCCAGCCTGGGAGACCGAGCGAGATCCTGTCTCAAAAAAAAATTACATAAATAAATATATATTTCCTTGTCCATTTTCCAGATGGAAAACCTGACTCTCTGAGGGATAGGGTGATTGGGCTAAAAGTCACACTGAGTAAGAGAAAGAACTAGGAATTCAAATGTGGGTCAGTACCGCTCAAAGTCCTGTGATTTTTCCACTCTATCACAATACTAGTTTTCAGTTGACTTTTTAGGTAACTTATGGCTGAGGACAAGAGAGAATGTATCACTTGATAATTTGAGCTACAGTCTGAGGCCTCAAGGTTGAAGTCAACTGATAAAGAGACTGATTTTGAACCAGAATGGGGACAGTTTGGTAACTTTTGATCCTTAGATGATATATGGATTCTTGTCCTTTCTCGGGTAGTACAAAGCCCTATGAAGTTTAACATAAAAATCTTAATTACAGATCCCCATGGGCTGTCCCGAATAGTTAGCACACATTCGGGCTCTAGGAGAACTGCCCTCCCAGACACGCCATTCTACTCACACTATGATTTGTTGAATCTGATGAGGGCGGCTGTCCCATGCTTTACCTGTATTGACTCAGTTGTTCCTTGCAACAGCCCTTTGAGGTGAGTCTTACAGTTAACCTGTTTAAAGATGGAAACAATGAGGCTCAGGATGGTGAAGAAACTGGCTCAGTGTCACTTTCATAGGAAGTGGCCCATCTGAAACTGGAATCTAGGTCAGATCTCAGGGCTAAAAGGAGTGAACTAATGAGGACTTTGAGATAATCATGGCAAAAGGCATCCCTAATACCTGCTTTTCTAAGATAAGGGGATAGATGGCTATCAACTAGCTCCCTTTTCTACCCTTTCAAAGGAATGCTAGGGTTAGACTTTACTTCATGTTTATCCCAAGGACATAAGGAGAAATATCCAATATCCCCAAAGATATACAGTCTAGAACCTCATTAGTCACAGATTTTGCACTTGCAAATACACCTATTTGCTAAAATTATTTGTAATCCCCAAATCAATACTGAAGGCACTCCTGTGGTCATCTGTGAACATGCACAGAACAGCAAAAAAATTTAGAGTCACCCAAGATGCAACACCTTTCCATCTAAGATGGCACGAGGCAACTTTCTGCTCTATATTGTAAACAATGTCCTTTGTGCAGTCAATTCATTGCCACTTTTTTCCCCCACATTTCTTGCTTTTTGCTGGTGATTTCACTGTTGAAAATCAGCTGGGCATGGTGGCTCACACCTGTAATCGCAGCACTTTGGTAAGCAGAGGTGGGCAGATTACCTGAGGTCGGGAGTTTGACACTAGCCTGATCAATATGGAGAAACCCCATCTCTATTAAAAATAAAAAATTATCCGGGCGTGGTGGTGCATGCCTGTAATCTCAGCTACTCCGGAAGCTGAGGCAGGAGAATTGCTTGAACCGAGGAGGTGGAGATTGTGGTGAGCCGAGATAGCACCATTGCACTCCAGCCTGGGCAACAAGAGTGAAACTCTATCAAAAAAAAAAAAAAAAAAAAAAGAAAGAAAGAAAGAAAAAGAAAAAGAGAAAAAGACAACGACCCCTAAGCACAGTGCTGAAGTGCTGTATGGTGCTTCTAAGCGCAGGATGGCTGTGATGTGCCTTAGGGAGAAAATATACCCGTGTTAGAGAAACTTCTTTCAGGCAAGAGTTAGAGTAATACTAGCCCAGAGTTCAATGTTAATGAACGAATAATATAAACTCAGTAAGGTGTCTAACCAGAAATACGTAAAATAAAGTTATGCATTGGTCAGTTGATGAAAATGTGATCAGAGGCTTGCAGGAAAAAAAAAAAAACCACATTTCCCCTAAGAGAATAATTCAGTATTCACTAATTCTGTGTTCAGGGTGACTTTATAAAACACAGCCACTGCAAATAATGAGAATCAACTGTATATACAAAAAAAAAAGATCAGTGCTACCATGTATGTAATAGGAAATAATTGAAAACAATTTTTAAATCTTATAGGACATTTAAATTATGAGTCAGCTATACAACAAAGTTATATGCAACCATGAAAATTAAGTTGTTAGAAGATTTGAAAATTATTATTAGGTAATGGCAGTTGGAGGAAGAGAAGCAGGGTATTCAGCCATGTAAATTGTATGGTTCAGCACTGACAAAACTGGCATTTGTCTCTAGACACACACACACACACACACACACACACACACACACACACACACCATACATTTGAAACACAGCTTGGAAGAAATGATAAGTGGTGATCATCTTTGAATAGTGTGCTTATGGTGTTTTGAAGTTTTTTCCTTATAATTTTAATATTATTAAGTTAATTATACTATGCGTATATATACTTTATAATCATAAATGCTTCAAACAGTTTCATCATTTGATAGTCATACTTTGTTGATAAATCGGCCTAGCCCTTTTGGAATATCCTATGATTAGATACATCAAGGGCCATAAAATTTTCATAATTGTTGACCTTGTGATTTCTATTTTAAGGGAATACATTTTTTACAACATTAAATGCATAAAGATGTTGATTATACTGTGTTTTATTCAAGAAACATATCTGAACCAAATTAGTGTACAACCGTAGTGGCATGATATCAAGAATATTGCAACATCAATGTGATGAGATATTATGTAGCTGTTATGTACCATGTATTTAAGAAATGGTTAATAAGCACTTACCACGGATTAAGGATATAACAGAGAGCTAAAAATGATACTTTAAAGAACTTCCGTTTCAGTGAAGAAACAGATATTAATCAAAGAATCACGCATAAAACGGTAAAAACGCAACTCTGATCATTGCTAAAAAGAAAATAGAAACATTCCTTTCATGATTAAAAAGGGAATACTGACCAAGTAAGGGAGTCAGGGTGTTCAGATAATTCCCCGAGAAACAGATGAGTCAGCAGAGATTTGTTGCTTATTATAACTCTGAAGATAGATGGATGAAAGATATATAAATAAAAGAATGCAAAATAATGCTTGTACTACAGTTACAATATGTAAATATGCACATGTAGACAGAGATGAAAAATAACTTGCAAAAAAGAAATAGACGGAGATGAAAAATAACTTGCAAAAAAGAAAAACTATAAATAAATCTATTAAGATGATAGGATAGCGGTGATTTTTTTGTTAAAATGATTTGTAATGTTCTTTATAAATATTTTAAATGCAGCCATTTCTTAGATCTTTTACTTGACCCAATTGTATTTTATATATTCAAAATTACAAATTTACATTCAAAATAATATTTTAGAAAGTCAAGCATGCTTTATGATATAATTGTTTAAATATAAATATTGTTTTTTAGAGATTCAAATTAATGCATGTTTACTATTACGGACATTGTTTAGGGTTAAAATACTCTTATGCCTTCCCAACTCTCAATTAAATGCTCATTCTTTTGTGTGTTTTTTTCTAACTTCTACTCACAGTTTTGTTTGCTTTATATATTGAAGATTGAAAATGCCTCAACACCACGACAAAGTTAAACCTGTTTCTATTCATTATTTCTTCATTAAAAAGATCAGTTGATTTTAATAAGTGGAGAATAGGTAGACATCAACACCACACTGCTGCTGAGATTGTCATAGGTTGATACGGCCAACACCTTGCCTAGGGAGTGCATTTTGGGGTCTGTGTCCAAGAGAGGAGGAAGATATGTCATCTCTGTTGTTCCCATTTAATCCTCAGTTTTAGACAAGTACCTAGTGTCTAGGATGTGATCAATAAACGTCTGTTGAATAAATAAGTGATTAAATAAATAAAACTAATTTTTATTGAGGACATCTTGCGTTGTGCTTGAATGCAGTGTTCCATAGTTAAACAGACAGTTTTTTAAAAAACAAACAAAAAAGTCCGAGGCTCAGTGATCTAAGCTAGTGCAGGCTATGAATGAAATAATTTTAAAGTAGGAAAGAAAACAGATGAATAAAAATAATAACAATAGTGAAATAAAAACATTTAATATGAAATCCACAAAGTAAAAAGAAACAGATGGAATTAATTTTAGCAATATTTTTTACTTACACCATTATATCCAAAATATTATTATTTCAACATGTAAACAATATTAAATAATTCTTAGTGAGCTCTTTTACCGTATTTTTTGTTTTGGATGAAGTCTTCAAAATCTGGTATGTTTGTGATACTAAAGCTATCTCCATTCCATCTAGCTGCCTTTCCATTGCCATGTGTGGCTGTTGGTCCCCTCTAGGATAGCACAGCTCTACATAAACCTTTTTATTTTAGATATCAGGACCCAGAGCCAAAGACGGTCAGGACTGGCCCATGGCCATGCCCCATGGAGATTGTTCTAAGCAGAGACCACGGCCCTGAGTTTTTATGCCTTGAGTTGAATAGTTTTCACGTATCTAGGGACTGTGTAGCATCAGGAGCACCAGTGCAGGCTCCTTGACTGTCCTGCCTGGGTTGCAATCTCGCGATTCTCTCTTACAGCGGTGCAGCCTTGGACAAGTTATTTACAACATGTTGGACTTAGTTTTCTCATAGTGAACCGAATCAAGTTATCCTGTGAAGGAAAATAAAACGAGATAACCAATATGCTGTGGGATAAATTGTGTCACCTGAAAAGATTCGGTGAAGTCCTAATCCCTAGTATCTCAGAGTTAAAGACCTTATTTGAAAATAGGGTTTGATGCAGATATAATTTGTCAAGATGAGGTCAAACTGAGACTGGGTGGACCCTTCATCCAATATGAATGATGCCCTTATTGCAAGAGGAGAAGAGAATCAGAGACAGACACACAGTGAGAACACCATGTAATGATGGAGATAGCGATTGGAGCGAAGCCACTGCAAGGTACAGGACACTCAAGATTGCCGGCTACCATCAGGAGCTAGGAGGAGACAAAGAAGGATGCTATGGACTCTCGGAGGGTGCATGGCCCTGCTGACACGTTGATTTCAGACTTGTATTCTCCAGAACTGTAGAGAATACATTTTTTTCTGGGTGGTTGTATGAAGCCTCTCAGTTTGTGGTAATTTTTTTTATAGCAGGCTTAGGAAACTGACACACCCATAAGTAAGATCACCAGATAAAGTAGAAAATTCCACCATAAATATGAATTGCAGACTAAAAAAACCCTCAAAATTGTTTAGCTTATATAAATATGCCCCATGAAGTATTTAGGACATACTACTTATACCTACTTGGTGTCCTTTATTCTTGTTTGCTAAATCTAGCTATCCTACTCCATAAACCACTTTGCATGGTATCAGCCACAGTTTTCAGAAACATTAGCTATTATTAGGATATCACTATAGCTTCACTGGAAGAGGCAATATAGAGATATATGTGTGTTGTGCATGAATAAATATATACCTTCTACAGACAGTCTACTTTTTTAGGTATTCACAAAGGAGTGTGCTAATATTCATTTTAGCACTGACTGAAATCAGAGCAAAATCAAAATTTGACAAATAAAAATGAAATGGAATTGCTGCATGATGAAGGCCCATAGAAAACCTCTCTGGTTTCACAAGGCTCAGAACATTCCAGTTTCACCACAACAGGACTGCTACACATGCGTGCCTGAATGCAGGGTGGGAGTGCAGGTCCGGGCAGGCCCGCTACCTGGAAATTCACTCTGTCCCAGCAGTCTGTTCCCTGCATAACTGCTAGTGTGTGCTGTTCCGAAAACTGCCAGTGGGCTCCTCCTGCTGAAGACACAGAGTGACTGTGACCAACTCTGAGTCAAGCAGATGTTGTCGACATCTAGGAGATGCGCCCATCATTCTTTAAGTGGCTTGAGGGGGGCCTGTTTCATTTTCAGCCCCGTCCTTCTCCATCACTTCCTGCCCCGAGCAGTGGGCTTCCTGCCATTCATCCATGAGATCCCTGTTCTTCCCAAAAGACTGTGCTGAGGCCTTCGGCTAATGTAATCTGAGCAGGCAAAGATAAACTGGGCTGAATATTTAATGATCCTGCTTGTTGGGAAGACCAGTTTCATGGCATGCTAAGTTCAGGAAGTTAATGAAAAGGAGACAAAAACCAAGACACGGATGTTTCTGGTGTGTGTGTCTCTGTGTGTGTGTGTGTGTGTGTTTGTGTGTGTGTAGGAGGAGGGTTACACATAACTATTTTATTTTATATATGCATAGTTCTTACTGGGACTTGATAAATCCTATGATTAATTGATACTTAGTTAACCCCACTGAAATTTACTGAGAATGTACTATCCACTCATGATGTAAATGCTGGCGATTCAGTGGTAAACAAGAAAGACAAGCCTCTGCCCTTTGTGGAGTTTACCTACCAATAAGAGGAAATCGATTACAAATAAGCAAACAAATAAACACCGTAAGTAATGTTTGTAATAATTACTGGGGAGGAAATAACTAGGATTCAGAGACTAATGGGAATAGAAGATGTACTTTAGGAAGGTGTCTCTAAAGTGGAGGCTTTAGCAAGAGACCCACATAACCAAGGGAAGCAAATGAAAGTCAAAAGGAGACTTTTCAGAAGGGAATAGGCTTGTATCCAGCAGTTCTCAGGAACCTCATTCTAGAAGCCTCTGGAAGAGCTGGAGTTTTATAAGAGAAGAGTATTAGCTCCAAGGCATCCATTGCATGCAATGAACAAAATTCAGTCTTCTGCATCTAGAATTCTAGAAGATTTCTAATTATTGGATGAATTTCTCTTGTCTGCATTGAGAATGGTTCTAGTTATGTCCCATCCTTAGAAGCATTGGGAAAAATCATCATTCAAATCATGTTCTGTATTCAGTGGTTCAAATAAGGGGCTCCAATTGAGAAAGTGTCTCAACTTCAGAGATTATGACAAGAATCCAGGTGATGAGGGCCTAGTCAATGGTGGAGAGAAGAAAAAAGCCAGAAATAAAAATGCATGTGACTTTAGATACTCCACCTGGTCCTCAGCTTCTTCATCTACAAAAGGATGTCATAACACCCCCCTTGGGAAGGCTTTTAGGTTTAAGAGACAACACACGCCAAATTGCTCAAATCGATGCCTAAGAGCAGTTGGCATGAAATAAATGTGCATTACTCTTCCCTTCTTCTTTTTTCTTCTTTTTGCACATGATTTACTTAACCCAAATCAGAATAAGGTACATCAGTCTAGCAGGCAACTGACTGCAGAAACCTTATATTCTTAGGTTTTCAAAGGGTTTCAATCATCTTTTGATCCAGAAAGTCATTTGAAGACATGAAACACACACACACACACACACACACATACACACACACCACACTAGATCTCTTTATAGACCACAATATTATTTCCAGCAACAATCATGCTGTTCCCTCTATTCTGAAAGTGAAATCCACAGTCTATGTCAATTTATCCATGGGAAGAGATGGGGGTGGAGTAACTGTGGCCAGAAATTTTGGATTTCAGGATCCCGTTCATACCTCTGCCTCCCACCTCTCACACACATCTCTGAGGCTCCATTTATGAACCTAGCATCACCATAGAGTGTTCCAATGGCCAAAAGTTGCTGGAACCACTTGGTAAACTTCTGTTATTTTCCAAATGCACCATAACACAGAGTTATGCACTCTTACATGCACTCAGATGGACATGAGCACTCACACTGGAAAATTCATTTGCAGCTAAATGCTTTATGCTGCCACCACACTGAATTAGAATTATCTGATTCCCTCACTTGCCCATTACTTGACTCTAAGCTTTGGAGGACTGAGCCTTGTTTATTTTGCTCTGCTTTGTACTGCTGTCTGCCAATAGCTATTTGTTGAATAAATAAATAAAACTGAAAGGTAAACAAGCAAACAAACTCAAAACCATACGTGTATGGCCAATATGAACTCACAAACAGATCCCCAACTCATATGCCTTCCAGATCACACTCAGAGGCACATTCACATGCCAGCCATGTGTGTGAGTCATGCATGTGCCCCGGCTCATGTTTGGACTGTCTCTCAAGTTGTTCCATTCATCTCTCAGCACCCCTATGTCTCTGCGTATTTTGACTAGAGTATTCCAGGCACCTGGCTGGTTTACATTGTGGCTTCCCAGATGGGAGCAGATAGAAGAGACCACATGAAAGCTTTTAGCATCCTCTGTTCTTCAAAGCTTGCCGTTCATATCCCCAGACCAGGTGGTCAGCAGGGTCGAATGTGGTTCATGGGCCTGACTCTGAGGTCTCTTTTTTATGAGTTCAAACCCAACATTGACCACCAGGGAAGACTTAATCTATTTAATATATACCCTTCTCTGGGGTCCCAGATGGTGATGAGGCCAAAGCAAAGGTATCAAACCACATGTGGTCTTTAAATAGCCCTTGATGTTTGTCACAGGGGTTGAGCCCGGGGCCTGGACCCATTCCAGTTGGTAATTGATAATTCCAACTGGTAATTATGTGCTCTGGGTAGTTTCGGTTGGCATCTGCACATCCTGTCCTCAAATGGCGAGAGGTGTTCCCAGATTTCATGCCAGAGGTGGCTCCATTTCAAGCCCCATAAAGTTTCTAAATACCTTTGGAATGCTGCAGGATAAAAGATACTGTCCTCATTAAACACATGGGCTTCTCAAAAGAAAACCCATTACTCTCTGATGATGACAGTTTTTCCTGATCCTTATGTTCCTTGTTAAAGGAAAATGTCACTTAATAAAGAAGACACACATAACTCTTTCCAAGAATTAACTAATTATGCCAACCAACCTCCTAAGGAGAGAGACAAGTGATTTGGTTACAAATCATTATATCCTTCAGGATATAGAGTTGTTCTAGATTTTCTTGATGCTTTTTTGTCTTCCTTTTTATTTTTCACTTTTTGCTATATAATTAATGAAAACCCTTAGATTGAGGTCCGTTCATTTCTCTCCCTATAGCGTACCCGTCCATTTAAGAAGATGTAGGCAGCTGGGTGCGGTGGCTCAAGCCTGCAGTCCCAGCACTTTGGGAGCCCGAGGCAGGTGGATCTCCTGAGGTCGGGAGTTCAAGACTAGCCTGACCAACATGGAGAAACCCTGTCTCTACTAAAAATACAAAAAATTAGCTGGGCGTGGTGGCGCATGCCTGTAATCCCAGCTATTGGGGAGGCTGAGGCAGGAGAATTGCTTGAACCTGGAAGGTGGAGATTGCGGTGTGCCAAGATTGTGCCATTGCACTCCAGCCTGGACAAGAGTGAAACTCCATCAAAAAAAAAAAAAAAAAAAGAATTATATTCTATTCTTGTTTAGAATAGACGCTGGCAGCTGGGCGTGGTGGCTCATGCCTGTAATCCCAGCACTTTGGAAGGCTGAGGCCGGCAGATCACAAGGTCAGGAGATCGAGATCATCCTGGCTAACATGGTGAAACCCCATCTCTACTTAAAAATAAATAAATAAATAAATACAAAAAATTAGTCAGGCGTGGCAGCATGTGCCTGTAGTCCCAGCTACTCGGGAGGCTGAGGCAGGAGGATGACGTGAACCCAGGAGGCAGAGCTTGCAGTGAGCCAAGATTACACTACTGCACTCCAGCCTGGATGACCGAGCAAGACTCTGTCTCAAAAAATAAATGGAATAGACGCTGGCCAGAGATAAAATTGTAGTCTTCCTCTTCCTGTTCTATCAAAGGAATTCCAAAGCCAGACTCAGCTAAATACCTAACATGTTGATCATGGAGATGACCACTTTCAAAACCCATGTGGAGGAGCCTTAGATTTTAATGGCCAACCTTACAGATTTCTCTATTTCCTGAGAGTGTATCACGCTTGTTGTAAACATGTCTGGAAAGAACACATACTCCAGCCATGACCTATGTGTTTAGTTCTTTATTACTGTGTAACAAATTACTACAAAACGAGGATCTGTAAAACAACAGCTTTTATTCTCAATTTGTTGGTTTAACTGGACTCAGCTGGGTGGTTATTATGCTGGTCTCACTTAGGGTCTCTCAAGCACTTGCAGCAAATGATGGCTGGGGCTGGAAACATCTGAAGACAGAGACACTGTGATGGCTCTCATTTTCTTCCTGCCATCTCAGGACTATTTCTTTCCATGTGGCCATTCCAGACGAGTAGATAAACTTCTTGTAGGGTGACTCAGGGCTCCCAAGAGTGAACATTTCATGAAGTAAGAAGCAAAAGTGACAGTCCTCTTAAAGGCTGGGCCTGGAATCAACATTATATTACTTCCTCTGCATTCTATAGCCTAACGTGAGTGCCAGGCCAGCTCAGATTTCATTTGAAATTCACTTGGAAGTGATCACACAAGTGTGTGAAAACCAGGAGATGGTTCACTGGGGGCCACCCTTGTAGAACAGCCATTATTGTCTTTCTTGTCAACCCCCATCAAAAGCAATTCATCCCATATTTGAGCATAGATGCATCAAATCCTGCTCACTCCACTCAGATCTAGTGCTGCTTCTTCTCTGGCCTGTCCCCTCCTCAATTTTCGTTCATATTTTAAGTTTGTGTTTTCTGCTTTCCCTTCACAGCATCAACATGGACCCATTTCCCCAGTTTTCAAATTCACTGAAAGCTCATAACGACTTCCACACTCTTAACTTGAAATCTGATAGGAATTTGATCCAAATTCAAGTCAAGTATTATTAAGTGAATTAACAAAATTGAGAAATGGTATAAGTAATATGATTATCTTTATTTAAAAGTACATAAATAAGCACATGTATGAGTACAGAGAATATATGAATTCTCTAAATGTATGGATTCACTAAGATGTCAGCAGAGATTTCCTCTAGGGAAAGTTTGGACTCTGGGAAACGGGTAACAGATAACTTTTTATTTTATCCTCCTCTAGATGTTAAAAAAAAATATTTTCAACTAGTTTGTGGTTCCTTTATAATAAAAACTAATTTAAAAACATAACCCAAGTCTAGGAAACATTGGCAGTATTTAGACCATGAATCAGGCCTCATTCTTGGGATTAGTGTTTTTATAAGTGCTAATATGTTTTTAGCAAAGAACCCCACAGCTAATTTGGATGTACTCAAAGATGCACAGCAGGACCCACCCACACATACATGAGCACATGCTGCATGCACCACACGCCCATAATTAAGCATTAAGTAGAAGTGTGCAACATCCATCAAGCAATAGGCAAAGCGTGCACAATGTTTACCAAATCCAAACTGGTACTGAAAAGTTAATATTCTCAATTTTAAAACCAAAAGAGCATAACCAAGCTCTTCTTTTCTGCCTTCCTTTCTTGCGCTGAGTATTGAGAAGCATCCTCTGGGATGGTCACCCCAGAGTCTGGCTCACTTAGCTAGATACGCACCCAGCTAGGAACCACCCTGGGTGCCCAAGTGTCTCTCGCCTATCGGTTGCCTATCTCCCAGAATGCCTCTCTCTACAAGTGGCCAGAATGTAGCCCATGGGCCATTCTGAGAACACGCTCTTTCTTGAAATGGCAATGCAATGTGCTGGAGGGTTTCAGAGCTGATCAATGACTGCAACAGTGAGGTCAGGATGTACAGTTGTTTGACTCAGCTCAATAAATCTAACTTTCTGGAGCAGGAAAAAGATCTCTATGTTTTAAAAATGCTTGTTTAAAGAACCCTGTAGAGATTCTGTGTCCTCTGCCCCAGCTCCTTCCCCAAATGCACCACCATCTTGCTATTGCTAACACTCACACGAGTAGGATAGATTGTGAGCAGAAACATATTGACATATTGAAAAGCCCATTGATCTGCAGCCTTCACTGAACCTAACATTCAGTCTGACAAGAGCTCTCAGTACTTCTAAGCACGTGCTTTTATCTGCTTGCTGGAAGCCCGATTATCAGTCCTGACCCTTGCCCCAGTAGAGGCAGAAGGGGTGTTAGAGAGGATCTACCCAGTGGTTTTCCGAGATGGCCCCCAAGGACCTATTCCCATAGAAGAGCTTCTGTGGCCACAGCAGTGGGTGAGAAGTTCTCTCTAAATAGGAGAGATGGTGGCGGGAAGGATAAACAAGACATTTTGTAGGAGCTAAACACTTCACATGCGCCATTTTATTTCTCACTGCAACAACCCCACGGGGTCAGTTCTATGAATGGTCTCATTTTCAGAAGAGGAAACTAAGGCTCTAAGATGCTAAAAAAGTTTGAGGCTAGGAATAAAGTGTGAGACTTTATCTAAAACAACCATTAAAACTCCACTTGTAGGCATTCCCACACATAATTTTGTATGAACAAGACTCTACAGCCAAAATCAGAAAAGTTTAAGAACTTCTGAACTAGTCTATGCATCAATTCTTTCCATTTTAGAGATGAAAGTCCTGATGCTTAGAGGAAGAAAAAAATAACTTCTCAAGTCAACTCAAGGCCACTAAGCAATAGGGAGAGAAATTGGAGTTAGAATGCCTACAAGTAATAATCATACTGGCAGCTAGTATTTGTTGATGGCATGTTATGTGTCAGGTACTATGCTTCTCAAATATGAGCTCATCTAACCCTCAGAACAACCATATGAAGTGGGTTCTCTTTGAGTCCCCTTATTTCAGATGGGGAAACAGAGACATAGAGATTCCGTCCCTTGCCTGAAGTCACAGGGCTACTGAGCAGTAGAGCCAGTTTCAAATTGAGGCTCTCTTGGGCGAGGGCCCAGGCTCATGACCAGGAGGCAATCCTGTCTCTGCTGAGCCAGGCCTTGAGGGTAGAAATCAAGCTCCACAGATGAGTGCAGTGCCAGGTACAAAGTACGTGCTCAGGAAACACCAGTGGAATGCAATGGACTTTATATTCCAGACAGTCTTCAGAGAACACTGAAATCTATGCATTCTCCTGTCATCTGCTCACACTGTCTGCCTTGAATGTGCCCATCAGTGACCATAGAAACTTGCATAACCAGGTATCAAGGGCTATGCCTTCTCCAAGTTCCCCCTCCCATCTCCCTCTGAGCTAGGCTTGCTCCTTGTGACAGCAGGAGTTTCACTGACAAGCCCCTATAGAGGGTTGAGGGGTGGGGATGGCTCTGTGTCTGGGTGGCCACAGGAACTTCTGCAGAACCTCCAAAAGCTCTTGTACCCCACCTGCCATAGCCATCACCTATTGTCCGTGTCACAGGCACCATCCTCAAGTCTAGAAGTGCCGAGCGGCATGAGCCTTTCCTGCTGTTCGAATGCCATGCAGGGTGGGCCCAGCGGAATTTTGAAGTTGGTAGTGGATCCCGGTGGGTAAGGACTTGGTGTACAAAGTCAAATGAACATGTGTTTTCTTATTTTAGTCTTACTTTTTTACTTTTGGATGGATGGTTTGCAATTCTAGAGGTTCATGATGACATAAAGTAAAGAATGAGACTCTCTCCATCTCGTTTCACAAATCTGGGTTTAAATGTCAGCTTTGCAAGCATCAGCCTGTGTTTTGCTGCTTCAGGCCTCCATTTCCTCATCTGCAAAAGGAAGATAATGTAGCAATTCCCTTGGAGGCTGGCAGTGAGTATTAAATAAGAGGAGGCCTTGATTTTGGCAAAGTTCTGGAGCATTGGGAAATGCTTAATAAATGTTAGCACCTCTTAATAACTCTCTAGTATATCTCTTCGTGTGTGTGTTTGCTGCTGTAAGATCAGCCAGGACACAAAACCCTCCATAGGCACAAATTTATACATGTTGAATCTTATCTCCATGCAGCCTTCTAGAAATACATTGTCATCTGGTAGACACATTTAAAGTTGTACTTAATGTGTCTGTGTGTGTGTGTGCTTATTTGTTAAGTGCATATAACAAAGAGGTGAGTTTACTTTTCCTTCAAGAAACTCAAATTGTTTGTAAAACCTTTAACAGAGATTAAATAGCTGATAATCAACTTTTACCATGTTGTTGACTCTTTCAACATTTGTCTTAGTGATCTTCTCTGAAACGATGTGTACAGATTGTAGGATTCACTTCTTAGGCCGGCCATGGGAAAATTCTCCCCATGCTTTAGTATCTTCCAGGGTAAAAAGGATGAGGCAGGAGCGGGTGGCTATAAGTCCTTCTTTTTGTCCCCCAAGCAAGTCTCTCTGAAATGTCACTTACCAAATAGCGGCAGGACACTCTGCTGTCTTCATTTGTGGCCACTCCACTTTTCTTTTCTTTCTTTTCTTTTCTTTTTTTTTTTTTTTTTTTTTGAGATGGAGTCTCACTCTGTTGCTCAGGCTGGAGTGCAGTGGTGCAATCTCAGCTCACTGCAACCTCTGCCCTCTGGGTTCAAGCAATTGTCCTGCCTCAGCCTCCTGAGTAGCTAGGATTACAGGTGTGTGCCACCACACCTAGCAAATTTTGTATTTTTAGTAGAGATGGGATTTCACTATGTGGGTCAGGCTGGTCTTGAACTCCTAACCTCATAATCTGCCCTCCTCTGCCTCCCAAAGTGCTGGGATTACAGGCATGAGCCACCACACCTGGCCACCACTTCACATTTCTTTTGCTGGCCTGAGAAATTGAGGTAGTTGGGAAGTAGCTTGCACCAATTCAAACAACATGGATAATACCAGCTTCAGCATCTACTACCTTTGGGATCTGGGGTGAATGATTCAACCTCACTGACTGTATTTCTCATCCGTAAAATCAGAATAAGAGTAGACCCCCTTCACAGGGCTCAGGTTTGTGTTAAAGACAATATGAGCCTGAGTATTTGGTAATTTTTCTTTCCCTCAGAACAACCATATGAAGGCGACAATTTCAAACACCCAGCCCTAAGGAGACAGCTTCTTGGCCTCCCGACCGCCTTTCTTCATGAAATCTTTCCAAACACCTCAACACACACACACTTTTGCCCTTCTCTGACCTCCGTGCTACATAGGATCTGACCCAGGGAAGTGGTCTCCGAGTAGTACTGACAAACCATCTCTAATAGGCACGAGATCCTTTTGATTTTTTGAAGCCTGTATCCCAACCCATGTTATAAATATCAGAAAATCAGAACCAATTTGTGATTTAAAAAAATGTCTCTAATATTTTTCTATTAGCATCTGGCAAATAGATGTTTGGAAAAATACCGATGGGACAACATGGTGTCTAAAAGTGCAGCAAACTTTGTTATACATGGTAAAGGGAGTCAGATTGCAAGTGAAGACATACTTATATCAGGGAAAATTAGGAGAAAATTAAAAATCCCCTCTACATATAACCAAAAATGGGAGGGATAAACATAAAGGGTAGATATAAGAAAATGTAACACTGGGTGAGTTCTTCTTCAAATTAACACACAAAATATTTACTGAATTGATATTAGAAGTTGGAAAACAATTGACTAAATGACTGAAGGTCATGGAAGAAATGCTATGTACAAACCACTGTGTGCTAACATCTGGGACCTGTCCTCATAGATGGCCTAGTTTAGGGAAGGAATGACACGTAACAAGGAATTTTAATAAAAGTTCACATCTGCACCGGCGATTATGAGCTGGTGGAGTGGAGAATCAGTCTGGGAAGGCTTCCCGGAAGAGTAAGAACATTCTGTAGAGGGTTAACAGTGAGAACAAAGGTGGGAGAGATGTCACATCCAGATGAGAAAGCTGTTCTTTATAGGATGGTCCCCAGGCATGAACAGCTCTGTGAGATGGTGAGAGATTGAATGAGCACCACAGAGGAGGTCTTTGCTCTAGAAGGGCCGATCTGAGAGGGGGCCCCAAGTTCTCCTTCCACTCACCACTCCCTGCTTACACTGGGAAGAGAGCTCCTTCCTGTTTTAGGTTCAGGCCAGTGCCTCTAAGCTTGAGTGTCTATCAAAATCCTTGGGGGTTGTGGGGCGGTGTTGCTAAAATGCAGACTGCTAGTCCCTCCCCCTGAAGTCTCTGATTCATTGTATCTGGGATAAGGCCTGGGGATTTCATCTTCAGCAAGTTCTCAGGGGATGCTGCCAGCCCAGGGAACCCCACTTTGAGATCAGCTGGCCTTGGTAGTATTCCCCAGACAGAGACATTAAGTCCCAGCTGACAGTGTTGGAGCAAGGATAAGATTGTAAAACACAGCCCGCTGCTCACCAAATCCCTGGCACGGGCCTTGTGCACACTCTGAAAGTGTGTCCAAACCACACAGTCCCATTCTTGCCTGCCAAAGTCAGGTATCCTACAGCAAGGCCGGGGGTGGGGGCGTCCCCACCCAACACTCTGCACAGTTTCACAGCCCCAAGAACTCACCTGCAGAAAGATCTTTCCAGGCCTTATAGTGTACATCTAGATACTAGGTCTTGGCGCCTGTTGAAAGGAATCGTGCCTGCGTTAATTATTCCACCACAGTGAGTGACTCCAACAGGAATCGTGGTGGCTAATTATGAAGCCTCCTCGCCCGCAACCAGATTCCAGATTGGGGTCCCCTGGGTTCTAACTGTGCCATTAACTCTGATTAGGCATGTGTGGCCCTTTATTCTTGTTGCTGCTAACATCCTAATCTGAGTTTCTTCAACTTTGAAGTGGGGATGAGGTCGCTTTATTGTTTCAGGAACGGATACATGGTTGCTGCTTATTAAATGCTAATTAGTACATGATAAGTGCAATTAGAGGGTCGGAGCTGACTGCTAAAACCCGCCCAGCAGTGAAGCTGGCCATTGCGAGGAAAACCAGTTTACCCAGCTACAGAGAGAATAATCGGGAAGTAAAACAAGCCTTGAAGAGCTTATTTGTTTCTGAGGCCAAGTTCCACTTGTTTAGAGTTTACACCTTTCTACATTTTATATTTGCTTTATTTCTTATTTTTTCCTCCTCCCCAAAGACATTGACTAGAACGCCTTGGGATGTAGCTTGCAAGATACACCCTGAGCCCACTTAAAGAGCAGGACACAGCTTGGGACGCGAATGGGCTGCCTGCTTAGCTGGTGGCTGGTTTTGCTGTAGCAATAAAAACCTTAAGGCCTGGTGGCATGCCTCCCTTCAACCACCCCAGGATCTCAGTTCTGAGGTCTCTGAAGTCTCTAAAGTTTTCTTGCCTTTCCGTAACAGGCGCGAGAAGGCTTCTGCGGCTGGGTGTGGTGGCTCACACCTGTAATTCCAGCGAGGGTGGGAGGATCACTTGAGGCCAGGAGTTCAGGACCAGCCTGGGCAACATAAAGAGACCCTGTCTCTACAAAAAATTAAAAAATTAAAAAATTGTCCCAGTATGGTAACAAGCCCCTGTAGTCCCAGCTACTGGGAAAGCTCAGGTGGGAGGATCACTTGAGCCTAGGAGTTCAAGGCTGCAGTGAGCTAGGATTGTACCACTGTACTCCAGCCTGGGCAACAGAGCCTGCCTCTGAACAAAGGGTTTCTGCCACTCCATGCTTAACGACTGCATCCCAGGCAGGCAAAGGAGAAGGAACAGATGGGCTGAACCTGTCCCACTTCTTTGAGGAAAGTGAGTGTGTCCCTAACAGCACACACCCTCTCCCAACAGGGTTTCCCTTAAACTTCACCGACAATCCTGTGCCATTGTGACCCTAGCTGCAAAGGGTTCTGGGAGAGTGAGCATTTCCCAGGGCAGTGAGCACATTGCTGTTCTGGACAAAATCAGTCTGAGCAGAGAAAGGAGAGGATGAGTTTGAAGTAAGCAGCTGCCTATATCCATCCAACAGTTGAGCTCAGAGGCAGGCAGCATGAGGGTGGAAAGCTCTGCAGCCCACACGTTGCTCAGCTTGTTCACTCTAACTTTCCAGCTTCTTTATTTGCATAATTATAGAAATAACCCACCCATACCCCTTCTGGGGGCATCTGTGAGGGTTAAGTGATGTCACTTATAAAAGCCCTCCATACAGTGTCCAGCACACAGTGTGTGTTCTGCAAAGAGTAGCTATTGGAGTTAGTGCTGGGAGTGACAACCTTCCCCTTGATTCCACCAGCCCTGCTGGGCCCCTCAGTGCTTTGCTCTGCCATTTCCCAGAGCCCTGCTGGAAGACCAGGAAGAGTGCCTGAAGCCGCGGTTGTTATTTGAACGCAGGCCTTCCTGCAAGCTGGACTTTGTTCATCCCTGTGGACAGCATATCTGGAAAGCACAGACACTGTAACCACATCGTGGTTTGACCTTTAAGCTCTGGGAGCATAAATCCTTCTAGCGTCTTGTTTTTCACGGTCAGAGTCCATGCCACTGGCTCCCCACTCGTATGAGTGGGCTGAGGACCAATCTGCTCTCCCAGCACTAGGAAGGATAGACACTAATAACTCCCAATTGATATGTAACTTGCCCTAATATTGACCCTGGCCCTGATGACTCCCAATTGATATGTAACTTGCTCTAATATTGACCCTGGCCCTGTGGTTAGTGATTCTCATTGCAGGGTAAATGATTGGACCGTTTTGGCTTTTACCCCATTTGACATTTTCACAGCCTCTACCACCATCTTCAACAACAAAATAAGACAGCTTAATTAATTGTGTGACACAAGGATGAGCCATGCTGTTGCTCTTTAGTGGATACAGTGGCAAACTTCACAGTATTTCTTCTGAATCAACTAGAAGGTGTGACTGCCCTTTATCAAATATGACAAAAGTGGAAAGTCCCACTTTTTCCCATCAGAGATGTATCTACATTAAACCATCCGAGTGAATGATAATAATAATATTATTATTAATATAAATGGAACGCTCAAGACATGCCTGGTGTGCTAAGTATGTTAGATTAGCAACAACCATTTATTCTTAAACAGTTACAGAATTCCAAATATCTGCTACGCTCTGTATTAGCCACTGTGTAAGAGGTTAAAACAACATGGTTCCTGTACTGTGTGGGGAGGCAGCAGATGAATAGGTCTAGTGTCATTAGGGCTGTGAAGGGAGAATACTAATTACTGTTAATAGTAATAACATTATTGTTGTGAGGTCTTAGCTGAGGGACTCCTCCATGTCAGGTGCTTAGGATACATTACATTTTTAACCATCATCACCACTATGACCTCTTCATGCATTAATAGATACTCTTTATAATCCCATTTTTAAAATGTGGCACCTAAAGTAGAGAAGTTGAGTAGCCTAAGGTCATACAGCTGGTGAGAATCTGGTGGAATTGCAATCCCCTTCTGGCTGTCTACAGAGTTCATACTCTTCACACCACAGCTGGGCTGCTAAGGGCCAAATCCTAGCTCTGCCTTTTACCGGCTTTGCAACCTTGGGCAAGTTCCTTCAGCTCTCTAGACTCAGTTTCCTAATCTATAAAATGGGTTTATAATATTACTACAGAGTAGTGATAAAGAATACATGGGTTAGTGTACGCAAAATGCTGGAGACAATTAACATATGTGAATCCTGTGACCTGATACGCACCCAGCAAACCCAGCACCCTCCAGCTCCACCATGACAACACAGAGGATGCTCCTCTAGCCCAGCAGGAGAAGTCAGCTGCATTGAGGCTTGAAGGGTGAATAAGAATTATCTGGGTAGGAAAAGGAGAACAGCCTCACTGGCAGAGTTTTTATAAAGGCACCAAAGTCTGAAAGGCATGAAGAGTTTAGAGGGACCCGTTAACAGTTTAGAACAACTGGATGACAATTGCGTAGAAGGAAATGGATACTGCGGATACCACGGAGCTCAGCAAGCAAGTTTCACCTTCTAAAGGCAGTGGGTGAAGGTTAAAGAATATAAAGCAGGAAAATGACTCATCCCCCACCCCTCAAAGAACAAATGATTCTAAATCCAACTCTGGGACATTTTTGGTTCTTAAGAAATGAGAGCCTCACTCTGTTGCCCAGGCTGGAGTGCAGTGGTGCAATCCTAGCTCACTGCAGCCTGGAATTCCTGGGCTTACCTGATCCTCTCTGCTCAGACTCCCAAATAGCTGCGAGTACACGTGTGAACAACCACACCCTGCTAAGTAAAAAAAAAAAAAAAATTTGTAGACACAAGATCTTAGTATTTTGTCCAGGCTGGTCTTAAACTCTCAGGCTCAAGTGATACTCCCTCCTCGGCCCCCCAAACTGCTGGGATTATAGGTGTGAGCCCCCATCCCAGCCTACTTTGGGAACTTAAGTCCTGTTGTGGCCCATACTGAAGAGATGGAAAATTCCTTCTTGTTGACAAAGGAAACACCTTTCCCTCCTCTTTCTCTTCTCCCTTGTCCTTGGGCTACCCTTAGGAGGCATACTCAGTCCACTGCCTGCTACTTTCCAGCTCTTCCTGCTTCCTTCTACAGGGTTTCCAAGTCCTGAGCAAAGGCCAAGTTGGGGCTGCAGGGAAGGTAGTAAGCTTTCTAGTTACCTTCTAATCTGTGGATGAGTACTGTAGACTTCATGGGCATAGTTCATGCTTAGTGTATCCTGGTCTTGGAATGATCCTTGGTTTTTAAACACCCTGAGCTCTGAGGTCTGTTTGAGAGGGACCAGGTCAAAATGCAGAGCTTCTACTTGCAAAACTGGGAGCTACGGGTTTAACAATCTCCCCAATTTCAACAGAGCCTGCACCCACCAGGACCCAGATCCTCAGGGAAATGGCTGACATTGGAAGGGCTCTGTCAGCTCCCTGGCCCAACAGGACCTTGCAGTTGCTTCTGTTCTCGGAAAGTGCCCCAGAAGTGGAGAGTGAAAAATGCAGCTCTTGGTGGGCTTCGGCCCTCCCACCCGCCTGCCCGAGGGAAGAGGGCTGGCCTCCACGTTTTCCCAGATCCATGTGGGCTGCTACAAAAGAGCTTTTGAGGATAAACAAATACAGAATTGAGAAAATAAGGAAGGAGCTGGCATCTGAAGAATGCGAATATTTAGAAAATGCTGGGGAGAGACGACAGAGCAGGCTGTTCTGTTGTAGGTTAGATGCTAGATGGCCTGAGACAGGGGAACCGCCAACAAGAGAAAAAGGGAAGGAAAAAAACATCTTAATGGAGACAAAGTTTCTTCAGGGTGGATTGTTTTTCACAGGCAAAAAGGAAGGATGTGAAAGCAAAGGAGATCTAGGGAACAGCACAGATACGCCGCCTCCATCATTCCACACACTGGTCAACGTGATAGGAAGATCCCACCAGCCATTGTTACAGCATTACAGAGAGCTGATTTTTAAATTGTTTAATGTTACATTATTTATCATTATTTATTGGTCAAGAGATTCCAGGGAGTTGAACCACCCTTCAGTCAAGAGGGTCAGAGTGGAAGCCCAGAGAATAATGGCAAACCTGCCCAAAACGTAATAGGGAAAACCAAGGGAAAAATCAAGGAAAGGACTGGCTGCCATGTTCTTTCAGCTATTGCAGAGAACAGCAAATGGCCAGGAGCTAATTGTCAAAGCACTCAATCTGAAGTTAGCAAATATTTGATCCTTCATTGAAATATCCTTGCTCTTTTTGTATTTCTTGGTTCAAACATCTCAGTTCATTCATTCATCTGTCCATTCATTCAAGGCGTTGGTTGTACATTTAATAAACACCAATATTCTCTACCTTAGCCAGGTTGTCTTCCATGAACTGTACATATACTGTTTTATTTATTTTTTAAAGTAATATTCTGTTTTAAATTTTATTTTAAATTCTGGGGTACAGGTGCAGGATGTGCAGCTTTGTTACATAGGTAAACGTGTGCCATAGTGGTTTGCTGCACCTGTCAATCCATCTCCTAGGTATTAAGCCCAGCATGCATTAGCTATTTTTTCTGATGCTCTCCCCACCCTCCCCCGACAGGCCCCAGTGTGTGTTGTTTCCCTTCCTGTGTCCGTGTGTTCTCATTGTTTAGCTCTCGCTTATATTTTGTTTTTTGGTGTTTTTTGTTTTTGTGTTTTTTTGAGACGGAGTTTCAGATTTGTTGCCCAGGCTGGAGTGCAGTGCCGTAATCTCAGCTCACTGCAACCTCTGCATCCCGGATTCAAGCGATTCTCCTGCCTCAGCCTCCTGAGTAGCTGGGATTACAGGCACCCGCTACCACACCCCACTTATAAGTGAGAACCTGCAGTGTTTGGATTTCTGTTTTGCATTAGTTTGCTGAGGATAATGGCTTCCAGCTTCACCCATATCACTGCAAAGGCCATAATCTCATTCCTTTTCATGGCTGCATAGTATTCCATCGTGTATATGTGCCACTTTTTCTTTATCCACCCTACCACTGATGGGCATGTGGATTGATTTTATGTCTTTGCTATTGTGAATAATTATAGCAATATTCTTTACAGGTGCTATTATTGTCACCATTTCACAGATGAAAAAATTGAGGCATAGACAGTATATTAGTTTCCTACTCGCTACAGCAAATTATCACACATTTGGTGGATTCAAACAACACAAATTTATTACCATTCAGTTCTGGAGGTCAGAAGTCCAACATGGATCTGCCTGGGCTCGCAGTGAGGTATCAGCAGGGCTGTGTTCCTTCTGGAGGCTCTAGAGCAGAAACATTTTATTCATTTTTCAGGCTTCCGTAGGTCAACTGCATTTCTGGACTCATGACCCTTTCCTCCATCTTAAAAGCTAGCAGCAATGGTTTTCTCGTATGGCATCATGACAAGACAGATTTCTATTCTGCCACTTATTTCCAATTTTAAAGATCCTTGTGATTACAATGGCCCCACCCAGATAACGCAGGGTAATCTCCCTATTTTAAGGTCAGCAGAGCAGCAACTTTAATTCAACCTGCAACCTGAATTCCCTCTTGCCAAGTAAGGTAACGTAATCACAGATCCTGGGGATTAGGATGTGGACATCTTTGGGGGACCATTATTCTACCTACCACAGACAGCTTCAGTGGCTCACTCAAGGCCACAGGGCCAGTGAGTGGCAGGCCTTGGATTCCATAGTTGATATTCTGACTCAGTCTCTGAATTTTACCTCCTCCCACTTCTTATGTGCCAGGACTCAGCTGGGGGCTGTGGACACATCAGAAAAATATGCTCTCCATCTCTGACCTGGTGGCTCCATATTCCACTGCGTTTGTGGAGCAGAATCCCGTGAACTCTGGACAAGAAAACTTCGAGGCAGGAAAGAATGAAAACAAACGCTGAGCTGGAGAGTAAGCAGGAAGAAGCACTATTTGGATGGGCAGATTGAGTGAACATTTGGAGATGCATAAAAGGTGGGCATGGGTGGTTATGGAGGTGGGCATGGTATACTGAACAATAATTAAAGACAATTCAGGCTCACTGGGGACTCTGCCTGGACCCATTCCCTTTGCCCCAATTCTGATCGTCTGTTGCCCTCTATAAAGTTCGAGTACCAGCATTCTTAATTTAATGTACTGTATACATACCCACGTAGATACAGTTATGTTTGCTCTCCCTTAAGGGTGTGTGGCATTGAAGACAGACACACATTCACAAACCCCTGGCTACCTCCAGGCCTTAGTGACTGTGAAGCAAAACCCCTTGGTGGTCACTAGCTGGGGCATTTCTTGAGGTTCTTCTGGAGACCCAAAGGAAAACTCACATGGAGTTGACCCCCAAAGACAGACTCACATCTTTCCTGATGCCAGGCACCCATCCCTTATCCACACTTTTGGAATTAGAGGAGGTCCTGAGTTGGAGCCCAATAGCTGCCAGGTGTTCACTGATGCATGTCAATCTCCCTGGGCCTCACTTTCCACATATGTAAAAATTGGGATAGTTGTGACATCTTATCTAGAGCTGTTGCAAGATTCGTTAAGATAAACATGAATGTACTTTGTGACTGGAAGGCATATATGAGAAATTCTTGTTATTAAAGCAATAGACAACGATGTAATAGGGACTTCCTCATGTACCTGTGATAGGCACAGCTAAACTACAGAGATGGGACTCTAGAAACAAGCGGGACTGAATTTTAACAAATCACTCAGAAATCACGAATTTAAGTGAAATTGGTCTCCTTGGGACATAGAACAAATATTTTAGCATAATCAAAATGTTCTCATTTAATTTTCCTTTTGAACCTATGATATAGTCCTCAGTGAAGGCAAATATCCATCTTTGAAAGTACATTTGTTTTGTTTTGTTTTTAAAGCCAAAAGACATCTACTGCCAAGTCTTGTTAGTAAGGAGGAGCTAATGGTTTGGAGTCAAATGTTAGATTTTCCCTGAATGCTCAATAACTGGCTGAGAAAAATAACAATCCCAAGGAATCATTTTCAAATAATTTGTAACTAGGCAGCCTTGTTAGAATCAGGGAAGAACTTCTAAGGGGTAGATGCATACCTGGAAACATTTGATGAGTCCAGGTTATTAGATGACTTCTTACCTTCACTCCTCACAGCAGGATTTTTGCTCAAAAGGCCACTTCCTCTACCCCAACCCAGAAAACACAGAACCTCACTTTCTATTCTGGGCCTAGTAGACAACAGAGCTTTAGTATTTAGGGACGTGGAATTTTACCTCCTGACGTCTGATTCTGGCTTCAGCACTTGCTAGCTGGATGATCTTGGGACATCACTGAACTTCACTTCATTCTTCTCAACCAGGGTTTATTGTTCCCCTGCAGCAGGACACTTGCCAATGTCTGCAGACATTATAGGGTGGTAGGAAAAGGAATGCTATTGATAGCTAGTAGGTGAAAGCCAGAAATGCTGTTAAGAGTCCTACGATGCTCTGGACAATACAACAGCAAAGAGCGCTCCAGCCCCAAATAGCAATAGTGTGGAAGCTGAAAAACCTTGTACTATATAGGAAATAGTAGTACTGACTTCGCAGGGCTGATGTGAAGAGTGAATGAGATGATGCATGGAAAGTGTTTACCACTTTGCCTGGTGCATATTGGGACACAATAACATGAACTTATATTAATTCATATGAGCAATATATAAATCATAATGTTCAATGGGCTCGGATGCCCACCGTCCTCCCTGTTCTTCACACCATCACTCCTACTCCGAAAATCATTATTGTTACAGCCACATCCGGTATGCATTTTCACAGAGGCCTTTGGAGATAGAAAAGATGTCATCCATGCAGATTAGGGGATGAATAGATTCTCAGTGTCCTTGAAAACTCTCATGCCCTGTCCCACTACTCACAAATTGTCCTTCCTGGGATGAAGTCCAAATACCATTATGAATATTACTACCTCAATTAAAACAGTTGTTACCATGTGTCTGGCACTTTATATACATTATTTTAATTTAATATTTCCTATAATCCAACAACTAGGTATTACTATCATCCAGATGGCCAAGGCACAGAAAATATTAACAAGTGACTTAGCGAAAATTAAATGGCTGCAAAGAGGCAGTAGCCAGATTTCATCCCCATCCACTTGACTCATACGGCACATGCTATGACTCCTCCATGGGCCATGGAATTTGGAGAGAGACGGAGTAAGGGAATTGCTGCAGTTTGCCCATAAAACCAGCACCCTGAGCTATATGTCTACTCCTTTTCTAGAAAATATCTGTGTCTTTCTCTCCAGCTCACCAGCATTAAGGAGAGCTGTCAGGAGCATAATTAAACATACTTGTTTCAGGCATTGGAAATGGTCTTAAAGAGTTAAAACCTTAGAACATTTGTAACCTGTCTTTCAAATGGTATTAAAAATTCATTTTCTAGAACACTGATAGAATTTTCTTTCCCCCCTCCCAGGCAACAAAATCTATGTTTTCACAATCCATAATTCAAAGCCGATCCTGGAAGAAATGTTGAAACGATAAACATGTTACTTGTGATTTGTGGCTATTTAATAATGATGATATTGAGCAAGGAAATTAGACCCATGTCAAATGTGGTTTTGAAGGAGATACTGCAAAAGGAAGAGACATGTAAAGAGACTTTTCTTCCTCAGAAAAGTGTGTTGCTTCTATACCTCTCTTCCTGAAGTTTCTTAAAGTCACATTGCCCTTTTTCCTTCCCTTCTGACTCATGTTTCACATGTGTGTTTATCTATTTGTTTTAAGATTTCTCTAGCTAAATGAAACAGAATCAATTATACCTTGACTTTAAGCTTTTGTTAGTGGTGGTATTAACTTTTCATTGTGGTTATCATGACGGTGTCAAAGGCAGGGAATAGAGGGGTGGCATTTTTGACACCTGATTTCTAAACATTCCCTCTGATTTTTTCATCTTCTAAACGGTAATATAAAGAGACGTCTTAGTGTCCTAAAAGGAATAGATGAATAAGTGGCTTAAATGTGCTCTCGTGTTCACAAAATGAATTCATATCCCAGAAAAATCTCCATACCTAGAGCTAGAGTTTCCAGATTTGTCCTTTAGTATTTTATTTTTGTCTTTTCCACTGATTATAGAGGCTCGTTACCTTGAAGTGTGGTTGGCAAACCAACAACATCCACATCACTTGAGAGCTTCTCAGAAATGAAAAATCTGTGTTCTACCCCAGGACTACTGGATCAGCATCTGCACCGTTATTGAAAACCCCAGGTGTTCACACATACCTTAAAACTGGAGAAGCACTGAGGATAAAGTTACTTGGTCAAAGACATATTACTAGTAACAGTGTCAGCCTCAGTCTTTCTATTGAATGAAGGTGTGGGATATAAATTCTCTTCCAGTCCTAAAGTTATTGACTTAACTTAAGACACTGAGCATCTCGTCCTTGCCACATCCCATACAAGGCATTAGGGGCAACCTTCAAGCATGGTTCCTCTCCTCAGGTGATTTTCCATGCACAGGAGAGGCTAAAAAGCAGCATCCTTCAAAGGATGTTCTACAACATAAGAAATGTTTTATATTCACACTGTCCAATATGGGAGCCACTAGCCACACCTGATTATTGAGCACTTGGGATGTGACTAGTGCAACAGAGGAACTGCATTTTAATTTTATTTCATTTTAAATAGCCACATGTGGCCAGGCATGGTGGCTCATGCCTGTAACCCGAGCACTTTGGGAGACTGAGGTGGCTGGATTGTTTGAGGACAGGAGTTCAAGACCAGCCTGGCCAACATGGTGAAACCCCGTCTCTACTAAAATACAAGAAATCCGCCACGTGTGGTGGAGCACACCTGCAATCCCAGCTACTTGGGAGGCTGAGGCACAATAATCACTTGAACCTGGGAGGCAGAAAGATCATGCCACTACACTCTAGTCTGGGTGACAGAGACTCTGTCTAAAAATAAATAAATAAATAAATAAATAAATAACCAATAAAATAAAAAATAGCCATGCATGGCTAGTGGTCATCCTATTGAATAGTACAGCTATAAAAGGAGTCAATGTGGGCTGCACATGGTGGCTCACGCCTATAATCCCAGCATTCTGGGAGGCCAAGGTGGGTGGATCAAGAGGTCAGGAGATTGAGACCGTCCTGGTCAACATGGTGAAATCCCATCGCTACTAAAAATACAAAAATTAGCCAGGCATGGTGGCACATGCCTGTAATCCCAGCTACTCGGGAGGCTGAGGCACGAGCATTGCTTGAACCACGGAGGAGAAGGTTGCAGTGAGCCGAGATCGCGCCACTGCACTCCAGCCTGGTGACAGAGTAAGACTCCACCTCAATAAATAAATAAATAAATAGTATCAATGTGGTAATGAGAGTGCAGACAGAATCTGTGGGCACACTAAGGAGAGAATAGTTTACCCATCATGCGAGGGAGGGAAAGGTACTCAGAGGCACTATCCAAGGCCAGACTTGGACTGGTCTCCAAATTGGGAACTACACAGGGAGGATTCAAGGTCCCTCCCTTTGGTGCGTTTTAAGTTCCTCCCACTCTTTTTCTCCCCTTCATCTCTCACTTCCGCCCTTTCTCCATTCAGAACTGAAGTCACTCTTACTTTCCCACGTTACTGGCCTTTTTTTCTTCTCCTGCCTAACAAATTCCTTTGCATCTTTTAAGACTAAACCTAAAAGCCTATGTTTTGATTGTTCATCAATGTCACTTCCTCTGTGCTCCCTTCTCACAGAATGCCCCTTTCTGGGTAGAAGGCAGCAGGGCCAAAAAGGTGATCAGGAGAGCAGGGCTTGGTGTTCTGTAGATCTGAGTCTCAATTCCAGTCTAGCTTTGCAATCTCAGGCTACTTTCCTAAGGTCTCTAAGCTTTAGCTTCCATATCTGTTCTATAGGTGATTGTGATTTAAATAATTGTTTACATGTAACTCTCTTAGCTCCATGCCTAGTAAGTCATGAATCCTCAAAAAATACTTGTTATTTATACTATACTTATTTGTATCAGTGTATCTTCAATATTGTTATATTACTGATGCTTAATTACAAAACTCTGCAATATAAGTGCTCCAAAGAATCTCTTCCATGGCTCTTCTCTACCCAACAAAATGTCTGGCCCAGAGTAGGTGTTTAATAAACATTTACTGAATGCATGAGTAAATCAATGGGTGCGTGAGTATGTAGATGGATGAATGGTTACATGGATAAATTGATGTTAGCCCATCGAAACGTCTAGTGAAATAACAGCTTCTCCCAGAGCCAATAGCATTTGAAAATGATCATCATATGGGAAGGTGGTCACACGACTATTCTAACACCTTACTCTAAATGTCATATGTTCACCTAATGCCTGGTAAAAGGAATAAGGGTTATAAAATTAATACTTCCTTGTCATAGAGGATGAGAAAATATAAGGGGAAAAATGATAGAAAATTTGAATGAGTACAGGATTCTATCAACCACACAAAACTACCAACTATGAACAAATTGAAGTATTTCTTTCCAGGAATTTTTTTAATGTATGTATATATACATATTTTTTACAAATTCATCATTGTACTTATATTTGTCATTTAGCTACACATTTCCAAAATTAAAAAAAAAACTGGACACAAAATTGAGTTGGTAAATTTTGGAGCAACTGGGGCAGTTGTACACTGCAAATAGGAGAAAAAATTGGTATAATCCATTGAAAAACTATTTGGTGGCCTCTCCTAATACAGAATATATACATATCCAATAATCCAGCAACTCTACTTCTAGGTGTGTACCCAACAGAAATGTGCACATGTGATCATCAAAAGCCTGTAGAAGAACAATTAGCAGCACTATACATTATGGACAAAACTGGAAACTATTCAAACGCTCATCAACAGCAGAATGGATATTTAATTGCAATATATTCGCACAGTAGAGTGGGAATCTGGAAACTGAAACTCCTCACGATAGCATGGATGACTCCTTAAAACAAAGTATTCACTGAAAGAAGCCAGGGACAAGAGAATACCTTAGATGCGGCTCCATTTATAAAGTTCAAAAATACACACCTGATCTAAGGTGTTAGAAATGGCTTCCCTGGGTGAAGTAATGACCAGATGAGGCCCAGGAGGGCTTCTGGGAAGCTGAGAATTTTTTTTTTAATTTATTTTTATCTAGGTACTGCTTCTATGCTTGTATGATTTGTACACTCTTCTGTGTGTTTTTTACACTTCCAAAAAATGTACTTTAAGAAATCAGTGCTAACTTTTCTTTGGAAACCCCTTTTATAAACTCATGCCAATATGTGCAAGGCATTTCATCTTGTTTATGTACCACCATTGACCTAACTAGTTTCCTAGTGTTAGACAGACACCTTTTTCTCCTGGGTTTATTTGTTTTTTTTTTTTTTCCCACCCTTTTCAATAATGCTTTCATGACTAAGCTTGTACGTGATTGGAAATGTGGATCCAGGGTTATTTCTTTAGGATTGATCCCAATAAGTGAAATTAAAGGGTTTTGAGGCTCTTGATACTATTCCAAACTGCACATAAAAGACTACTTTGATTGTTATTCTTGCTGTTGGATTGTTTATTTGTTTGCATGAAATAAGTTCACCCCGTCAGGGTTCTGAGCTGTTTTGACTTTTTAAGAATATTGGATGTCCGTGAACATTAGATCATACCTCCGCCAGCTGTGGGCTCTATCACACACAAAAAATATATTTTGAAGAAAAACATTCTAAGTGAGAATTCATGACTCTCACTTAGAATTCTGTTTCCTCAGGGATGGCTTTTCCAGCATCAGGCAAGAAGGAGCCTATTCCTCGAGACCCAATTTTCCAACTCGAGGAAAAGCCAAGCAGAGCCTGCTAAGTGCAGAGGGTGCTGAGGAGCATAGATTCCCATGCAGAACACAGGCAATTTCATGCACAAAATGGATATTTTGCTCCATTTGCTGAGCTGAAATCAAGGTGCACGCTGGAGGCCTGACAGCTCTTTAGCTGTAACAGCACAAACGTGCTGCTACAAGACTTGAAGACTGTTTTGAAAGATTTGCTTAGTTTTTCAAAAAGAATTGTCAGTTCCTGGCTAGCGTGAGGCTGGCTGCTGAGGTGGGAAAGAAACCAAAAAGATAAATAAGCATACGAATCCAAATATATTCTTAATGTTAATGCCAGACGGATTCTGGGAGCTCAAAGCCGTACTGATATTGATGCTGAAATGCCCAAGGAGTCACAAGCAATCTGACAAGTTGAGGCTTAACACCAGAAATAGAAGGAATTGATTTAAGACATTCGCTCTCAGATCCTGTTCACCCTAAGAGGAGCTTCTGAATCTAATAATTGTTGCTGGAGGACTGAGACAAATGTTCTAATCATTCTTTTTTAAAGTGGGGAAAAGACAGCAAGGATCTTTGACATGCTGGAAGCAAATGGTTTTCATATTTTTTTCATCTAGGAGATAAAGATTCTTTTCTGAGCACCTTTTGGCGTTGCACACAGTAAAGGGGATACTTTTGTTCTGCAAATTTCACTCTGACCAGAGTGACCTCACTCAATATGTGTGGTTAATGCCTGACCTACATAGCACAGCCACTGCCATGGACCCCTCGCCATGACACCCACAGCAAAAGAAGTCAGTGAATCATGCTTATTATTATTTTTTCAATCATAGAACAGTTTTTACTGTGAATAAAATTGCAAACCAAGTCAAAAGAGCTGGTTCTAAAGACAACACTAATGACCTGGCCATTTCCTTGGGGGTTTAGTGAGATAAAAAGCAGGGGTCTTAGGAAGGTGTGTTTGGGAGGGGCTGGAGAAAGGGGTTGGGAGACACAGAGGGGTAGTGCAGGGGCCCCTTGAAGGAGGTAAGATATAGGGTCCGGTGAAACTCCCTACCCCTTGCCTTATGCATGTAGAAATTATACTCTGATCTAAATCTCTCAACTATCTTTCTTATAAGTCAAATTAGAAATGGATGTTTTATTTAGTTTAAATCAAAAGCAATTGTCCGAGAATATACATGTAAGCATAACAGACATGATTTTGCTGCTGTAATAACTATAGATTGCAGGAAACAAGCTGTAGGTCCATCAATAGGGGAATGAAAAAAGCAAGCAACAGAACCTCCGCATAATGGGATCATTGTGGCTGTTAAGAAGAACGGGGGTAGATCCAAATGCCCTAACATGAGAGAAGGCTCATGATGAGCTATGGAGGGGAAAAGCAAGTGCAGGAAAATTATATGTAATATGTACCCATTAAAGCCCCTCCTGCAGGAAACGTCTTCTTGTATTTACACATTTCTGTCTTGGCTACAGTTTCTTTTAAATCAAGTAAATAAGTGAAATGAAATGAAAAAAGAAAGAAAACAGAAGCAATTTCCTGGATTGTTGTTAAATGTTGTTGTTTTGTATATGTGTTTGTTTTCTAAAAGGAAAACAGCTGTTTTGGTAAGAAATTGTAAATGGATACCTTTTGTGTTAAACTGTGGCCTTAAATTTGGGGCACAACTCCTCTTTCGAAGGAGAGTTTCATTGTTTTTTCCATGGTAATACCAGCATAATGGACCTCAATTTCATTCTGATTTATGTGGTGTCTTTCCCTACATTCTCTACTTGCTTCTTAGCTTTGCCTGGGAGGCAGGTGTCATGAGGCCCAGAGGTGTCTTGCCTGAGATCATCTTGCTGGAAGAAGTAGAACAGTCCTCCAGTTAATACCGTCTGGCCCTAAATCCCAAGACCAGCAATCGCCCAAAGCTATTCCCATCGATTTATATCTTGAAGAGGTCATAGAAACTTACTCTAGGATTTGTTAGGAAATTGGTAGCCATTCATTTTGTCTTAAGAGTGCAAGTTCAAACATCATGTCCTCCGGTTTCAAGCCACTTCCCAGTTGCTGGACTTTGCAAAAGTTGCTTTAATATCTCTGCACTACAGTTTCCTCAACTGTACAAGAGGGATAACAATCAAGTTTTCCCCCATAAAGTTGCTGTGGAAATAAATGAACTAATGCCCAAGAACAGTGGAGGAGGCTCCTAGAATATAGTACAAGCCTAATAAATACTAGTGATAGCTGTTCATATTAAACTCATTTTATAACCTTTGGCATACCAGGAGCCTCGGTTTCTTCATCTATAAAATGGGAACAGTAATGCCAATTTCTCAGGGTTTTATGATGATTATATGAGTTCATGAATATAAAGTGCCTGGTATCAGGTAGCAGCAAAAATTAGTTAAGTGCCGACTCCATTCCCATATCTGACCTTCCATGTATTGGGTGACTCTCATCAATGGAATAGTAATGATATTTCTGTGAACTGATTGTTGGCATTTACGAAGAGAGGTTGCTTGTCTCGGCTATGGGTGACCTGTAGAATTATTTATGAGCCAGACAAACCAAGCAGCAAAGAAAAAGACCCAATATTCTTATAGCAAAACATTCTTGTTCCTTGAAGCATAAAGGGTGAAATGGACTAGGGTATTCAGAGAGCGTTCTGGAAGCCCCTAGGAAACCGTGAGAGGAGACAAATGGGGAGAAGAAACTCAACAGTTTGCAGTCTGAAGAAAAGAAATTCAAGGTATAGCTACACAGAAATTCTACATACGTTTATACTAGGGAATTGTGAACATGGTTTCTTCACCCGCAGGATCACTTGGAACAATTTTGATAAGTAAGAAACACATTAAGGAAAATGAGAAGTCCCTTAATCATCACTGTGTAAAAATAAGAGCTTTTGGCGCAGTGTGCTCAAAGTCTTAGAGAAGGAAATAATAGAATATATGTCAATGGGCCAAAATTTCAGCCAATTTTTAAGTGAAAATGCTATCTTGGGCAATTGCTTCCCAATTAAACCATATCTGCAGTGATATTTTGATATTTCTAGAATTCTCAATTTCATTGTTCTCTTACTTATGTTGAACTGTTATTTTCTCTTGCTGTAGAGACAAAGCAGTGTAACAGATAAGAGTGCAGAACTAGAGTTACACTTACTGGATTCGAATCCTCGGTCTATCATTTACCAGCTGTGTGATCCTGGGCAGGTTGCCTACCCTCTCTGTGCTTTTGTTTTTGCACCTGTAAAATGGAGCTGATAATAGTACTTCCCTCGTGGGGTTGTTGTGAGAATCAACTAGCATAATGTCTGACATTTGCTCAGCACAGTACTTGGTACATTGCAAATGCTCAATACATGTGAATTCTTATTTTTATTTTGATGATTTTATCATGATTATAAGACTCTCAATCTCCTCTTGTGAGTAGGTGGAGAGGTGCCTTTCCAATAGTATCAGTTCTGCAGCGAATTTGACCACTTCCGCTGTCTGGCTACATGCCTTAGTGAGATGTCATTACTGCTTTAGTTTTCTCATCTGTAAAATGGAGATAATAATACCTTGCAAGAGTCTCGAGAGGATTGAATGAAGTAATGTCTATGGAATGCCTGGCCGGGAGTAGGCACTTAGCAAATAATGGTGTCATTATTCCTTCTTTTTAAAATACTCAGCATTTTACTCCTAAGTAAAAGCATCCAATCTAGAGATGTTTTAATTTTGGTTTGTTTTTATTTACTTTTATAAGTAGCGAATCCCAAACACTTGATTACCTCAATACTGTAAAAAATTTATCTACGGTAGGTGATCAAGGTTAGTTATAAAACAAACATTTGGCCGGGCACAGTGGCTCACGCCTGTAATCTCAGCACTTTGGGAGGCCGAGGCGGGCAGATCAAGAGGTCGGGAGATCGAGACCATCATGGCTAACACGGTGAAACTCCGTCTCTACTAAAAATACAAAAAAATTAGCCGGACGTGGTGGCGAACGCCTGTAGTCCCAGCTACTCAGGAGGCTGAGGCAGGAGAATGGCATGAACCCAGGAGGTGGAGCTTGCAGCGAGCCGAGATCGCGCCACTGCACTCCTGCCTGGGCGACAGAGCGAGACTCCGTCTCAAAAAAAAAAAAAATTGTGGCTTAATTTGTAGCGCCTGTCTACACATTGTCACTGTTCTTGTTACTTTAATATCATTTTTACCTCACTTCTACCTCCTTTTACTTATAAGCTCAAATTTGTCTTTGATACAGCTACTGGAGTGTAAGAAAAGAAGCCCACAAACACACACCACACACACACATACACACACACAGACACACACACACACACACACACACACAGGCACACAGAGGCCAACCTTTAGTACACCTGTTATTCATAGCAGAAACCTGTTACCTTAACTGTGCGTTGTATATTTTAGGTGCTTGATAAATGTTTGTTATAAATAAAGTAACCCATTAAACTTACTTCTACTATGTCATCCTTCTGTTTCCCCATTTTTCTGGCCCCCACCAAGCCATGGTATTGAGAACTGATGTATTTCCTGCTCGTACGTGCGGCCTGGGAACTGGAGTAGAGGATAAGTACGTTGTATCTTTGCTAAGGGTATGGGGGGTCCAAGGACAGTCCAAAATCAAAGGACATAGTTATGGCACTGCTCTGTGACCTCAGGCAAGTCATTTTCCCACTGTGGACTTGTTTCTGAATCTAAAAAATGAAGGGCTAGATTAAATAACCTCTTTGTAACTTCTTTTTTGTTTTGCTGTTAGTAACTTGACATGATGGGATATCAGGGGCACTCGTTATTTTTGGGGGTTGGGGGCGGGGTGGTCGGCCTGACAGACCTGTGTCTAAAACCTTCTGTTGCAGTTACCGGCTGTATAAATGGGAATAAGTTTCCTAATTTATCTGAGTCTCATTTACCGTCATCTGTAGAACAGGAATAATCAGACCATCTTAAAATGATTGTTGCAAGAATGAAATGAGATGCTGGACATCAGGAATATAGCACGGGGTCTGGTACAAGGAAAGCATTCAATAAATGGCGACCATCATTATGTGTGTCTCTGCTTCTTTCTTGGCCAGATTCCTCTGTATTGAAGGTAACAGTCATAGTTCTTTCCTTCAATCGTCTCCTGAACTACTTAAGAGCAACCTCTAGGAGGGACAATGCTGATGAAGCCAATAATATGAATTCGGTGTTTTGGGGAATGTGCAATTAGGTCACTTACAGCACGCTGGCCCTTCTCCACATGCCGCAGAGATACGGCATTTGATACCAGCATGAAGATCGGTTCCTTCCTCTCTCAAAGCTAGCTTTATTGATCCCCTCATTCTAATGGGGGCAGGGGAAGAAGGAGAAATGAGGAAATGTTAGCAAAGACAGAGGTTAGGTCCGCTTGATTTTGCCTTCACCCACAGAAGCCGTAGCTGCAGGAAGACTGGGAAAGAGTCCAGGATTAATTTGAGCCCGGCTTGCCTTCCCACTCTTTTCCAATCAATTCCCAGAAGGTAGCCATTTTTAATTCTCCATTTATCTTACTTGACCAGGGTCAAGTCTGTTTTCAGGGCAAAGATTAGAGAAGTGGCAGATAACTGGCTGATATCTCTGGTAATAAATGAATATGAGCTTTAAGCCTGGTGTAATTAAAAATGTATAAACTCACAGTTTATTCCCCCTTAAAAGTTTACAATCTTCTGTTGAAATGCTTCTTGAACCACCATTCAACTTGTTTTTTAGTCATCTTTGCTGATAAGAAAAGGGAAGGAAATTGAAGACTCAACAGAAGACACTCCCATCTGTGCAAAATCAAACCCATATCAACAAGGGAGGCATGTGAACCTTTATCTTGGCATCTGCTGGGCCACTAGGAGAAGGATGTCACTGGTTAACTTCATATTTACCTTTGCATTATTAAGCTGTGAGCCAGGGTCCTTCTAATACACACAAATATCCCAAGCCTCATCCAGAAAGTAGGCAAAATCTGCAAAACAAACCCAGGCCAACTTCAAATTGCGGAGTCATCAACGCATGAGCCAGGCTGCCATCAGCAACATAGAACCAGTGTTTACTCAGTTCCAGAGGAATTTTATTTCAGCTTGGGAGCTTCAGTCCATTTGCCTTACAAATGCCACCATTATGTGCTATTTGAGGTTTGAATGATGCCACACAAGGAGACACTCCATGTGTACCTGCCTCTTCTACAAACTGAAGAACTGTCAGAATTCCAGCAGAGGGAATCAGTTTTGGTAGATGGGGTAAAGTGAGGAAAGGAAAGAAAACTAACCAAGCCCCAGGCACTATGTTAGCTACTCCAAGTGCATTATTTTACTCAATCCTGACAGCAGTTCTGTGAACAAGACTATTCTCCCATTTTACAGATGTGGAAACTGAGGCTTCTACAAGTGACTTGCCCCAGGTCTTGCTCAGAAGGGGAGGAGGCTGCTTCTGCCTCCACTCAGCCTCCAACCCCCATTACCTTGTATCAGTCACCCAGGTGGTAGTGGGCTGCAGATGCTGTGGGTTTTGTTTCTGAGTAGTCTGTGAACAACTCTCCAAGCAAGCATGAACTTTTAAGGGAAATCCTTCTCCCTGAATAGTATTTTTTTTTTTTTAGACAGCATCTCACTCTGTCTCCAGGCTGGAGTGCAGTGGTGCAATCTCGGCTCACTGCAACCTCCACGTCCCAGGTTCAGGTGATTCTCCTGCCTCAGCCTCCCAAGTAGCTAGGACTACAGGCATGCGCTACCATGCCCAGCTAATTTTTGTATTTTTAGTAGAGACGGGGTTTCACCATGTTAGCCAGGATTGTCTCCATCTCTTGACCTTGTGATCCACCCGCCTCAGCCTCCCAAAGTGCTGGGATTACAGGCGTGAACCACCGCGCCCAGCCAATAGTTTCTAAAGGAGATGACCATGTTGGTCAACGGGTCTGGCCCAAAAAGAAAACTCTGTGCCTTCCCTTTCCAAGAAGTCATATTAGAAAGAGTGAAAAAAGGAGCTCCTTCCTGATGGTAAAAAAGTGAACGGCACCGAAGTGGTTACCAACCATTTTGTTCAACCAGACTATTTACAAGTAGTAACAGGGTATCTGTTTCCTGTCATCTCCATCATATATCTTAAAGCAGAGAGATTGGAAGCCCATTACAGTCTGATATCTAATCAATACACACCGTATTCCTACAGCAGGAAGTAAAAGAATAGGCCCTTGGGAACCAGAGTTCAAATTACTCCACTGTCGATTCCAGATAGCAGCTAATGATAGGCTAAGCTTGGTGTGGGGGCGGTGGGATGCGGACAGGGTGGGATGAAGGGGAAGAAGAGACCATAGTTTAATGGGATAGTTAATTTGAAAATCAAATATGCATTCACTTTTGCCTCATTTGAAAGCTACATGTTGTCTCTTAGCAGGCAATACTTCTGACTTCAAATGCTTTTCTCTCTGCAGTGCCAAAATATGTTTTAGACACACACACGTATCACACATTATGTTTCGGTATTAAATTATATATCCGGATATACTTCCATATAATACATAAAGAAGCCTAAAGGAACATAAATATGCCATTTGATTATTCAATGAGTATTGACTGAGTGCCCGTGTACCTATGCGACCACCTGGATGTGGTCATAGGCATAGTGACCAGTGACATAGCAGCCAGTGACCACATCAAGCTTTGAGCAAGTCTCGACCACATGGAACTTATATTCCAAGACGGTATTGTGTGATCAATGTGTAACTGAGGTAGTAGGACCAAAGAGGCAGGAGAGAGAGTTGCCTTTTAGTGAAAATGGAAGTACTGAAATCACCACATTCTGAGTTTATTTCCTGCCTCTCCCATCTACTAGCTTTGAGACCCGTAGAAAGTTACATGACCTGTCTGAGTTTCAAATCCTCCACTTGTAAAATGCGAATAATACTACTCACCTCTTGGGTTATTGTAAGGATAAAATAAAGTAAAAAACAAAAAAGGTGAATTTTTTGATGTAGCCTACAGTCATTCATCAAAACATGCCTGTTGTCTTCTGTTTTCAGGCAGATACTGGGCATCCCTAGTGAGCATCTGTGCCACAGGCTGGAATGCAGTGGCACGATCTCAGCTCACTGTAACCTCCGCCTCCCAGGTTCAGGGGATTTTCCTGCCTTAGCCTCCCGAGTAGCTGGGATTACAGGCACATGCCACCACATCCGGATAATTTTTGTATTTTTAGTAGAGATGGGGTTTCACCGTGTTGGCCAGGCTGGTCTCGAACTCTTGACCTCAAATGATCCGACTGCCTCAGCATCCCAAAGTGCTGAGATTACAGGCATGAGCCACCGCACCTGGCCTGTGCCAGCCTTTGTCAGGTCCTGATGGGAATTCCGTTGTGAAGTCCCCGTGGCTCATTCACATCCCCAGCTTCTCTCCAGGCTTTGTGAGGCTGGGGCTCGGTCTCCCCACTCCACATTTCAGTTTTGCAGCTGGCTCTAGGTTGGGCTCTGCGGATAGATGGGGCTAGTGGCAGACTGCAGGATAATGTAGGGAGAAGGGATTTCGGCCTTCTCTTGGCTTCTGTTCCTCACAGCCTCACTTCACCTTGGCAGTAATACTTCCTCCTTGCAGCAGCTGTTGACTCCAGGCTCCAGCCTAGACCAATTCATACCTCTGTGGAAGTGCCAACACCAACAGGAAGACCCTTTTCTCAGACCTCTGGGTCTCAGCTCCAAGGGACCCTGCCATGAGCCACAAGTTGGGAGGCAACTCAGAGGTCTGAGCCTCGGCCCTACCAGGCCTCTCCACTGAGCTTCTGAATTCTGATATACCTTATATCACCCTAGAGCTGTCAGCTGCATCCTACAGCTATTACTGAGGTATGGCCTCAGTGTTCCCTTTTTTTGCCTTTTAAATCTTCCAGTAACTGTACAAACAAGTTCTTTTATTAAATTATTTAGCTAAAACACCTAATGTGTATTTGTATTTTCCTAACTGCATCATTGCTGAAACAAAGGGTGAGGGCCAAAGATTGTCACAACTCATCCAAGGAACTTCATCCTTTCTCTTATTCAGTCCTATAGCAGCTTGCTTCTTCCCAGAGGATTCAACAACAACAACACTCTCTCTCATTCTCTCTCTGTCTCTCTCTCTCTCTCACACACACACACACACACACACACACACACACCAGCAACATGCCTGTTTCTTGCCTCAGTCTTCTATCCAGAGGCTCTCTAACTCAGCCCCATCTAAAGGCCAGACTAGAAACCTCCTCCATCCAGGTCCCTTTGTGGCCCTTTCCACAAACCCAAACTCCCCTTTGCAGCCACGGACAAGATGAACTTTCTGTACTGAAATTGCTGGTCTGGGTCAGGAAACTTTCTTAGTAAAGTAAGCCTTAAAGAAATCCAGCTAATTCTAAATAGCTTAAGACTTTTGGTTTTACCTCTGCTGGTCCAAAATGCGTTATTACGTCAATACATGGAAGAAAAAGCTGTATTACACACAGCAGAGCCTGGTAGATAGCATCTATTAAAAGCTGAAACTTCAGCCAGCCCTATTAAAACTTCAAGGTAGTGGGTGTGGCATTTCTTTAGTTTTGTTTTGTTTTGTTTTGGTTTTGGTTTAATTTAGCAGAGGTAGGATTTGAGCCCAGGGCTGTCGTCTGCTATCAATGGTCAATGCACCCCCCATTATGTAATTATTCAGGACCACTTTGCAATCATCTGACCTTCCCAGGCCATTTGCAATGTCCTTAACTGCCTCTTTGTTTCCCTGTGTTTTGCATTTTTCTTAGAATGCCTCATTCTTCTCCTGCGCTTATCCACACTCACTTGTTCATTAAGAACCAAAGGTCTACTTTAAACTGGGATCATGCATGCTTTTGACTTTAAAGTCAATCATACACTGTCTTGTTTTAATCTGAAACCAGTCCAGGTGTAACTTATCTGTTCTCGCACTGTCTTGGAACTCAGTTTCATTAAGAAAGGGTCTATGCCTGGCATTCTTTTTTTGTTCTTAAACAGCTGAGCACAACAATTCTATTTGCTGAGTGTTTCTTTGATCTAGTTAATATAAAATATTATTTTAGAAGTTAGAATTAGAAAAAATAAAATTTGAAAAAAAAGCATCTGCAGATGAAAAAACTTTTGATTTATTCTGAGAGCTCCAAATCCCACTGTTTCTTTGTTGTGGCTACTGGTAAGCTCACAGATAAGTTTGGTCTTCAATCTCCGAAGCTTCCCTTAGTCTAGGTTTTCTGCTAAAATTACACTGCTTCCTTTCCATGCCCCTCCCACTATTCTCCTCTCAACCCATATATTTCCTAACCATTCCACTTTCTGTATCTTGAAATTTTACCTTCATTTTAATCATTTTATTATTTTATCATACCTTTGGTTTTTAAAAAATAAATGTATTTTTTACAAATGTATTTTCCAAACATATTCTGGAAAAAATAAAATATGAAAATGTATTTTTTATGAATGTATTTTCTAAATACGTTTCAGAAATAAATGAAGTATGACGGGAAACTGTACATGAAAAGATTGGGTACGTGAAAAGATGATCTCTATATTCATTAACTCATGTAAACATAATTCTTTTATAGGTAAGAGCTTTCTGCTTGGAATTTCTTCCTCCATGTAAATTATTCAATAGCATTAATGATTGCAAGTAAAGTTTATTTTTCCAATATAAAAACAATTTTTACATTTCCATTAAAACATATTGGAAAAACACCAAAAAAGAAAGAAAGAAACATAGGCTGCAAAGTTTTAACATCTAAAGACAACCACAAGTAGGACCTGCAGTAACTTTTCATACTTATCTTTCATACAGCTGGCACAATGACAATAAGTTGCGCATGCACATATACCCTGCCTTCACTACTAAATACATATTCCATATTTTTAGAAAATATGTGCAATTTATGATTTAAAATATTAGTTGTCAGAAAAGCACTGAAATAGATAATAACTACAGATTTCCATTTCTGACTTACACAAAATAACAGGGAACAGATGTATCCTCTCACCTTAAATAATTAGAAAAAAATTTAAAATTTTTAAAAACATATACATTGTTTTTCTAATCACTTTCTAATGATTTTTTTAATATCTATACATTTCTATAATTTTTCATACATATAGTCAATAGTTTTTAGACACTTATTAACCACAGGCCTTATACGGCTATGATTCCTGAAAGAAGGTAAGAAAGTAACGTGAATTCTATAATTTTAACAGATTACTGCCTGGGTTCAGTTACCAGGACTGAATACAGAGATGGAGAACCTGAACAGACTGAGCTCAGTCTTGCTGAGTTGCAGAGAACTAGAGGTCAAAGTTCAGAAAAGTCAAGGCAGTTAGAATTTGTGGGACAGAGTAAGATGGCAAGGGAGGTAGATGGATAAAGAGTTCAAGAAATCTGCAGGGGGTGCCCTTGAATCTTTGGCTGAGTATTAATTTGTACGTGAGTGAGAGGATGTGACCCAGGAGAGAAGAAGGCAGAAAAATTCCTGGAGCTCACACAGAACTGAAAATTGTTCATCTTTCTACCAGCAGTGGGAAAAGATCTTGTTAAAACACGAGGCATTAAGTAGAATCCTCAGAAGGGTATTGCCTTAGTATTAGGGCAAATTTAGCCCCAGACTAAATACTAATCTGAATAACAGAGTTTAAAAGTAAGCCTTAAAAGTATTCAACTAATTCTAAATAACTGAGAGCCGTAACAATGTATTACAATTGACAGCATATTACAATATTCTACACTTAATTAATCTACTACAAAATTTCCACACATACAAAGAAACAGGAAAATATGACCTGTAACCAGGAGGAAATCAATCAATTGAGGCAGACTTAGAAATAATTGCTACTATGAACTGTTATTATAAAACAATTACTATTAAAAGATTCCATATGTTCAAGAAGGTAAAGGAAAATATGAGTATGATGAATAGAGAAATTGAATGTTACATTAAAAACAGAACTTCCAGAAATGAAAATTACAATATCTTAAATGAAAGAAAATTAAGATTAACAGAATAGACACTAAAGAAGAAAAACTTAATGAACTTGCAGATATAGCAATAGGAAGTAAACAAATCAGAAAAGACATGGAAAAAAATAAACAGTGGAAAAGTAAGGTATAATAAAATATAAAGTAATCTAATATACAAATAACTGAAGTCCAGGAAAAAGATGAAGAAAACAGAAAAAAAAATAAAACAATATTTGAAAATTCTACAAACTTGATGAAAATCATAAACTCACACATACAATAAGTTCAGTGAACCTCAATCAAAATAACCCCAAAGAAAACCACACCAAGGTACATCAGTATCAAATGGCTGAAATCTAGAAATAGAAATAGAACCTTAAAAAATCCAAAGAAATATGACACATTATATACAGAAGAAAAAGATAAAAATTACATGAGTCTCTTTGTCAGAAATTTTAAAAAAAGATAAACATTTGGATTTTCACAAATTAATGGAGAGTATAAGAAATTTTAAATGTAAAAATAAGTATTTTCTCATTTTAAAAATAACTGACTATTCAAAGCAAAATAACAACTTTATTGTGGGATTTACACAAATAAGGTATATTACAAAAACAGCACAACAGGTGAGTGGGAAAAATAAGTTTTATAGTTGTAAGGGTGTTATACTATACATGAAGCAGTGTAATATTTGAAGGTAGGCTGTAGTTTTTATATATACTATGCATATACGGTATTACACAGTATATATATGCATATATATAGTATTTTATATACAGTATACACTATATATAGTATTTTATATATAGTCTTACACCCTACCCTTAAATATGATACCACTACATATCTATACATGTACGTAGTACTATACTTCATATGTATGTTTTTATGTATAAAGTATGTATACGCTGTAATACCATATATACATATAGTACAACAACTTCTTGAAAGGGAAATAAACAGGTAGAACAATATGCCATAATAGAGATAAAATAGAATGTTAAAATACTCAATTAGTTCAACAGGAGGCAAAAAAAGTAATGAAGAAAGAAAAGAAGGAATAAATAGAAAACAAATAGCCAGGTGATAGAGTAAAACTCAACCATATCAGTAATTACCATAGATGTAAATAGCCTAAACACTCCAGTTAAATGTCAAAGATTGTTGCACGGTATAAAAAAGCAAAACCCAATGTATTATTCAGAGTTCTGCAGAGAAACAGAACCAACAGAATGTATACACACACACCTGTGTGTGTATATATATATGCATGTGTGTGTATGTATATATGTGTGTGTATATATATGTATGTGTATATATATATATATGTGAGTATATACATACATGTATATATATATATAGAGAGAGAGACATTTGCTTTAAAGAATTGGCTCATGTGATTATGGAAGCTGGCAAGTCCAAGCAGATGGCAGGCTGGAAACACAAGAAGAAACGATGCTTCAATATTCAATCTAAAGGCAGTGTGGAGGCAGTTACTTCTTCAGTGGGGTACCTCAGTCTTTCCCCTTAAAGCCTTCAACTGATTGGATGACGCTTATCCACGATATAGAGGGTAATTTGCTTACTCAAAGTCTACTGATTTAAATATTAATCACATCTCAAAATACCTACACAGCAACATCTACCATGGCATTTGACCAAGCAACTGGAACCATAGTATAGCTTATCTGACATATAAAATAAGCCATCACACCTGATTATATGTTTCTAACACTGTAAACATGAAACACACATAGGTAAAAACAAAAGGATGGTATAAGATGTATTGACCAAACAGTAATTAAAAGAATGCTGGAGAGACTATATAAATTTCAGAAAAATTAGACTTCTGAACAGAGAATATGACTAGGAATAATAAAGCGGATTTTATATGGTGAAGGGGGGCAATTCATCAACAGGACATAGCAACTCTAAATGTATATGAACCTAATGGAGAGCTTCAAATTTCATAAAGCTAAATATGGTATCACTAAAATGAAGAATTGACAAGTCCACAATTATATTTGTAGACTTCGAGACTCCTGTCTCAGTAAATGATAGGATGAGTTGACAGAAAATCAGTAAGAATGGAGAACACAGAAACAACCCTATCAACCAACTTGACTTCCTTGACATTTGTAGAACACTCTACTCATCAACAGCATTATACACATTCTTCTTCAGCGCATATGAAATATTTGCCAAGTAAAATGATATTCGAGGCTATAAAACAAGATTTAATAAATTTAAGGCAATTTTAATCATGTGAAAGGTTTTATTTGGCTACAATAAAATTAATGAATAATAACAGCAGAATATATGGAAAATCTTTACATTTGAAAAATGAAACTGCAATTTATTAAGTAATTTATGAATCAAAGATGTAATAATAAGACAAAGTAGATAATATTTTGAAATGAACTAAAATAAAAACATAATGTATCAAAATTTGTGAGATGCAGCTTAAGCAGTACTTAGAGGGAAAATTATATCATTAATTGCTCACATTAGAAAAACGAAAGGTCTCAAATAAGTGACCTTACTTTCCCCTTTAATAACTTGGAAAAGCAAATTTTAAATAAGGACAGGAAGCAAGGAAATTATAAAGATAAGAGCAATCATCAATAAAGTAGAAAAACAAAAAACAATAAAGAAAATTAATGAAACAAGAGCAGGTTCTTGAAAAAAATCTATACAATTGGTAAATCTTTAGCCAGACTGAACATGCACACACACACACTCCACATGCATAGCTATGTGTGTGCTCATAAAAGAGAGAGCAAAGGGAAGGGGAGGTGGAAAGAGGAAGAGAAGACCCAAATTATTAATATAAAGTGCTAAAATAACCGATATTTCAAACATTAAAAGGGTAAGAGAATATTATGAACTTCATTTAAATAAATTTGATAACATTGATAAAATGGACACATCTGTTGAAAGACACAAACAACCAGTTTCTTCAAGAAGTAGATAACCAAGATAGTCCCATGACTAGTAAATATATTTATTTTGTAATCTAAAACACTAATAATGAAGTTTAAAAGAAAAATATTTAATACACTGAACTTCATCAAAGTTAAAAGTTTTCTGTTAACAAAAACTGCTAAGACTGGGAGAATATATTTGTAAAACAAATACCTGATAAAGGAATCATAACCAGAACATCAAAATAAGTATTCCAACTCAACAATAATAATAAAAAGAAACTCTTAAAAAACTGGGACACTTCTCCCAAAGAAGAGAGATACAAATGAGAAATATGTATGTGAAATAGACTCATATCATTAGTTATTAGAAAAACACAAATTAAAATCACAAAAAGATACAACTATGCAATTCACTAAAATGGCCAAAATGCTAAAAGTCAAGTAATACCAATGCTGGTGAGGATGTGGAACTATTGGAACATACATTCATATGAACTATTGGAACATACATTTTTTTTAATGGTGAAACCACAATTGCTTTTGCACCAACATAATACATTTAGTACATAACCCAGGAATCCCATTCCTAGGTATTTACCAGAGTTAAGTGAAAATTTATGTTCATGCAAAGACTAGTACTGCTTATAGAGTAGTAAATCAAGTAGATCTCATAGATGCTTTATTCAATATGGCCCATAACTACAAGCAACTCACACAATTGTCTACTGGTGAATAGATGGTGATAGATCCATACAATGGATTATTACTCAGCAATAAGAGGGAACACAGTATTGATAAATGCAATAGCGTAGTTGAACGTCCAAAGTATTATGTTAGTTGAAGGTAGTCAGACTCAAATATAGCATGCATTGGGAGGCCGAGGCAGGTAGATTACAAGGTCAGGAGTTTGAGACAAGCCTGGCCAGCATAGTGAAACCCCCTCTCTACTAAAAATACAAGAATTAGCCAGGCATGGTGGTGCACGCCTGTAGTCCCAGCTACACGGGAGGCTGAGGCAGGAGAATCCCTTGAATCCAGGAGGCGGAGGTTGCAGTGAGCCGAGATCGCACCACTGCACTGCACTCCACCCTGGGGGACAGAGTGAGGCTCTGCCTCAGAAAAAAAAAAAAAAAAAAAAAAACCAGACAGTAGAATCCATTTATATGAAATTCTAAATACAATAAAATTAATGTTATGGAAAGTAAATCAGTGTTTTTCCAGGACTGAGATGGGAGGAGGGAATAAACGCAAAAAGCATGAGGGAGAAAAAGAGGACACAGGGTAGTGGAAATGCCTTATTATGGAGATGGTTACACGGGGGAGTGGAAATGCCCATTGTGGAGATGGCTATATGACTGGATACATTTATGAAGACTCATGAATTACACTCTCAGAATTTATGAATTCTATTATAAATATGTATATATTCTATTATTACATATATGTATTTTACCTCAATAAAGATGATTCTAAAATTACAAGTTCTGTGTCAAAAACAAGTTGTATTTTTAGAATGATCTTCTTTATGTATTTATATGTTTTATATGTTTCTTCTTTATATAAAGAAAAAAATAAATCCCACTACTCAATAACATTCAATAATTACAGAAATAAACAATGTACATTTAGTGTTTCTCTCTCATGCCCAGTTACAATTATTTTTTAGCAAAAATAACATGTTGGCATACATAAAGTACATTTGTACATATACTAATTCACATGCACATAAAGTAACTTTAATTGTTTAATAGTTCATCAAGTTAATGGGCCAAATTTTATTTAACCATTTTTTAGTTATTGGAAATTTAATTTGTTTACGCTTTTTCTGTAACATAAACGATGCTGTGATAAATACCTTTGCACATAAGGGGTTTTTTCTCTCATATTTTAGAGCAGCAATTTTATGGTCTCTGTGGGGGCTTTGAATAAAATAAACTCTTTCTGTTCTAGGAAAATATGGTTCAAGATACTTGGTTGCCTGGAGCCACTGAATTAATCAGTAAATGATCATGGACAAAATAGAGATTTCCTTCGCAGCCCTGGGCTCCTATAACTGATATAAAAATGATGAGAGTGAACATTAAGGAAATGCTTCTATGTATTAGGAATGTTAATATAAAGATGTGATTAGAAGGCACAGAGAAGTTAAGTGAGTTGTGCCAGGAAACACAGCTAGTAAGTGACAGAGCTGGGATCGGGGACCATTCCGGCTTCCACTAAACTGCCTCTTGATGTTAGCTAATACATTTTTGTAAGCAATTCCACTAAGATAATGTCCACATGGAGGCGTTTTTAGAGCAAAATTAATCTCTTACCAACATTTTCCTTCTTGTATTTTCTTTCTCTTATTGGGCACTAGGAAGCTCTTCCATTTTACTCAGAAGACTTTGTGGCAATGGGCTAAAAAATAACGAGAGCTTAAATAATCAAAAGAAGAATGTGTTGCAGTCAAAATCCTAAGAAAAAGTGATCTAGCGCCAGGGCCTAATAAATCCCTCCTGCGATGGGCTTCAAAAACTGGCCGCGATGGAGTGCTGACATAAATCCTCTGTGGATGTACAGCTGACATTTCCCTGCATCGTGACACATCAGGAGGACAAATGGTGTAAATCCTCCTGTTGGAATTGGTGCATTGTCTGTGTGCACAGCTTACTTTTCTGAGTCCCATCCTATTATATACAAAACTTGTTTCAGACACCTGTTCCCCAGACAGAACTTCGAACTGCCTGCAATGTCTTGAATTAGCAGAGATGATTTCAAGGAACTCACATCTTCATAAGCTTCTGCTGCTACCCTCGTCCTGTTTTTCTCCATAATCTCATCCACTCTCATGGTTTTGCATACTTACTTTCTCTCTTTCCAGCAAAATATCCAGCCAAAGTCCGTCTTGGATGTTCAGACCTATACATCTCTGTCTTCCCCCATCTCCTGTTAGAAGTTTATAATCATCATACATTTTACATAAGCCAAAGAATGCTCATAATTTTTACATTCTAACTCTAGCCTGCTTCTCTCCTATCTTCTCCCATTTCCTTGAGTGGTATCACTACCACTAATGTTACTCAGGTCAAAAACAAACAAACAAAAATGTTAATTGGACCTGTTATTTCCTTTTCCTCACGTGCAGTCAAACGTGAGCTGCATTGATCAAATCCCCAACTTCTGTCTCAATCTGACTGCCCATTTCTGTCTCTACTGCCCCTGCCCTTGTCTTAGTCACCCTCCCCTCTTGCCTACACCTCTGCAGTAGCCATTTGATGGATGTGCCACATCCCTTTTCATGTCTCCTACAAATCCATTCTCTTCTGGTCATTTTGAAACACAAATCTGACCATGTCACTCCATGGCTTAAACCCATTGATGGATTCTCATTGTTCAGAGGATAAAGTGAAAATGCACAGCACAGCCCGCACCTGCTTAATTGGTCTGGCTTCTGACTTCCTCTGCATCCTCACCTCACTCTCTTCTACTCAGCCCCACTGTCCTCTTTCTCCTCCTTTGAATGCACCAAGTTCGTCCCTTCAAGCTAACACTCTTTCCTTGCCTCTTCACCTAGTCAATCCATTTTCATCCCATAGTTCTCAGTGTAAATGCCACTTCTTCAGAGGAGTGTTCTCTTATCACTTGCTTTCCTGCCATCAAGTGGCCCATTGCATGTCCTTGTATGAGGTTGATGCAAAAGTAAGATTTTTGCAATTATGTTTTTAATTGCAAAAACCACAATTAATTTTGCATCAACCTAATACGTGATTGCCTTCATCATAATGGCATTTACATAGTCATTTTCATACCTCTTACCGATCACCTGACTCTACCCATAGAGTGTAAGGTTCATGAGGGCAGGGTCTGCATCTTCCTTTTTTATCACTGAATCTCCAGAGCCCAACACAGAGCCTGGCAACACAGAATGTTGTTCTCTAAATACACATGGAACCAACGAAATCAGAAAAGCCTTGCCCTGCACAGAATATGAAAGGGTCCTAAGACTCATGACTGTTTCCACATTTGCTTGAAAGCCAGCATGGCCTCGCTTCCTGGAATTGGTGCCAGGAGAGGTCACCTCCCTAAAAGACGCACTCTGCCTCCTCCTGATGGCTGTTCCCCGTGGCCAGCAGAATGTCAACTCTCCCACTCCCTGAGACTTTTCTGGGCAGAAGCATTTAGGCTCAATCCTTGCAGAAAAACTTAGTCCAGAAAGAAAAAATAAAGAGAAACCAGAATGAGAAAGCTGCCTTTATTACAGCTAAACTGTTGGCTTAACTTCCTAAAATACCGTTGAATTTTCTTTCTGCATACAGCTGTGTTTATAGAAGGCAATATCATGTATGTAAATAAATTCAGATGCCGCTCGAGTTATTTTAAAACAATCAGTCTAACACTAATCAGCTTACTCAGAGACATAATCTTACCCTAAAAAAGTGACAAATCAGTACACAGTGTGCAGAGTAAAATCCATGGAGGGTAAGTCGAATATAAATGTATGAATGTTGCCAATGTCAGAATTTGAGGTTGGTCATCCCAGATGCTTCAGGAAAGCCGCCTCCAACTTCTGCTTCACCCTTCTCATCCCAGCATCCCAGAGGTATAATGTGGACAAGAGATATTATCCATAAATCTGTTCCCAATCCTCTAGGAAGGCCACATCCTTCCCCACTGCCATGCCTATACCGTTTCCTTTGCCTGGAATGTGTGGAACCTCCTAGCCATTCAGAAAGCAGCCTGTGTTTCAAGGCCCATCTCAACTTCTCTTCTTCTGTAAAGCACATTTTTCTGTCTCATGTGCTCATTGCATCTTATATCATTATGAAAAATAACTGATGTTATTTCCTAGAAGTTATTGATCATTGTGTGTCAGACATATCTGAATACTCTAAATGTGTATTCACTCAAAAAGGTTTTATTCTATGAACTCCTATTCTTATCACTCCATTTTACAGATTAAAAAACTGAGGCAATGAGTGACTAACAGCATACCCAAGCTCATATAGCTAGTAAATGGCTGAGTCAGGGCTCCAGTGCCTCCTCTGCCTATAGCTACTCTTAGGTTTGTCAATTGTCAGACATCAAGTTGTATGTATCACTGGATTATTTCCAATCATCTGAAGAGAAATGTGGCTGCTTTAGAGATGTGGACACTTAGACTCAGGGGAGCAATGTAATTTGCTATTCTTATTTCTCAAAAAATAAGGGTTGGGGCTGGATCTAAATCCACCTCTATTTTACACCAATGTCTGTTTTCTTTCAAGAAAAAATATGTCCAGGCACTGGTTCAATTTTCCTCTGGTTATTTATACAAATAACTTCGTCTTCAGGGCAACTGCCAACACATCATAGTTAAGCAACAAAGTTCTTTGTTTTTTAAAGGGTATCATGTATTATACAAAGATAATTCTCTGGTTCCTCTTGAGACGTTTATAGTCTAGCTGAGGACAAATTAATACTCATGAATTAGTAAGAAAACCTTAAGTACTAAGATTTCTGTGCTCAGTAACCCAACACAGACCTCAGAAGAGGGAGAAATGAGGGCTGCAGGAATCTGGGCAGGCCCCTGGTAAGAGGATCACCCTGCATTGGAATCCCATTCTCCTTGTACCAGCTGTGTGAGCTTGGCCAGGTTTCCACACTTCCCTGAGCCTTTGTTTCATGAATAAACGTCTTCTCTCTTGGTGTTCTGCAGAGGAGTAAATGAGGCAAGTGGCAATGTCTGGTATGGTACTGGGTAGGCACAAAATCGATGCCAATCCCTCCTTTCTTTCCCTTTGATTAAGCTTTTCACTACTGCCAAGGCTAATGAATAGACCAGGGCATTCATCAACACTCAGGTGTGTGTCCTGTGTGTATCCTTCAGAAAACTCACTGCTCCCCATGTGGTAGACTCCAGGATCATCTCCTAGAAGATCTAAAATCATTTAATTTTTGTAGGGCAAGCTTGTCTGCGTGTGTGTGTGTGTGTGTGTGTGTGTGTGTGTGCGTGTGGGTGTGTGTTAGTAATTTCATAACGTTAGAAATTTTTCAAAACTAACCGGCATGCAGTAATCACTACTCAATCCATCCTGGGAATCTTGACAGCATGGACTGAAGAAGAGACACACATGTAGCAAACCTATTCTTACTATCCTTATCTATATTATTATGGCTATTTTCATTATTGTTACTATTAGTTTATGATACTATTACCATTTATTTATTTATTTATTTAATTTATTTTTTTGAGACAGTGTCTCACCCTATTGCCTAGGCTGGCTTGCAGTGGCACGATCAGGGCCCACTGCAGCCTCAACCTCCCAAGCTCAAGTGATTCTCCCACCTCAGCCCCTAGAGTAGCTGCGACCACAGGTAGTGTCATCATGCCCAGCTGAGTTTTATATTTTTAGTAGAGGCAGGGTTTCGCCATCTTGCCCAGGCTGGTCTCCAATTCCTGGGCTCAAGCCATCATCCATCCACTTGGCCTTCCTGTATGCTAGGGCTACAGGCATGAGCCACTGAGCCTGGCCTACTATTACCATTTCTAAAACTTACTATTTTTATTTCCACCCCTATGAACACTACACCTACTACCATTGTCACTCTACTAATGCCCCTCTTCCTCCTTCTCTCTTCTTCTTTCTACTGCAACTGCCACCACTGCCACTCTATTAAAAATCCAGCTTATTTTTCTTGTGCTGTAATAACTGCCATCAATACCACCTGATTACAACTCCTCCTCCTCCTCTTACTACCTCTAATACTAATACTACAACTACCACCCCGACCCGACTCATCTTCCATCTCCTCCTACACCTACCCACATCATCTTGGAATAACTTCTCCCCCTACTACTGTCATTACTATACCTAACACCAGCATAGTATTACAGCTACTATGATTACCAGTATTACAACAACTACCACTACCACCATCCTATTTTAACTCCTACTGATCCTACTACTACAACTACCATCAACACCACCCTACCGCAATTCTTCCTCTTGATATTACTACTGCTAATATGGTAACTACCATCACCACCAGCCTGCAACTTCTCCTCCTTTTCTTCCCATGATGATGACCACCACTACCCTCCTAGTAATACTACTAGTAGTATCTATGACGTTTTTTTAATGCTTACTAAGAACCAATCGTTGTGCTATACACTTTGCATGTATTTTTCATTCAGCCATCATAACCATTTTGTGATATATATGTTTATATCATTTTCATCTGGTGGATGAGTCAATAACAGCTTACAGAGCTGAAATGAGAGTCCCAAGGCCCCACCTTGGAACTCACACTAGCGCTCTCTGATCTCCAGGCCTGTGCCCTTTCTAAACCTCCATGCTGCTTCCAGCCACCCTGGCTTGGACAATTGTGTTTCTGATTTTTCTCTTTTTCCAAATTCTTGTGCATGGAGATGGGAAGTCCACCCAGTAGGGAAGGACAATGACTGGACACAGGGCTCCAGAGTAAACAGGAAGCTCACACAAAGCATCCAGCTGGCTGGGCAGCTTGTCTACTGACCTTGGCCTCACTCATCTATCCTCCCCACATCCCCTTGAAAAAGTATGTCCACACCTGAGATAATCTGTGCACTGACATTCCCAGGTAGCTGTTTGCTGCCACCTGGATGACCACAGACTGGTTTGAAACTGACATGCAGATCAAAGACAGTGGATAACAAGGTGTCTTTTATTCACTCAGAATCTTTGTTGCCTGGGTCCTCTTTACCCTCCAACCTCACCCATGCAGCAACTGAACAAGCGCATTCTGTTTGTCTCTGGAAAATTTAAAAAAAAAAGGCCTTGCCTGCCCATCCTTAACTCTATAGCAATTATTCTTCATGTCACAAATATAAAGGGCAAAACCACTGGAGGATGCACACATTCATGCATTCAGTTAAATAATCATTTTTTTCAATGAAGATTTAGAAAGAATATAAATCATGCTGGAGCAGTAATGTTGAACAAGATGAAGCTTTCTTCATTCCTGAAGCTCACCTTGCTCTCATGGAGAATATAGAAACAATAGCTAGTCCTCAACCACTGAGACGTCTTACCATGTGGTCCTCCCTTTAAGTCGAGAAAGGTCTCTCTTCAGTGACTCGCTTTATGACATCATGACCAAGCACAGGCTAATAGTCAAAAAATGGGAGTTGGCATGATTTTCCACGCTTCCTTCTTCCCTTCTTTCTTTATTCCCCATCTCCTTTCCTTCCTTCTTCAATCTTAATTGAAGCTGATAACTGTTAGGATATTGACCCCGTGTACCCAAGTCCAGAAACTCCTACTCTGACTCATAGGTATGAGATGTTTATCTTTTCATTTAGAGGAGTCATTTAGATGCAGATTCACTGTGAGGGATTGTGTGTGTGTGTGTGTGTTTGTGTCATCTTTGGTCTTAAGGCTCAGTTCAAATCCTGGCTTTGTAATGTGAGGTCTGTGATGTAACCTGTTTGAGCCATAGCCTCTTACTCTGTAGGATGACAAAAATTGTTGCACCCAATTTGTAGGATTGTGAAGAGGGTTAGGTAATATAATTCCAGATAATGTGAGAAGCAGGGTCACCTCACTGAAGCCAATGAAGCTTAAGCTTTGAGGCCTTTCTCTTGCATAGGCTCTTTCCAAGACTCTGGAAACATTTAACGTTTGTAGTATTTAAAGCTTGATAAAATTTATAGTCTTCTCAGTCTCAATAAATATTTACTTTCATACCTAATTTTTGTGTTATTTTTCCTGAAAAGAGTCCTCAAAACATTTGATCTTCAGGCCCCATAAAACCTGTGCAATATTTAGCTCAAGACCTGGCATATGGACAGCAATTACTAAATGTTAGATGATAACAATTCATTTAATTTTTCTAGAACTTTTTAAGAATTTTTATATTAATTAACTAAAATCATGGAGACAAAAGAAAAGAATAAATGTCCTGATAATTATCAAGGTTATTATTATTGTTATTAGTGATGTTGTTTGAAAAATACGATTTTCACTTCTACAGGAAGTTAATAACTGGTGGGCTTTTCATTCGATATTCTGGTGCCTTGTGGCTAGAGTCATAGGATTTGTTTAAAGTCCCCAAAATAGAGAAAGACAATGAGTGCATTGGTAGTGAGAGAAAGAGAAGGATTTCTAATCATCGATGTCCTGCCCAGTTAGATATTTTTCCATAGATCCATCTATCTGGACGTTTCCATTAGTAATCCCTTTGAGGACCGTTACCAAGGGGCCCAGTCGCACCTCCCACCCACGCAGAGTGTATTCAGCTGTGTGTGTGTCTCTCCATTGTTTCTCACAATTGGAGTCTGAGAGGCCGTCATCTGCCCCACTCTCCTCTAGACTGTGGTCTCATTTTTCTACAGAGTTGAACTCTGGAGATAACATTGGTAAAAAATGTGAATAATTCAGGGCACATTAGAACGCTCTTTGTTTAAATTCACTCCCACCCCATTTCTCTGCAAGGAGCCTGGTGAGGGGGAAGGCGTGAACAAAGTGAAATGGCCAAGCTGCATATTTAAAATTCCATCAGTTCGATTTCTTTAATGCAATATGGTCATTTAAAATCTTGCCCTGTTTGATAAATACCTGCATTTCAAGTAATTGTTAAGATTGTGTCTGTTTTTATTAGAACTTGTTTGTCATTATTGGACAGTCGTTTCTAATCACATTTGTCATGTATTGAGTTTCCTTTATGAATACTGATAGCTCTTGGAATAGATGTTTATGAAGCCCCATTCATTCCTTGAGCACACACAGTATGCCTACCACCCAGGATACCATTTTTCTGGTCATTCAAAAATGAGAAAATGAATAGCAAAAATGAGTGGGAGGTTTATCTTTAGACACAGAAACTAGAATTATGGGGAAGTTTTTGGAATTTTGAGAACAGATTTCTGTGTAGTCAATTCCATCAACTGTGTACTTGGGGAGTTTAGATATTCAGACAGTTCGAACACAATGCATTGACAAGTTTAGATTCAAAGTTGTCCACTGTATCAGTTCAGCTTGAATTCCTAGAACTGTGGGAAGCTTAACAGAGCCAAGTTGTGTCTAAAGTCATTCGGTGAGTAGATATCCACGCACTTATTTGACAAATAGTTATTTACAGTATTCATTCACTCTGTGGCTGTTTATTTATTCAAGAGATGCTTATGCAGCCACTAATTTAATGAATAATTATGCTTTTTAATGGATATTTGTTAAATTTCTACTGTATCTAAAACACAGACGTGAAACTTCACAGCAGCTACATTATTGCCACCATGAGCCCACGAATCTCAGGAAAGTCCCTGGTCGCCATTTCACCTTCATAGAAAGGCCATGTGCTTCACCTACTTTATCCCATGTGGCCTCACAGCCTCTGTGAGGTGGAAGAATGTTCTGGACCATGATGAGTCTCTCTGTTAACGTTTTTTTTTTGTCTTTTACAGAGCAGGCATGGAGGGTCTTTTATTTCCAAAGCTTTATACACAATGCTCAAAATAAAAAAGACAAAGAAGACATGACTTCTATAAAAGCCTTATACCCCAGAGGCATGTCAGACACTCTGGGACTGAAACTTGAATTTTGGAGGGAAGTGGGGATTAAGATGAATGATGAATAAATGAATGAACGAATGAATGGATGAATGAATCAGGCTACATTTTGGAGCCAGACATCTGTGCCTGATCTAGAAAGTAAGTCAGACAGAGAAGACTTCTAAGAACAAGCAGAATCTCACCAGGCAGCTCAATCTGGCTGCAAACATTGGATTCCTCATGAATGCGGGACTTAATTATCAAAAGAAGCGAGGTGAGCATTTTCCAAATCTTCCTGCAAGTAGCATGGGCTTAGTTTTGACCCATGGTGGCCCTCACCTATCATCACTGTAGGTACTGCCTGGCTGGATATCAACCCCTAAGTCTGGTGGAGGAAGATCATGTGCACCCAACACTGGGTTGTCTGCAACGAGGAGAGATGCTGGGTTGAGGCGTGCATTCACAAACATCAATTATAAGACTCAGACCCCTCCAAACACTTTCCCTCTTGCAAAAAGCTTATAATTAGGGAACTATAATCATGAGGTCAGCACCTCTCAAAGGAGCACCTTTGCAAACTTCACATGCCCAGCAATATCTCTTAACCTGTTTGGACAAGGGATCAAGGTGCAATCTGCTCTAACTTGCTTCCTTTAAAGTGGGCAATGTTAAAACCAGGTAATATGTCTAAATGCCCATGACTTAATTTCTCATGCTCTGCAAGCAAGAGTGAACCACAGGGGAAAGTATGGAGGAGTTGAAGTCAAAGAGCGAAAGCCAGATTTCCAATCTTTGTTCTGCCATGGATAATGGTATAAGCCTGAGCAAGGTCTCTGATGCTCAGTTTCCTCATCTGTAAAGTGGGGAGAAAGTCAAATCTACATGCCAGAGTTATTAGGAAGTTAGTACATTCCTCGTAATTTTCCTGGAGTGGCAACTGGCACATAGCAGAAACTCTACAAGTGATGATTATTATCATTTATAAAACACGATATCATTTCTCAAAAAAAGGACACACATTCCAAAAGCCACATTATTGCAAAATTACATGACACCCACTATTATCCAGTCCTTGATAAACCTCTTTATTTGTTCTAAGGTTTCTTACACTCAAGTGAAAAAAGGCCTTAGATGCTTCACTTGGGAAAGAAGCTTTTTATTAAGATAATACGGCATTTCAAAAGAACACAAAATCATTTTCCAGTTTGATTTCGAGCCTAACATCAGTTAATTTCTCTTTGTTCTTCCTTTCTGGCTGTGCTCATGTCCCCCTTTGTGTGTGTACATTTATCCAATGCAATCTAAGAAACAATCACCTTAATTGATCTAGCGTTAACCTCTAACAGCTTAAGACATAGGCTTTTTATCTATCGCTCAATCCTTGCTGCAGATGTAATTCCCTATAGTGCTTACATCTTTGTCACCCTCACCAAGGGGGTCCTTCTCCAGAAAGCATTTCAGTAAATAAATACTGCTGCAAACAAAACAGACCACTCAACCAAGAGGCCCCACTGTTGCAGAAAAGCCTGGTTATGGTCTCATGCTTTACCTGGTGGTGTGCATAATGATGAATTTCATACAGGTGTCACCATTTTCAAGACCCCGGCAAGGATTGATGGCTTACAGTAGGCTGATCCATCATGCAAGGCAGCTGGCACCCTATCGGAATTTCAGGAATCTGTTCCCAATCACATTCACTGTTGGGTGACTCAGTAACGACCCTATTTGCGGTGCGTTACTGAAAATCAATGTGCCACATTCAAGGTCAATGTACTGTTGGAAAACTCTTTAAGCTCTGATGGATGGATTGTGCTCATTCAGAATAAATGTGAGAAGAAAGTGACAGCTGAGCATCCCACAGCCGCGCCAACTTTCAAAGGCAGGTTTCCTACTTTAGTGGGCAGTGGGATTCGCAGAGGGATAACATCACAAACACCTTCTTGTTCTCTGTTTGGGGGAATGTGTCTGCATATGATAGTGTATCTTTCCATACACAGTTAAAACATTAACGTGCAGAATCTCTGTGGAGACATTTACCAGCCCAATGCTTTAACAATCATTGCAAATCCGTTTGGAATCTAAGTGTTTGATAGGAACAAAATCAAGGCAAAGCATTAAGTAGACTATTTAAAATGTGTGTCTTTGGAGAAATAATTTGGAAAATAGCCAAAGATAAGACACTCGTTTAGTTCAGTTTATTTCGCAAACACAACATCTCCAAAATGTACCATGCATTGAACCCAAGGTCAATGATGCAAAGATAAAAGATTTGGAAACTTTAACTTTCACTCCAGAAGTTTAAAGGCAAAGACAAGAGATAGATACACAACCAAATTATTAAGTGCAGTGAGATATATACCTGTGCACAGACATATAGACAAAGGTTAGTGTATAATGATATAAATATAAGGTAAGAGCACGAGAAGGTGTTATCCGTTCTCCCTGGGGTCATTTACCTACTGGAATGGTTGTGATTAACACCTAGAAAAGTGGAAAAGAAAGCAAGTTGAGGTTTGCTTATTGATTTCTGGTTTTCAGTATATTTAAATATTTTTTAAAAAGAGATCCTCGAAGTGGTGAAGTAACCTTTTAAGTAAGAGACATTAGGATATAAAATAGATGACATTTTATCACTGTAACAATTTCCTTCCAGTGACCTGTTTATCAACCAAGCAGAGATAATGCTTGACCAAGCTTCTCCATGTTCTCAGTGTATTCCAGTGAAAAGTCAGGAACATTTACTGAGGAAAATTATAAAATGTGTGTTTTATCTCCTTGGATAGAGAATAAATTTTACTAAAGTTCTTCTTTTCTCCTTCTCCTTCTCTTTCTCCTCCTCCTTCTCATCCCCCTCCTCTTCCCCCTCTCCTTCTCCTCCTCCTCCTCCTCCTTCTCCTCCTCCTCCTTCTCCTCCTCCTCCTTCTCCTCCTCCTCCTTCTTCTTTCTCTTCTTCTTCTTCTTCTTCTTCTTCTTCTTCTTCTTCTTCTTCTTCTTCTTCTTCTTCTTCTTCTTCTTCTTCTTCTCCTTCCTGTCTCTATCATCTATCTATCTATCTCTCTCTCTCTCTTTAATTTTTAGCTTCCAAAAGGAAAATATAATGTATTGCCTATGGATTACATAAAAGAAAAATGTGGTAGCTGATAAATAATACAATTGATTTGAGGACTATTTAGAAATGGTTAATTTAAACAAAGTGATGATCCTAAAGACATCAAGAGAAAATGCAATGGTAGACATTTCCTGGTTCTCAATAATCAGGTTGGATCAACTTAATAATATGTTTGCATGTTTTTCTTCTCTTTATAGGCAACGACTGAGTCACCTGTAACGTCTAGCACCTCGAATGATACCTAGCATGTAATCATTGCTGAATAAAGAGCTGTGGATGAATGAATAAGTGAGTGAATGAGTGCATGAATTAGATGCGTGGATAAGCCATAAGGGAGGCAACTGTATTTTTTTGTTGTGTGGAAAATGCCTTTAGCATTCATTTGCTTAGAAGTCTTTGTGTGTGTGTGCACGCACGTGTGTGTGTGTGCATGTTTCCTATATCCAATCTTCCCACCTGCATCAATAATTCTGCCTGGTGACATAATTTCTCTGTAAAGCTTTAGGTGTCTCATCCCCTGCTTGGGATGATCATATGAGTTGATAGTTTCACTGTTTCCACAAATTGGGGTTCCCCAGCTTCCTTTTTATTTGACAGTCTAGTAATGCCTGTATTCCAAGTCATATTTATTCTAGCATCCACTCATGCATTCATTATTCAAGCATTTATTAGCACGTATGGTATGTCAGGAACTATGCCAGGCACTTGGAAGATGAAGTCTAAGAAATGTTCCCTTTCCTGAAGTTGCTCAGCCCATAGGCGTTGGGAGGTACGTAATAAAATATGTAAAAGGGTAACTTTAAATAATTCATAATTGGAAATACAACAGATAAACTGAACAACACATGAGGTGAATTATAGGGGTGGAGAGAGCAATTTGAGATAACGTTTAACTAAATATAACATCACAGCTGAGCCTGCGTATCCAATGAGAAGGGACATTTATGGTAGAGAAGAGTAATGGGGTATGTCAGACAAGAACACCACATTTATAGAATCAAGAAGATGGAAAACAGGAAGACGTGCTTGAGAAATGAGGCTATTTCTATTGGGCAAAGATTGGCAGGCAAGGGAAGAAAATAAGGTGAAAAGAGTAGATCATCACTCAACCATAAAGAGTCATATCTTCATTCCCAAGACTTTAGGATTAAACTTGCGGACAATAGGGAGCCATCGACCATTTTATCTTTCTACATTACTGTATAACATGCCTACAGACAAATGCACAGCAAAATGAGTACATTCATATTGCAACTCTTAGATCAAAAACAGGACACAGCCACCACCCACAGCCCCCAACACTTGCCCATTTGCAGTTACTACCTCAGCCAGGGTCCCCACTATCTTATTTCGAATAGCACAGATTGACTTTCTCAGTTTTGAACTTCATGTAAGTGGGATAATACAGTGCACACTTTGACACATTATTATGTAGGTTAGATTCATAATATTGTTCTATATAGCTGTAGGTCATTTCTTTGTATTGCTGTTCAGTATTTGATTGCATAAATACACCACAACTTTAAAATCTATTCTAATTTCAATGTGTATTTTATGTCATTCGCATTTTGGGATTATGACAAATAGTGTTGCTAGGAACATGCTATTAAGTGTCTTTTGGTGAACATATGTACACATTTTGGTAGGGTTGTTCTAATATATGTTGTTCTATATATAGATATATGTTGTTCTAATATATGCTGTTCTAATATATGTTGTTCTATGCTGTAATATGTGTTGTTCTAAGTATGGTTGTTCTAATATATTTTTCAGTCATAAAATAGACTTCTGCTTGTTATACATACTCACACATCCATAATTTTTTATTTATTCAATTAATGATCATCTTTTCAATTAGAGTCTAAGTTTTGTGAATGTGGAGATCACAGGTGCCTTTTTTTATCTTTGCATCTTTAGTGGCTAGTACCGTGTTTGCCAGATGACAGGAGATACATGCACACACACACACACACACACACACATCACCTGCCTAAACAAATGCACAAACGTCTATGTTCTTTTCCAAGTCATATTTATTCCAGCATCTACTCATGCATTTATTATTCAAGCATTTATTAGCACATATGATTTGTCAGGAACAATGCCAGGCACTTGGATGATAAAGAAGCCTAAGATGAGACATCTTCCCTGAGGTTGCTTTCTCATTTAGAACACAGACATTTTGTTTATGGTAGACAAAGATTATATTTCCCTCAGATTCTTCTTTGTAGACAGAAGCAGTATAATACTCTATATTCTTAACTATTGAATCTGTTATTGAGGATGAAAATGGAGAATTACAGGTGATATAATAAATTAATTTCTATGTTGTGCCAAAATACCCAGCAAGTGTTGGAATTCGATCAAAAAAGTCGTTAACGGAATGAGGAAGACAATTTTTAAAATTCTGATAACTTCCAATAACACTAGTGTAGCTAAAGAGTTTAGTGGGATGAAGGGTGGTTTGGAAGAAAATAGCCCATTCAGGAGACTGTTGTAAATGTCCCCTTCGTGTGGAGATGTTTCTGCATTGCCTTAAATACAGCCTATGTCTGCTTTTGAGAATTAATAGCAGGAAAAATTGTCGAAGGAAAAATGTAAAAGTAATGCATCTATATGCTTTCACAGGACCTTATCCCAACTCCAAATTCACAATCGTCAATTAAAGAGCTGGCTCTCTTTCCACTGATTAATTTCCACTTGGCCATTGTTAATAACAAGTCTGGAGAAATGTGTTTACACAGGGCAAAACGGGGAATGAAAAACACAGCATACATGCATAAGTCATCATTTAAACAGCATCAAAAGTGAGAGGGTGGCTATATTAAGCCGAAGCCCTTTGGCTTCCTCCCTGAACCTTGCTTGCCATGGAGAAACCTTTAATTGTATTATATTAGTGGCAATGAATGACAATGATACAGGCACAGACTTGGAATTAAAAGCGGCTTAGTGATATATCAGTTTATATCTTCCCCGTTCTTTAAATCTGATTAGTTATTTATTGCTGTGGGAAAAAAAATCATCCCAAAACTTGGTTGATTAAAACCACAATATTCATTGATTATCTCATACTCTCTGTGGGTCAGAAATTCAGGAGTGGATCTGCAGTTCCACCTCACTGTATCTCATGAGTTCAAAGTTAAGTGGTGGCTAGGATTGGGGTCATCTGGAAGGCTTTCTGGCTTTCATATCTGGGGCCTGGGCTTCAAAGACTTGAGCAGAGGGATGCTGGAGCAAGTGGGCACCCCAGGAATCTCTAGACTTACCTAGATTCAAGAGGAAGAAACCTAGACCTCATTTCTAGATGCAGGTGTTAGCATTACATTGTAAGAAAAGCATATGGGATTAGCATGATCATTTTTGGCAAATACTATCTGCCACCAACTGATTGCTGCAATGTTGGGAGCATAATTCCTGTTTTCCTTGGCCATTTCCAGGCCAGTGGGGAACAGCTGAATTAGGACCTGAAAGAAGGTGTCTATTCACTGATGGGCTAGCTGTCTGGGGCAGCCACTGTCGCTTCACTCTGAGTCTATATTGCTACTTTATGCAGAACCAAAAATCTGTCCTCCTCTGGCTTTTATCTACACGAATTAGGTTCTAGCCACCTTGTTATGGACTGAATGCTTAAGTTCCCCACAAATTCATATGTGGAAACTCTAACCCACAGTGTGATGGTATTTGGAGTTGAGGACTTTGGGAGGTAAATAGGTTTAGATTAGGTTATATCCTCTCCTAAAGAGATTAGTGGTGCCCTGATAAGAGGAAGGGAAAGAAATAGCTTTCTCCATACTCATTCACAGAGGAAAGGTCACATAAGCACACAGCGAGGCAGAATGGGCCCCTCATGAACAGAGTCTGGGGTCACCTTGATCTTGGACTTCCCAGCTTCCAGAATTGTGAGAAATAAATAACGGATTGTTCAAACCACTCAGTCTCTGTTATTTTGTTATAACCACTTGAGCTGACTGAGACACACTTGTACTGGGCCTTATCTCTGTAAGCCTATATACCTGGTGGCCCATATACATGTCGAATATATGAACCAATGGTTCAACCAATTAATTAATACTATCTATATTAATTTCCTTTGACTGTCATAACAAAGAACCATAGACTGGGCAGCTTAAACAACAGAAATTTACTTTCTCACAGCTTTGGCGGCTGGAAGTTTAAGATCAAGGTGCCTGCAGAGCTGGTTTCCCCGAGGCCTCTCTTCTGGGCTTGCAGATGGCCACCCCCTTGCTGCCTCTTCATATGGTCATCCTCTGTTCTGTGTGCTCCTGGCATCTCTCCCTATTCTTACAAGGACACCAGCCACATTAGATTAGAGCCCACCCTGAGGGCCTCATTTTAACCTGATCAGTTCTCTAAGGGTATTATTTCTGAATATAGTTACATTAGGATGTATTATGGGTTGAAACTGTAACATACAAAATTTTGCTTTTGGAGAAGGGTCCAATTCTGCCCATAGCATAGTCTAAGAAACCCGAAAGTAAGACTGCTCTTTTATTCACATGACTATCTTGAAAACACATGCAAACAGTGATCTTATTGCTCCCCCTCAACTCCCTCTTCTCTAAGCTCAAATCAATGCCCTTAGCACCACTGATCTCCCCTGAAGCTAGAGCACCCACCATTTCATCCAGGAGCTAGACGTTGGTAGAATGTAGCAAGGAGGTCATTCCCCTGCCTTTGAAGCTATCTCTTAAAAACCACTTTACTAATAGTTTCCTTGGTTTTGTTTCTCATTATCTTTCATGAAAACTTAATTGACCTTAAGTGTACCAGTGTTTTTATAATTATATCCTTTCATATTTATAACCTTGAGGTGAATTCAATATTGTTATACTCATTTTATGGGTATAGATACTGAGGATAAAAGAATTCAGCAGAGATATAGGTCTCATGATAGTGTTTGAATATGCACCTGAAGTTGTGTCATATGCAGCACTTTTCACTCTTTCAATACTTTCAATGGCTGTGTGAGGAGAGTGCTAGAGCCTTCCTCTGAGCAAGCAAGTGAGGTCAGAGGGGCCGGGTAATGCTTCCTTGATTGCATTTCCTTGTCTTTTCTTTGCACCTTTTGAACACTTTTATGTGCACATTTGTTAAATACATTTGGATCATAAAAATAATGCATGTCTATGGTTCACAATTTAGAAGGTATAAATAACCTTAAATCTGAGAATAAAAAATCACCTAGTATCCCACTAACCTAAAATAATAGCTCAGATGTTCCTTTTTAACATCTAGATACATATGAACACGTGAGTGTGAGTATACACACTTTTTATACATATAACATTCCTATATTACAATATTATAAAATGTTCTTCAAAAACTTGATTTTTAATGGCTGCTGAATAATTTCATTGTGTATACGTAGCCCAATTTATGCAATAATTAGCCTTCCTTTAGAAAAGAACGTAAGATCATAATGTAATTCTCATGATTCCATTAATTACACTTTCTTGCTAAAATACTCATTTCATTTCTTGGTAAAAAGAAAAAAAAAACTAATTTCTTTAGCTTACAATATCATCTGTTGGCCTAATGAGGCTATGTAGATTCTACTCCTAAACCATAGAATACTGTAGCTGAAGGCCTCGTGGAAATGACCAGCTCCAACTTCTTTAACGCATAATGCAGAGAACTAAGTCCCAGAGAGGGGAGGGGGCTTTCTAAAGCCAAAAACAAAATCTGAAACTACAATTCGTGCCTTCTGGGGTACAGAGTGAAGCTTCAATCGTTATGAAATGAGATGTCTTTTTCATTTCTTTACTCATTCAACAAATATGCATTGCATGCTTGGCAGGCACCAGGCACTATATATAAAGCAAGAATGAGATAGACCTGTCCCCTGCTCCATAGAACTCCAAGAGTTGCCACATCCCTGTCTTTCATCCAGAGGTCACCCACAGTTTTCTGAACATGTGGATACAGCTTCCTGCGTCTCTCTAGTGAGGGAAATTCTCCATTCTCAGTGCCCAGCCCTCTTGCTAGACAGGCTGAAGTGTCCAAGAATTAACATTCCAGAAGTGACCCTCAACCAAGGATGAATGAAAGTTAGTGGATTAATATCCAAGGTTTCTTGTGTTCCCCCTCAGGCAGTGAGACAGTTCTGAGGCATAGTCTACAGTGCCTCGCAGGTCCCAGGGGGATGGAGCCTCAGTGATTCCCAGAGGAACCACTCTTGTTTTTCTCACAGCACTTCCTGGGATCACTGCCTTAGATAATGACAGAAACAAGGAAAACACAATTCCAGACTGTTCTGTACTTTGAATATTATGGCAGCTTTGCACTAGAATATTAATTGGGCAAAGAAAAGAAAATATATACTTAAGCTAAGAAATCCATTTGACCTGTGAGTCACCTGAAATAAATGCTTGTCTCAGGTTCTGCTTTTGAGAGAAAACCAAACCAAGACAAGATATCTATGTTTACTATGTGTATTCCATAAAGGAAAAGTTATAAGATGTCATCTGTATACACAGTAGGGAAACTCTTCCACTTATCTATTGTTCCACAACAAACAAACTGTATTCTCTTAAAACAATCAGTTATTACTTCTTATGGGTCTGGGGTAGATGGGCTCAGCTGGGCAGTTCCCCTTTATGGTCCCTCCTATAAATGCTGTCAGATGGTAGCTAAGATTAGAGTCACCTGAAGGCTTTTTCATTCATATCTCTGATGGGTGAACTGGATGGGCATCCCTCTTTACATGGAGTCCTCCATGTGGCTAGCTCGGGCTTCCCTACATCATGGTAGTTGAAAGTTAAACTTTTTCTACTTTGGATGTCTTCCTTAAGTTCCCATTCCAAGAGACAGCAAATGCAACCTGTCAGTATTAAAGCCTGAGTTTGGAAACTGGTACGGTCTCCCTTCTGCAATATCCTCTTGGACAAGCAGTCACAGAACCTACCCAGGCTCAAGGAAAAGGACATGAATGCCCCCTTCCCCTTTGATGGGAGGAGTGTCCAATACTTTTATTCATCTTATATCTACCAAAGAAACTTAACTATTTACAGTGATTTGGGGGGGAGAATAAGGCAGCACCTGTTCGAATAAGGTATATTTAAGATGACACCTGAAGATAGGAGAGTGCCAGGCTGAGAGGCATAAGGGAGGAGGGAAAAGGGAACGCATTCCAGGCAGGAGGAAAAGTATGTGCACAGACACTTGGCGTTTTGAAGACCTGAAAAAAATGTCAGTGTGGATGATGGCAATAAGCCTGGAGGACAGATTAGGAGGGAACACCTGCAGAGATAGCAAAGGCCTGGTCAGGGTGGCCCACGAAGGTGGTGCTAAGTATGCTACTGTGTCCTTTAATAGAAATCAGCATCAAGGATTATCATGATGTAATTTATATATTTTAAAAATCTCTCTAGCTCAGAAACACTCGAAGTGTGAGTGTCAGACCAGACCCAGATTGCGAAGTTTGTTACCAGGCAAACGTTGTTACCCATTAGATGGTATAGAATTTGAGCATAAGCATTCAGAAACTTTCTTAGCATTTGAAACTGCTGTAATATCCAAGCATATATGCATAAATATATATATGCATATATCCAAATATATATTTATGCATATATCCAAACATATATGTCTGTGTGTGTATTGGATACTATACACACACACACACACACACACACACACATATATACATGCATATATATATATATATCTCCAAGATATAAATATATTGCATTTTACAAGAATATTGATCCACAATGCATTGGGGGAAAAAACACTTAGCCTTTTACCATAGTTTATAAAACACTGCTCTAGCTAAGGGACCTAGTGGGATGAAGTGTAGTTTGGAAGAAAGGAACCCATTTGGGAGAGTATTAAGGGAGTGATGTTGACACAGGTTAGATTAAAAGTCATGGAGATGGAAAGAATGGACAGTTTTAAATAAAGTTTAGAAGGGCAGATAGGCAGGACCTGGTGATGGGCTGGGAGGTAGGGAAAAAGAGAAGTGGGCCTTAGGGCTGTCTCCCAGGTCTCCAGAGAGAAAAACTGCATTAACAGAGACATCACATAATGAGATGTGAGTTACTGGAAAAAGGAAAGTGAATTCAACTCAGAATTGCTTTGCATTTGCCATCACAACTTTTGTCTTGAAACTTCTAATGATCATTGAAAAGGAAATACATCCTTAAGGCTGAGACACATTATCGTTTTATTTTAATTAGAGGCCACCTACAATACAGAAACAAGTCAACATAATTCACTTTTCTAATCAAAGAGAATTCTTTGAGAGCAGAAGAGATATAGCATCCAAATAAATGAGGGGTAATTTTCTTAATGAACTAAGTCATCATGAATCACTGTGTGGAATCCCGCCTTGTGCTGTAGAGCCTGTGACATTTCCAACAATGCAACACTATTTGGTAAATATTAAAGGCTGCTAGAGAAAGGGGATAAGAAATGACCTTTCAATCTATATGGAGCAAGTTAATTACTAAAAAGGCAGCAATTGGTTGTAAAGGACTGTTCTGCTGTCGTCACCACTGAAGCATGCCTGTGCCTTTTGGTTATGAATTATCCTTGGAAGAAATATGGACACATGACATTAACATTTACAATGTCATTCAGTATAAATATCCATTCTTAAAAATGTCTTTGGGCCCTGCACAGTCTTAAATATGGGTAGGTTTTTAAGCTTAAATATATTTTTGAGCGTTCTCCTGGAAACTACTAACAAGGCAATATAGCGCCATGGGAAGAGTACCAAAGGAGAGTCATAAGTCCCTTGTTTAGAATAATGAATCAGTCGCTTAATACCAATGTGAGCCAATTGGATTTTATTTAACCCATATTGTCCCAAACTTATTTGATTACAGAAACTTTTTTATTTCATAACAGCACTTGATATACCATCTCTTTGTAGAATTTGCATTGGTGTAATGGGTCACAGCATGGGAATTTGGAACACTGCACCTGGTTAGATTTTCAGCTCTACTATTTTCTAAATGTGGACATGGAGACTCTATGACCAATGCTTGTTTTCTTTGTTAAGTGCGAATAAAATACTTTGTCTGCTTGAATTGTTGCTAAAATAGATAAATAAAATAAATAAGTAAATAAAACATGTAAAGTGATTGTCTCACAACTAGCCAAATCATACAGTTCAATACATAGCAGCCATGTTTTATTTTTTTGTATCACCAGTGCCTGAGACAGGATAAATGCTCATGGTCTGTTGAAGGCCTTCTGGGAAGATGGTGAGGGAGTCAAGAATGCAGGATAAAGAGTTAATCAGCATTGCTGAAACAAGAATCCAAGTTTCCTGTGGCACAGTTCTAAGTCTCTTTCACTATAGAGTACGGCTTCTCCAAGCTGGAAGAGACTCCCATGTGTAGCTGGGAAAGGAGAAATGGAGAAGTGGGGAGAGAATTAAGTAAAAAGAATATTAGTATAAAAGAAAAGATGAGAAATTAAGTAAGACAGGGGAAGGAGAAAAGAGATAGAAGATGGATAGAATAGAAGATAGATAAATAGAAAAAGGAAGGAAAGAAGAAAGGGAGAAGAAAGAAGAGACAAAGAAGAAAGGAAGGAGGATAGGGAAAGGGTCTGTTATGGATAAAATTAAGTCACCAAATAAAATCTCAAGTCATAGAAAACTGCAGTTAGACTCATAACAACTAAAGCATTATTCAGCAGGTGCTAAGTTTTTCACAATAGAATCAAATTTGTTCAATCCTGACCTGGCTTTTATGCACTGGGTGACCCCAGATGAATTTGCCTAGCCTCCATAATGCTCCATTTTCTTCTTTAAAATATTTATCCTTTTAGGGCTAGTACAAGAAAATAAGACAATACATGTAAAAAAAAAACTTAGCTCTGTGGCAGGACCATGTTAACAGTCAATCAAGTCGTGGTTATCACAGTCAGGGTGTAACCTGTGGTGCTTTCAGAATCGAAAACCTCAGGGCCAGATCAGTACCAAGAAAGAAGATTGACAAAAAAGGAGGAAATATACGGATGAATTAAACATTTATGAAGTAGGGTTCAGTCTAATGTGAAGGCTCCTAGAAATAAACACTTAAATGAGAGATTTTATAACAGTGAGATGGATTCCTTGCATTTATTTATTTATTCATTTGAGACAGAGTCTTGCTCTGTCTCCCAGGCTGGAGTGCAATGGCATGATCTTGGGCTCACTGCAACCTCCAACTCCCGGGTTCAAGCGATTCTCCCTGACTCAGCCTCCCAAGTAGCTGAGATTACAGGGGCCCACCACCACGCCTGGCTAATTTTTGTATTTTTAGTAGAGATCTGTTTTCGTCATGTTGGCCAGGCTGGTCTCGAACTCTTGACCTCAGGTGATTCTCCTGCCTCGGCCTCCCAAAGTGCTGGGATCACAGGTGTGAGCCACAGTGCCTGGCTGCACGTAATTTTTAAAGCATAGTATTAGATATTTTTTCCTAATAGGTAATTGTATTAAGTCTAGGAGAAAAAAAATAAAGATGATATTTTTTAAACCAAGTATTTAAGATCAGGCATATAGGTTGGAAGGTAGTATAATTTAACAGACCTACTAACAGCCTGAAATATGTTTTTCAAATGAGCTTGAATATTTATGCAAGTAAAATTAGGAAGCATGACATATAGAGGAAGGGGCTTCCTTTGTTGATCAATTCAATGAATGCAGTCAAAATTAATTTCTCAAGATCTGAAAATGTGACAGAAGTGAGCAAATTCCTGTGTTTGAACTCAGAAAATTTCAGAAAGAGGGGTGATAAGGAAACCCTGCTTGCCTTTTAAATTTTTGAGAGTGTTTGGATGTACTAAAAATGGGTAGAACAATGTTCATGAATAGGACTTAGGAAAGGATGGTATAAAAGAGAACAGGCTGAAAGAATCAGAGGCACAATATTGTAATAATTATCCCTAGCAATGGAATGAGCCTGCCTTGAGAGATAGTGAGCTCTGCATCATTGGAAGCATCAAACTGGAATTTGATATGGATGATGATCTATCACTTACAGAGCCCAGAAATAAAGCCACACACCTACTGCCATCTGATCTTTGACAAAGCTGACAAAAATGAGCTGTGGAGAAAGGACTTCCTATTCAATAAATGGTACTGGTACAGCTGGCCAGCCACATGCAGAAGAATAAAACTGGACCCCTACATTTCACCATATACAAAAATCAACTCAAGATAGATTAAAGATTTAAATGTAAGAACTCAAATTATAAGAATCCTAGAAGAAAACTTAGGAAACACCATTCTGGACATTGGCCTGGGGAAAAAATTTATAACTAAGTCCTCAAGAGCAATTGCAACAAAAACAAAAACTGGCAAGTGAGACCTAATTAAACTAAAGACTTTCTGCACACCAAAAGAAACTATCAGCAGAGTAAACAGACAACCTACACAATGGTATAAAATATTCTTGAACTATGCATCCAACAAAAAGTCTAATATATAAAATCTATAAGAAGTTTAGACAATTCAACAAGCAAAAAACAAAAACCACATTAAAGAGTGGGCAGAAGACATGAATAGACACATCTCAAAAGAAGAGCTACAGGTGGCCAAAAAACATATGAAAAAATGCTCAACATCACTAACCACTAAAGAAATGCAAATCAAACCCACAATGAGATATCATTTCACACCAGTTAGAACGGCTTTTGTTAAAAAGTCAAAAAAAAACAGACACTGGAGAGGCAGTGAGAAAAGGGAACAGGTATACATACACTTTTGATGGGAATATAAATTAGTTCAGCCACTGTGGAAAGCAATTTGGAGATTTCTCAAATAACTTAAAACAGAACTACCATTCAGGCCAGCAACCCGATTATATCCAAAAGAAAATAGGTCATTCTACCAGAAAGACACATCCACTCGGACGTTCATCTCTGCACTATTCACAATAACAAAGACATGGAATCAATCTAGGTGCCCATGAGTGGTGGACTGGATAAAGAAAATGTGGTACATATACACCATGGAATACTACACAACCATAAAAAAGAATGAAATAATGTCCTTCGCAGCAAACTGGACGCAGCTGGAGACTACTATGCTAAGCAAATTAACACAGGAACAGAATACCAAATGCCACATGTTCTCACTTATAAGTGGGAGCTAAACATTGGGTACTCATGGATGTAAAGATGGAAACAGTAGACACTAGGGACTACCAGAAGGAGCAGGAGGGGAGGAAGACATGGGTTGAAAAACTAACAGTTGGGTACTATGCTCACTACCTGGGTAACAGAATCATTCGTACTCCAAACCTCAGTATCACACAATTTACCCAGGTAAGAAACCTGCACATGTAGACCCTGAATGTAAAATAAAGGTTAAAATTATGTTTTAAAAAAATTGAAGAGGTGATGTCTTCACCGAACAAGGGTGTTGGATTAATTCATCATTTCCCATGGTATTGCTCAAAGTACTGCTACAACATATTAATAGTTATAAAAAATAAAGAGAGGCTAATTCCCTGGTAAAGTAAGTTTGGGAAACATTAAGCAGTTAAACCATGTCACAGAATCTTTTGTTTTGAGACTTTCCATTAGGAGATATTAATATGCATCATTTCCAATAGAAAAATGAAACGCTTCTGCAAGATGCATTCCATGCTGGGGGCAGGGGAGGGATGTGTGGTGAAACGATTTTTAGGAGACGTTAGTATATATGATCTGCAAAACATTTTCAACTTGAAGAATCCATGAGTCTCTATGAGGAAACCACACCAATAGACCTAGCTGTGGTGAGGTCTAATGGCGTTAACAGTTAGAAAATTAAGAGTACAGGCATGATAGCAAAATTAGGGACCTGTAACTAAAAGGAGGTAAAAGAGAAGAATGAGGGAAATAAAGGCACCAACATTGTAGAGATGTCTCTGAGTAACTGGGACATGAATATAGTGGTGGACATAAGTGGATTAATAGACTATGTATTGCAAATAGAAAAAAAAAGACAATGGGAGAATTAGATAACAAAACAAGAGCCATAAAGAACGGGAAGGACATGAAGTAGTGTTGGTTGTGGGTGTGTCTTTTATTTTTAAGCATGAGATGTACCTGGCTTCAGACCAGACCAGTGTGGACATAGTCAACTTCCTTCCCGATGGGAAGAGCCCCTCAGGAAATCCAGCCAGAAAACTTCACAGGAAATGTGGATTCAGACAAGATTGGCTCTTCATGCAGAGAATGTCCTTAGGCACACCAGTCTGATGAAACCACTGTCCCCTTCCTTCATGGGATGTAGCTGTCTGGTGAACTGAAATTGGTGCACATTTTCTTGGATTAAGCACTCATTAAGAGCATGCTTGAGTCTCCAATTCTCCTTTTCCCCAGCCTTGGGGAAGTCATAATATTAATACTTTCTTAATGTCAAGCACCACTTCCTAATTCCCTCATGACTGGTCATAAGTTGTCCTCTGCAGAATTTCCCCTTCACTGCCTCTCCAGTGTTTATCTAATACCCTCAGAATGTGCACTCTAGCAGCACTTCCCTGGTCAAATCTTAATCTGACCTTTCCTTCTTCTCTTCCAAGTTTTGACCTTTTGTGGCAGAACTCGAGCTAGCCTCTGATAAGCAAAAAGCTCTACTCTTCTCCATTGTTTTGTGAGCCACTAAGCTGAACCTGATAAAAGACAAAAGAGAGATCCAGCTCTTTTAAATGAGCCATACCTGTCCCTTCCTGTTACTGCTGTACCAGATACCTGGTCTGGGACCTCTCAACAGCTTCCATCAAGAAGAACCTCATATTTCTCACCAAACCCATAGCTTAAGGAGTCACATTATAGCACTTCAGTATATCTGGGAAGATTAGAGCCCATAAAAAAATGCTTTGGCACCAGCAATTTAATGCTTAAAGCTCTAATCTGGAATTGGTATATTTATCCTGGTCTTTAATTATTAATGTTGCTTTATTGATCTGATTCCTAAAATGCAAACAACAAAAACTGTTCAAACTAATTATTGTGGGCTTTCTACCTTTTGGGGCTTCTCTACTAGTCTTCGAATCTAAACCTTTTCATACACCAATCGATAGGGTTTAATTCATTAACAAGTTCTAGTGCCTTGTTTCCACTGCTTGGCGAATTTCCCCCCATCAACAGGAAGTGCACTAAACTCCTTCCCTGGCAATAGTTACATATCCTATATAAATGTATTTTCCTTGGAATTTTAAAACCAAGTTTAACAACCCAATTTCCTGGTATTTTGTGCCCAATGGCTGGCCGTTATTCATAAAAGTCATTGTATACTTCTTGATCTTAACACAAAGACATTTTATCCCTAAGGAATCTTATACACTGGAATGAGATGGTACCAGCATGCAGACATAAAGTCACCTTGACACCTGCTTATGCATTTTTGTTGGGCCAATCAGCAATGTCAGTTAGGTAGAAATGCATTCTGAATAATATTTATAGATGGAGAGTCTGATGAGCTAAAGTAGGGTGCTACTTGTGACAATTGTTTATTTCTGGGCCACTAAACCCGATTTTTGATTCATGAGCATGGCTTCTGTCCACATCCCAGGCAGCTCACTGCCTTCTATCTTGTGCTATTGGCTATAAAGGTAGGAGGAGGTAGAAGCATGCCATGGTCTGCTCCACCATTAGAGGAAACTTCTTTGAAGTGATTCTTAGAAAGAGAAATGTTAATTAGGCATTTACTTACTTAAACCACTGCTTGGCACATAGTAGGCACTCCGTAAATGTCTGTAATGAATAAGTGAATGCCAATGGTCAGGTTCTTTGCCATTAAGAAATTTACAGTCTCGTGGGGATTCAAGTGAAGATGCCACATTCATGCTCTTTATCGCTTATGGGAACCCCAAGGACGGTATATGGCATTCTCTGGCTTCCATACATTCCTCTAGACCCTCTTGAATATAATTATAGATTCTGTTTGTATCACCTCTTGGGATAACGATGACCATATGTTAAAATTCTCAGTGGAAAGTAGGAGGACTATATTTATTTTGTTGGTTAAATTATCCACATGCCCTCAGGAAATCATTAGATTTAATATACTCAAGGTGCTACAAGAAGGTTCACACCAACAGAGTAGAGACATTTTTTCTTTGCCTTGAGGCACCTACAATAAAAACAGAACAAGTCAAACTCATAAGAACTAAATGAAATATGATACATATTTTCATTTTATATCACCCTACATTTTGAACACAGTACACATTAAGTTTATAATTGTTAAAAGCACACATTACTAATGACACTATTTGTGATACCTGAAATAACTCTTGAAGGATTTTTCAGAAAATATTCTGAATCTCTTCTCAGTGGTATTGCCTTCCTTCCAATACAATTCAATTTGAGTTTAAAGAGATAGGCCAGGTACAATGGCTCACGCCTGTAATCCCAGCACTCTGGGAGGGTGAGGTGGGTGGATCACTTGAGGCCAAGAGTTCAAGACCAGCCTAGCCAACATGATGAAACCCCATCTCCACTGAAAATACAAAAATTAGCCAGGCATGGTGGCAAGCGCCCATAATTCCAGCTTCTTGGGAGGCCGAGGTGGGAGGATCACTTGAACCTGGGAGGCGGAGGCTGCAGTGAGCCGAGATCGTGCCACTGCACTCCAGCCTGGGTGACAGAGTGAGACTCCATCTCAAAAAAAAAAAGAGTTAAGACAAAGTGATAAAGTGATCAGCAAGTTCCAAAATGCTGAGGACTAAAACATTTGGCTGTGTTCCCAAATGCATGTGCCAAATGAACATCAGAAAGACTGACAGGCTTTTTCTGAGGCCTGGCATAAATGAGTTAAAGGTGAAAGGTGACAATATTATATGCATGTGTTTATATATAAATCCTAGAAAGATTATAAAATATTAAAATCTTCTAAAGTAATATAATGCAACATGATGGAAGTCGATTACAAGTCCATTTTAATTATTAAAAATTAATAATTTAAAGTTTACATATTTATTAAAAATATATCCTCTAAATTTTTTTCTGTGCATAATTTTCTTTCATAAATGCATAGTGATGTTTCAGAGGATCTATTTTCTTTGTTCTGCCTTGCCAACTAAACAGAATTTTATGTAGTTAGGTAGAGAATGGCTAAGTCTTCTCTCTCTCAAGATATATGACAGCCATAAAAAATCCCAGGAGCAGAGATGATGTCATATAGAAGACTAATTAACACACCTACTGGATAATGTATGTTATATGGTCTTTAAATTTTTATTAAGGTCACTAAGAAGTATGGCTTAGAACTAATGATGATGAAGAGTTTGGGCTCAAACACCACCTGTGGGAGTGAAAAATAGTGGTGGATTTATTGTATAAAAATCATGGGATCTCCTTTATATCTTTGTTGCCAAAGTACATCATGTCTAAAAGAGACCTCTCCAAGAGATTGAGACTTCAGGCAGTCATAGGAGGTTGTCAGGGCAACAAGTAGAGAGATGGCATCTGGGTAGAAGGAGGATCATGGCAAAGGCATAGAGATGTGATAGTCCATGACCTGCTTAGGGAATTTCCAGGCTTTTAAAACAGGAGGTGGAATATGGTGGAAGAAGAGATGGAAGAGAGAGGGTGATATAGAAGCCATAGTGTTGCAGAGACATTTTGTATTGTTTCTGGTGGAAAATGAGAGTATAGCAGACAGAGTAGTGATCACTTCTCATCCATTCACTCCTCATTTCTGCATTCTTGCACTTAGGGGCAGCCCTGTTACCAGCTCTGGCCAATAGGCTGTGGGCAAGTGTGATAAATGTCACTCTCAGGCTGAAATTAACAAGAAATGGACCCAAACATCCTCAGTCTCCCTCCCTATTCCTATCTCTATCTATCTCTATCATTCTATCTCTATCTCTATCTCTATCTCTATCTCTATCTCTATCTCTATCTCTATCTCTATCTCTATGGCTATCTCTATCTATCTCTCTGCCCTGAAGAGCTACAGAACCTCCAGTTGAGAAGGCAAAATCATGAATATCAAGTAACCACATGGAGGAAAGCTCTTATAGGGAGTTGCTGGTCCCACGATGGACTTGGCATGAGCAATAATAAACAAATCTCTGTTGGGTTAAGCAACGAGGATTTTCATGGACTCTGACCCAGTCTCTCTCTTAACTAACTTAGGGAGACTCTTGAGCATTCCGAGACAAAACTGACATGTTTAGATGGGCTTGTTAGGAAGACTTTCTGGGGCTGACTCAAAACAACTGAATCCTTCTGGGGAACAATGCACCTAACATTTATTGGCACTTGCAGTGAACCAGTTCTCTACATGGATGTTCTCATTTGATCCTCTTTACCCTTTGAGGTTGATGTTAAAGTTATTATTCTCATAGCTTATACAAGGTTGCAGAAATCATTGCTGCACCTAGATTCAAAACCAGTCTGTGATGCTTGAGTAACCAAACTCTCACCACTTTCACATAGCAGAGTCCTTGATTTTCTGTCATACTCAGCTGTCACTGATGTCCTTGATTTTCTGTCATACTCAGCTGTCACTGATGTCCCAGAATGCCTTAGAAACAAGGGTGTCAGAGTGAGAAGAGTGGTTTGCCTTTAATAGGCACAGCCCTAGAAAAATGGATATGGCTACAGCGCATACACAGACATACACATACATATACATTCCTACATGCAAAGAAGCACAGCCCACCACACACACACATACACACACACACACACACACACACACACATGCACATATACACATGCTATGTCTGCTATGTCCAGGTGATCTTCTCTGGAACGATGGTATTGTCCAATCCTTCCACATCCCCAAACTACTTATGCTAAAGCTGCCCAAAAAATTTTTTGATGTAGCCCCGCAACAGTAGGCATTTTCCTTCATAAGGACTGATGTGAGAATTGTTGAATTACACCGAGTGCCAAACACAAAGAATATGATAAAGGAGGCTGAACCCTGAGGGCTGCTTTAATGACCCTGTTGAAGTCTCAATTCTGTCAATATTTACTAGCCAGGCACAAGGTACTGAGTTTCTCACTGGCATATACTAACAGGCATCAGTGAAGACAGCTGATTTGACTCAACCAACAATGTCCACGTTCTTTTGTGGTTCACTGGTATACTAAATCTGCATGGACAGTTCCTGTTCCATTTCCTGTGAGTTCTGTGTTCCATCCAAGGACTCATTCTTTCATTTTCCCTACCCATCTCTGATGGGTCTCCCAAACATCCCAGAGTTCTGAAAATATAAGATGAGCACCATTTTATCAGTTACCTCTGTGTCCTTCATTGTTGAGTCCCTGTCATAATGGTTCTCTTGATGAAACTAAGAATGACTTAGGAACGCTATTAAAATGAAATTTCCAAGCCCCTCTGACTCCTGGAGATTCTAATTCAGTATGTATGATGGTTAATTTTACGTGACTTCTCAGCCTCTGTAATTGGGTGAGCCAATTCCTCATCATAAATCTCCACTTATGCATATAAATCTCTGGAGAACACTGATTAATACAGTAGGTTTAAGGCAAGATCCATAAATTAGCATTTATATGATGAAACCCAGACAACTGTGATGCAAGTAGATCACGATTTGTGGTATAAGCTGGCCACTAATGATACAGTCTGCATAGCTGGCCTCAGGAAGCTTCCAATCTAGTAGAACTATAGACATAAACACCAATACATGGCATCACAGAAGCAGTATGTATTTTTAAAATATGATACTATTGTCAGCTGGAGTTGAGAATCACTAATACGGGAGACACATTATTGCTCCTACTTAGCTAGCATCGTGGCTAGAGAAATGAGCTCCAGGATCTGAAGAACTGAGTTTCATCTCAGAGATGTTTTCTCCAAGCTGTGTGACACAAAATAGCCATTGTTATCTGCAATGTCCCCAGCAAAGGGCTTGTTCCTGTTCCTCAACCTGGATACTGCAGGACCATCTTCTGTTTGCATCTCTCAGAATCTCATGTCTCACTTTGCTCTGATTAACACAAATCCTTTGAGATGTGTGATGTTTTCCAAGGCACTCTTATTTGAGAAAGAAAGCAATGTTGGGTAAAACCAAGTGGATAACCAAAAAACAACACAAAGGAACAGTAAATGATTAAGATTGAAGTTCGTCAAGAGGTTACAATGGGTTTATGCCACCGGTAGCAACAGGAAGAACAATGCATTTAAATCCACATCTTTCATTCTCTTCTGCCAACTGCAAATCACTAACCCACTCAAGTGGCACCTTCTCTGGGAAGCACTTTTTTGTCCCACCCACTTCCCAGACTAAGTTCCCATGAGCTTCCTTGGGGTTTTGTAAATACCTCTACTCGTATGTGATACCATGCTCCTCTTCCTCTTTTTAATGTTTGCTTATTTGTCTGTTTTTCTACTGGCCTTGAATCACTTGAGGGGAAAAGCTGTCATTACAGATTCTCAATTCTGATTTGTTGTTTAAATCAATTAATTTCTGCCGTCTTTTAAGTTAACACAGAAGTCTCACATGGAGTTTATTTAATAGAACCTGAGTGTTGGAAGAGATATTGACACATTCAAACATCGAAGCTCAGAAGTTCGAAGGGATTTGCATGAAGTCGCCCCACTAATAGAAGACAGACTTGAAATCAGGTGGGTCTTACCCTGATTTCCCCCTCAGTGCCCCTGTTCCAGCTTGTATAATCCTTATGCAGAGGTCTGAGGAACCCATGATGGTACGATTCTAGACAATCTTAATTAAGTTACATGATTCCAAAGATGTTCATCAGTGTGCAAAATGAAAACCAAGTACTGTGTCAACAGCCGGGATCCAGGTAAACATAAATAAGTCATCTGCAGGAGCTCATTGGCCTTTGAATCTATTTGAACCACATTCTAATTCCCCTTCATCACCCTTATCCATCATTTATTAGATGTTGTCTCTGGAAATTCCGATTCCTACCATAGTAGCGTCACAAATAAAGCACTTTCTTTGCCTACTTCCTTGAGTGTGTTCTAGGAAAAGAAATTGACTTCTCTGAAGATGTTAATGACTCTATGGTACACAGAAATTCTCATTTAACTCACTGTGTTCTTCCTCTGTCTGTCCAATGCATAGGGTCTTCCTTTAATTATGATTTTAACATTTGCTCTTGGTTATAACTTTGAGCTTTTCCACTAAAAACAGTTTAGCTTTCAATTTCTCTTCTACTTTCCCCGTCTCTGTTACCAACATTTTCCTTTAGGAACACCCCTGCTTCAAATACCACCATGTTGGCCTAGTGCTCCCACCTTCTCAGCAACAGGTTTGGTCAGTCCCCTGGGGCCTCCAGGTTGAGGTCATCTTACTTCAGTAGGAGAGATACTGTGGGAAGCATTCTGTGGGTTTGAAGATGCTGTGAGACCATGAAGGAGCATGAGGGGACCTTTGGAAGCTTAGAAAACCCTTATCTTCTGCACTAGTGAATATAGAAAACAATGTGGGGAGGCAGAGGTTGGCAACAGCACCAAGTAGGGAATCAGTGCCAAGAAGATACTTAGGATTTCATATTAGGCCCCTTGCCCAAACAGCCAATGGATCCGAAATTGCCCACAAAAAGCAAGAACTTGGCACAGGATGGGAGGTGATGAGTATGCACGATGCTCGGTTATGCAAAGAAGGGAGGCTGATGGGAAAAATTTCAAGTCGTAGATCTAGACAATGTCTGGATAAGTCTCATGGAGCCAGAGAATGTCTCAGGCAAGGGCTGCAGTGATTTTGTTGCAGAGAGAAAATAAATGTTCTGCCAACATTGTATTGAGAAAGGGAGGGAGAGAGATCCATATGAAAGAAGAGCACTTAGAAGCATCTGTCAGTAGGCTAGGCCAATGTTGTAGGGCTTAGAGGAGTTGATGAGTTGCATGTAGCATGGGTAAATACTCAATGAGTAGAAAGCTCACTTTGGTTTATCCCCATCTAGCACCATCTAATGTAAGCAGATGACACATATGTGAAGTCAGGGGAGAGAATTATCTTACATGGATACAAGTCACTCTGTAATATTCTTTACCTAGATTGTCAAAATGTATTTTTAGAACAGATTTATCATGCAATGTCAATAGGCCCATGGGGCTGGTACTAGGGTAAGGTGAGTGGGACACCAGCTTCCAGTATAAAAATTAACGGGGAGCCCTGGATGTGCAAAACTTGGACTCTTGATTCACCCCAATCCTGGTCCCTTAGGTCCCTTTAAAAAAAATTTGATGTTTTGATCATGGTGGATCTTTTTGCATTGTTTGAATTTTATTAAATACTGCATTAAAATATTATTTATTTTGATCACTAATATTTTTGGCACCCTCTTAGATCTTGCACCTGCAGTGAATAATGCTCTCACCTCACCTTACTCCTGGCCCTGAGGCTCATTTGCAAATGAGGAAAGTGAGGCTCAGATAACATTTGTACTTTGGCCAAGGCCACATATCTAGTTAGCATAAGAGCTGATTTGAAACTCAGCACACCCTGACTCCCGAGCCCCACTGTTTCCACCCTACCTGCTGTCTCTATTTGAAAAACTTATCTATTACCACCTGTGCAGGTAACAGCACAAGGCACCATGATGCCATCCCCAAAAAAAAGATGTCCCTAAAGGACAATGGAAGTGGGGGAAAGTGGAAGAGAGATACATTGCTAAACTCTTTTCAATGGGAAAGTTTAGTTCTAAAATAATCAAGAGCCATTATTAAAATAGGAATTGCAAGAAGATGCTATGCACTGGCCAGGCAGCTGTGGAACCTACTGAGTTGAGTGAGAATTTCTGAATACCGAGTGATCATTAGCATCTTCAGAGAAATCACTTTTTAGAACGGACTCAGAGAAATAGGAAAGAAAAACACTTTAGGATGATGCCGTGGAAAGAATGGGAATTCCCAGAGACAACATGTAATAAATGATGTGTAAGGGTGATTAATGAGAATTAGGCACGGGATTAACATTGAAAGACCAATGAGCTCCCGCAGATAACATTATTTGTTTTTTACCTGGAGCATGACCATTCTACTGCCTTAGTGGGAAACAGTTTGTGGAGGAGCTGGACTTTACCACCTGCAAAATGTAATGCTCAAATCAATTTTTGGTTGTCGTATGTCTATTTTTGCTAATTAAGTTATTTTAAAAGATAGTTTCTGTCTCCTCCATGAGCCATAAGCTCATTGAGGACACACATTATGCCAGTTTTGCCTACTGTTTTAACTCTTAGGCATAGTCAATGCTTAATAAATATTTTTGAATAAATAACGGATTTTGAATGAATTTCAAAATGTATATCTCAGAGATAGGCAATCCTATATCTCTGCCAGTGGCTAAGTGGTGTTGTAGACTTAGCCCTCTCAGTAGATGGATATATGCTCCCTTAGGACCACAGCATGCTGGCTTTGATCTGCTCATTGAAGAAGCCACAGTTACCCATGCTTTGGGTCATTGGTATCTGCTCAACTATCTGCTTAAAATGATTATGAGCATAGTTTTCCCATGTCCGACATTTTTTGTTTCTCTCAACTCAGCTTTCATGTTACCTCCTGGGAGAAACTTTCTCCGACCAGCTAATTTTTTCTTTTTAATTGGTGTTTTTAGTTTTCGTTCAGCCTCTTTTCCACACTATCCATCATTCTGACTCATTTTTTTTTTTTTTTTTTTTTTCACAACATCTTCTTCTCTCTGCAAGGGTCTCATTTCATTCTATTTGCATTCTGGCTTACTTTCTGATTTTCCCGCTAGAATCTTATCTCCTTGAAGGTATACACATCATTGGTCTTGTTTAGAGCTGAGAAGGCATTCTCACTTTGGAAACGCTTGATAAATAATTCTGGACAGACAATTAAATGGGTTGATGGATGAATGAAAATGTGGCCATCTTACTATTTAGTCTTAAAAAGAATGAGAGAGACTTGTGTGAATGAATGTGGGCAAATCTTTAAAACACATTGGACAAACAAAAAGAATGAAAAATATTCACAGAATGACCCAATGCGGTTTTAAGTTAAATGATATATGTGACTATTTAGACGGAATCACATTTTTGAGCTGATCTAAAGATGGTTATACAGGAAGCAGTATGGAATAAATGATCTTGCTTTATGGAAACATACTTTTAAAACTTGGATCATATAGTTCACAAGTGACTCTCGCCAATCCAGGGAAGGGAATGACATATGATCCTTCCAATCCCAGCAAAATGCTGATTGTGATGGAGATCCCAGAGACAGATCTAAATTCTCAATTTAGGGTGTTCAGCACTGTGCCGGGCACAGAGCAAACACTCATTGTTTGTTCATTGGATGAGTGAGATAAGGTAATTTAACGTAAACGAAAGTTGAAACATTTTATGCCTCTTGAGAAGAGGCACAGTCTTTGAGAAGTCATATGAAGGGACCTCTATGTGATGTCAAATTTGGGCCAGTTACATAGGCAAAGAATAAGAAGCTCCCACAAATAGTAATACAAGGCACAAATAAAGTCACTAGAGCAGGTAAATAGGAAGCAGATTCTGAGATGGAGATTTTCATGCAGAAACTTTGCTTTAAAAAGCTTTCAGGCCAGGCGCGGTGGGTCATGCCTGTAAATCCTAGTACTTTGGGAGGCTGAAGTAGGCGGATCACCAGAGGTCGGGAGTTTGAGACCAGCCTGAACAACATAGAGAAACCCCATCTCTACTAAAAGTACAAAATTAGCTGGGCATGGTGGTACATGCCTGTAATCCCAGCTGCTAGGGATGCTGAGGCAGGAGAATCGCTTCAACCTGGGAGGTGGAGGTTGCTGTGAGCCAAGATCACGCCATTGCACTCTAGCCTGGCCAACAAGGGCAAAACTGCATCTCACAAAAAAAAAAAAAAAAAAAAAAAAAAAAAAAATGTGGGTTAGGCTTTTATACCATTGCATTTACCAGCCATTGAATGTGACCTGCCCCTGGGAAGAAGGCATGATTTTGAACCAAATAGCTCTCATCAGTCAAAGACAGCTGCAGGAATAAGTGCCTAAGTGCCTTGGTCCTGAATGTGGGTCTCATGGCACCCCACTGCATCAACTATCCCACCAACCCAATGCAGAAAATCTGTATAATTATCCTAAGAATACAGACATTAATAATTGGAAGTTATTATAGCTAGCTCTCAGGTTAGCATGTGTGTTCATTCATTTTGCATTGATTTACAGGAATACCTGAGGTTGGGCAATTTATAAAGAAAAGAGGTTTATTTTGGCTCATGGTTCTGCAGACTCTGCAAGAGGTATAGTGCCAGCATGTGCTACTGGTGAGCCCTCAGATAGCTTAAAATTATGGCAGGAGGTGAAAGGAGCAGGCACATCTATGGCAAGTGAGGGAGCAAGATAGACACCATGCTTTTTTAAATGACCAGCTCTCACATGAACTATTAAGGCTAGAACTCACTGATTACCCTGGGGAGAGAACCAAGCCATCCATGAGGGCTTGACCTAAATGCCTGTCACTAGATTCCACCTCCAACATTGGGAATCACGTTTCAACATGAGATTTGTAGGGGATAAATATCTAAACTATATCATTGGGTGAATTTAACAACTCTGAACTAAGTCTTATATCGCAAAGCTCCAACTTAAATAATAATAATATGCATTAAGCCATTCAATATTTATTGAGTGTCTACTAAGTGCTATGGATATAGCAGAAGAGAAAAAAAAAGCAGATGAATAGTCCTCCCTTGTTTCAGCTTATGTTCTAGAGAGAAGATACAGACAAGATAGATATAGCTAGCTAGATGAATGATGGATGGAAGGAGGGACGGTTGGCTAAACAGCAAGATGGATGGAGATAGATGGATGGATGGATGGGCGGGTGATGGATGAATGGGTGGGTAGATGAATAGATGAATAGACAGATGAATTAGTCTGAGATTGTGGAAATCACATAAAGAAAAATAAGGCAGAGGAAAGAGTGAAATAGTACTGGGGCAGACATGAAATTCAGAATTCAGTGTTTTATAAATGATCATGCAAGACCTCACTCATAAAAAGCAGCTTTCAGAATTTTGAGCAAAGCCCCAAAGGAAGCAAGCGATCAAGCCATATGTAAACCTCGGGGAAGATGTTCCTGGCTAGGAGAACAGTGGTAACAGCTAGCATTTCCTGAAAGTTTATCATGTGACAGAAACCCTGCTAGGTGTTTTACATACTTTATCTTGTTTAATCCTCTAACAGGTAATATTAGTTTCCTTTGAGAAAACTGAGACCTAGAAAGATTAAGGGATTTTGTTTTCCCAAGGTCAATCAGCCAGTAAGTGTAGACACCAGGATTCAAATCCAGTGTGAAACTTCAAAGCCTGCCTCTGAGGAAAAAGACAGAAGGGGAAACTGGGCTATACTTGATTAATAGAAACGTGTTCCACGACTGGCCCCTCAAAATTGGTCATGACTGGGCATGGCTGGACACTCCACCTAGTAGTACAGCAGCAGAAGCATTAACCCCAGCAGCCTGATTCCAAAGCCTGGGTGGCTAACCACTGGCTTCCAAAGAGCCGCAGACTGGGTGGTGCTGGCTGGTTGGTCCGGTTAAGATTTTAATGCCCTAAGCAGGCAGGCCAGTTCAAAGCACTCATAGAGTGCTACCTTAGCCAGGTTTCCCTGTGTCCTATTTTGCAAACCAATCAACCAGTCAACCAACAAACAACAACAACAAAAAGGGGGACCCCAGGGTTCAGTGAGAAGAAACACCAGGAACATCCTGGACTAGCATCAGACAGACAGTGTGGCTGCCATTGTTCTTAGGGAGACCCACAATTGGCTTCACGCCCTCAAGCCCCATTATATTCCATCAACCCTTTGATAGAATTATGGCCTCCTTGGCACCTGTCCCCCCACCTCCAACATCCTCTCCAGCGCCCCCAGGCCACCTTACCCCCAACAGGATGCAGCCTCGGTGCTTGGAGACAGACGGATTTAACTGTGGATAATTTGGATCTCACCCAATATCTCACATTTGGCTTTTCTCACACAAATGAAGCTGATTCTGCATCAGAAAACCCTTCAGCTTTTTCTAGCATACCCTTTCTGATCTGAGGGAGACATTAAAAAGAGGCTAAACGAACTGTGATTGTGTGCTGTTTCTTTCACCCAGGTTAGATCTGACTATGGGCTTATTTCTCACAAGAGTCTTACCAGGTAGCTTGATTTCTTTTATTTACCTTTCTTTCTTTTACCTTTCTTTCTTTCCTTCTTTCTTTCCTCCTTCTCCTCCTTCTTCTTCTTCCTCTTCTTATTATTCTCCTTCCTTCCTTCCTTCCCTCCTCCTCCTCCTTCTCCTTCTTTCTTCTTCCTTTCTTTCTATCTCTTTGTCTCTTTCTCTCTGTTCTTTCTTTCTTTCCTTCCTTCCTTCGTTCTCTCCTTCACTCATTTTTTTGGGACAGGGTCTTGCTCTGTCTCCCAGGCTACAGTGAAGTGGCATGATCTTGGCTCACTGCAGTCACCACCTCCAGGGATGAAGGGATCCTTCCATCTCAGCATCCCAATTAGCTGGGACTACAAGCGTTTGCCAACACACCTGGCTAATTTTTGTATTCTTTGTAGAGACGGTGTCTCCCTATGTTGCCCAGGTTGGTCTTCAACTCCTGGGCTCAAGTGATCCTCCCTCCTCGGCCTCCCAATGTTCTGGGATTACAGGCATGAGCCACTGCACCGGGCCATGTTATTTTCATTTTATCAAAGAGGAAACTAAGGCAAAGACAAGGCAGCAACAAGTCCAGGCTCTGCTGCTCTAAGTTGATTCCACAGATGTCCTCGTGAAAGCATTTATCAACTTGTGTGCAAGGCACACTCAGGGACACTCATTTCAACTAATATGGAGAGAGCATGCCCTGTCTTTCAGCCAGTGAATTAAGTCTTGAAGTTATCAAGATTTAGGTTAAACACAGAGACCCTGTTCTCAAGGAGTTCGTGATTTAAAGGAGCATTCTCAGTCCTGGCTGAATTGTACTTTCACCTGCGACACTGCCCTTCCCTCTCAGAAAATCCAAGCCCAACTCCTGCAGGTGATGATGTGGGGCCTTGTGAAACTTGGCGAAGAGCTCAGAGTTGAAAATGCTGTGATCTCAACTGTCTCCTCTTCGAATCCCACTTTAAAGGCTCAATATCACACACCCATTTCATTTCCATGACTCTCTAGTGTTGGGGCTGTTCTCACCTAATGGTCTACTTTCTGGACGTGTCTGCCCTCAAGCCTGAGCAGAATCCAAAGTTGAAACCTTTAAAAAATGCAAGCTAGTAAAACATTTCTGTTTCTACACCTTTAAAACTTTCTCTTGGCTGCGTGCAGTGGCTCACACCTGTAATCCCAGCATTTTGTGAGGCCTAGGCAAGAGAATTGCTTGAGCCCAGGAGTTCAAGACCAGCCTGGGCAACAACAAGTCACCATCTCTACAAAGCATTTTTTAAAATTAGCTGGGCATGGTGGCATGCACCTGTAGACCCAGCTACTCTGGAAGTTGACGTACGAGGATGGCTTGAGCTCAGGAGTTTGAGGTTACAGTAAGCTGTGATTGCCTCACTGGACTCCAACATGGGCAAGAGAGTGAGACCCTACCTCAAAGAAAGAAACAAACAAAAAAACTCTTTCTCTTTGTTATCTTCTTGGATTCCTTCTTCATTTTTTTCTCCCGTACCTCTAAGCTATCCCTAAATGAATGCATGAAGCCCAACGCAGTTGGAGGTGTTTTAGAGGGATGGGGAGTGGGGAGAAGTACAGTCAGGGATAAATCAAATTAGGAGGAGATACAAACCTCCCCAGATGGGGTCTTCTGGCTCCCGACTTACTAAATTGCTCTGATGCCTTCCTGATATCTCCCGCTGTTTCCTATGTACTTGAAAGCAACCAAATCACCCACCCCTAATCTCCATTTTGCTTCCCCGACTGTGAATTGTTTAATCCTTTTTTAAAGTCTCTTATCTGACTCAGCAATCTCTAAAATATTTTGAAGAAGATGTTTTCTTTCCTACTGGAGAGTAGCCATCAAGTATAACTACAGGGCCATATGTTAATTAGGCATCTAATCTGCCATTTCCCAAGTGGGCTCTGATAATAGTTTTGCAGAAAAACTAAGTTTGAGATATCTCTTCCAGAAGACTCTGGTTGGCTTTTTTGTTTGGACTTTCCCTGGAAATGTATTCTCTGTAGTCTCCTATCTCAGCATTCATAATATATTTGATGTAAACCCTATCCAAGCTAAATAAATAAGACAAAAAATAAAAGACTGTTTGTAAATTTTTAAAAAAGAACACAGGTTATTAGACATTTTTATTTTCTTATTTTTTCACTTATATCTCCTCCCCTCAAAGTTAAAATGTCTTTATACTACTGGACCCCACCCAACTGTCACCACAGATGTACCTATGTTAAAATTCCTTTCATTTCCTGATCCAGCCAGATGTTTCCTGGCCACAATTATGACACTTGCTCAATGTCTTTTGGTGCATCCTTTGGCCAGGACGAAAGCTGTTTCCAGTCACCATTTTCTCACAGGGAATGAGTACCTTCCCACATGGCCTTCCTCAACCTTCCTTTCCTTTCTCACCATGGCTGCCAAGAGGGGTTTTGAGCAGCCTCCACCCATCCCAAAGCAGGGAGCATGTTCAGCAAGGAGCCCCGGAGCCCAGCCAGGTCAGCAGCATCCATGATCCAGCCTCATCCTCGGCCCTCTCTTTAATTCCTTTCTCCTGTATGGAATACCTCTTGGGTTCTGTGCCTTGAATACTTAGCTTTTTCTAAACTTTATAAATGTGATGCATCAATAAAGAATCCTGTAGGATATCTCTCCTCCACCTTGAAATGCATTCCTCATGGGGCTCAGATGATGTCACAGACTATATATTTTTTCCATAAGGTATTAATGCCTCCTATTTGGCAATCCACTTAAAATATGTGATCAAACCATTCAAAGTGATGTTGCTTATCCTAGATAATGGGGAAGAAGAGAGAACAACAAAATAAAAGAGTCACTTGTCAATCCACCTTTTCTCTGGGCAAAAATGTCCCCATATTCCAACACAAAGAACTAAATCCTGAAGGGTCAGCAATTGCATTTACTATCATAATTTATTTGGGTCAAGTAGATGGTATTGAATAGAGATGAGTATTCCTATTAGTTGTATCTAAAGCAAATCTCATCTCCCATCATGTATGTATGTGTGTATTCACATTTCATATGCACACAACCATAATCCATAGTACAAAGCACAACATGCTTTAGAACAAAACAAAATACTCAAAAGTTTCAAGCAGGCATTTCCTAATAATAGGTTTTCAATAAAGAATAACAAATATTAGCCTATCAGAGGAACTATAAATGTTAGCAAGCAAAGTAAACATTCTATTGGTAATTATTATTGGAAATGAATTAATATGTAAAACACTCAAAATGGCAGACTTTTAAAGCAAAAGTCATTGGGCTGGAGAAAGAATGTTGAATGATTGAACAAGTATAACATTGATATAATGTTGGCTATTTTGCCAAGAAGAGGAAATCGCAATTCAAGAGTTTTTATAAAGAATTATTGCCTACCTATCATGATTTTTAGACCACTTCCCAAATTGGAATGCAGTAGAATAGAAAAAAAAAAAAAAAACACTTGATTTTTCTCGGGTATCCACATTTTTTTTTTAATGGAGTCTCACTCTGTCACCCAGGCTGGAGTGCAGTGGTGCCATCTCGGCTCACTGCAACCTCTGCCACCCCTTGGGTTCCAACAATCCTCCTGCCTCAGCCTCCCAGGTAGCTGGGACTACAGGCATGCACCACTATGCCCAGCTATTTTTTGTATTTTCTTAATAGAGACAGGGTTCACCATGTTGGCCAGGCTGGTCTCAAACTCCTGACCTCGTGTTCCACTCGCCTCGGCCTCCCAAAATGCTGGGATTACAGGCATGAGCCACCATGCCCGGCCTCAGCCATCTTTTAAGGCCCTTCTTAATTTCACCTCTTTCTGATAAGATTTTCTTTGCAGGCCAGAGCTCATATTTCTTCATTTGTTCCATGAAATCCAGTTGAACTTTTTGCCCAGATATATGACATGGGGCAGCCTAGTCCAAGTTATCTTTGTTATTGAACTAGGGTATAGAGAGGTCTTTTTGGGTCGTCTGTGTGATTTCCTGCCCCTCCCCAATCTGTTCTCCTTTCAGCAGCTGGTGTCATCCTATTAAAACATGAATGTGTTCATATTATGTCCTTACTTTGAACTCGTTCACTTTTTTCAATAAGTGGAATAGAGTTCAGAGATCTTCCAAAGCTCACTAGGTCCTGTGTGATATACCCAACGCACCTTTACTGCCCTGCCCTTGTTCTCTTTGCTCAAGCACTACTGAGAACTTTCTGGCCAATGAATAAGCCACGCTCTTCCCTGCCTTAGAATCTCTGATGTTCTCGCCCAAATGCATGGAAAGCTCTCCCCCAATTTATTCTCAGTAGGTTTGGGTGGGACTCCAAAATCTGCATTTTTAATAACATCTCCAGGTGTTTTTAGTTTGTTTGTTTTATAAACATTCCTGCTTTAGAAAAGAGGGCAGCACATTTGTTCTGTAAAGGGCCAAGCAGTAAGTATTTTTGGTTTTGTGGGCCAGACAGTGCCTGTCAAGACGACTCAACACTTCCCACTGTAGTTTGAAAGAAACCATGGATAATACATAAATAAGTAGGCATGGCTAGTATTCAATAAGACTTTATTTACAAAAACAGATTTGGGAAAAAAAAGAGAGAAAAAGGAAACCAGATTTGGCTGTTGGCTGCTGCCCAGAGTTTGCCAACTCATTGGAATAAAGAAGTTCTTGAGCTGAAATATGCCTTAAAATCCCTTCAGGTGCACTTTCCACAGAACAGATATCTGTACTTCTAAAGGCATGAACATATGCATTTTTTCAAGTTCAACAAATATGTCCAATGGTCACTGCAGGATACCTATCTATTTATCCATCTGTCTATCTGTATTAGTCTGCTCCCACACTGCTAATAAAAACATACCCAAGACTGGGTAATTTAAAAAGGAAAGAGGTTTAATGGACTTGCAGACATGGCTGGGGAGGCCTCACAATCATGGTGGGAGGCAAAGGAGAAGCAAAGGCACATCTTACACAGTGGCAGGCAAGAGAAGTATAGAGTGAAGGAGGGGAAAAGCCCCTTATAAAACTATCAGATCTCATGAAAACTCACTCACTGTCATGAGAACAGCATAGAGGTAACTGACCCCGTGATTCAGTTACCTCCCACTAGGTCCCTCCCGTGACATGTGGGGATTATGGGAACTACAGTTCAAGATGAGATTTGGGAGGGGACACAGCCAAACCCTACCTCCATCTATCTGTCTATCTATCTGGACTAAAATAAGAACTTTAAAATATTTTCTTCCCTCCCATAGTAAATTGGGCTACCTTGAGAAGAAGCATCCATCCAATTCTTGGAATACTCAAGCAGGAAGCTAGTAAATCTCTGACAAAAATGATGCTCAGGAATTCCTATTTACACTCATTGAACGAAATAACACCATTATTTCCAAAATATTCCAGGGCTCAATGGTGTTCTTGAATTCGATCTTGGTATCAAATACAACTGAATTCAATTCCAGCTTTACCACTTGTAAGTGCTTAATCCTGAGAAAGCTTCTTAACCTCTCCAAGACTTGATTTGCTTACCTTTAAAATGGGAGACTAATATTTGTCTGGCATAATGCCAGTTTGGATACATAATACATAGATAAAGAAGCTACCCCAAGGCCTGTTCCCATAATAAGTTCTCAATAAATTGTGTGCATTTTCAGTATTGATATTATTAATGGTGGCCAGGCACAGTGACTCACGCCTGTAATCCCAGCACTTTGGGGGGCCGACGCAGGTGGATCACCTGAGGTCAGGAGTTCGACACCAGACTGATCAACATGGTGAAACCCTGTCTCTACTAAAAATACAAAAATTAGCCAGGTGTGGTGGCATGCACCTGTAATCTCAGCTACTCAGGAGGCTAAGGCTAGAGAATCACTTGAACCCAGGAGGCAGAGGTTGCAGTGAGCTGAGATCGTGCCACTGCACTCCAGCCTGGGTGACAGAGCAAGAATCTGTCTCAAAAAAAAAAAAGATTATTAATGTTAACATTTACTTGTTCCTCATTTCACTGCTTTGACCCTATCTCAGAAATTCCAAGTTGTACCCTGGAATGTTTACACACACAGCCATCAGTGTTAGATTTACATTTTCTCATCTCATCCTCTCGTGGTGCTTTGACAGGGCTGAGATCTATGTTAAATATCATCATTCATTTGTTGGTTTCCATTCTCTTTAACCTCATGTGTGTGTTGCCTCACTCAGTCATTCAAACGACCCTTAGCAATTCAGCTCATGAAATGTTTGCACGGGGCATTGAAATAGCTCTTACAAAAGGTTCTAGGTAGAGTTTCTGCCACAGAAACTTTCTCAGGCCATAAACAGCCTTTTAAAAAAAATATTTGGGTAAATGTTCACATTTTGAGCTCTTTTGGTGCTGAAGTTGTGGGCCCCACCTTTTGTGGAATTCTTTCAACTATCAAGACCATGTGAATCTCTGGGCTAAGAGGTCACCGTTTCTGATTCTGGGACGTGCAGTCCCTGCACATTCTTAGTCCAGGCCGGCAGCCCAGAAACTACCCTACAAAACATTTCGCAACACTGGCCTGAGTACAAGAAGTTATCAGTGTGAGCTTCCTACACATCCACATGGGGCTTCTCAGTATTTCACCTTTGGAGGAAACACAGGCCCAAATCGTTAGTTTCCAGAGCCACAGATGGTACAGATAAATCCCCAATCAATATGTGCAGTGATAAGTTCTTATCAGTGGGAATGGATCCTGGGAAGTGTTCACCAGTTGATATTATCACGCTAAGTAAGCCACTAATAACCCTGCTTCCTATGTCGTTCCTGCATTCTATAAACTCAATCCCATGCCTTAATGCCCACAATGGGTCTGGGTACTTTAAATTTCACATTTACCAGTGTTAAAATATAGCAGCAGGTAACTATTTCTGAATTTTGGACTCTCATTTTCTGGCCCCATTGATGGCCTCATATTCTGACTCCCATATTATGAGACAACGTTTTTACTTGGAAAGTAGATATCTCGAAGCTCATTATAAGAGATGTGCTGAGTCATTCAACGGTTTGCTGACTCATCAGAACAGCTTGGGAGCCACCATGTCCATGAGCCAGCTCTAAGCAAATTACATCCTCCAAGTTAATTAGAGCTGATGTTCATATTCCCCTCTTAGAAAGAAATCTTAAGGTCCATTTAATATAAGGAGAGTCCACTAGCAAAGCTTGAGTTTTCAAAGAAGTAATGATATGTCCTAAAGTCTCATATAATAGATTGAATACCTGTCTTCTCACAGATATGCCACCTTTCCCATGGTGTAGCCAATTCTCTCCAGGGCCTTGGCTTATTTAGTTCATTTCTTCTAGAATTTTAGAAGATTCTATCTATACCTACATATGTGACTAAATATATATAAAGCCTTATGGTACAATTGACTATTGGACAGTGGTTGCCAATCAGTAAAATGAACCCAGATTCCTATTGCAAAAAAACTGAGAGATAACAGTGTGTGCTGTTTTCAGCTCACAAGTGTTGGGGCAATTTTTTACGCAGTAACAATAACTAATACAATTAACTGATGGAAGCTTCACCAAAGAAATACTGGTGAATATGTGCCATGAAAGATGTGTGCATGTGAGAGCATGTGTGTCCATATCTTAAGAATACAGCAGCAGGTGGAAACTTCAGGATTTTGTCAAATTGTTTATGTGGAGGCTTATCAGCAGAAGGGGAGATGCTCTGCCTCATACATATTAGAAAATAACAGAAACAAGACAGTTGAGCTTCTGTTCAAATTTCAGACATGGAGGAATTTCCCTAGACTCAAAACCTTATGGAATTTGGAAGAGGTTCTGAGTTTCCTCATTGTATTCCTCATGCCTGACACAAAGCAGGCACAATAAATACTTACTGAACAAATGAATGAATGGACAAATGAATAAAGAGAATCCAGAACTGATCTGGTGTGAATAAATATGTTAATATCAGGTGAAAATTTTTAGGACGTGCAATTTCCCAGTTGTTTGGAGACATTCACTTTACCTCCCGGGTTGGTGAAGAGTTTGGAGCATGCCAAGGTCATGAGCATGATGGATAATGTTGCAGCCCAAATCATAAGTCACGATGTCTCAACCTAACTGTCTGTTAAGAGTCACTGACTCAGCATTTTACATTAGGAGTAACTGTTGTGAACAGGAACTAGGAGAGGATAAAAAGAGTTCACAGCTGAGCAGGTCACTTGACAGTAAGCTAGCCTGGTGCCAGGCCTTTCCTGCTGATGTGGAGCTCTGCCGTCCACAAAAGGACCCTGGATGGGAATGTGTCATTGCTGCATGACCCACATGCTTCTGGAATCTCCAGCAGGCTCCATCTCCCCAATGGCTCTGGATGTGCAGAGTGAAAACCACCAGTCACTCTGCTCTGAAACTGAAATTTCAGGGCCCCAAAGCATCAGGATGGCCTGTTAGAAATGCAGATTCACAGGCCCCACCCCAGACCTTCCCCATCAGAGAACAGGAGGGAGCAGGCAAGCAGCAATGAGTGTTTTAACAAGTCCTCAGGAGATTCTGACTCATGCTCAAGTTTGGTTTATGGTAAAGGAAAACTAATTTAGAGGATTCTGTAATGGTTCAGATGTGAGATAATGAGAAAATAACCAATGGATGCAACAGTAAGAATGGACATATGGAAGCAAAACAAAGATAGTTTATAAACATTAGAATTGCTTGGATTTGGTAGTTGATCAGATGGCAGAAGATAGATATGAAGGAAGACCCTAGGCTGGCTAAGGATTTTAGCTTGGATCTTTGGGTGAATGGATTCTGTATTGAAAGCAACAGGAGTTTCCTGGGACACTCGACTTTAAATGCCCAAACCAGAAACATCCTGGGCAAATTGAGACAATCACCCTAACAGAAGAGCTCTGCAAATAGATATTAATGATAATTACTATGGACTGAATTGTGTCCTATCAAAATTCCTATGTTGAAGCCCTAACCTCCTGTGTGACTATATCTGGAACTATGGCCTTTAGGAGAAAATTAACGTTAAATGGGTTCATAAAGGCTGGGCCTTCATCTGATTGAACTATGGCCTTATTAAGAAAAGAGAGAAAAAAAAAATATATATATATATATATCTCCCCGCCCTGTTAGGACACAGCAAGAAGGTGACCATCTGCAAGCTAGGAAGAGACCCCTCACCAGTACCTGACCATGCTCACACCCTGATCTTAGACTTCCAGCCTCCAGGACTGTGAGAAAACAAATGTCTGTTGTTCAGGTCACTCAGTCAGTGGCATTGTGTTGTGGAGGCAAACTGATCAATAACAATAAATCAATGACGATTTTATTGATCAAGCATTTATTATGTACTAAACACTATGAAATCCTTCACATAAATTATTTCATATAACCCTTACAACACTCTGTAAAACAGGAATAGCAATTATCCCCAATTTACAGATTAGTAGACTGAGGTAAATCAGGTTAAACCACTCACCCAGATTACACATCTATTAAGTAGCAGGGTTAGGGCACTTTTTCTCCATTTTTGATGGTACATTGGAATCACAGACAGTTTTTTTTAAATTCTGATGCTTGGGTCGAACTACCAGGGGATCTCATACAGCCAATGTTCACTAGAGGCTGCATACTGAGATATTTAAATCAGGCAAGGTGGAGGTCCACTGTGTTAGAATCACCTGGAAAACATGTAAAGAAACAGAGACCCACCTCACCCCAGACTAATTTAGTCTATAATCCAGGCACTTTCACATGTGACCATAGTCATAAATGGATCCTTGGTCTGCCTGACTCCAGGTGCTAGACAAGCTAATTCCTAGAATTTCTTAATTTCAAATATTTGCATGGAGGAGTTGTTGAGGGTATATATTCTAATATCCAGATCTGTATAGCTGACCAAGGGTGGAAATCAAGATAAAGATCTAAAATGGTTAATAGGAGAAAGCAAACTGAAATCACGATTCTCTAAGAATTAACTCAGGAGATGGAGGTAAATGTAAAGAATTCCAAAGAACATGATTGACTTTGTGCTGTTGAAATATTTTGTGTCTCCCTGAGAAAACAGCCCTCTGAGCGCAGCTGGATATTATTTTAGTTAGGATTTTGCCTGATGCATGAAGATCAATCCTATGGCTTTCCTTGACACATATAGCTAAATAGGACCAGTGACTCCAGGTGAGAGCTCAATACACTGAAGAACAAGTGATTAGCCCTGACTTGAGATTTGCTGCTTGGCAGTTGCTGTTCTCCATAAAATGCTTGAGATGTCCTGCGGACTTTGTGGTTTAACATCATTGATTCAAAAGTGAAGCCAATTAAGAAGCATTATGGGGATGTATCAGGGAAGAAACCTAAAGTAAAAGAAAAAAATATTCTCTGTGTTTACTATAGGTAATCCTACTGAAAAAAAATTTATCTCTGTGTGATAATAAAAACAAGTGAGAAGTAGAAGGGTCAGATGCTTATCTGTTTTCATTTCTTTTTTTTCTGTTGACTATTCTATTATTCTAGAATCTAAGTTGAGGATTTTTCTTTTATTTTCTTTTTTCTTTTTTTTTTAATAGAGTCTCGCTCTGGCACCCAGGCTGGAGTGCAGTGACGTGTTCTTGGCTCACTGCAACCTCCACCTCCTGGGTTCAAGCAATTCTCCTGCGTCAGCCTCCTAAGTAGCTAGGATTACAGTCGCCTGCCACCACACCTGGCTAATTTTTGTACTTTTAGTAGAAACGGGGTTTAGCCATGTTGGCCAGGCTGGTCTCGAACTCCTGACCTCAAGTGATCCACCTGCCTTGGCTTCCCAAAGTGTTGGGATTACAGGCGTGAGCCACCGTGCCTGGCCTAAATTGAGAATTTTATGAATTAGTAAAATATTCTATCTACTTCTTTGTCCTTAGACCACATTTCAGTTCTTGGAGCATTGTAAATGATCAATAAATATATCTTAGATGAATTATTTTTCCAAGCTATAGGATCATAGGACTTGTGCACTAAATAAATGATACAAATTGGTCTGAGTTATCAAGGAAGTCTTCCAGAGGTGGTGTTTTGGCTCAGTTTTGGAAAGAATCTGATAAGCCAAATCTCTCTCTATTTATCGTTTCGTAATAATTCTCTAAATGCATGATGTACCCTCTTTCTTTTTTTTCATTTTTTTCTCTTCTCAGTTCTTTCTTTGGCTTTAGATACCCTCTTTTATGAATTTTCAAGATTATACTTATTAGAAAATTTGACCAAATTTCTTAGAAAAATAGTCTTGAGAGAACTGTTGATGGTCCCAAACTGTTGGATAAATGGTTTCCATGTCGTAATTATCTAGGTGAGAATGACTCTGGACTTCCCTCGTGCACATAATCAAATGTTGTTAAATGTCAAAAATTTCTTTTCTATCAAAATGAACTGGCAAGAAAAGTTCACTAGTTTGCCAGCTTTCAGGGGGCTTTTTTAAGACTGGCAAAAGGACTCAATTGAAGAAACCACTTATTTAATGAAATTGGAGGCTCCTCAAATTCATAAATCAATTTTCAAATTGCAGGAAAAAATATTACTTTTTAAATGTCCCTAATTGTTATTCATTATTCTATGCCTGTGAAACTTCACCAGAGCGGTTTATTAATAAGGCAGCTCTCCAATAACATTATTCAGGCACAGAGGAGTAAAAATCTTAGAACCCACACAAATAATAGATGGTAGGATAGGCCACCTGATTTGATGTTGTTTGCTTTGGGCTAATTCAAAAAATAAACATGTTTTTGCGTGTTTTTATTTCTTGGGGTTCTTTTTCTTTTCTATTTTCTTTTAAGCAAAAGGAAAAAGGAAATTATGGACAAAAATTTAGGGAAGATTGTTGGAAATAACATTCACATCAAGTCTGGTTTTTCTCCTAAGAGTTATCCCAGTGAGCCACTCTATATATTGTTAGACTCAAAACTGGAGCCTTATGCCTCATCCCTACAACAGAAATTCTCAGGACCTACTTTGACCAACAAGGAAAGTACCAAGCCTCCCTGGGAAGTACTTTCATACATCCACCTGGACCATCCAGGAAACACCTGGAAATATCCTCAATCCTGAAAAAAAAAATTTATGGCTGTTTTTCCATAAGGGCGTTTGAGAAATGGAAGGTCTCTTTGATAAGCCAATGCCAAACAATTCATTGTGTGGAGGCTGCGAGTCCAGAGCATTGTTTTTCTGGGGGGCACACCATCAGGAAGCTAGCTTTGAGCTTTTACCTAAGGCTTGGATGGTTGGTTCATTCATCCCTCTATGCAGAGTTTTATTCATTCATTTAAGACCCTTCTCAATCGCTTGAACCTGGGAGGTGGAGGTTGCAGTGAGCAGAGATCATGCCACTGCACTCCAGCCTGGGTGACAGAGCAAGACTCCATCTCAAAAAACAAAAATAAAGAGGCCCATCTCAAACTCACTGATAAAAGGCCTCCCACATTGCCCTTCAGCTACAGCCAAATTTCTCTGCCCTTTTGACATGAAAAATACTACAGGGTTATAAAAACCCATGCTCTTCCCTTCCTCAACTTTCCTTCCTTCCATATGCCACCTGCACTGCTCTTATTAAGGTCACCAGAGACCTACATCTTGCCAAGTCCAGTGGTCAATTATCTGGATTACTTTCAGTCAATGATCAATGGCTCGGCTTCATTTGACATAGTTGACAGCTCACTTCTTCCAAAAGTACTCCAGCTTTTAAATGCCATCTATATACTGCTTTTCCTCTCAGTTATAGCTCCAACTCTGTCTTTTTCTTTGTGTTCCAGATTTGTCAGTGTAACATCTCCCTCAACTTCTTCACTAGGCATCTCAAACGTAATGTATCCAAACCAAAACTCTTCATTCATCTCCCCACATTCTAAACTCTTCCTCTGCCAATTTCCTTCTTCCACGTTAATGGCACTAACCACCACCCCATTGCTCAGGCCAAAAATCCTAAAACCCTAAGTCACTCTTAATTTCCAATTTTTCTTTCACTGCCCAGCTATGATTCTATGCCCAGACTATAGCTGGATTCCAACGGTAGGCAAGATAGGAAGTTCTAGAGACCAGCGCAAAATGCAATAATTCAGGAGAGATACGTGATGTAATTCTTAAAAGCCAGAAAGAAAGAATCACACACCGTGCCCATGTATTTGAAACAGTATTCTGTGTGATTAATTTTTGAAAATTAGATTAGCTGGTTGATGACCCTTTAGACATCGGCCAATGGCCCTGTAGCCCTGAATGGGTTACACTTGAGTTTGGGGTACTTGTTGTTCTTCTCTGCACAGCATCCTACTTTTCCTGGCGCTTTGTGGATCTTATGTAAAGATCCAAAAAAAATATAGCAGTCTCTGACATTTTCTCACATTCACAAGTCTATGGCCTTTTAACCTTCTTGCCCTTCAGTGGAAAAATAGGATAGGAAAAGAGTGTAAGAATCTTTTAGGTGGTAAATGACAAAAATGCAAATTCCAACCGGCTTTAGCAAAAAGGGAAGTTTGCTATTTCCTATAACTGAACACTGGGATGGGCAAGAGCTTTCTTTGCTGTGCATCCTGGCTTCGCAGATGGGCTTCGTAGTTGGGATGTCTTCTACCCTATTCCTTGTCACCAGCCCTTTATTCTTCAGATTCCAGCTGACCATGTTGCCAGGAAGCTCATGGGAGCACCAAGAGCGTCCAGGTCTTCTTGCCCTTGAACGTGATGCACATGGAGCCTGCTCTATGTGAGCATAGTTGGCTGAAGCCGGGAAATTCTAGTGGGTGTGAACCAGGCACAGCAGAGACCCCCACCTGCTCTCTGCTGTGCCTGGTTCACACCCACTAGAATTTCCCTGCTGCAGCCAACTGTGACCTGCTCCCAGGAGTGTTCCTTCTGACTGGGCTGGTGCCTTCCGTGGTGCTCCGTAGCATCCTGCAGCCCCTCCTTCACATTTTATTAAAATTGCTAACATTTTTGTCTACTTTTCCCATTCATCTGTGACCTCCTGATATGGTATGAATCTGTGTCCTCACCCAGATCTCATGTTTAATTGGAATCCTCAGCATTGGAGGTGGGGCCTGGTGGGAGGTGATAGGATCATGGGAGGGGTTCCTTCGTGAACGGTGTAGCCCAGTCCCTTTGGTGCTCTTCTCGTGATGGTGAGAGTTCTCATGAGAGCTGGTTGTTTAAAAGTGTCTAGATCTCTCCTCCCCACGTCACTCTCTTGCATGTAAGACACCTGCTCCCACTTTGCCTTCCACCATGAATAAAATCTCCCTAACACCTTCCTAGCAGCAGATGCTGCCATGCTGCCTGTACAGCCTGTGGAACTGTGAGCCAATTAAACCTCTTTTCTTTATAAACTACCCAGTCTCAGGTATTTCTTTATAGCAATCGAAGAACAGACTAATACACCTCCTTTGTTCACTTCATGCCTCTTTATTCACAGCACTGGAGTCTGCTGGAGACCTAAGAAGGTCCTCTTAACCCCATGAATGTCTGCTCTATCTAACATTTTGCCTGGCTTGTTAGGAAGATGGGAGCCACATAACACTGTCGCCATCTTTGCCATTAATCATAGCAGCTCTGATGATTAAGTGACAGTGTATGTGCTTCATGTTGAGCTTATGCTAGAAACTCTGCTAGTCCCTTTACGGACTTCAGGCATTAGTCCTAGTAGAAAGTTATGATCATTTACACATTTTAGAGACAAGTAAAATAGAGCTCAGAAAGTAAACAGCTCATCCTTGGCCACACAGATCATAAGCAGTAGATAATGGAACTATAATAATTATTAGATACACCTGTCTATCAGAGTGCAGGGAGATACTGACCCCTCACCTGACTTAGCACCCCACCTCTACAGGCTCACCTCCTACAACTCTCTCTCCCCATTGCCAGCACACTGCAGCCTCCTTGGCCTTCTCTCCATCCTAGGGCAGCCAACCTCACGACCTGCTCAGAGTCCTCCATTCCTAACGCTTTCCCCAGAGAGTTGCCTGCACAGTAGCGCTTCTCATCCGTGGGGTCTCAGCTCAAAGTCATCTCTGCTGGGAGCTCCCAGGAGCTCCAGATGAACTAGGTCATTCCCCTTGTCACTCTCAACCCCTTCACAGGCTTTTTTTTATGAGTACCTGTAGTCACCTGTCCTCGGATGCATTATCTCTCGCCTAATGGAATGCCCACTCTGAGACAGAAGGGAAATTGCATCTTTTATAGGGGAAGATTATAAGCTGATCTTAAAAATGTGCAATTATCATTTTATAACTGGTGAGACTATTGAAGGTATTTATTGAAAATGCATATACTTTCAGAATCTTGGTAATATTTTGGTGTTTTGTTGGGAAAAGACTTCAGCTTTGGAACCTCACTTCATGTAAGGAAGGTACTTTAAATATAGCAGTCTCTGACATTTTCTTACTTTCAGAAGTCTATGGCCTTTTAACCTTCTTGCACTTCAGTGGAAAACTAGGATAGGAAAAGAAATTGAGTTCTATTCCATTCTCCATATTCTGAGTAGTAATGTGGATAAGAAGACAGACAAGAATCTAATGAGTAATTATGGACAGAAAAATGAAATAGTGCACTTTATACAGAAATAAAGATATGATAATGATCATTTTCTTAGTGACCCATCTCAATTGGAAATAGCATCAAAATGAATATCATCTAACATTTGATTTGCATTCAGAAATCCAGGTTTTTCTTAACACTGACCAACTGAATTCTATATTCCAACCTTAGTTGTTCAGTGATGTTTTGTAACAGAAACAAAAAAGACCATTTTAATCTCTGCTTAATTTTTTTCAAAATGAAAATAATAGTTCAAATAAATGCTATTATTTAAATTTAAAAATAAAACATAAATGGCAGGGCTTTAACCTCACTCACTCACTACTCTTCCTCTGGTGCCTTGCCCTTGGCATTCAGCAAGCATGTGATAAATATTTGTTGATTGAATAAATAAGTGCTACTTGCCAATGGAAGAATGATCATCTCTCCCGTGGGAATTTAGCACTGGGGATTTGGGCAGATCAAATGACCATTCTCATCCTAGGTGGACAGTGGTCCCTAGACAGGCCATGCCATGGCAGAGAGAAGCCAGGTGGAAGTGATGTTTTTAGTTAAACGAGATGTTCATGGATCAGGCAGCTCCTCCACTCCTTTTTGATATCTATGATGATTTAGCATGACTTCCTGGCACTGCATCAAGAAGCTGCAGTAGAGCCAGGTGCAGTGGTTCACACCTGTAATTCCAGCACTTTGGGAGGCCCAGGTGGGTGGGTCACTTGAGGTCTGGAGTTCGAGACCAGCCCGGCCAACATGGTGAAACCCTGTCTCTACTAAAATACAAAAAAATTAGCCTGGCATGGTGGTGCACGCCTGTAATCCCAGCTATTTGGGAGGCTGAGGCAGGAGAGTCGCTTGAACCCAAGAGGTGGAGGTTGCAGTGATCTGAGATCACGCCACTGCACTTCAGCCTGGACGACAAAGTGAGGCTCTTTCTCAAAAACAAACAAACAAACAAAAAAAAACAAAACCTACAGTGAACAGGCCTGGGTTATGCATGTTGCTGGGGAGGGGCCTGGGATGGTCTATTTTTTGTGTGTTTTATTTTGTCTTCTTTTTTCTTCTCCAAGTTTCTGAGCAATCCACACAAAACTAATCCTGGGGTAGGAAAAATGGGGAGATGTAGGTTTAACGGTACAAACTTAGTTATAAGATGACTCACTTCTGTGGATCTTATGTACAGCCTGGTGACTATAGTTAACAATACTCTATTGTTTACTTGAAATGTGATAAGAGAGCAGATTTTAAGTGTCCTTACCCTACACACACATACACACACAAATGGTAAATGTGGGTGGTGATGGATGTGTTAACTAATTCGATTGTAAACATTATTACACAATATATACCCATATATCATATCACCCTGTTATATACCTTGCATAGATACAATTTTTACTTGTCAATTATGTTTCCATAATGTTGGAAAGAAATAAACTGAACTATTTCTAACATGCTGGTTTTCACTGTTGGGCAAACAAAGCAGCATTCGAGCTGAGCCGTGTGGCCCTGCCACCCGCTCCGCTGCGCCAGGCTCTGTGCTGGGGCTGCCATCCTCAATAGCCTCCTTGTTGCCCATCTCGGCCCCCGGAGGTTACTAGGGGACTCTCTCCACTCAATGGGCTCCCTCTCTGCCATTGTCTTCTGATATCGGTTTACAGTCTCAAGGATATAGACTGCATCACAATTAGTCATAATGTCCAGCCAGCCCTGAAACTTATTTGCCACACAGAGTTCATTGGCCTTTGTGACAGGGACAAAGGGAGGCTTGTTGGAAGCTGAACACAAAAGGCAAACACAATCTATGGATTTCTGAATAATACAAAGGCGGGGGATAATAGCTGCTGCACAAATGGCTATGCTATTGACCAGCTAGAGGGCCCTTCCCCCAAGTCTTTCTAGCTTTTCCATGAATTTCCCTGACCTGGCCCTTCAAGATTTTTCTGGCAGCGGGGAGGCAACCTAAACTAGGCAGGTAGGCTGATATAGCCAGAAGACTGGCTTCTGCCGAGAGGATTTGTCTGTGAGAGATGGGTGGTGCGTGTTTACGGAGCATGTCCTACAGGCTCTGTAGAGGATGGTAAAATCATTTCTGAGGTTTAAGGATAAACAGGTGCAGATGGATACATTTGAGTGTGTTCAAGTGTGTGTGAGTGTGTCTGGGTATGATTGCATAAGAATGTGATTGTGTGGGTGAGAATGTGCAGACACATTTGCATGTATGAGTGCATGTGAGTACATGTTTGTATTGTGACCATGCATGTGAGATTGTGCAGATGAGAGCATTTGCGTGTGTGAATGCATGTGTGTATTATGACTATGCATGTGAGATTTTGCACGTGAGCATTTGCATGTATGAATGCATGTGAATATTGTGACTATGTATGTGAATGTGCATGTGTCACTGTGTGTACACATGTGTGTGTGTACATTCATGTGCGTGTGACACTATATGGGATTGTGTATATGACTATGCAGTTAGAATATGCAGAGCTGAGTATTTGCATAAGTGTGTGTGTATGTAGGTAAAAGCATGCACATGTGAGAAGTCCTAGGCGTGAATGTGTGAGAGTGTGGATCGCATATTTGTGTGTATAAGTCTGTGTATGTGAGTGTGCATGAGTTTGCATGTGAAGGTATGTATACGTGAGTTTTTATGTGTGAGTATGTGTGAGTGAGAGTGTGCATTGGGTATTTGTGTGTATAAGTCTGTGTGTGTGTGTGTGAGCATGCATGTGAAGGTATGCATATTGAGTTTTTATTTGTGTGAGTATGTGTGAGTGAGTGTGTGCGTGTGATCCTGGGTGCTGCCATGTTGTCTGAGAAATCAGCATCAGTTCTGTCACAGTTCAACCCTCCTATAAGAGACACACTTCAAAGGCTCATCAGCTGCTGGGTCTCCCCCGCACCATGCCAGCCTGCCTGCTGACTCTGCCATCTGGTCCAATGAATGGCAGAAATCCTTAGCAAGACCACAGAGCAATCACAGAAAGTGTCGGCTGAAAAAAGGTAGCTTGAGTAACTGCAACAAACTCTGGTCTCTGATGTGACCAAATAAATTCCCTTTCACGTGTGACACCCATTTCATCTCCCCAGGGCATTTCATGAGCTCCCTCCACAAGTTTTCCAGACTCTTCCAGCTTCAATTTAAGTTTATACAAATTTTATAAGTACATAACCTTGTTGAAGAATGATGAAAAGTCTCAGAAACTAGAAATTTCTCTGGATACTTCCATATTTTATTTGTGTATCTATCCACCAATCCAAATCAACAATTCTTTCTTCTTTCCTTTTTCTCTTCCTTCCTTTTCTTTCCTCCCCTCATTTCTCCCTTCCTTCCTCCCCTTCTTTCTTTCCTTCTTCCCCCTCCCTTCTATTTTCACTCCTTCCCTTTCCCCTTTCCTCCCTCTCTTCTTTCTCTCCTTCCTCCCTCCATCCCTGCCAGTCTCCCTTCTTCCCTTCCTCTTTTCCTTCCTCCCTCTCTCTTCCCTCCTTTCTTTTCTCTTCTTTCCCCTCTGAAAGCATACACATTCTCATATAACCGTGTGCAGACAACTTTGTAAGTCTGTCTTCTTCTGCACTCCCACAAATCACCATATGTACCCTCGTACTAATCTTAACAGCAGCTAATATTTATGAAGCTTTTCTTATGTGAGTTGCTTTGCTTAAGATACATTAAGAAGCCATGACGTTGGCTGGGCGCGGTGGCTCAGGCATGTAATCCCAGCACTTTCGGAGGCTGAGGCAGGTGGATCACAAGGTCAGCAGTTCAAGACCAGCTTGGTCAACATGGTGAAACCCCATGTCTACGAAAAATACAAAAATTAGCTGGGCATGGTAGCGGATGCCTGCAATCCCAGCTACACAGGAGGGCTGAGGGAGAGAATTGCTTGAACCTGGCAGGCAGAGGTTGCAGTGAGCCGAGATCACGTCACTGCACTCCAGCCTGGACAACAAAGTGAGACTCCATCTCAAAAAAATAAAAAAAATAAAAAAGAAGCCATGATGTGGTTTAGAAAATACCATTGCTGTGTCTCCATCACGGGTGTCAGTACTTGTTTTTACAAATCAGACACAGCCGTGAGAGTTGAAATTGGGTTTTCTAAACTGGTGTACTGTTTTCACAGAGCTTCCTATAAACTCAGAGATGGTCATCTTCCTCTTCATTTCTCATTCATGTCTCACCGTCAGTGATTCTTCACACTTTTGTTTAAGTTTCTTAGAGTTGTGTGTTGTTGATGAGGGAAGGACACTTAGCCATGTCTGCTGTGATACTCACTGTGAAACTGTGGGTAAGTTCACTTATTTACCCATTCATTTATTAATCCCTTTGTCTATTCAGTTATTTCACAAATATTTTAAATATCTACTTGTGCAGCAGGCACTTTTTTAAATTTGGGAAATGTGGACAGGCGCTGTTGCTCACGCCTATAATCCCAGCACTTTGGGAGGCCGAGGGGGTGGATCACGAGGTCAAGAGATGGAGACCATCCTGGCTAACACGGTGAAACCCCGTCACTACTAAAAATACAAAAATTAGCTGGTCATCCTGGTGGGTGCCTGTATTCCCAGCTACTCAGGAGGCTGAGGCAGGAGAATCACTTGAACCGGGGAGGAAAAGGTTGCAGTGAGCCAAGATCGCACCACCGCACTCCAGCCTGGGCGACAGAGCAAGACTCCGTCATAAATAAATAAATAAATAAATTAATTAATTAATTAATTAAATTAAAAATTTGGGAAATGCAGTAGTGACCCTTCCCTATGAAGCATACATTCTAAAGGAGACAGAGAGACAATGATAAACAAGAAAATAAATAAATACAAGCTACTTCCAGAGGGCTGAGTCACTTAACCTCTGAGCCTTGGTTTCCCATGTGCAAAACTTGGATTGTAGTAGCACTGTCCTTCAAGCAGCCATTGCGGAAAAGATACATGAAACACTCTTAGCATGATATCTGCCAAGGGGAGGTGTCCAAACCTGTTGGCTATTGTTACTTTTATATAAGTGCATTTCTGATGTTTATAGGGCCTTGCAAGTTAAATTTCTATAGGATGAAAAACCACCTAGATAATTAAGTTATTAACTTTCCTTGGTTCCTGGGTTGGCTTGTGTCTTTGTAAACTGAGATACCTTTTTTTTTTTTTCTTTTTGTGGCAGAGTCTTGCTCTGTTTCCCAGGCTGGAGTGCAGTGGCATGATCTTGGCTCACTGCAACCTCCCACTCCCGGGTTCAAACAATTCTCTTGCCTCAGTCTCCCAAGCAGCTGGGATCACAGGCACGCGCCACCACACCCAGCTAATTTTTGTATTTTTAGTAGAAACAGGGTTTCACCATGTTGGCCAGACTGGTCTCCAACTTCTGGCCTCAAGTGATCCACCCACCTTGGCCTCCCAAAGTGCTGACATTACAGACATGAGCCACCGCACCTGGCCTTTGTAAATTTAGATGGTTAATGCTGATTCCTGGCTCTGCCATTTACCAGCTGCATGGATTGAACTTTCCTGTTAATCTCTAATTTTCTCAATTACACTGGGATATCAAATGAGATAAAGTAAAGTAGCAGAACCCAGGACTGGGTCAAAAATATTTAAAACCCTTATATTGTGAAGGAGAATGGGAACCGGCTTCGGAAAGCTGCAGACATGGATTCAGCTGCTAGCTGTGGTTCTTTTAATGCTGTGGTTCTCAATTGAGTTATTTTATGCATGCTGTATCCGGTTAACCTTAAATAATGCTCACCTTATAGGAAGGTGAGATATAAAAATAACTTATCTTTTAACACACAGTGCGGAATCAAATGTTCATTCTCCTCATTTTCCAGTTAATTAGGGCAGTGTGAATGAATGAATGAACTAAAATATAGAGCTGTATGCATTTTTAATTTCAGTGATAAGAAAAACTTGGCTAAATCAAGCTTCTATTTTTCTTACCACTTCCCTCACCTGTTCACATCTTTCTATGTTTCAAATGGAATTTTTTTAAACAACTCAGCTCCGTGGTTTATATAAAGGGTCAATGAACTATGGCCTGCAGGTTCAACTCAGCCTACCACCCATTTTTATACAACTAGTAATGTATACAAGAGCTACTAATGGCTTTAACATTTTTATTTTTATTGCAGAGCAGATTAACTGTGATGGAGACGGTAAGGCCCACAGAGCTGGAAATGTCTACTCTCCAGTCTTCCACGAGGAAATCAGCCAACTCCTGCTCTAGTTTCCTAACTGAATCTTTGTGTTTTTTCTGCCAGTCATTCTCTTAACTACCTAAAGCTTTTATATATTTTAAAAATTAAAAAAAAAATTTTTTGGTGTTTTTGAGACAGAGTCTCCCTCTTTTGCCTAGGCTGGAGTGCAGTGGTGCAATCTCAGCTCACTGCAACCTCCATCTCCTGGGTTCAAGCGGGTTCTGCCTTAGCTTCCAGAATAGCTGGGATTACAGGTGCCCACGACCATGCCTGGCTAATTTTTCTGTATTTTTAGTAGAGACGAGGTTTCACCATGTTCCCCAGGCTGATCTCAAACTCCTGACCTGAAGGAATCCGTCGGCCTCGGCCTCCCAAAGTGCTGGAATTAGAGGTGTAAGCTACCGCGCCTAGCCTCTAAAGCTTTTATTTCTAAGACCTCAAATTTTTAACAGCAGAATTGTCCTTGTATTGATGTCAGTATATCCCACTGAATCACTCAAGGGATCATAGATAAGCTGATGCGTTTTCTCTATGAAATCTATTTCCCTGCACATTACCTCATCTGTTTGAATTTTGTTCCTCCCTTCTAAAAGCCAGTTTCCCTTAAATGTTGTTATATCTTGATTGTCTGTGTCCATGTATATTTGGGATAGTGGGAAGACAAGACTGAACAGTGTTTCCCACAGGCCAGATGAGAATCCCTGACCATCTGTGGGTGGATGCATGTCCGGAATATGAGTTTCCTTTTTGGCATGTAGCAAAAGGGCTGGGCAGAGTCTGAAATTAACTTGCCTTCCTGCGGCGGGAAAGAGAGCCTGCCCATAATATCATGGCATCATATGTCACCTGGGACGATTTGCTTCTCCTTTTCTTCACATGGCTCTGGAAATCTCCTTAGTCCAGCCCTCTAGGCCATAGGTCCTTAACGGAAGGCATTTGGTGGTCAACACAGGGTTCCATGAGATATTTGGAATTTCACACAAAATATGTGCAATATTTGCATGATATGGCATGGCCTGTATCAGCTCCTTAAAAGAATCTATACATCTCCCCCCAAATTACTTACTTAATTAAAATATTAAGAGTCACCATACTCACTGTGGAAATGAAGAATGATCATAAACTGAGAGTACACAGGAAAATGCTTTACTTTTTTCTAAATCGCGAGAGCCAAATTAGTTACACCAAAGAAAATTGAAGCAATAGACAGAAGTTGTTCTCATAATATTTTTCAAAGTCCGAGACATACCAGTAGTGGTTCCATGTCCTTTTGCATACTTGGTCTCCTTTACCGCACTGAAACGCAACCTGAAAATGGCGGCATGCAAGTGTTATATGTGAAGACACTGGGGCTCAAAAGAGTGGATGTGTGGCCCAGCTCTGTCAGGCAATCCTGAGCTGAATCAGATAAAAAGCCTTCAACTGTAGGACTTGTTTATCCAATGGAACTTCAAGCACTTATAACTACTTTATTTCCCCTGGTTTAAAGACCAGGGGAAATTGAACCCAGAGGAATTGAGCTTCCTGCTGTTGTCCAAGCAGCAGTGGCGAGAGCCAATCAGGCCCTGACGCTTTAGTTCTGGACCTACATGTAAATCCCCAAACACTACTTCTTCCCCATAATGAGAGTCACCTTCCCTTTAATTAAAATTCCCTTACAAATGTAGACATTCCACTTTTACTAATAATTACTCGGAGAAGATTTTTAGCAATCAGCACTACATAAATATCCGAACCCCCTGGAAGACCATCACAGCTGCAGCATCCCCCCTTCCTCTAATTTATTATTTATATACCGCTGCAGATAGACATAGCTCTTTGTGACAATTAACGTGGGCCTTCCAGTCTCTCCTCTTGCGGGTTCAGGCTGCAGAGGAGCATTACTGCTTTGATCACAATTACTATTAATTGGAGAACTCTCACTTCTCTGTAAAATATGTACTACTCGAAAGTGCGATTAAACCGCCCAAGGAATATGAACTGCATGTCAGGAGATGTATTGTGAGGGCTCTGGATTTAGCAAGTCATTTACCCTGTAATTACGGGGGGTGGGGGGAATCCTCTTAATGGGGCAGAGGACATGCTACCAACAGCAGGGGCTCCAGCTCCAAGCTCAAATGATTTCCCCATGATAAAATGAACCACAGGCTAACAGCAAATGGCCCAACACACCTCACTGCTGTTTTTATTTTTCATACGGTCAGAGGAATAGCAAGGATTCTTTGGCTCATGAAATCCCTTGGCCTAGCTCAAAAGAGCAAACTTTCCATTGATTCATCATTTATTTATTTTTTTCTAACTCACAAGCCTCATCTATGCCTGTCGTTGTTCTTGAATCCAGACCCTGGGACATCAAGGTGAACGTGGCATAGTCTCAGCCCTATGGAAACAGACTCCGCTGTTTGACTGTTGCTGGTTCAGTTGACCTTTGGGTCACAGAGTGAAAGGGGTCATTCTGGAGAATACTGTCAGCCATGGGAGGAGAAAGAAAGAGGAACCACCCTCTGCCTGCAGAAGTTAACCCTTATACTCCTACAAGGAAGGTAAGAATTGTTCAAGGGAAAAGGATCAGTGAGGGGGATTGGGGCTGAGGAAATGCCATTTTCAAAGGCAAGTAGGGCAGGGCATCAAAGCCTATTTAGGATTGTCAGAGAGTCTATTTGGGAGGGTGGTGAAGGTTGGTTTGTGTGCTAAAAGTGTGCTTCAGGAGGTTGGTCTTTCAATAAGCCTGCAACCAAAACTTACCTTCTCTTTTCTTATTGATTATGAAAACTCTGGACCCATGCAATTAATAGGCTAGCCTTGGCACCAAAATTCTCAGAACGGTTCTATGTGGAGAAATTTAAACTGTGACTAATATCATGGGCTCCTAAGTTAAAAATTTCTAACACAATTTTGTGTTTGGAACACAATGCCAATGTTCACCACCAGAATCATGCCCATAGAGCAATGAGGCTACCCTCTCCTCTGGAGGCTTTGTCTTCAGACAGACTGAGACTGAGATTTAAGTTCAAACTTCAGCTCTTACTAACTGTGCAATCTTGGACAAGGTATTTCATCTGCCTGAGACTCGGATTCCATGTCTAAAAAATGTGGAGAATGTTCATGACCTCATGGTCATTTTGTGAAGATGTGATAAGCGTTAGAAAATTCTAGAAGTCTGTCTACCAATGGCATCCCTGAGATGATAGGAATTGTCCTTAGGCCATCAAAGCCTTGCCTGTAATCAGGGTTTCCATGTTTCGTTCTCCAGATAGTGCAGGTAAACATTGCTATACCCTTAGGGACTTGGGAACATGCCTTAATAATACCATTGCTTACAATATTCAGTGAAGTAAGAAATTATCTCAATGTGCTTAAAAGAAACACATCTTAATAAGACAGTCAGCTTTTTGGATCAGCTTTTCTCCAGAGGAAGTTTTCTCAGCTTGCCTGTCCACTGGAATCACTTTAGGGTAATCAAACATTACATGTGTCTAAGCTCCACCCCGGAAATTGTTATTTATGATTTATTAGTTCTGGGTACAGCGAACAGGGCACAGGCAAGGGTGGAAAACCACAGCTTTAAAGGAGAACAGTTTAAACACATGTTTTAGGATGTCTTCCTCCTTAAGACACCCTACCCACACCTACTTTTTCTTATTAAGATGTGTTTCTTTTAAGCACGTGTCTATAATGTCTTCCTTTTCTGGGGAATGTAAGCAATGGTATTAAGCTGCAAGAATGTGGGTGGAAAGAAGAGATAGGTCTCAGAGCGTGAACGTCTTTTAAAGGTCTGCCTGCAGTTGACAACAATGTTGTTTTCTGAGATCCCTGGATATCTCCTCTGAAATCATTTGGGAGCAATTACTGGTCCAGTAATAGAATAGGATAGGATTCTCAAAGTCACAGATTAAGCCCAACATCTCAGCTTAATACAAGGTGTGTTTCTTATGCACACAAAGCTTTGTGGGGACTGGATGCTTTTCTTCAATCTTGTTTCTATGCCAAATAGAATGCATGCCTTCCAAGGTTACTGTGGCAGAAGAGAAATTATCAGAGATTTCAAAGGCCCAGGCCTGGCAGCAGGCAACTGTCACTGTTACCAACTTAAGGCTAAGGTAGACCAGGAAATAAGTCCTTTGTGTGCCCAGAAAGAGGAAAGGTACAGCAAGCACAAATCAGTTAGTCTCCATCACAGGCAGCTGCACCCACACACTTTGGCTGTTGAGCCCCAGGCATTCTTTCAGCTCATGAATCTCAAACTTTTATGTCCATGCACTCAGATCTCTCTATCAAAAAACCAAACCAAGAAAATCTATTGATTGAGAGGCCGAGGTGGGCAGACCACAAAGTCAGGAGTTTGAGACCAGCCTGGCCAACATTGTGAAACCCTGTCTCTACTAAAAATATAAAAACTTAGCCAGGCATGGTGGTGGGCACCTGTAGTCCCAGCTACTTGGGAGGCTGAGGCAGGAGAATCACTTGAACCCAGGAGGCAGAGGTTGCAGTGAGCTGAGATCATGCCATCGCACTCCAGCCTGGGCGACAGTGCGTGACTCCTTCTCAAAAAAAGAAAAAGAAAAAAGAGAAAAACTAATGAAGAATAATGCCCAGTGCTCATACATGGACAGAAATGGAAATCCTATTGTACTAGTTGCCTAGAGCTGCTGTAACAAAGTACCAAAAACTGGGTAGCTTTAAACAACAGAAATATATTTTCGAATAGTTCGGAAGACCAGAAGTTGTAAATCAAGGTGTCAGCGGGGGCAAGCTTCACTGAGGCTCTAGGCTGCGTCCTTTCTCGATTCTTCCTAGTTCTGGTGCTAGCTGGTAGCCTTGGGTTTCCTTGGGTTGCAGCTACATCAGTTCAATTCATGCTTCCATCATCACACAGCCATCTTCACGTCACCTTCCATTGTTTTATGTGTCTGTCCAGATTTCCCCTTTTTATAAGGTCACCAGTTAAATTAAAACAGATCCCACCCTAATGACTTCATCTTACCTTGATGAAAGGCCCTATTTCCAAATAAGATTACATTTTGAGGTACCAGGGGTTAGGATTTCAACATATCTTTTTTTTGGCGGGGGGGGGGGTCGCAATTCAACACGTAACATCCACTTTTCAGAAGACTGGCATCCGTAGGCTTTAAGGCATTTTAGTCTCCATCGAGCATGAGTTAAATTCATGCAAGCCACAGCAGAGGTGAGAAACAACATTATTTGTCTGCATTCCCCATACTTATGATTAATACCATGGTCTGCTATTCACCATGTGGTGAGCCAAGGGCCATAGCCCTCCTTCAACTCTAGACCTAACACTCTCAGATGAATAGAAGAAAGACTGGAAGAAAAGTTGAGTAACCATTATCTATATTTGTGATGCAAATATAGATACTTTTAAAATCCCTTCTTTATACACTCTGATTGCTTTACCTGCAGGTTTCCTTTAATGCAAAAGCATTGTTTCAGAATTTCAAAATCCAATAATGAGTCTTTCCATTTCTCGTGCTATCTTCCATATCCAAGATTCATACCTTGTTTCTGGCCTTCTGCTCTGTTAATTGATCCTTCCTTATGGGTGTTCATTTCATATCATTCTGTGGTCCACTGAAGTTTACGAGTGGAAACTTTGATTGGATGTTTTTGCCTATCATATCGTTTCTAGCATGTTGCCATATCCTGAGTTGAGAGTGTTCATAGGTAAAACAATCAGGCTTTTCATGGCTCCAACACAGCAAACATTTGTAACTTCTTCTGGATTGCTCAGTGCTATGACAAGTTGTGGACTTTTAAGCCAGATAAGGACTTTTGAAAAAATATGAAGCTCTTAAACAGATGCAAACGAGAGGTTTCAAGCAGGTCCAAGGGGTAGAAACAGAAGTGTAGCAAATACCTGTTCACTAGTGTCATCGGGGGCATTGTTAGTAATCTTTAACCTGAAAATCTGAATAAAGTAGAATTATGTGAAATGGGATAAAACAAAGAAAACAAAATAAATCCCGGGAGTAAATAGTTTGCTTTCTGACAATAAGGAAAAAAAAAAAATTGAACCAGCCAGGTATCTCTGCCCTAAATCAGGGACTTGGGAGCATGATAGGAAAGTTAAGGAAGCTTGCTTCTCTCGTTGAACTGTCATCTGATGGCTTTTATAAGACAAACAGCAGCTGCTCTGCCTTGTCAGCAGCCTTCAATGCATTCTTACCTCTAATAGGATTGAACAAGCCACTCTGCAGTCTCACCTCCAACCTGGAGAATTCCTGTCTCAAGGGACTCCACCCATGGCCTGGTAACACAAAATGCCCCTTGGCGCTATCCTCAAGGCACATTTGAGTCACCCCTGACAGTAAAATTTGCATATATCCCCAGACTACTCCTTCCACGCCCTTGCATGCCTCTGGGCCCTGGAGTTTGCACTGGTCTTGCTGCAGCCTGGGTGCTACCTAGCTTGAAACAGATGCTACAGAGTCTGCTTCTTGGGAGGTGATTGCGCCAAGTGCCTGAGATTTAAAATGACAGGGTGCATTTAAATGTAAATTCGTCACTGAAGAGCAAGTCTTCACTAGTGGAAATTTACTTCCCATAATCTGCAAGTTCCCTCTGCAGCACTGCTTCGGGTAAGGCCAGGATCCCCACCCAAAGAAATGCAGACTCTACTCAATGTGTTCTTGTTTTGAAGTGGACAAAGAGGCCAAGGAACCAGAGGAAGGGACCACCTGCTGCCTGGGGGAAACTTTCATTATGTTAACATTGACCCTATTCAAACCCTGATTTTTTGTTTTCCTAGTTGAGAGAAGAACATACATACACAGACATTCTGATGGGGACAGGCCAAATCAGATACACACTAGCATGCACCTGCCCATATGCGCACAAGCACACATTACACACCCAACTCTATGTGTTCATCCACACTTGTGCACCTAAACATAAGTGTAGACATGCTTACACACGTGAAGCTGCAGGAAGCAGTGCTGAGGAGTGTGTATGGGCTTTTGAGTGTAGCTGCTGGGCTTCAGTCCTCCCCCTCCTAAGCTGGGTGATTGGGGACAAGTCATGTCACACCATTAAATAAGAATATCGGCTAGGCCTGGTGGCTCATGACTGTAATCCCAGCACTGTGGGAGGCCAAGGTGGGCGGATCATGAGGTCACCATCCTGGCCATTATGGTGAAACCCCATTGCTACTAAAAATACAAAAATTAGCTGGGCGTGGTAGCGTGTGCCTGTAGTCCCAGCTACTCGGGAGGCTGAATCAGAAGAATTGCTTGAACTCAGGAGGTGGAGGATGCAGTGAGCTGAGATTGCGCCACTGCACTCCAGCCTGGGCGACAGAGCAAAACTTCATCTCGAAAACGAAAAAAAGAATATCAACCATGCCTACCTTTTGTGTTTGTTCTGAGGTTTTCACATGAAAAAACATGGAAAGTGCTTAGGACTCCAGATTGCCCATTCAAGCATTCAAGTTACTATCATCATTGTCATCATTCATATATTCCCACCTATCGACACCAGTGAGCAAGCAAGCTTCTGAGCTATTTGTTCTAGTGCCCCTTCTTGCCTGGAAAGCTCATCCTCATGGAACTGGCAGCCAATAGGAAATGGAAATTGCCTCCAACAGACTGACAAGGTGCCCAGACAGGTGAGATTGCTGAAGAATCAGAGCCCAGCTTCTGTTTGCATGCCCAGCTTAAATACGTAACAGCAACAACACAGCCACAACTACAAAGAATAAAAGAACTCAGCCTGTTCCTGCAAATTAGCTTATAAATTCTCAAACTTTATTTGCAACTACGTTGGGTTTAGGAGAAAGACCTTTATTACCCAAACATTATAAGACTACCATTTGTACTGAACATTGAAAATAGAAAAGTGAGAAGGCTTGCCCTCTGTCCTACAGCAGGGCATAATCTAGTGAGGGAAGCAGGGTCATAAATAGCTCACAATGGCAGGGTAGATAAGTGTTTGTAGGAGTTAAAGTCAAGGAGTTATTGAAACCCAAGAAAAGGGGTGTGTTACCCAATGAGGGTGGGAGGGTGAAGAAAGTGCCTGAGGATGGCTTTACAGCAGGAGTGAGATTCCACCTGGAATTGAGGGGTTGGATAGTCATGAGAAGACTGAGATGGGGACAGTGTCCCTGACTCAGGGAACAGCTCGTGCCAAGTCGGATGAGATACTTGGGTGTGGCTGCAGTTTAGGGCTTGCACATGGGCAGCTCAGTACTGGGAAGGCAGGCAAGGGGAATGCTGTCCTTTCACTGCCCAAGCCTGAGTTTATCAGGTGCTCCATGCAAGACACCACGTGAGAATGGAAAATGACCTTCAGCATTGTCCGTGGTGTCTTTCCATGATCTTGGTTGCACTATCTTTAAAGCTCGCCTCTTCTGAGAACTTTTCCCTGATTCCTCCATACTGCGCCTTTTCCACACATTCATGTCCACGTTGCTTGACTCAGTTGTGCATGAAACATGTGAATTTTAGTCCCAGTGTATACCCAGAGACACCATTTGAGCTCAAGGAGCTTGCTTTGAATGGAAAGAATCGGGTCCTTTACAAATGGCCAATTGCTGTAGGGGGAAAGTTATTTAATTGGCTCATTGTCTTTTTTTAAAATTATTATTAATAGTGTTAAAAAGTTTAGCTCAACATAGAGTTGCTGAACACCTTTGCAGTGTCAGAAGTAATCCAGTCCTCTCCTGAATGCCAGCCGTCAGCGTCATCAGGAGGCACAGAGCCTGCTCCCAGAGCAGCTGGGTAGGGGCACAGGAGCCTGCTTCCTTCCCACCATGGAGCAGGAGCACAGTCCTTCTACAATTGTTGCCTTCACAATTGTGAATTCAAATAACCCAGTTACATAACCCAGCATCTGTGATGGTCCATTGTTCTGGCCAGCCCTCTCGGCTTTTGTTCCTTCCTCCGTGCACCAGATCCTGAATATTCACCCATTACAGAGACCACGAGGTACTCTGCATTCTTTTTTTTTTTTTCTTTCCCTCAGTTGAAATGGATCTTTGCATTCACCAGTTATTTACAAATATTCCAGTTTCCTCCTCTGCAGCAGGCCATGATGTCTCCTAACTTGTTAAAATTAGAGGACTAGGGGTATGGGGGCATAAAAGTAGAAATCTCACTTGCATGATAGCTCTGTAAATAATAGATAGTTGGAGGGAGACAAGCCAAGTTGCCAAAATTGGTAGTTAAGTTGCAGGACAGACTGCAGTCATTGTCTGGGTGTGGACGGAACCCTCCTTCTTTCCCTATATGGCAGATTTTATGATGTCAGGTTTCACCCAGCTCTAATTAAAAGATCCAGTTGCCCTTGTGTGCCAGGGAGCTATTTTATCTTTAGTATCTCTCTTTTTTTTTTTCAGTGACAAAACTATTTTCTTTTTACATTTTTTTCCTTCAGAAAAGACATGATACAACTGAAAAAAAAAAAGAAGGCCTTAAACATGGTGCCCCAAGCTAAGTAACCTTTAAAAAAAAAAAAAAGAAAGGAATAATACCCACTCAGTTGAAACAGGAGCATACTTTTGTAGGTTTCTCCCTTTGGCTCCTTGGCAAGGCCTAGAATGAACAGTTGTTGTGAATGAGGCTATTTGCTGAAGTCTGGCTTTGTCTACCTGCGGTACCGACTCTATGGTTTTGATTGAATCGACAGTCCTGTTATTTAGGGGACCCTCTCTGAGGAATCCACTCCCTGAGTCAGCAGTTTAGATGGCCGAATTGGCCATGATCCCAACATTTTCGGGAGCCTCCCAGGCCGAGCCATGTGGCTCTCCTGGTTTCCAAGTAGACTCAGTATTGGGGTTATCCAAACATTTCCTTTAGGATCTGACTCCACTTCCCATGGTCTTGTGTGGGAATCATCCGTCAGGTTCACAGATCCAGAAATGCCTGTGATCTAACCTAGTACAACATGTGGCCTGAGTTTCAAAACCTGAGAGTGATGTTAATGGTTATGATGTCTTATCTCCTTCTCGCTGGAGTTTATTCATTCATGAACCCACGCAGGTTAAGATCACATGTACAGATAGCACTGATTGAGTGATCTCTATGTGCTGAGCAGTGAATCAAATGCTTTGAGTCTTACATCATTGGATTCTCCCAACAACCCTCTTATTATCCCAATTTTATGAAAGAAGACCCTGAGACTCAGAGTGATTGATAAAAAGACTTAAGGCCAAACAACTCTTAAGGGAGGAAGCTGGACTTGGAATCTGGGAAGCCTGATGCCAGAATCTGTGATCAAAAGCAGAAACCTCTACGCCTCATCCATTCTTTCCTTCAGGAAACATATTTGGATCAATTTTTATGTTTCTTTGTTTGAGAAAATGTCAAACAATGTCCCTTGATCCAACAAAAAAGATGCAGAGTGAAATCACATATAATGAAACCAATTTTGTTCTCATTAACATTATAAAGAAAGTTGAATAAAATGGTGTTATTCCAATACCTACTTTATGTTGTTTCACTGACAGTGGCAGTTTCCAAGAACCTATAGAGACATTGAGTGACAATTAACTTTATGGTGAAATGTGATCTTCATGGAGATTGTCTTTATCTTCTATTTCTATGGAACAAATTACCAAAAACAGAGATTTTAAAGGACATTCATTTACTATCTCACAGTTTCCATGGATCCGAAGTCCGGGTGAGCTTAGGGTCTTAAAAGCAAAAGTCAAGGTATTGGCTGGGTTGGGCTCTTATCTCCAGGCTCTGGGGAGGAATTTGCTTCCAAATTCATTTTGGTCCTTGGTCAAATCCAGTTCTTTGCAGCTGCAAGGACTGAAGTGTCAGTTTTCCTCCTTGCTGTCAGCTGGGGCCACTTTCAGCTTCTAGAGACGTCTATTTGGTCCTCATTACATGGACTTTTTCATCTTCAAAGCCAGTGATGGCTGGTCCAGTTCTCCTTGTACTTTAAATCTCACTGACTTCCCTTCTGCCTCCAGTTAGTGGAAACGCCCTGCTTTTAAAGGGCTCACCTGACTGAGTCAGGTCCACCTGCACTTTCTCTCCATATGTTAACATCACCTAATTGCATCTGCAAAATCCCTTCACAGCAGCACGTAGATAAGGGTTTCTTCAACAATCAGGGGACCAGAATCTTGGGGGCGAGCATTGGGATTCTGCCTAACATGAGGTAAAATTGAGCACTGGAAGGTGGGCATATGAGCTGGGGCGGAAATGAATATCAGGGGGGCTATGCACTTAGAAGTCCCTGTCACATCTTACCCAGGCCTCCACCAGGTGGACTTATCATCATAACCATGCTTCTTATCTGTCTGCTGGTCTCATTTCCCATTTGTAAAAATAGGATACGATTATTCAACACCTCACAGAGATTTTGAGAGAATTAAATGGAGAATTAAATTAAATGCTTGTAAAAGGTTTTGCACAGTATCTGGCATGTCATGGACGTTAGATAAACATTGGCTGTTATCATTACTATTATTATCTATGATTATGTAATTAAAAGAAACATTATTCATACTAATAAAAATGTAAAAATAAATAAAGGGATGGTTTTAAAAGGGGGTACTTAAGCTCGTTTTCTAGGACAATTTAGAAAGTGCCTGGGTGGGCAATCTGTTTTCAGGGGCAACCACCTCGCTTTTACTCTAACTGCACATTCCTCCAGGGGGCAGTGTGTTCCACCCAGGAAGTCCTCAGAGCCACCACGCTCTAGGGATAATTAGGATAATAACAATAGTCAACTTAGGGCTTGTTGTACACCAGGACTCTGCTAAGAACTTTACGTATTTTGACTCAATCTTTCGCAACAAGTTTGTGAGAAGGATACTAATATTATTCCCTTTTTACGGTTGAGGAAACTGAGCCTCAGTAAAGTCTCGCAGCTCCTAAGAGGCAGGGGTGCAAACTCACCCAAGCCATCTAGTCCAGCCTCAGGTATTTCTCTCTCCACTTTTCCTCTCCTGCTCTTGTTTATCAAACCACTCGCTTTTCTAGACCATACCCAGGTTGCTCTTTTCTTCCACGTAGCCTTTCCACTGCCTGGGGTGCCAGCTCTCGTGTTTCCTTTCTTCTCTATTGGCCTTGCATTTTTGCTATATGCATCTTTTATTTGAGACGAAGTCTTGCTTTCTTGCCCAGGCTGGAGTACAGTGGCTTGACCTCACTCAGCTCACTGCAACCTCCACCTCACGAGTTCAAGCGATTCTCCTACCTCAGTCTCCCAAGTAGCTGGGACTACAGGCATGAGACACCATGCCTGGCTAATTTTTGTACTTTTAGTAGAGATGGGGTTTCAGCATGTTGGCCAGGCTGGTTTCGAATTTCTGACCTCAAGGGATTCACCCACCTCGGCCTCCCAAAGTGCTGGGATGACAGGTGTGAGCCACCGCACCCGGCCATCTTCTTAAGTTTTAATGGGCACCCCAATGGCCCAGAAACCAGCTTTAAAAGAACACAGTAATTCAAGTGGTTTGGGCATGGGGCCTGAAACTCCACATGTCTGACAAGCTCCTAAAGAGGCTGACTGATCCATGGGCTACATCGTGAGTACCGAGACTTCCATGAGCTCCATGAGGGCAGAGATCATGGCTGTTATGTCTGCAGCCTCAATTTTCTCTTCTATAAAATGGGTATAATATCACAGTACTTTGTCCCAAGTTTAAGTCAACATTTTAAAACAAATGATGGAAAATGAGATTCCTTCTTATCCTGCTTTCTAGTTTTTCCCTTTCTCTTTTATGCACACACACACAGAGAGACACACACAAGCACACTGCTAAAGTCTCTTATTTCTGAGTTGTTTCTTTCTCTTGTATAACCTCCAGGGATCTCTTTAAGTTCTCTCAAAACCTTTGTGGCTCTTTCTCTCTGATATTTTTAGTAATGAAAGTTCGCTTTCTAAAGTTGATTATAACCTGATTCAGCATCAACCTGCAAAAGAAAGCAGGGAATCAAAGCTTTAAATGTGAAGTGGAATTCATTGCTCAGCCTTGTTGGGAAAGCTCTTGCTCACTTACCTTTCTCCTTCAGCCCCTGGTCCTGAGGTTGAGCTATCTTCTATGGCTTTATCTTCTCTCCCTGATTCTCATTTGTATTTTCTCTCTTTGATCCTGTATTTGTCATTTGTCAGCTCAATGATACAGCTCAATGATTACATCTTAGATTGTCCCATTATAAACTATTTTCTTCTAGCTATTTTGAAATGTGCAATAGGTTAATGTTAATTATAGTGACCCTATTGATCACTATAACACTAGGTCTTATTTCTTCAATCTAACTGTATGTTTGTACCCATTAATCAACCTTTTTTTTTTTTTTTTTAAGATGGAGTCTCGCTCTATTGCCAGGCTGGAGTGCAGTGGCACAATCTCGGCTCAGTGCAACCACCGCCTCCCAGGTTTAAACTATCCTCCTGCCTCAGCCCCCCAGTAGCTGAGGTTACAGGCACATGCCAACTTGCCTGGCTAATTTTTGTATTTTTAGTAGAGATGGGGTTTCGCCATCTTGGCCAGACTGGTCTGGAACTCCTGGCCTCAGGTGATCCACCCGCCTCAGCCTCCCAAAGTGCTGGGATTACAGGCATGAGCCCCTGCACCCAGACTAATCAACCTTTTTTATCCCCCACTCCCAGCTTTCCTGGCCTCCAGTGACCACCAACCTACTGTCTGTCTTCAGGTGATCTACTTTTATTGCTCCAACATATGAGTGAGTACGTATGATATTTGTCTTCTGTACTTGACTTATTTCACTTAACATAATGACCTCCAGTGACATCCACGTTGCTGCATATCACAGGATTTCGTTCTGTTTATGGCTAAGTAATATTTCATTGTGTATATATACCTCATTTTCTAGATTCATTCATCCATTGATGGGAATTTCGATTGATTTCATATTTTGACTATGTGAGTAGTCCTACAATAAACATGGGAGTGCAGATATCTTTTTGATTTATTAATTTCCCTTGTTTTGGATGCATACCCAGTAGTGGAATTGCTGGATCATATGGTAGTTCTATTTTTAGTTTTTTGGGACACTTCCATGCTATTCTTTCTAGTGGCTGTACTAATTTACATCCCCAACAATAGTGTATGCAGGTTCCTTTATCCCCATATCCTTACCAGTGTCTACTATTCCCTGTCTTTTTAATAAAAGCCATTTCAACTGGGATGAAGTGACATTGCATTGTGGTTTTGACTTGCATTTTTCTGATGACTAGTGATGTTAAGCATTTTTTCATATACCTGTTGATCATTTGTATGTCTTCTTTTGAGAAATGTTTGTTCAGATCTTTTGACCATTTTTTAATTAAATTGTTATTCTATTATTTTAGCTTTTTATATATTCTCGTTATTAAGCCCAGACCCAAGTTTTGAAAGAGTGTCCTGTGGACCATCAGCCTCTGAATCATTTTTAGTTTGAAACCACTGATACAGATTAGAATAGTGGCAAGATAAGGTCTAATAACGAAACCAAAATGTCCTGCAAACTTGGGGCATGAGATGAAGTTCATTCTCTTTAGACATCAAATAACACGACTTTGATCTCTTATCATAACCCTTTCTGTACTTTCTCCTTTTGTCATAGACCCATCCATCACTGACCAAGGAGCAAATCCATTTGAGAAAGGCCGTTCTGCCTGTTCTTTAGCCCATGCCCTAGACAGAGGTCTTGACTGGGATCTGTTGAGCCCAGAGGACATCACAGATTTTCCTAGATATTGATCCTTCCATGGCACAACCATTGTTCTCATTGCTACCACTGACACCCAGGAATGTCAACCAAGTGCCTCCACTGCAGAGGCTGGGAGCATGTGGCTGCCTGTAATCCCAAGATTCCCATCCTGATTGCGTTTCATCTCATTGCAGGAGCTAGAACTCAATCGTGTTCCCCTAGAACTAGGTCAATGTAACCACTGCTGCCACCAGCACTGGAGAAGGGAAGGGGTCGAGAAGCCCACGTGAAGAGGGGCCATGGTAAGTTCATTTATCTCACCCCTCTGAGGCTCAGGAAAATTACCTTCAATCCTGAGTCCTAAGGTAGCCCTTTTCTTCTCTGCTCTCAAAGCCTACCTGCTAAAGAAAGTTTTGCACTTTGTGCCTCCTGGACTCCTGGACCCCAATAGTCAGTACCTCCCACCCCAATAAAAAGATCCTAAAACAGTTCACTTCTCAAGCTCTGGGGGATTTAGTATTTTCATTGGTCACTTTGCCGTAAAAGTAGAACACCAAGTCAATGCTTTTGAAAAGAAAGACCCTAGTTTAGTAGTCTAGGACTTTGCTGCAGAACCCTTATTAAAATGCAGATTCTTGGGCCCCACTTCAAGTCTATGGAATCTGAATCTGCATTTTCACAGGACCTGTGGGCTATTTAGGTGCACATTAGAGTTTAGAAATCACTAACTTGAAGATTATCAAGCTTTTCTCGACTAAACAATATAACTCTTTTAATAAGTGAAATTTTATGCAGACTCCCAGTCTATGAAAACATAGGCGGGAGTGAGCCAAACACCCCACGCTTTCAGTTTACAACCTGGGACCTCTCCGAAGAATACGTGGAGCTCAAAGAGGCTTGGCTTGAAAACTGCTCATCTCATTACATTTGAGAAAATGGGCTCAGGGAGGGCAGGTGACTTTCCCCATGCACAAAATCAATCAGTGGTAGGTGCAGCCTTTCCCAGGAGCAGGTGGCCTGAGTTCCTAAGTGAGTACCTGTTACTGGGCCAATTATAGAAACAGACTCAATTTAGGCAAGTAGAAGAGGCAGCCTCCTTCATTGCCTACCTATTTTTGAATGTCTTTCTGACCAGTCTAGATAGCATCCAATTCCCCTTTGGTCCAAGTCTCAGGCTTTCTGAATGTTTTCCAAACTTTATATTAGGGAGTTTCACTTGAATGGAGAAATGTATGTAAAATTCTGGAAACAGGCATCACATCCCTCCACCCCATTCCATGACCGGGCTCAATAATATCACCATAAAGACTAGAGCATCAGTCAGAGTTTCATCAACCATGGACATGTTTACCCAGGGAGGGGAGGCTCCCGTTACCCCATCAGTTTGCTTTTAGTTGACCCATTTGCCATTCACAGTGTGAGTCCAGGTGTGAAAAAATGATAGCACCAACGGGCCAGGAAAAGATCTGGGATGGGCAAGAACTGGGGTAGAGGGTTCTGAGTTACTTCTGGGAGGTGTAGGGTCAGCTGAGGTCACAGTTACCTTGGTGGGCAGAAAGGTTTAACATGGAGGCCAAGAACATCAACTTTAATGCTGAGCTCCGCTGGCTGAACCATTCTCCACTTCCACCCACCATGCTTCTTCTCAACTTCCAAGACTATCTAATATTTTTTCTGGGAAGCTGACCTTGGCTTTAGCACACACATCCCAGGTCAGAAATGAATAACATGCACCATTTGTTCTTCAAGTCCAACACAAACTCTTTGGTAATTAAGTGAGCTCTTTATTTGTACACTCTTTCAGAGAAAGGATGGATTATTCAAGTTTTTCTGAAATGTCTCTTAAGCATCTTACTTTCTCTCATTTCCAGATACCTTTTAGAAGCGTTTAAAAAATTATTACTTGGGGATTTTTGTTGTTGTTATTTTTCCCTGGCCTTCCCAAGAAACTGCAGAAAACAAGAAAAAGAAATTCCAGTTCCCAGACAAAAGCCTAAAGTTTCCGCCAACACAGATGGCCTGACTTAAAGAAAGTTTTTCTAGTTATATATCCTTTAAAACATGTATTTAAGTGTTTCCCATGTGAAGCAAAGAGAAAGAGGAAAACAGCTCAAAACACAGACTGAGATATCAAGTAAGATGACCATCCAAGCACAGGAAGATATTAAAATAATCATGGTTCACATGGGTTGAGGGGAGAGAACCCTTGGGGCTGCAGAGTGTAAAGAGACAGCCACGAGGTTCCCAGTGTGACTTAACACACACACTTTTCTATTCACCAAGAGATGGACACTCCATTGGAAATGATGGTAACCAGCTCTAGGCAAATCCTTCCCCTGTCTCTACCATTGCCTTGAAGGTCTGCAAGAGATACATTGACATTGCTTTTCAAAAATCTCAGAAGAGAAGCCTCCTCTTGTCTCTCCAAATTAAACCAGATGGGTTGCCGACAATCTCCCCAGCCATAGTCTCCCCCTCCTGCCCTCACCTCTGGTCAAGAACATCATGTTCTGATGGCTTTGGTTTGGGCTTGATGAAGGGTCCCAACTCTGACTGCCTTTGCCTCCATTTGCAGCAACTGGCAGATCTTTCCTCATCCCCACTGCCCTAATGTTGGTCCTTTCGTGATTCCTAACTAGTAGTTATTCAGCTGTAATTGAGGTAGGAATCAATTCCCTGCCTTATAATCAGAGGCGACCTCTTGCCTTTCTGGGCCAACTCAGTTATCATGGGCCTCTGCAAGTTGATTCAATGCCACAGGGAAAATGTATCATTCTGGGTTTCAGTTTGGACATTTAATCTTCCCTGATTTTCTTCTTCAACCTTAGGCTATTAGGCAAAACTTGCAGGGCTCTGAGGCAAAGCAGATCTGTATTTGAACCCAGTATCTACCAATATTAGACGGGAGACCCCCGAGAAAATTCCCTATGCTCCAGTTGTCATCAGGTATAAAAAGAAATTAAAATATCAACCTCCTAAGGATGTTGTAAGAAACAAGTGAATTAATATTCTACATGGAAAAGTGCAAAATTATTTCCATGAATATAGCCGGTTCATCACTTAGTTGTTTGTGCTTTTTGCTGTTGCTCGTCTTTCAGTTATTTTTTGGGAAGAGTGAGAAATAGCCCAAATTCAGTGAGCTTCACACATCTATGAAATAAGCCATTTGGGGTATACATCAGACAGATTCAAACTACAGTGTTTGCATACCAGAAAGTAAGGTACACTTGCAGCATTTCACAATACATCTTCGTGTGTGCCATTTCTTTTTTGCCCAGAATCCTCTTATTTCCCTGGATAAATATGCAGTGCCCACTTAATGTCGGGCACATTTCTAGGGGATGCGTTTATAAGCAAGGATGTGACCTCATGGGGCTTGTGTTTTATGTGTGTGTGAGGGTGGGTTCAGTCACGGAAAGACTGCCAACAAGAAAATAATCCAATAAAGGGATAATTTTGGAGTGATAAGTGTCATAAAAATAATTAAACAGAGTCATGAGGCAGAGAGTGACTGCCTGCAAAGGTTGGTGAAATCCACTTTGAAGAGGATATTTAGAGGAGGAGACGTTTAGAAATGAAGAGCTATTCTAAAACTGAGATCTCATTGGCACAGATTGTGTGAGTATTTCTGGGAGGATAATCCCAAATAGAAGGAATAGAGAGAGCAAAAGCAGCACGCGGTAGCTTACTCCCAAGGGGCCTGCCAATTTGTCCTCCCTCTCTGCATGTCTACGCCTTCTCCCGGCTGAGAAGTATGGTTTATTTCTCCCTTTTTCTGGAATCTGGGCTGGCTTTGGCAAATCACTTAACCATTAGAATGGGGTAGAGGGGATATTCTGAGATTGCTGAGGTTAGGTCATAAAAAGTCCTGCAGCTTCTGCGTGGGGCCCTTGGAACACACTCGTGGGATGCTCCCCTTTGAATCCAAGCTGTCATGCTGTGGGAAGCCCAAGCTTCATGGAGAGGCCTGGGGGAGATGCATCATGGGACAGGCCCAGCTGAGCTCCTAGCCCCCAGCCAGGATCCACTGCCAGTTATGTGAGGGGGCCAACTGGGCCGTCCAGTCCAGCCAAGCCTTCATGTCTCTGTAATTCCAGTAACTACCTTGAAACTGAGACACAAACACTACCCAAAGGGTAAAGTCCATCATAAACTATTGATGGAAGTCACCAAGTTTTGGGGGTGATTTGTTATGGAGCAGGAGATCATCAGAACACAATACAACATCTCTCTGTCCTCTTAGCTTTGCCAATTCCTCCTTATTTTTCAATTCAGCTATTACCCCCTCAGAGGGACCTTTCTGACAACCCTCACCGAAGGTTCCTAGACATTCTCCTTTCTGCTTTCATAGAAATTTGCACGTTTCATTCATAGCACTTACAGCCATTGATAATTTGCATTTACTTTGTGATTATTTGTGATTGTCTTCCTCACTAGAGCTTATGCTTAATAATAAAGATTTACGTCTTTTGCTCCCCGTAATATCCCTACCACTGAGCATAGACCCTGGCACATAGAGGGGTACTCAATAAATATTTGTTTTTATGAAGGAATACAGGAATGAATTGGTTAGCTTAGGAGTTGGGATCTGGTGGTCCAACTTAGCAGATGTTGATAACAGACATTGTCCCTAAATATTAGTTCTTTAGTGGCCAAATCTGAGCTGAGCTTCTATCAAAGGAGGCTTATAAGTTAAAATCTCAAGTGTCCAGGACATGTGGTGCCCAGAAAAATTGGTAAAAGATGTTGCTGTGAAGTCTCAGAGGACTAAGAGTCCCTAACTCCATTAGACATAATTCCATTAGGCTTACACCCAAATGGAATATGAGGTGCATCCTACTCCCAGGTCTGCAACTTGAGGTTTCTTTAAACACCCCTAGCTTTCCACGCCAAAGCCATTAACAGCGCACACACACACACACACACACACACACACACCACACACACAAACACACACCCCTCCATGGACTCTAAAACATGGCCCAGGCAATTCCTCCCGACTAACCTCCATGCCACTCTAGCTATTCTTCTGCTTTCCTGCCTGCTGCCTTTATATAACAAAAATATGTTTAAGTCTTGCTACCAGGTATTACGAGCTTATTATTTATTAGGTACTGTGCCAAGTGCATTATACTCATTATCTCATCTAATCCTCTCAGAAGCCTATGAGGTACAGAGTATCTCCCAATTACAGATGAGTAAATTAAGGCAAAAATTGGTTAAGAAATTTGCCCAAAGCCATGGAGCTAATAAGCAGCAGAGCCAGTGTTAAAAACAAAACAGCCTGGGCGAGGTAGCTCATGCCTGTAATCCCAGCAGTTTGGGAGGCCGAGCGGGGTGGATCACTTGAGGTCAGGAGTTCGAGACCAGCCTGGCCAACATGGTTAAACCTCGCCTCTACTAAAAATAGAAAAATTAGCCAGGTGTGGTGGTGGGTGCTTGTAATCACAGCTACTCAGGAGGCTGAGGCAGGAGAATCTCTTGAACCCGGGAGGCGGAGGATGAGGTGAGCTGAGATCGTGCCACTGCACTCCAGCCTGGGTGACACAGCGAGACTCCGTCTCAAAAAAAAAAAAAAAAAAAAAAAACTCAGGAACAAACAAAAAAGATCTGAATGTCTCCAAAATGCAGGCTGTTTTCTATTCTGTCCCAATGCCTCTCAAAAGAGAACATGCGTTTCTTATTATTTTGTCTCATCCAGTCTTCAAAACCTGGCTCAGAAATATTAATATATAATGTGGCCCTGAGCTGGACACACAACAGGACACGGCTCACAGAGATTGCCCACTGAAATTTAAGGCCAGAAAACTTCTGGCCCTGGCCATTGGACTTCCCTTCCCCACCAACGCCATCCAAGGGAAGACATCTGGATGCGTGCCACGACAGGGCCGGAGAAGCAGATCCTGCGAGACATGCTCAGGACCCTGGAGACAAGTAGCTTTAACTGAGTGCACTGTCAAGCTGACAGCTGGGAAAGAAACTTCTATGTCAAGAGAATTCCCCGAAGCACAGGCCACGTAAAACACATCAGGTGCAAAAGGGTTTTATTCTGGGTGGGCCAGTTTTGAAACTCAAAACTGATAAACATGTCTGGGAATTTGAAAGACTGACTCAGAAACCCCCGGGTCTTGGCTACACTGTTACGTGAGGGCCGTGGATCCCACAAGCAAGCGAGCTCTCATCTCTTTTGTACTTCCCTGTCTCGGCCCCTCTCCTCGTCCCCGCCCTAGGTGATAGCTGCCTCATCAAGTGTGAATCATGAAACCACATAAACAGCAAGAAGGCCATCCTCCCGCCCACTTCTGGGAACATAAACAATAATAATGTAAATACAACTTACTAAAGGCTTAAGCAAAGTGCTTAAAGGAAATCTATATTTTTTTATGTAAACTGTCTTCTGTTTACCACCGTGGAATAGTCCTTCTGCTTAACTTTGGAATCTGAGAGGAGATTGTCATGGAAGCAAAGGGTATAACCCAGGATCAGGAGATTTTAAAGGAAAGACTGTGAAAAAGCTCACTTTCAGATGCTCCTCCCCTGTTCTGCAATGCTGGCAAACAATAGTTCTTTGGGTGATACTTTGTTTGGTGATTGGGCATTCAAGTGAAATATCAGCATTTATTTTGCATAGCTCTGAAAGAGCCCTTTGGAGGTTAAAAAAAAAAAAAAAAAGTATGTGTGGGTTGTGTGTGTGTGTGTGTGTGTGACAGAGAGAGAGAGAAGAGAAGGTGTTAGAAAATAATTTTAAATTTGGATCGTGCTCAAATCGTGGAAAAATTTCCCACCATCCTTCTCTCTACCTTTGTCTCAGAGCTGAATATTGATCCTAGGTGGTGATCTACATGGATAGGAGATGTCAGGCAACTTGAAAATTCTTTATTGTTGCTAACCACAAATATTTGGGGTTTGTTTTATCTAGGTTATACTGAGAACCTGCCAGGGAAAAATTCAGACATACAAATCTTTGTGTAAACTACCTTAAGAGCCTTAAGCTGACAAAAGCCAGAGCAAAGTCTGAAATTCTGTCCTCAGAGTACCCATAATTTAGGCTCTGGCTCTTCGTATAGTGTAACAGGATTCCAGCAGAGCTTGGGTTTTCCACATATGCCATGCGAGGTTCGGGCCAGAAAAGACTTACTTTGTTCTGTGGCCTTCCCAGTGTGACGCAGACACTTTTCCAATTCTCTAAAATATCTGGGAACAGGAAGGGTGATGGGGTAGATGGCTTCCAACACTTCTGAGCAATGATGCAGGAGTCTACCCAGTTGGGGAGGGGGTGAAAAAAGTCTCAACATTACCTCCTTTCTCAACATTCTGGACCTCTGTTTGCTAATTTAGCCCGTGTCCATTCGCCTTCTGCTGCTAAAACTTAGGCCAATCCCACTTTTACTTTCGGAAATTTAAACCTCAAGTAGAACCAGCTCTAAAAGGCAATTGCAGCTGAATTGCATCCAGTGTTTTTGTGCTAAAGAGACTGCTTTTTAATTTTTGGCTATTACCCAAGTCTCGGTGGGCCTGACCCTTCCCTATAATCTGTGAGGTACCCAATACCTTTCAACACACCCCCTATTATATGCAAAGTTCATCAGAGTTCATTTCTGTTGCTTACATTCAAATAACCCTAACTAAATCCTCCTCTGCTTCCAGGTTTTGTACTAGCAGCTGAGGATTCAATGGTGAACAAAATCTTTCTTTTGATGCTGCAAAAAATACCAAACTTTAGCTATTCGGTTTTTAACAAATGTTTTATTTGAAGTTTCTACTATGTGTGTGTTGCTGGGATCCAACAGTAAATAAGTCAACACAACCTCTGTCCTTATATGTCTTATTGTCTACTGGGGATAAAAGACATTATACAAGCCATCATGATACAACATAAGAATATTATGAGAGAGTGCTGTGGTTTGAATGTGTCTCTCCAATTTCATATGTTGAAAACTTAATCCCCAATATGGCAGTATGGAAAGGTGAGGCCTTTAAGAGATGATTATTGGGTCATTAGGGCTTGGCCCTCATGACTAGACTGATTCATTCATGAATTAATAGGTTAATGGATTTATGGATTATCATGGGATTGGGACTGGTGGCTTTATAAGAAGAGCAACAGAGACCTGAGCTAGCACACTCAGTTCCTTCACCATGTGAAACCCTGCACCATCTCAGGACTCTGCAGAGAGTCCCACTAGCAAGAAGGCTCTCACTAGATGCAGCCCTTCCACCTGGAAGTTCTCAGCTCCCATAACTGTGAGAAATTATTTCCCTTTCTTTATAAATTACCCAGCTTCAGATATTCTGTTATAAGCAACAGAAAGCAGTCTAAGACATAGGGAAAGTTCATGGTATAGTCAGAGCACATCTAACAGGACTAATCTCATCCTAGGACCAGGAAAGACCCTGGCCTTGATGGGCTCAGATGTTCTCAGGGATAGTAAATTAATAGTTTGCTCTCTCATTGAGCTCAGTGAAATTGGATAAATAGCAATACCTGCAGTAACATAGGAAAATGCTAACTAATACTGATTGCCCCTCCCTCCTGTCTTGGAAAGCTAACCTGTGGTAGAATGGGTCAAATACTTTCTGCGGTTAACCAGCTGAGCTAAGCTGACAACATGAATGCGGGTACAGCAGTCTTCTCCTTTGCAACCCAAGAGAAAAGCCTTCAACAGACCAAGTGAATAAGCCACCTGATATTTAACCCACAGGCTTTGGTGTACCCTAACTATGGAAGAGGAATTAAACAATTAACCAAAAAGTATAAGAATTACTAACTTAAATAAGACACCTCATATGTGCCAGTCAATACTAATTTTTTCACATTATCTCTTTTAAGTCTTATAATATAATGACATGAGGCAGGTGTTTTTATAATCATACTCATGCTTCATTGTTTTTAGCAGATAAAGCCGACTTTGGGAATATAGAAAACTTTCCAAGGTCACTAGACATTAACATCAGTTTGTCTCCAAGCCCCTTGCTTATTCCACTACATCACAGATCCTCTCAGTTAATCAGAATGCATATATAATATATAACCCTAACCCTAAGAGGTGATTGGGTCATGAAGGCTTGGCCTCATGATTGATCCATTCATGGATTAATGGATTAGTAGGTTAATGGATTAATGGGTTATCATGGGAGTGGCACTGGTGGCTTTATAAGAAGAAGAAGAGAGACCTGAGCTGGCACACTCAGTCCCTTTGCCATGTGATACCCCACACCACCTGAGGACTGTGCAGATTCTCACTAGCAAGAAGGCTCTCCCCAAATGCAGTCCCTGTAGGATTCCCCTGTCTTAGAATCACTACCTACCTCTTAGGTAGTAGGGGTAGAGGATCTATCCTCTTAGGTAGTAGTGGTAGAGGTAGGTAGTGATCATGAGAGAGGGGAATCCTCCAGCCAGCTTAACCTGAGACATGAACCAGGCTCCCAAGTGAAGCTCCAAATTTCAAAGCAAAGCATGGGTCAGTTATTAGGAGCCCTTGTTTTCTGGACCTGGGTTATCCTTGCCTGGTAGTTAGGAAAAAAAATGGAAGAGAAGGAAAGTAGGAAGGAAGGAAGGAAGGAAGGAAGGAAGGAAGGAAGGAAGGAAGGAAGGAAGGAAGGAAGGAAGGAAATGAAGGAAGGAAAAGAAGGAACGAAGGATGGAAGGAAGGAAGGAAAGAAGGAAGGAAGGATGGAAGGAAGGAAAGAAGGAAGTAAGAGAGGGAGGGAAGGAGGGAGGGAAGAAAGAGGAAGAGAAGAGAAGAGAGAAGAGAAGAGAAGAAGAGAAGAGCATAAAGTAATCAAGCCCATCTGGTCAGTAGCAGGTTTGTAACCCCAAGGCAGTCATGCAGACTGTGCTGGCTAGCCTTTTACATAAGGCTGTCCCTGCTGAGGTTAAATCCCTCCTCACTGTGGCCTGAAGGAACCCAAGAAACACACTCATTGCCTTTTTGGTTATTTTATAAACAGTGCTTGGAAACCGCCAGTCATTATCACTCTTCTGGCCAGCAAGTCAGACTTTCCATGCCCTTGTGTACGATGCCCTGAATCTTCCCAAAGTCAGCAACGTAATTTCCCTAAACCAAGAGGATTGTTTACTTTGGCCAAAATCAGGGCAGAGTTTACATCTGAGCCTGTGCTTTTCCAGCACTCAACAAGCTTTGGGGCTGCAATCCACATATTCATCCCACCATCCATTCCTTTATTCACACATTCATTCACTTATGGTTACATCCTCCCAAGACTGATCCAGGCAGCTATACTTCCATATATTCACCCACCCATTCATTGGATTATTGATGCAGAAATCCACTCATACACTCCCTTTTAATCATTCACCCACTTATCAACTCTTCTATTTAGCCACTCACTGATTCAATAACCCACCCAGTAATTTATCCTTCCATTCATGCACAGAGGCATCCATCCATTCATCCACTCATCACTCACCATTTCTGTACTCAGTCACCTAATCACTTTTTTACTCAATCATCTAACCACCTATTCACCCAATCCATAATCCCATATTATGAGCCAGGCACTGCTGTTGATATTGGAGGAACAAGCATGAAAGACATGGTTATCCATTTTTCTATCCACCCAGCAACATTCCATTGATTAGCATCTATTCATTTATCCACTGTGTAGAATTTTACTCCTGTGGGCACTTAATTGAGTATGAGGTGAATCCCAGGGAGGCTGGAAGAGAGACATAGGGATTAACCCTGATTCAAGTCCATGCAGAGTGCAATCAGAGTGACAGTTGGGAAAGACTTGACTAAGAGACAAAACCTAGACAAGAGACAAGTCAGAGCTTCGGCTATCAATAAAAAGGAAGACATTTTGCAATAGGAGTATATCAGTATGGAACATAAAAAGATTCATTCTTGTACCTAAGTTAGCCATAGTGTATATTAATAAATGGATTTGAGCCTTCCCCTGAATCAGAAAAATTTGAAAAGGTGTCTAGGTAATTCAGACAGTTTCATTTATTCATCTATTCATCCTTCCATCCATCCATCAATTCATTCATCTGTCCACCTATTCATGCATCCATATTTTATCCATTCATGCATCCATATTTTTGTTGTTTAACAATTACAGCAGGGGCTTTTAACGAGGGCTCTGATGATGGGTACAATCATCTAAATTTGATTCATCCTTGCATTCCTAGTGTTTTCCTTTGCTACCGATACCTGCCCTGTGTAAACTATTTGCTAAATAAAGTAACTAGTGCTCTTAATTACAGCTAGGTAAACCCAGGTATGAATAAGTTTGCTTTTTATATGATTGCTTAATGGCCATGTGTAGGATTTATCCTATCTACATTTGAGAAATTAACATACCAGAGGGGACCATGACTAGTTTAACCATGTCTAGAAGACACAGCTTTAGCTGTTTGACAAAGTGAATCCATCTCCTTCCCATTCTAACACACCACTAGAAAGGGCTAAGGCCAGATTCATGCATTAGGAGCTAATCAGTCAGATCTCAGGATTCAGTAGATCCAATTATTTTTGTTTAACACCACTTGAAGAGGTCACCACAGAGACCCTTAATCAAACTGACTGAGTTTGGGATAACTGCATTTATGGGAACAGGACTCCGACTTGTTCATATAACCGGTGCCAGTTGAGGAGGATCGCTCTGTGAGTTTGGTCGATACAGTCAACTTCTTTAGACAACTCAAATTGAAATCTTTTCATTTCTTCAAAAACAGAGTAAGTCCTTTAAACTTTAACCTAGAAGCAACACAGCGTGTATTAGCAGCACGGGAGGTATGGGGGATAAAGCCAGAGGGAGGTAGGTGTTATTCCAGCACCTCACTTGGCCTTGGGCAAGTTACACTGAATGTCTCTAATCCTCTGTTTCTCTATCGGTAAAATGTGAAAAACAGCCTTCTCACTTGGATGCATCCGAGTGGACAACCCATAGGAAAAGTCTAGCTCAGAATATAAAGAAGGAACCCAGTAAATAGTAGCTTCTAATTTCTTGATTCTGTAAATGGTTGCTTCATATGCCTATATCACATTCCTTGATTTAAAAATTAAAAAAAAATCCACAACTCTTTTTACGTCTGTTTAGACTCTAGACTCTGCAAAGGACTTCAATGTCCACTGCCTCATCTGAGCTTTATTAGCACCACCATTGTCATTATTATCAAAACGATGACCATTCCCATTCTGCAAATAAGAAAATTAAGGCCCAAGTTGAATAAGGAATTTTCTCACTTTGCATCACAGTCAAGACTCGAACTCATCATCTTCAAACTCTGAGCCCAGTTATCTCTGCATCAACACAATAGTAAAATAGCAAACTCAACAAAACAACAAGGGTGGAAGAGATAAAAAGGCCCATGTATCTCTTGAGAGCACTCCCTAGTGGACTTGCTTAGGTAACAAGTGTGTGGCTTGCTGAGAAGGCCCAAACAAATGTCATTCACTTGTCATGCACATTGACAAAGTGAATCCATCTCCTCCATATTCGAATACATTGCTGTTTCTTTTCCCATCTGTAAGCAGTCTCTTTCAGCCCTTCTGTGACCTTCTGATAGGCTGCCAGCATACAAGATGATACTATGAGCCTGAAAAGCTGTCCTATATGCTCAGACCCCTACAAGGAGTCTGTGTTTTATTTCACTATTTTCCTGGGTGTTCTTCTATTTTCTTATTTATTTATTTGAACCACTAAATTATCTAATTAGTGACATATATCGTTGACACATGGGCTACTATGAATATTTACTGCACACTTGCTCACGCATTTATCTAAATAGGTGGCATGCCAGAGCTATGTAATAAGGAATAATGATTCTTTAGAACAGTTACAGGAAATTATAGAAGGGGGAAAAAGTTTTGCACAGTGGGTTTCAGGTTCCAACCACATCTATCAATTCTTCCTGAGATAGAGCAATTGCATAGTAATGACAAAAAATTTATAGTAATGAATAAATCAATACTCAGCTCTGCGGCAGTTTCAGATGTTACTTTTATGGGCCCTCCCGTGTCTATTATATATCCCTTAGTGCTGGAGCTGAGAAAGTGTGGTGAATGCCAACAGCCACAGGGAGAAAGGGACCTGCTCAGGCTCCCGAGAAGACGGTGATCCATCACCATCCCCTCTCAAGCAGATCCATTTATATCTCTGAGCCCTAAAACTGAGCAGCTTACACTGATCAATGACACAGCCAACAAGTGTTTGTTTTAAGAATGGAGCTGTCACTTCACGTTGAGCAAAGTGGAAATGCATAAATAAATAAACAAATAAATAAATGGGTGAAGGATGGGGTAAGAGGAAGAGAGTGTTGGGGGAAATGGAGGAAATGGCAATGTAGAAAGAGGATTTCAGCTCAAAGTGGTGTCTTCAAAAGCTTTATTCATTTAGCAAGTATTAATTGAGTATCAACTGTGTACCAGGCACAGTTCTAGGCAGGGGTTGGCAAATATTTTCTGTAAGGGGCCAGAAAGTAAATATTGTAGGCTTCACAGGCTACATGGTCTCTGCTGTCACTACACAATTCAGTGGCTATAGCACAAAAGCGGCCATGGACAGTATATCAATGAACAGGTGTGAGTATGTTCCAATTAAATTTTATTTGCGAAACAGATGGTGGGCTGGATTTGGACCACCAGCCAATATATAGAGGATATACAGCCTCATGTCCCTGAGGACAAGGGATGTGTGCCAGTGGACTGTGGGATGATTTGGTAGGGACTCGGGCATGGTGTAAAAAACTTAGAATCACACAAGAAGATTTAACTTTCATTATAAGTCTTTCATAATCCTCTGATGACACCAAGGAAAAAGCCTCCATTGGGTGCTTGTCTTTACTATCTCTCTAATGTTTGCAAATCTCTTTTTCAACACAAAGAGAGATCCAAGGTTTATATACTGGGCAAGCAATGGTTTCTAGAGAGATTGTTTAACATTGTTTGGTTTTGGCTGAGTTTCTATTTACTTGTTTCTGTTTACCATTTATAAAGGGAGAATGGCCTAGAAGAGGATTTCCTAACCTCAGCACTATTGACATTTGGGCTGGATCATTCTTTGTGGTAGGGAGCTATCCTGTGCATTGTAAGATAATTGTTAGCATTCCTGGTTCCTACCCACTAGATGCCAGTAACACATTCCCCAATCAGGACAATCCCAGATGTCTTCAGATTATTGCCAAATGTTCCCTGGCAAGACTGCCCGTGGTTAAAAACCTCTAGCCTAGGGGCTAAGTGTGCAGGTGCTAGAACCACAGAGCTTATAGCCAACTACTTCTTTGGTGACATTGAGCAACTATTTAATTTTCCATGCTTTATTTTTATCATCTGTAAAATGGGTATAATGATGATTATAGCTCCAACCTCATAGAGTTTTTGTGAGGATTAAATTAATTAATTCATGCATAGCAATTAGGAGAGAACTTACCCTAGGGAAACCATGCAACAAATATTAGACATGGTTATTAGTCACAGTAATGTTTCTGCCTTAAATATATTTGTTTGATTAGTTACTTACTCAAGTGAGCCAGTTCAAAGAAACTATTATTAAATAAATAATACATAAGGTTGTATAAAGATCTGCCACAACATACAAAGATGTTTTGCAAGTGAGTTTAAGTTAGGAAACTGACATATTCAAATAGTGGTATTTGGGCCCATGGACACATTCTGGGTTTTAATCTTTGCTCTGTTATTCAGAAGTTGTGTGACTTTGGGTCAGCTACTGAACTTTTTTGACCTTCAGTTTTCTCACTGTGAAGAAACTTATACCTCCTAGGAGAGATATAATCAAGCAAAATCAAGAAAATGTCCTCAGGGGTTGCTCAACACAAAGTAGATACTCAATAGACATTACTTCTCCCCCTCCCTTTGGGTTTGTGTTGTATAATGAATCACCCAAAAACTTAGTAAATTAACAGTCACTCATTAGCTCACAATTCCATGCGTTGGCAATTTGGGCTGAGCTCGGCAGGGTGAATCTTCTGCTGATCTCCAGTGGGGCTGTGTTTATGATGGCAGTCTGCTAGTGACTTAATAGGTGTTGGAGGATCCAAGATGGCAAATCTCTGGGTAACAGTGCTGGCTGTCGGCTGGGCCTCCCAATCTATATGCCTCTCTTCTTCCAAAAGACTAGCCTGGACCTTCATGTGGTGGCACCTGTGATCCAGGAAACCAAGAGCAAAAACTCCAAGGTCTCTTAAGGCTGTGACTCAGAAATCACACCATGTAACTTTTGCCACATTTTCTTAGTCAAAACAAGTCACAAGGTTAGCTCGGTTCAAAGCACGGGAAAGTAAACTCTACTTCTTGATGGAAGGAATAGCAAAATCACATAGCAAAGGAGCACGTGTTTGAGGAGGTGTGATTCACTGGGGCTGGTTCTGTAACAAGTGAACACATTGTCTGCTAGAGTTGAAATCCATAACATCCGCCCCCTTTATTTTTTGTAAACACTCTTGTTGGATGTCATTCACGTGACTAATATGCATGCATCGCAGTGTCCAGATGTTCATGAAACCCCTCCAAATTGCATGGGAAGGACAAAATACCACAAAAACTCACAATCACCACAACTATTAATGGCACCTCAGTTTAAGGTCACTCATTGCCATTTGCATTATCATTATGAGAAACTGTGGAATCTGTATTATTTTCCACCCTATTCTAAATCCATCTCCTCTCTCACATTCAAGAATAAATGGGCAATGTGAGCCAGACCCTGTGAGATTATTATAAAGAATAACTGTAAATCTGTTTTCCTTTTTTTAAAAAGAAAAACTCACTTATGTCAAATGTTAACACCTCATTGTCATAAAATTGCATAGGCAGACCTCAAAACTGATCAAAAGAAGGTCATTGCATTTGGGTGGCATTCACTGGTTCACTTTACCAAGTTATTCAAGTTGGGAATTCATTCCCACCTCCCTTTTTCATTTTTTTTTTAGCAGCCACTGTTTAAAAATAATAAGTCAATGTTTTCTTGCTATATTTTCTTCCTCTAGACAATGATCTTTTAGTGATTTTCCTCCAGCACACTTCAGCTATCCTTCCTCCAAAGATGTACTCTAGCCTTGTATATTGTCAATAGCCACACCACTCCCAATATCTAGGTGTCAAACATCAGGCTTTCTGGCCACAGGAAGATCACGTTCTCTAATCTACACACCAACACAGGCAGGGCTTATGCCCCTTTAGAGACTCCAGTTCCAGGCTCATATGCTATCACCCCCTTTACTTCAGTTTGGATTCCATGGTTCATCCTTACAAGAATTCCCTCTCCTAACCTCAGCTTCATCTCCCTCTGTCACTGCTGTTGTAAATCGCATCCCAATTGAAACTCATTTCTCTTCTTGCTTCATGCCCGTACCCGAGCATCAGAATGTGGCTAGAGAAAAATTTACAACCATGTTTATCGGCCTCACTTTAGATTTATGGCCACATGCCTTAAGTGGGCCTCCAGCACCACCTGAACAGCTAACCACAGTCCCCAGTCAATACCTCCTCCCACTGATCCAGATGACTGTTGACACTTTCTTCTCCTTCCTCAAACAGTCAATGCTCATTCTCGATAGATGAACATGATAATTACCTTATTCGGAAAATAGAAACAATCAGAAGAGCGTTTTCTCTTTTCTACTTTCATCCCTACACATAGAGTCAATCTTCTCTTCTTTCCTATTATGATGGCTGCAACATCCCTGCTGCTACCTAAACCCACCCTTCCAGGGACTTTACTCCTGCAGTTACTGCTCTCCGTCCTGCTTCAGCAACCTAGTGAGTCATTCCCACCAACATTCAAACACGCCAAAAGGTCTCCCATCTACAGAGAAACAAAGAAACTTGCCCTTGATTTCACACATTTTCCTAGTAGCTCCTCCCATTTCTTTACCACCTTTTTGCGGAGGAACACATCAGAATGTCATTCCAGAATCCCTCAGCGCACTTCCAAACTTTCCTCTGTACTGCTCAACTAAAACGGTTCTTGTTAAATTTTCTAATCACCTTCATCAATTCAGTGCCCACATCTTAGGCTGCATTGTCTTTGAATTCTCAGTGTCATGTGGCACACGTAGTTAGGTTACTTCTTCTGATTGAAATCTTTTATGATCTTAGCTTTCAATCACAATACTTTCCTGGTTTTCCTCCCTTATCTCTGGCCAGTTCAATTCTTTGTCTTGTCCCAATATTTAATGTTGGTTCATCCAAAGATTCTGGCCTTAGTCCTCTTCTCTTCCATATTTGTAACTCATTCCCTAAGTGACCTCATATGGTTTCTTAGTTTTAAATACCATCTCATTGCTGATGACTTCCAAATTTATATATTGGTATACCTAGCTCTGATGTCTCCCTAAATCTCCAGACTCATACGTTCATCTACATACTTGATATCTTCACTCAGATGCCAAGTAAGCATCTCAAATGTTAGAGATGCAAAATAGAATTTTTGATTTCTCACCTCAAACTCATTTCTTCCCCGTTTAGTAAATAGCACTGCCATATACTCAGTTGCTCAAAGCAAAAATTAAGATATCCTTGAATTTCCAGCTTCCTCTGCCTGAAATTATCTCCCATGAAGCCTTCCAATGACTCATCCACTCACTTTAATCCATTTCTTAACCCAAATATTACCTCTTTAGAGAAGCATCCCAGACTATGCTGCCTAAAGACAACCTGTCACTTACCATCCTCATTCCTTGCTTTGTTTTTCTTTAAAGGACTCTTTATTATCTGAAATTTTATTATATAAGTATTTGTCTACATACTCACTGTCTGTATCTCACTAGAATATAATTCTTATGAAATCAAGGACCTTGTCTATCTTCTTCTCTGTTCAGCACACTGTATGCATTAAATAAACATTTGTTGAAAAAAGGATTCATATTACTGGTAAAAAAAATAATAACATTGAGAATGTTCTCAGCACTTTGTCTTTTTTGCATTCATATTAAATGCAATCATTTGGCTTAAATAAGAAAGGACGCATGAGAAATATCAGCTTGTGTGAACATCAACATTTTATTTAATTTCTTTATTCACTACCTTTTCCCCCTTCAGATTTAGATGGCATTTAAAGAAATGGAGGTGTAGAACCATGCAATGTCACAATATAAACGAAATCAGTAGCTTGCTTTTCTTGTCTCTGGGCATTGCCTATAAGCTGCCTGTACTCACATCAGACACATCAGCATTTGGAAGTACTCACTGATGCCTTCTATTACATATAGCCATATAAACTGTGTATAAATAGATTTATTTGACATGAACATTAAGGGCTATCAGTTTATAGTGTGCAACTCATCCCAGTGACTAATGTCTGTCCAAAGAAAGATTTCCAATGCTGATCTGACTCGTGCAACCCAGAGAAAGATTCTGGAATGGTATTTGGACATGTTTCCCTAAAAATTACCATTGGCTTTCATATGGGAAGGCTATTTGGATGTGACGTCTAAGTTTTATTATTACTTATTCAAGGAGGGCTACTCTTTGGGGTCAGGCCTGCTTGAGATGGAAGACCAACGGAAAAAGCTGCCTTAGCAATATGGCGATTTCCTAGCAAGCAAACTCTTTTTGCTCACTTGGTTCTAGACTCTTACCACAATAACAACATTCAGTGATGGAAGTGCACTCAAATATGCCCTCATGATTTTTTTGGACATTAGAGCTTGCTTGGGTTAGCCTCTTGTCCTATTGAATCAGCCTTTCACGAGGCTATGGGCTTGGAAGAGCCATGCCTAATGGCCAAGAGATGAGCTCATTTTCCTCTACACTATCCTGAATGGCTGTGGAGTCTTCAGTGCTCTCCCTAAAAATTTCTTGTGCCCTGTCTTCTAGACATGTGGCAAAATTATATTTCTCCACTCTCTTTGAAGATAGCTATGAACAGGTGACTTGCTTTGGCCAATGAGATGTGAACAAAGCCTTCATCAAGAAGTGACACCCGTCACTTTGGGTGGCTTTAAAAGCCAGTGTGCAATTTGATGTTTCTTTCCTATATTAATTCATTTTCATACTGCTATGAAGAAATACGCAAGATTGGGTAATCAATAAAGAAAAACAGGTTTAATGGACTCACATTTCCACATGGCTGGGGAGGTCTTGCAATCATGGCAGAGGGTGAAGGAGGAACAAATGCATGTCTTACGTGTCAGCAGGCAAGAGAGCTTATGTAGGGGAACTCCCTTACATAAAACCATCAGATCTTGTGAGACTTATTCACTATCATAAGAATAGCACTGGAAAGCTCCACCCCCATGGTTAAATTACCTCCCACTAGATCCCTCCCACAACACATGGGAATTATGGGAGCTACAATTCAAGATGAGATTTGGGTGGTGACACAGCCAAACCATATTACTCCCTATGCCAAGGTGATTGTAGAAACATATACTGAGAGAAAGCCCCCTTTGGCCTAGGGCCTTGTGTGGCCCTGATGAGCAGAGACCCCCTGTAGACCCTTGCTGGAGATGTAGCACAGGGAGGAAAAGAGACAGAAAGAGACAGAGATTTAGATTATATTAAGCCACTGAGAGTTTGGGGAAATGTTTGTTTGTACAGCATAACTTTGCCCATTCTGACTGCTATAAACCTCCTTTTAAGGCTGAGGATTCAAGGAAGGGCTGGTAAGTATCTAAGCTTTGGCATTAATAATTCAGTCCTGACCATCCTGGCCAACGTGGTGAAATCCCGTCTCTACTAAAAATACAAAAATTAGCTGGGTGTGGTGGTGCATGCCTGTAATCCCAGCTACTCAGGAAGCTGAGGCAGGAGAATGGCTTGAGCCAGGGAGGCAGAGAGTGCTGTGAGCCAAGATGGTGCCACTGCACTCCAGCCTGGTGACAGAGTGAGATGCCATCTCAAACTAATAATAAAAATGATAATAATAATATCAGTCCTGGAGAATTCTTGACAAAACAGGATCTGTGATGAGGTTGGGGGAGGTGGGTGCTGAGACAGTCAGTATGAGAAACCCCTGCAGGAAACACTTCCAGAATCTGTCCAGCCTCCACCCTCATCAGAAGCCAAGTGTCCCGCAGAAGTCAGAGTCTCATCCTCCAGCTCCTTGAAGTTCCAGCCAATCAGGGCACAAAGACACCCAGGATCAGGCTGGTTTCAGAGTCCAGAGAAGATGATATGCAGAGTAGAAAAGAGCAGACTGGGCCACCCAGTAGAAAAGAACCCAGACCACAGGGCTCTCAAAGGCTCTGTAGGCTCCGACACAGGGAGGCTAGAGGCCCCTGAGCTTCAATCCATGGTCAGGCTTTGACATTGAACAGATTTAATCTGAATCCTGGTTGCTCTGGTTGTGTGGCTTTGGGCAATTTATGTCACCTTGTTGAGATTTGATTTCTTCAGCTATGGAATGAAGACTTTAGTAGCTCAAATAGGTAATGTGAGATGCCAAGGATAAAGAGCCCCATTCTGTACCTGCAACAGAGTGGTGAAAATCTACAAAACTGCCACCCTACAGAGCAAAAATGATCAACTTCTTTCATATGGTTCAACATATATGCAAGCCTCAGTTATCAGCAGCTTCTTTCACTCCTGGATAAATTCTGATAATTCAGGAAGGACTGTCCATGGCTGTTGTTTGTTTTTACTCAGACTTCACAAACCAGAGCATGTCGAAATGCTTCCCCCTCATCGGGATGCCCTAAATGCACTATATGTACCAGGCTACCGTTCTCTGAGCTCTGCCACCAAATCTGTGACTCTGCTGACCACACAGGGCTGACCTTGACCATGGTATTTTCTGGAGTCCAGATCAGCACCTGCCCACAGCTTTGCATTCTTCACCTCTGTCTGATGGCATTTGTTATGACCTGAGGTAGACTGAAATAAGTCCATCATAAAGAAATCAAGAGCTTTCTCAGAAATGTTTGCTCTAAGAGTTCTAAAGTTTATTTTTTTCTATGCCTGAGATATAAAAATAAAGCATATGGGAGAACCATAAAAAAAAGGCACTAATTTTTCTATATTGCCTACTGGACAAGCTAAAGACGTAGCCCTTCCTATTATCATTTCTTGCAACTTCCAGCCTGAAAGATCACAATGAAGAAGTAATGAATGCAGTGCAGTTCAAGAAAACATTGGGCTATGTCTTGTCACCATGCATTTGCTCCTGCCACTCCCTGGACCTGGAATGACTTTCCTATCCTCTCCTCTCCTTCCCTCTTTCCCATGTTGCAGCGAATGCTTTGAGATACACTAAAACTGGCCAGGTGGCTCACGTCTATAATCCCAGCACTTTAGGAGGCTGAGGCAAGAGGATCGCTTAAGGCCAGGAGTTCTAGACCATCCTGGGCAACATAGCAAGACCTAGCCTCTACTAAAAATTCAAAAAAATTAGCTGGATGTGGTGCTGCATGCCTTTAGTTCCAGCTACTTGGGGAGCTGACGCTGGAGGATCACTTGAGCCTGGGAGGTCAAAGCCACAGTGAACCCTGACCATGCCACTGAACTCCAGCCTGGGCAACATAGTAAGACCCTGTCTCAAATATTAATAATAATTATAATAATAATAAGATACACTAAAACTGTGTACTTCATGAGAGAAGAGAACATGTCTTTTTTGTTCATTGCTGTACTTCTAAAAAGGCACCTGCATTCAGCAGATACTGTTGAACTAATGACTAAGTGAATGAATGAATGAAAACACCTAGACTAGAACCAAGTGCTTCAAAAGGGTTGGCCTGAACACCTGCACTGCTGGTGAGGCTCGTCTCTTATGTTCTCCTATGGCAACTCCTTACCTGTCTCAATCTTTGCATTGACAACACTGTGTGACAGTCTTCTGGTACCCAGAGCCAGAGTGTGTGTCTTATTTCCTGAGTAAGAACTCAGGGCCTAGCTTGTAAATTGCTCTATAAACACATCCCTGAATGTTTTCCTTTTCCTCTGTCTTCCTTGGCCGTCTGAGAAGTCCTGAACACCTTCAGCCTCAGGCTGGGAGAAGAGGACTCCCAGACTCTAACAGGAACACGAGTTTTGCTCCAGGAACTATCCTGGGGGAAGGGGCTGGTGCTTTTCACAATCCATGCAGAGAGCTGTGAGTTGCGTCTAAGCAAAATGGTAAACGGGAAACATAGGTCTTCAAACCAGTGATTTATTTTGTATCAGAAACGCATTTACCTGGCCTATTTTGCTGAACTGAAAAACCTCAGGTTCACTTAGTAAAACTCAATCTGAATATTTCTATCCTTTATTTCCATACAGATTAGCTTCATACGGCCTCGAGTATAAACACCACAGATTGGCTCGTGGGTTCTATGGGGAGAAAGAGGCGGCAGCGTCAAGAGGAGATCATCGCTATTTTAAGTTTCTTCATGGTTCAGCAGGCGGCTGCTAAGAGTTCTAAAGGAGCAAACAAAATGAGAAAAGTTTATTGATTAGTTTACAAATAACTGTTGTGTAAGAAAAGATACTGAATGGCATGCTGGTTTACTGGTGGCATGCTTTTTCAGGCCCCTTTCATTGTATGGCCTTGGGAGCCAGCCTCAAGGGGAAGATGAAAGAAGCAAAGCAAATTCTTTGGATAAAGAAGGGTTTGCACCAGTTAAAAAAATAAATAAGTGGGACCATTTATTTATTGTTGTTTTGGAAGTAGACCAATATATTCCTACTCTTCTTCATCTCTTCATGAAAAAAAAAAATCTCTTTACACAACTGTTTTCTCCCCTGGTCAACACAATAATGCTTTAGACATTGGATTCCATGACACAGGTAACAAGCTTCGATATGGCCCCATCCACTTACAAGTCATTCACTGAGCGGTGTTTAGAAAAGGAGCAAAAGCATCAAATCTGTGCTTTTTCCTGAACTTCTATCTGAAAGATCCTGACCTAGAGGCAGAAAGGTCACTTCAGGTGAGGGAGTTGTACCTGGAAAAAACAAGCATGGAAACAATAGCAGGACTTCCACCCAAGCTCTGCCTTGCTTCCTCTTCGTGGGACCTTGGCTGATTATTTCACTTCTCTAGGGTCAACCCCATCATTCTGGGGAAGGCTTGTGGGGGGGTTCACCAAAATGAAGGGTACACAAGCCTAGGACACAGTAAGTGCTTGAGCAGTGCCACTGTTAGCCACTCTGATGATTAGTTAAGTGAAATGCCTGGTGAGATACAGTGAGTGGTGAGACAGGGGCTGAGATGGGAGCCGGGCACACAGTGAGGGGCCTTCTGAACCTTGCCAAGGAGTTTGGCCTGGCATCCACAGACTTGCATACAAAATAAGTTAAAAAAAAAAAAGTGAGATGATTTAAAGGAAAATATTAAGTAAGTAATTGTTTAGGAGCAGAACCAATAAACAAAAATCACAAGGGAAGCAATAACATGACAAAAGCTTGGGAAAGACAATGGTTGAATATGAAGCCTGAATTAAAAGCCATGTTCCCATAAATGGAAAGGCTGCAACTGTGTATCAAATCCTTTTCTCCCTTCTCCTCTCCCTCCCTGGAACTGCCTGTTCCAACCAATAACCAAAGAACCTAGTGCAGCCAAGGAGTCATGTGAACACAGCAAAAAGCAGCAGGAACCCAGACGTCTGGCCAGAGGGGTGGCCTCATGCCCCACAGCTGGGCAGGGGAGAGGATGGACAAAAGGTGCTAGAATTGCTCTTCTAGGCAGTAGTTACAGCATAAAAACAAGGCTATCTAGCACCAAACCAGACACTGGCTTTGGAGGATTACAAACTTGAATTTGAGTCATTTAGTACCACAAGGCCGCCTGGATGAGGGCATGTAAACAGATCACTCTGACACAAAGACAAAGATATTTCCTCTAAGAGAAGGCCATGTGTACACAGACACAGGGATTTGTCCCTAGGTCATGTAGCAGAGGAAGGTTTAATGTTTGAATGAAGACAGCATGATGCAGCAGAGTATCAGAAAGACCTGAGTTCTAATGTCAGTTCTCTCTATATATTGCAAAAATAAGTGACTTTGAATCTTCATAGCAATGCTGGGAGGCAGAATTTATATTTTATCAACATTTTACAGATGGATAAAGGAGCAAAATACAGTAAGTAGTAGAATTGGCATGTATGATATTTACATATATAAAAACAGCCCTGTTGACATTCAGGAAGGCTTGGAGGTCCACAACAGTGTTTGAATTGAGAACGCAAATGGATTTGTTCTTTGGTAATGACATATATATTCCATGGTGCAGAATAAATACAATGTGTGCTATGTGCCAAAGACCACCCTGAAGAACATGATGACATCACCAATACGAAATCCCTGCTTCATGAAGCATATATTCTAGGGCCATGTCCAAAGGCTCAACGTGAAAAAGAACAGGTTACTCAGGAGGCTGGAACCCATCCAATGGGAGAGTTGTTGGTGATGAAGGCAGAGGTAGGCAGGGGCTTCAGGCTTGAAGGAAAAGATAGGAAGTAGAATTTTATTTAAGAAAGAGAAGCCGTAGGAAGGCTCCAAGGAGAGGAAAATCATGCTCTGACGGGTTTTCTGGATGCTTTTAAAAAACAAAAAATATGTGGGGAGGGGGCAGCATGGAACAGGAGTATCAGTAAGGAGCTGCATCCAGGAAATAATTTCTTAGGTTGGGATGGTTACAACAAAAACTTTCAGGACAGGCTTCTTTTAAGAACCAGATAGTAAATATTCTGCGCAAAATCAAGGCCAAAAGGCAGCCTCAAGGCTATTAGGTACATATTTATATAATCATTTCAAACCATCTGGTTAATAATAAATAAATAAATGCCATTCTTAGATCAAGGGCCATTAAGAAAGGGCCAAAAGAAAAAGCAAGCCGGCAACTGGCTGCATTTGGCCCACTGGCTTTAGTTCGCAACCCCTGGTTGGAGATCAACAGGAGAAGAGATGGGGCCTTGGACAATGAATATGGCAATTGCATGCCTGGTAGATCAGGGCTTGGAAAAAACATCATGCCTCACGATAGCTGGACTGTGTTTTTGGAAGTCCTTGTAGCTTAGCAGGACCAGGGGATTAACCGGATTGATGTATCAGAATGTGAGTATTTGGTTCTGGCCACTTTCTTCTGTTGGAGCCACCATTTGACATAAAGCAGATTTAAGATTTCATGGGAAGTGAGAGGCTCTCCCTTTATATTTTTGGGCATGGAGCCACAGCCCTGTTGGCATTCAGGGAGGTTTGGAGTTCCAAAATGGTGTTTGGGTTGAGAATGCAAATGGATTTGTTCTTCGGTTATGACACGTACATTCCATGGCCCGGAAAAACCCAGAAAATTGACATTTATTGAAAGGGTGGGGAGAGGATGGAAGGGAGTGTGTACCAATTCTATTGCCATCTGATTTATCTACTGTGAGGTCGAAAGGCCTGTAACTACCACAAGTAAAAGCTGTTGCCTGGCTAGATCAGCAATAAGGAAATTAATCAGAGTTCTCTACACAGAAATATCTAATCCATAGGGATTAATATAGCACATAATCCACACCCATCTAATTTTTCTTCTAAAGTACACTGGACTAAAGTTATGAATTAGCTAACCTTTGTATGCTGGTCACCCTTTGCACATAAGAAGAATTTGGTATATGAATATAAAACACTGGCCACAGAGTCTCCTTCAACTTTAATCTGACAGTTTCCTATATATTATATTATACTATATTGCTAGTATTCATTGTTTCAAATCATATGTTATATATTATATATCACTTTTATACTATATATTCATATATATTCTAAATAAGTGTATATGATATTTATTATTTATAATACTTTTGTATATACATTTATGTCATAAAGACATGTTAAGTACAGAAAGTTTTGAAAATTTAATCAAGATGGAAAATGTTCACTGAACTTCCATAACTACTGGTAATATTTTTATGTTTCATTCTAGTCTTTTACAGTTGGATTTTTTTCCAGAGTAGAGAGACCTTTTGTTGTTGTTAATGTAGCTTTGACCCTAAGGCTTTAAAAATTTTGTTTTCTGCTTTACCATTTAACCCAGCATTTTAGCACTAGGATCTTCTATAGTACTGAGGACTTCAAAAGATTTTCCAATAGCTGAATGCCCAGTACATTTACCACTTATAGACGAAACCAAATTGTATAGTTGGATTTGAAAAGTGCTTTCTGTATTCCCTTATTATAAGTAATAATTTAGAAAACGTTTCTCTCTTCATAACTATCTTTTTTATTTCAGATTGCGTCTTTAGCTTAAACCTAGAAGGTCCAATGTCACAAGACTTTTAAGCCCAACTTCACGACAGAAAGCTTCCATTGATTTTTGCCACACTCATCATCAGTGGGTATACATCTCTCTCTACCTTCACAATCCTGGAATATGCATATGTTGAAGGAGGAATACTGTTAATTTCATCAGTGTAAAATTTTTATCCTTGTTTGTTAAATAAATGTATTTCTTCTACTGAATTGCTTTTTAAATTGACTTCACTTTTTTTACATAGCTCTTAAAAAGGAGAGTTATTGCTTTTTCATATCTCCAAAGTTTGGGTGCTAATTAATCTGCACCTCTAAAAGTTAAAGTAAGTTACCCACAGGTTTTTTCTAGTCCTGAAAAGCAATTTATCTGCCTGTTTCAAATTATAACCACATCAATGATGATGATGATGATATTGTCCTTGGGCATATATGTGAAAGAAGCAACTCGTGAGAAGTGGGGCCAACTTGTTTTGGAGATTCCAGGACTTGTCTTTGGGCAAGTCTCCTTCCTGACAACCCCCTCCCCAGTCTGTGGGGACAGATTCAGGCTTGTGTGGCACTTGAATACTCTCGATCTGCCCTTATGTAATAAGTGTTACTCATGTCCCAGTATGAGTCACCCAATCCCTCGCCCGGGGCATCTCCGCCAGGCTGTAGAGTTTCCCACCTGCCCTGATCCCTGTCTGAATAGAGATAGCATGACTCAGCGCCGGGGAAAGGGTGGTTCTCTCTGTCTAGCTGATGTCCTCAGCTCCAGGAAGCTCTGGGCTTGCGGCATGACAGCAGAGAGAAGGGCCACGCTGCTCACGTCAGCAGTGCCCCACTGAGGGGGCCCGATGCAGGAAGAGGCAGCCCAGAGGCCAGCCGGTCCCCACCACCCAGCTACCGGGTTTGGAGAGGAAACACAGAGCAGTGTCTATTTAGATCTTCAGCGAGGTTTCCTTTCTTTCTCCACGGTCTCACGGGCAGTCAGAAGGATATGAATAATAATAACAACTGCTACTATTTTTTGAACACTGAATGCTTGCATTTGGCAAGCATCGTGCAAGGTATTTTACACATGTTAACACATTTAATCATCACAACAAGACAATGAAGGAGCTCCTATCATTTTGCCCATATGAAAGATGCGAAAACTAAGGCCCTGAGGGAATAAGTCCAGTCCACATAGCTGGGTAAGACACAGATCTGGAATTGAAACTCGGTCTCCAGAGCTTTCTCTCTTAACCACTAGACCAGTCTTTTCAAACTGTAAAGTGTACATGAATCACCCCGGGATCCTGTTAAAATGCAGATTCTGATTCAGCAGGTCTGGGATGAGACCTGGGAGTCTGCATTTCTAGCAATCTCCCAGGTGAGGAAGATGCTACTGATCCACGCCCCACCTGTTGAGGAACATGGCTCTATATTATACTGCTTTCACACTATGCTTTGGACTAGTCTTTAGTGGGAAAATACTGTATTCACTTAACTCTTTCTTTATCCATTCATTGTCTATTTATACTTTCAGACAACAACCACGGAATCCCCACCATGAGTCAAGCATGGAGAACATAGAGATGGACATGGCTCCCTCATAAACATGGAAAAAATCAGTTCAACAAGGAGACAAGACCCTCTATCACACACATATATAATTATAATTATACAGCAAGATAAGGCTGAAAACAGAGGGTTGTTCTGTGCATGGTGCATAAAGAAGAGGTGATCTTGCCAGTGAGTCAGAGAAAGTGCTCCAAAGCGTGGAGGGAGGAAGCCCAGGCATGATGTACCTCAAAGGTCTGGTCTCCTAAGAATAGTGAGATGTTCTCCTATTTGTAGCCCAGGATTCATGGTGGGTAGAAGGGGAGAAGAGGCTCTCAGGATAGACAAGAGACAGTCTCCTCGCTAGAGACCCCTCCCTTCCCATGCCCCCATCCCGTGGCTATTTTTCTCCTTTTGTTTGTCTTATTCCTTCCACAAAGACTATTCTTACCCAAACACCAAACACCGCCCATAAGCTGGATCACTTCAAGATCCAGTCCAAATGTCCTTCCTCCACATTTTCTCAGACCCCTCCCTTCCCATGCCCCCATCCCATGGCTATTTTTCTCCTTTTGCTTGTGTTATTCCTTCCACAAAGACTATTCTTACCCAAACCCCAAACACTGCCCATAAGCTGGATCACTTCATGATCCAGTCCAAATGTCCTTTCTCCACATTTTCTCCAAAGCGCACGACCTTCATATACATGAGAAGGAACTCTTGCCAGTGGCGGCTTATTCTGTGCCAGACACCTTGTTAAGGTTTTTGCATATGCTAAGTCATTTAACAGTCCAAATAACTCAGAAATATTGTAATTTTTTTATCTTATTTGGTAATGAGGAAAGTGGAAGCACCAACTTAAGAAACTTCTATCAGACCACCCAGCTCCAGTGCATGCTAGCTGGATTACAAGAGAGGCAGGTTCTTAACTGCTAAGCAGCAGGGCCCCATAGCCACTAAACCTCTCTATCGCCATTATCTCATTCACCCTCTTGAATACAAGAAGGCTTTGCTGAGTGCAAACATTTCTAAGTAGCTTGCAAGAGTCTTGACAACAATGCCCTGGGAAGAAAGAAGAGATTTGTGCAGCAGGAGCTTTGGGAGTAGGGAAATAACAGTGGAAAACTAAGCTGAAACAGCAGGTGGGATTAGGAAAGGAGCAATGATTCACACATTTACTGTGGCTGCACTTGAGGCCTTTCCAGATAGGGGCTGATATGGTTTGGGTCTGTGTCCCCACCCCAAATCTCATGTGGAATTGTAATCTCCAACGATGGAGGAGTGGCTAGAGGGGAGTTGATTGGCACATGGTGGTGTAGTTCTCATGAATGGTTTAGCACCATCTCACCTTGGTACTGCATAGTGAATGAGTTCTCAGGAGATCTCGGTGTTTAAAAGTGTGAGGCACCTCCCATCTGTCTCTTAGTCCTGCTCCTTCCATGTAAGACAGCCTGCTTCCCCTTTGCCTTCCACCATGAGTAAAATCCTCCTAAGAGCTCCCCAGAATCAGGTGCCGACATGCTTCCTGTGCAGCCTATGAAACCATGAGCCAATTAAACCTCTTTTCTTTATAAATTACCCAGTCTCTGGTATTTCTTTCTATCTGTGCAAGAACGAACTAATGAGGGAGCCTAATGGAGTCAATATTGCAATGGCAAGTCCTACAAAAATTATCATCAAAATGGCTCCTAAACAGGGACCATCTGACGTGTTGCTGCAAGATGAGGCTAGCCACTTGTTATCAGTCAACAGGAAGGACTCAGTGCATTCCAGGCCCAAGAAACAGGCAGTCTCCTGCCGTGACCATTACCAGAGTGAACCCATGTCCTGAGTGAATGAACCGAAAGCGATGGGTCATTTGGTCCATGTTTAACACAGCAGAGTTCCTGACTCCCCCAGGCCAAGAAGAAACCACTAAGTTTTCCTGCATATCTGTGAACAACAAATCATATGACCGTTGACCCAAGTACAATGTATCCTAATACAGTGTTTCTCAGAGTGAAGTCCCTGGACACACAGCATCAGCAGCTCCCGGGAACTTATTAAAATGCAAATTCTTGGGCCCTGCCCCAAGTCTACTCAATCAGAAACTCAGGGAGTAAGGCTCAGCAGCATGTGTTTTAACAAGCCCTCCAGGTGAGGCTGATGCACGTTCAAGTTTGAGAACCACTTAATCATGAGACTCTCGTGTCAGACACCTGAGGTTTAAATCCTGGTTTAGCTAGTTGGTAACTGTTCCCTTGCTTCTAGCTATTTAGGCTCTCTAAACATGTTTCCCTTCCTGTAAAAAGGAATACTATGTAATAATAGTCACAGGATTGCTGTGAGGGTTTACAGAGATAACCTGGGTAAAACATCTGGCAGGAAGCTTTGCACACAGCAGACAGTCAAGGTTGGCCTTGATTTTGTCAAGGTCGGTCTTGATTTTGATGGCGGTGGTTTGGAAGATGCCTGCTTGTGCCTTTATGAAATGTGGCAGTTTAGAAAACCTCTCTAAAGGGGCTCTGCTAGGCCTCCAACAGCTTGTGCATTCTCCTTCAACCTCTTGTGGGGATCATGGTCTAACAATACTAAAGACAATAGTGCCAGCTTTTTAAAAAGGATGTTAGGATGGAAATGATAAGGAGCAAAGGTACCATCACTTGTAAAGGATTGAGAGCATGGCATGACCACTGGCTAAGTGGGGTGTAGATGAGTTTTTGTATAATTGCTAAGGAGTTCTGATTTTTATTCTGTAGCAAGTCAGAGTATTTTTTCATGGTTGTGACTTTTTTTACTTGCCTAATTTTTAAATTAGGAACATATTCAAACACTCTGACATAGAATAGAATCTCCACTGAATTATTTGAAATCAAATTTTAGGTATTCATTATTTAATCTCTAATTGTTTTAGGATTACTTTTAAAAGATAAGAACTTTACATTTTAAAACGTAGCCAGATACTGTTTATACTTCCAGTGCAACAATGATATTTTCATCCAAAAAGTGAGGGTCGTATTATTATTTTTTTCTTTTTTGAGACAGGATCTTGACCTGTTTCCCAGGCTGGAGTGTGGTGGTACGATCTCGGCTCACTGTAGCCTTGACCTCCCAGGCTCAAGGGATTCTCCTGCATCAGCCTCTGAAGTGGTTGGGACTCCACTCACACACCACCACACCTGGCTAAATTTTTTCTATCTTTTGTTGCTGCGTTGCCTAGGCTGGTCTCACACTCCTGGGCTCAAGTGATCTTCCCCCTTTGGCCTCCAAGAGTGTTGGGATTATAGGCATAAGCCACCACAGCCAGCCAAGGCAAATGTCTTTATTGAAAAACAGAGAGGCAGGAAGACTGACAAGATGTTAAGATACAACATGGAGCTGAGGACAGGTTCCTCACAGGTACAAGTGAAGAAAGCTTTCACAAGCACTCTCTGTGGTCAGAAAGATGGCTCATTTCACCCTTGTTAGTCCTCTCACGCTTATGGATAAAGAATCCAGAGTCGATCTGGGGAAGCTCTGCTTGCAGTTATAGCAAACTAGCCTATGGTAAACAAAAGCCTCGCCGAAAATGACCAGAAAACCTAAATACCATTAAAGAGCCATCAAGGTACCCCAAACAACAAGGGCTAAGATCTGCAAAAAAGAAAAATTAACTGAAGCTAGCACAGCTCTCTACTCACCATTTTCCTTTGGGGCATACACCAATTTGTAAGGATCCTGGGCAGAAAGAGTGAGAAGCCAAGTAGCGATAGATTTTTAAGAAACCAAGAAGATGAGCTGAGTTTCTGACAGGCTTACAGAGTGGAGGAGCGAGAAACTCAAGTTTAGACTTCTAAATAGTCAAGACTTGAGGGGCTAAAATCTTCAAAGGGAAGTAGAGGGATAAAAGTCTAACAGTCTGAGCTATGTATTCGCAGAAGGTGTTCACCAGTTCATAAGCTCTCTAGGCCAGGAGAAGGAATCACAGACAGTCGGCTAAAGAGACAGAATTTGCAGGTGTCTCATGGTCCTTAGGAGGTGAAATTTGGAGTTTAACTTCCAACAAAGAGATAGAGATGAGGTAAGCTCACCAGGCTCACCATCAGGACACTCTAAACAGAGAGTAGAGGAAACAAACCAGATCTTTGCAAAGCTGAATTCCAGGCTTGAAACAGCTCAGTTTGACCCTAACTGCTTGCTGGAAGCTGAAGGCTCATCTAGGCCTTCTATAATTTTTTCATTTTTCTTTTTTTTTTTTTTTTTTTGAGATAGAGTCTTGCTCTGTCACTCAGGCTAGAGTACAGTGACACAATCTCAGCTCACTACAACCTCTGCCTCCCAGGTTCAAGCGATTCTCCTGCCTCAGCCTCTTGAGTAGCAGGGCTTACAGATGTGTGTCAACACACCCGGCTCATTTTTGTATTTTTAGTAGAGACAGGGTTTCTCTGTGTTGGCCAGGTTGGTCTCGAACTTCTGACCTCAAGTGATCCACCCACCTTAGGCCTCCCAAAATGCTGGGATTATAGCCATAAGCCACCACACCCAGTCAAGGCCTTCCATAATTTTTCATATCAATGTCTGTGCTCAGTGCTCAACAAAAAGTGACCAGGGCTAATAAGACACAGGACTAAACAACAATTAAAAAAAAAAAAGGCTAACAAAAGAAACAGAACAGATGAGGCAAACACTGAAGTCAGGCACAGACTCTAAAATAATCAAAAGAAAGAAGATTTTGTAAAGGAATTGAAATATATGAAAAAAATGGAAATTTCAAGACTAAAAAATACATTAAGAACTCAGTGGTTGAGTTTACAGCAGTTGAGATGTAGAGGAAGAGAGCAACTGGGAGAAACTGGAAGTTAGCAGAAACTCTCTAGACTGAAGTATGGAAGGAATAAAGAATGAAAAATAGGCCATGCGTTGTGGCTCACACCTGTAATCCTGCACCTTGGGAGGTCGAGGTGGGTGGATCGTTTTGAGCTCAGGAGTTCGAAACAAGCCTGGGCAATGTGACAAAACCCTGTCTCTACAAAAATTAGCCGGGCATCGTGGTTTGTGCCTGTATTCCCAGCTACTCGGGAGGTTGAGGCAGGACGATCACTTGAGCCTGGGAGGTGGAGGTTGCAGTGAGCCAAGATTGCACCACCGCACTCCTGCCTGGGTGATAGAGTGAGAACCTGTCTCAAAAAAAAAAAAAATGAAAAATATATAAGGCATGGGGAGTAGGTCTACCACATATGGAATTGGAGACAAAAATGGAAGAGAGAAAGAGGAGAAAAAGGGGAAAGAGGAAGGTGCAGAAGAAATATTTGAATAGAAAATAGCTAAGAATTTTCCAAAAGTGATGGAAAGTTTAAAGCCACAATATTTAAGAAAAACAAAAATCAGGACACCAGAATAGACCCACAAACCTAAGAAAGATAAATACAAATATAAAGACATCTAGGCATATCACAGTAAAACTGCTAAAAGCCAAAGATAAAGAGAGCTAAATAAAATACCAGTGAATTAAATCCACCATCATAGTAAAAGGATTACACACCATGACCAAGTAGCAATTATTCCAAGATTATAAAACGGTGGTTCAACATATAAAATCTATCAATGTAACAAGACACTCAACAGAATAAGGGGGAAAAAAAAAACACATGATTATCTCAATTGATGCACAAAAAGCATTTGACAAAAGCCAACAGCTATTCATGATGAAAACACTCAATAAACTAACAACAGAAATGAATTTTCTGAACCTAATAGAGGCGATCTATGAAAACCCCACAGTTAACATCATACTTAAAAATGAAGAGTTTTCCTCCTGAATATACAATAAAACTCTTTACATCAATAAAGGCTGGCAATTCAATATAAAAAATGGGCAAAACACCTGAACAGTCACTTTACAAAAAAAGACAAGCAAATGGACAATATGCATGTGAAGGATACTCAACTCCATTAGTGATCTGCAAATGGCACCACAATGATATATAACAACAGGCCAACAGAAATTGTTAACATAAAACAAAATGTAATAGACATTACCAAGTGTCTGCAAAGACTTGAAGCAATTAGAACTCACCTGCACTGTTCTACGGGAGAATAACTTGGTACAATCACATTGGAAAACTGGCAGTATCTCCTAAAGCCAAATGCATGTAACCTCTGTGATGGAGCCATTCTACTCTTGTGCGTAAGCCCCAAAGAAATGCATGTACCAAAAGACAATGATGAGAGCATTCATGAGATCATCACACAATGGTTAAGCTTGGAAAAAATCCAAATGTCCACCAAAAACAGAACAGATAATTACACTATGGTATATACTTTTAAACAAATCACATATAATAGTGGGAATTAATAAATTACTGCTATACATGTTAGCATGGTTGAATTTCAATTACTAAGCAAAAAAATTCCAAGCAAATGGAAAAGAGCAGATCTGTTTAATAACGGTTACATAAATTTCAAAAACAGGCAACACTAGTCTATAATAATAGAAATTAGGGTGTGGTTACCACTGGGGATAAGAATGTGGTAGTCACTGAACGGAGACACAGGGAGCTTCTAGAGAGTTAATAATTGTCTATTTTCTGACCAGGGTTGTGAGTCACATGGTTATATTATTTCAGTTAAAATTCTTTGAGCTATGCTTATGATTTGTACACTTTTCTGGGTATTTTCTATATATTTGCTATATTTCTATAAAACATTTTTGAAAATCAATCTGAGACCAGGTGTGGTGGCTCACGCGTGTAATCCTAGCACTCTGGGAGGCCCAGGCAGGTGGATCACCTGAGGTCAGGAGTTCGAGACCAGCCTGGCCAACATAGTGAAACCTCGTCTCTACTAAAAATACAAAAATTACCCAGGTGTGGTTGCAGCTGCCTGTAATCCCAGCTACTCAGGAGGCTGAGGCAGAAGAATCACTTGAACCTGGGAGGCAGAGGTTGCAGTGAGCTGAGATCGTGCCACTGCACTGTAGCCTGGGCAACAGAGCAAGACTCCACGTCAAAAAGAGAGACAGAGAAAGAAAATAAATCTGAGGTGACAGCAGTACGTATCTGCTGAATTTGCATAAAATAAAAAGATTTAAAAATGGTTCTGATCCACATGTGTCCACAACATGTGTCTGATGAAATAATGTGGACACCCCTAAAATTTTGCTCATATCCCATAAGTAGAAGATAACACAATTTCTCGAGTACTAATGACTGCCCCTGCTGGGTCATCAGCCGTGTGCCCAAAGAGCCCTGAGCCTAGACATGGCCTGTTGTTTTCAATAGTCCCGGGGTATTGCATTTGGTCTGCCCTTTTGCTACATGGCTTGTCATTGTCAATAGTCCTGGGGTGTTGCGTTTGGTCTGCCCCTTTGGTAAGTGACTCATGGTTTGGAAAAAAATTCTCAGTTGGAACCTTGAGGCTGGGCGAAAGGAATTCACAAGGTAAACAAATAAACACAGGAAATTAAATCTACTTCCCCCCCACCACAAAATTTGAAGTTGGTAAAAGGTATCAAAAAGGTAGCAGTGGTTCCCAAGGCAATGACAGAAAGTCAAACAAGAGGGAAAGAGGAAACAGCCTTGCACACAGACCCAGGGTCAAAGACTGATATTTTAGGGAGAGAATAATAGTGACGATGAAAAAGAAAACAACAATTCAACAAGAACAGCTCCCATTTATTCAGCCCTGACTAGGGGAAGATATTATACTTGTTAAGTATCTGCATTTTCTTATTTAATTATCACATTGCCCCTTCTGAAGTGCTGTTGTCGCACCTACACAGATGAAAAAAAATGGAGGCATGTTCAGCAGACCCACATTCATGTCATCTGATTACCCCAATGCTTGCTGGAGCCAGAGAACTGAAAAGAAATAGTCCTGGGGTGCTGCCATTTGGTCTGACCTTTTGTTAAGCGACTCGTGGTCACCTTATGGAGTTTGCCAGTCCTGGTGAGATTTCTAAGGAGACCTTAAAATGTCAAGAGGGACTTTGGTATTACTCTAGAACAAGGTTTTTCTCAACCTCAGCAGTGCTGACTTTGGAAGCCAGATAATTCTTTGCTGGGTAGCTGTCCTATGCAGTGTAGATGTCTGGCAGTGTCCCTAATCACTGCCTGCTGGATGCCAGTAGTACCCCAACACGTTGCCCCTAGTTGTGACAAGCAAAAATGTCTCCAGATACTGTCAAATGTCCCCAGAGAGAAAAATCAATTCCAGTTGAAATCTATTGTTCTAGAGGAAGGAAAGATTAAGCTGGTAGTTAGGGGAAGAAGGGGGTTTCAGGGAAATTTAAGTTTCACGAAGCATGAGAAATGACTGATTTGCAGTCAGCTGGGAAGTTGTATGAAGGAGATAAGCTGGGATATTTGGAGCAGAGAAATCTCCAATAAAAGAATCTGGGTGCTGAATGCACTGAAAAGGAAGATGTTGGTTTAGCACAATTCTGAGGACAGAAATCTCCAAAGCCTCTCTCTTTGTTGTTGTGGGAAGTGAAGTGGAGCTGTTACAGTCAGAAGTTGAAGGTAGAACCTTGGATTTATGCACAGACTTTAGTTTCTCAATTTCCAAACAAAGTGAAAGAAAATCTCTCATCTCTTCCTGGCATGCTTGGAAATAAAAGTGAATGGAGAAAGGAGACAAAAACCAGTTTTAGGAGCCTGCATTGTCTCTATCTCAATAACTTCATCACCATGCTGTACATTCTAGTAATTAAAATTCATTGACACACTAGAGATCCTTCTATGGGTGAGGAAGCTTGCTGGGCCAAGACAATGCTAAAGGTTGGGAGTGGGGTAAGCATCAGAAAAATGCTGAGCAGGAGGTACCAGAGTTAACAGTGGTCTCTGAGGCTTGGGGTGAAGTGTCTTACCAGCCCACTGCAATCAATTGTTAGTGTCTACTAGAAGTGCTGTATTGAGAAAACTGCTTCTTCTCTCAACAGAGGGAAAAGCGCTATAGTTGATTAGTGATGTCTGCATGGGAAAGTTAAGCGGAAGTAGAAGCGCGTGTGTAGTATCTACTAGCCTGGATTAAAGTTCCCTCGACTACATGCCATCACAATTTCAATTAAATAAGTGAATGAATGAATGACTTTCATATATTTAATTTTGTCAAAGAACAATCTAGGATATCTGCTTAGCTACTATTTCCGGTATACATAAATACAATTTCAACAATTGATTTTCAGACTTGTTTGTAGGCATATTTATTTATTTATTTATTTGGTAATCACACATCCTTTTTCCATTTCCACTGAGTTTATAATGTGTGTCAGGTCATGTGCTAGGCCATGGATAAATATACACCTCATGGAATTCATAGCTTGGTGTGAGACAAAAATCTCTCAAGAATACAAATAGATCAACAGGTAATTGTAAATTTTGACAAGTGCTCTGAAGAAAAAGAATGGGACACTGTAAGAGTAAATATGCAAAATGGGCTATTTAATCTGGGACTTGATCAAGAATTAGGAGAAGGGAGACCAACAGGGTTGATGTCCCTATGGTGGAAATGAGATTGATATGTTCCAGAAACAAAAAGGAGACCAGAGCACAGAGGGAGAGGTGGGCAAACGTGGCCCTAGATGAGCTTGCAGAGAAGTTTAGGAGCAAGATAACACAGGGCTTTCTGTTACCTTGCTTAAGCGGTGGTGGGAGAATACACAGTAAGTTCCCTGAGGGCAGGGACTATGCATATTCTGTTAGTTTCTCCATCCTCCAGATCTCATATACTTCCTGGAACATATTAAATGCTTAGTAAATATGTGATAAGTGAACATGAGTGACTGGGAAGAAAGGGGCTTAGAATTATTCAAGGTCTACTATGTTGAGTACTTTAAAAAGCAATCCCACTTACCCTCCGAAAAAGATGTGATAGTCATTGCACAAGAGAAGAAGTCAAGAACCCAGAGAGGTTATGAAAATATTCCAGAATCAGTTAACCACTAAGTGACAGAGCCAGGATTCAAACATGAGTCTCTGCAGTTTTCCTCATGCAAAAGGACTGTATTTCGAATCAGAAGGCCAGAGTTGGGATCATGAATTTGTTGCTCATTGTAAGATATTTGATCTCTGGCAAACCACTTGTTCCTTTTACACTTGAGTTTGCTCCTCTGTAAAATCAGGCTCACCTCTGCCCAGGCTCACCTCTGATCACCTCATTGGATTAGCTTGATGAACAAACAGGAGAATGTATGAGAAATCTTCTTGACCTAACTGTAATCCTTGAAATGTGTCCAGGCTTTGTAGTTTGGAGTTATTTCATTTAGGTCAGTTTTGTCAGTGTGCTGGGAGGTAAACAAAATCTGAAAAGGTTTTGCATCTCTTGAAAAATAGTGCTACATTTACTTAATTTTTGGAAGCCTATTATGGCACAAATTGTGATGATTCACTTGGCAAGTTCTACAATACTCAGAGATGCTTCTAATTCGGACACAAATCCTGGCTCAAGACATCATTTCAGACCAAGTCTCAGAGTCTCTGGCACATCTCAGGTGATGACTGAAGGTACTATCTTCCACAAAGGACAGAAGAGGTGATGGAACCTCGGCTTTCTCTGTGGTTGGAAAGCCTAAGTCAAATTTTAGCCTGAGATTTGGAAGCAGGTTGAGGGAGGAAGAGGCAGTGAATCTTGATGCATGCAAACCCCATGTAGTATTGCCAGCTGCTGCCAGTGACTCACCCTTGTTCTCACCCAAACGTCTGTGAAAACGTGGTCTAGAATACGTATGTGGCTTACCTGGCTGCATAAACAGGGACAGGGGAGATATGGCCCAAACCAGCATGTCTCAGGTTAGCCACGTCTACTTGAAGAATACCTTTTCTTGAAGTGAGAATCATTTGTCTTGGTTTCATTTAATAGTTATCATTAATACGTTGCAAAGGGGTAAGTAGAAAACTGCTTTTCAATAACTAGTCTAGAGAAAGGATAGGTTTAGTAGCCAAAACATAACATGGTAGCCAGAAGGAAAAATTTAAACCAGTTGTTTTCAAACTTTAGTGGACATGGTATTACTGTGAACCTGGTTTATAGGAAACTTTCTCAGCGCCAGCCCTTCAGTTTGATTCAGTAAGCAATTCTGCATCAGGCACTTGCAAAATTTCACCCGGGGAACACTCCTTGAAAATATTTCCTGGTCATCACCTGCTTATAACATTTTGAGAGTTTCTTTTTTTCTTTTTCTGCCTTGGAATAGACCTACGATTTCAGTCCATTTTGAAAGATTCTCAGCAGAAAAAGACAAGAGGCTAAACAAGAGCTTCAAATAGGAGTGGTCCAGCACGTCTTCAAAAAAGTAGACATATCTGCACCCTTTTCTCCATGTCTGTTCCCTCAAACTTACCCTGTTTCTCTTTTGCTTTTATAAGTAATTTTATTTTTCATTCTGCTGAAAGCATCTCTGCTTCGATGTCTTCCTATTAGGGTACCTGTTTCCTGATATATCAAACATAGTCACTGGGACAGGGACTGCGTATACCAGGAAGCTCCTCTGTTTCAGGTGTGTCTCCTTTGCAATACCTGAAGACTTTCATTGAAAAACTAAGAATCATCTGTTTTAGTCAGAAGAGGCTAGGTTGTACAACAGTAACAAATTCATTCTGAAATTTCAGAAATCTTTACGAAGATTCCCCGGTCTAGATCAATAGACAGCCCTGCTCCATATGATCACTCAGGGATCCAGGCTAACAGAAACTCCACCATCTTGGAGTTGAATGATCTGAAACACATGGTTCCAAGGTCATCTCAGCAGGGGAAGAGAGCAAAGAAAGTTACATATTGGCTTTCAGTTGCCTTGTTCCAGAAGTGACACATTGCTGTTTACCTGTATTCAGTTCTGTTCTGCTTCCTAGGCACCGAAGATTACCTTTCAACCCCTTGAAGTTAAGTCAGAACCACGTGACTCATTCTGCCAATGAGTTGTGAGCAGTACTAATCTCTCCCAAGCAACCAAAGTTGAACCATTGGGCCACCCCATGAAATGAAACATGTACAATTTACTAAGATTTAACCTAAGTATTAATATTAATATATCCAGCTAGTTAAGATCACCCTAACCTAAGGGTTTCAATTGAATTGCCTCTGTCTGTTTACTACTAAGGTTGACATTTGCTGTTGATTTTTGATGGACAAGCATTACCAAGTTAAGAAAGGTTCCTGTACTTCTGTTTTGAAGCAAATGTGGTAGCTTTGTTATAAAATATTAAATAATTAAAGATATAAAAACATGTAGATGATATGATACCTGGAAAATTGCAATGTGGCTCTGCTATTAGTTACTAAAGACTTCACACTAATTTGTGATGAAACATTTGCCAGGTGTGGCTGGAGAACTGTCTGTCCCACTCCAGGTGGATCCTCTTCCTGTTCATCATATGGTTTCTGTGTCATGAAACTATTTTTTCCTAGTGCTCATGTTGATCCCCATTCAAATGGCTATTTTCTGGGTGACAGAAGCAATATTCTAATTGCAGAGAATTACCAGCTTTGCCCCAGTTGCTGTTTAGTCTTTAAAAACCAGACAATGTCTTTCTCCACCTTTGCTCATTGTTTACCTGATGACTTAGCATTTTTGTCCCAATTTGTTCCTGCATGCATTTGCACAATGCCAAAGAAAGAATCAAGGTGTGACTTTCTCCCACCACTCATCTAAGGGTCTGGGGATCCTTTCTACAGAATGCCTACTACAACTGCAATGAGAAGATGCTTTCCTCTCTCTATTTTGGTAAATAAGAGCATGTTTCAGATCAAGTTCTGCCTAGAATGCTCTCCCTAAAGTCTTTTTCTCTATATCCCGCTTTCTTCTTTTTCTCCAGCTGCAGGAGCTAGAGCTGAAAGACTAGGTTTGCAGCAGACACGCTGGCATTGGGTGTGAACCAGGCAGCCACAAGAAAATCAGGATTGCTGCTGCTGTGGTTTCCCATGCTCTGCTTGCCAGTGTCCTAACCTGTCTCCACCTGAGGCTGGGCTCCCAGGTGCCAGGCTTGGCCTTGGTACAAGCAGGGACCTGGGTGAGTGGAGTTGAATGAGCAAGGCAGGCTTCTTGGTGCAGGAGAAAGAACACTGAGTCTTGGATTCAAATGCAGGCTATGCATTTATTAACTGTGTGACAGGCGGCAAGTCAATTAACCTCTCTGAGATTAATACACTCTCCCCATGTGCAAACTGGAGAGTAGGTCTTTGCTAGGAGAAATAAGTGAGACATTGTACAAAATTTCTGGGCTAGTGCCTGGTTCATACAAGGACTTCAAGAAAGGATGTTTTCTAAAAAGGGACTCATTGATTCATCTAATTGGCTGTAAAATGTTTCCAGGTCCATCAGCTACAATGATGAGCTTACAGCAAACAAAAAGCATTCTGTCTAGTAACAAGATAATGAACCAACAAGGGGCAGGAAAAAAGTTAAACCAGGACGTAGCTAAGGAAAAACAATAAGAGGCGTGATGGCATATCTTTTCAGATAAGCATCTTCCAGTTTCCAAAGGAGTCCAGAAGCCTTTTAGTTTTCTAATGAATCAACTCCAAAGCATGTGCCCTGGGAAATCATGATGTGCCTAATCATTTTAGCAACAATCTCTGAGAAATTGGCCATTACTGAAAGTGACCAACCATTTGGTTGGAACAGCCTGAAGCAAGATTATTAACAGCAAACATGAAGATGATTATTTTAGCAAATTGCCACTGATTGGTAAATTCAGAACACAAAGGCTTCATGCCTGGCTGGAGTCTCTGGGAAATTATTTTACAGCCATAATAAACACCTACCGCTGAGATATAGAAACCATTTAAATCGGTTTTCTCTCTGTTTGGGGAAGGAGCACAGTCATGGGCAGGGATGGGTAGGGATTTGAGAGCGGGGTGAGGTGAAGGGTGCTAGGGAGAGTTTCCATGTCCACCCTGTAGGTTTGGGAGCCCATTTTTCCTATTTGCTGAGCTAAAGGGAAGTCCATCGGAGTATAAAGCTCAACGTGGGCATAAAATACTGGACACAACCAGCACAATTTTTGCATTATAAATTAGTTAGATTTTTGTTTGTTTGAAAGACAACATAGGCTCAAACCAAAACAATTTAAACAAAAATGGAATATTAGGGATTAGTTAAATGGAAAGTCCTAGGAAAGGGTTAGCTTCAGGACTGCCTTGACCAAGGGAATTACTCAGTGGCTCCCAGACTAAATTTTTCTTTGTCAGTTTCCTTAACTTTCTTTCATCTGGGTTGATCCCAGAGTGAGGGACCATGGGGCAAATCCAGATGGAATTTTTTCCATTCCAGGTTCATATCCATTTCCCAGGTGACCTGATAAGGGCCCCGCTTTCTATAATTTGGACCCCAATCTCATCACATTGAGACTTAGGAATGCAATGTGCTAATTTTCCAGGTTGGAACCAGAACACAGAACCATTCCTGGAGCTAAAACACATGAATGGAGAGAAGGGGAGAAACTGGCTTCTCTGAAAAAAAAATGAGATATATTAACCAAAAGCAGGGGCTAGAAGGTGGACAGATCCCCACCCCATCCCCCACACCTTCTCTCTCTCTCTCTCTCTCTCTCTCTCTCTCACACACACACACACACACACACACACACACACACACACACACGAAACATCCACCAGCATGACAACTAACCCCTTGACTAGAAAAAGACATTTAACACTGCAAGAGGCGAACATCTTGAAGTCATAGACTAATAGATGACATGCTGGCTGGGAAGAGATCTTTAGCAAACATGAGGCAGTTGCTCTTAATATCTTCATCACTAAAAAGAGGCATGAAAGGAAAAAGTGACTTGTCCAAACAGTGCTTTAATCAGCTTTGCAGCTCAGGGTTTCTGAGTTGATGCTCAATTCTGTATTCTCTCTGCTTTGTTACTACTTACTCTGGCTTTTAAACATGAAAGTGCATACAGTGCCAAATACATGGCCTTAACCTCCTATTTGCAAGCTGACACAGAAAGGGCCAAAAACATGAGCACTTGGAGAACAAGAGCAAGGTCCAGGAAGACCAATTCTGATATGCAGCATACACCATCACACTGTCGGGCTGTCCATTCTCATCTGTATGGATATGGGCTCAAACTCATCCTCCAACTAGTTTCTGAGTGGCTCTCCCACCAGTCAATCATAGAAGACCCCTGAAACAGAACCCGCCTGTCATTTCTAATCTAGTGGGTTCCACCATTCCACTGTTATTCTGTCCCAGGGAAATTCTTCATGAGCTATCTCTGCAGTATGGCTCCACAATGTGAAAGGGCTGTAGATTTCAGGATCAAATAGATCTACATTCAAACATCAAAGACAGACACTGAGACAAGGATTTCAGTGCGAAGAATTTATTAGGGTGTAATTTTGAGAAGAACTGGTCACAGAGTGAAAAGGCAAGACAAGGAAGCAAGGGCAGTAAATTAAAAAGTAAAAATCAGTTTCAAGAGAATGGTGATGGTAGGTAGCTGTAGGTGACTCCTCATGGGGACTCCGGGAGCCTGTGTAGAACAGGGTCCCTTGGAGTTCTCCCATGTTAGGGGCAAAGGGGGCTTCCCTCCAGGCGTTGGTTGAGGATGTCACTCGGAAATGGACAGAATGGGCTTTGTTGTCCAGAAAATGTTCTTGTGAGAAGAAATGCAGGTGCCAGCAGTTGAAAGACAGGCTGGTGTACGCTCATGTATACAGGACAGGGTGTGGGCAGGGCCCAGGGGACATCTGTTGTTCATGGTGCTCACTGGATTCATGAAACTGGGAGCATCCTCTTACTTTTTCAAGCCTCCTTATTCTCATTTATTAGATAAGGAAGCCGGCACCTTTGTAGGGTTATTCTGCAGCTCACTTGGATAATGCTGTCTACGCCTCTGGCTCTTGGAAAGACTCCAACACCATGCTAGTGATTTTTCCCTTGTCTTGTACTTCAGCAATCTCAGAGGAGAAACTGGATTTTATAGGACTTCTAGCAGGAGGGCACCACATGATCTCCAACCCAGGATGGAATACCGACTTACAGTGAAACAACATCCAGTGGATTTCCCGCTTCATACAGAAAAGCAAGTAGATGAGGCTCTATTGGCCAAAGTCTGTGCAAGGTGCTTCATCTATTTAGTAGGATTTAATCTTCATTCTGTTCGGTGACTACTGCAAAGAAACAATTAAGCGCAGTGGTGAAACCGTTCATCAAACTGAAAGAAGAACCAAGCTCAGGGCTAAAGGTGGATTCCAGAGGAGTGGGGAAGGGAAAAGGGGTGGGGAGAGGGCTGAAAGCTGAGAAGAATAATCGCCCTTGTTATCCCTGGTCACTGAGAACTGTCAGCATCACCTTGCCTCTCTCCATCATCTGTTGACATTCAGACTTCACCATCTGCAGGGATTCGCATGCCTCCAAAACTTTGCACAAGCTTCTCCCTCTGCCTAGAATTCCTTCCTTTCAGTTTTCTAGATGTCTAACTTTATCTTGTCCTTTGAGACTCTGACTTCTCTTGCTGCAGGGACCTTCCACGTTCCACAGCCTCCTGGAAACCCAGTAATCTCCACACATCACGGTAAAGGAGAAGTCAACAGACAATGGCAAGGGATGATAAATTCCATCTCCTCCCCAACAGCTGCCTTTAAGAGAACCAAGCATTCATGGGGTGGCACAGGTCAGAGAACAGCAAACATTGATTGTATAGGCTCTGGGAGATAGGGAGTGGGCCAAGATCTCTGTGAGTTCGTATTATAAGGGATGTTTCTGGGAGAAGATAAAGTTGGGGTGGGACATTTGAGAAGTACCCAGGATTGAAACCTACTGCTCAAATGGGAGAGAGCAAGTTGAGTGCCATTGGTGGGGCAGGGGCCAGCTAGGGGATGGGGGGGGGGGGCAGGTGGTGAGGGCAACCGGAAGTTAGCAGGATAAGCAGGGCATAGCCACTCTATGGATGAACGTTCAAGTTTTTACCCCACAGGCAATAGGGAGCCTCCAAAATTATGGAGTGACCTGGAAAAATGGCATTTTAAGAATTTGGGGGAGATTAATCTGGTCAAGGTGTGTCAGAGAGATTGCATGCAAAGCAATGAGTTACAGAGCCATTGCAGAGAACCCCAGGTGTGATGCAGAAGGGGTGCTAGTGTAGTAGAAAGCACCATTGATTACTTTGAGGAATCCGTGTCCAGGGTAGCAGATATTATGGGTGTTCTATCTGCCAGGCACGATTCTACATTATTTTCATTTAATAACTCATTTAATCCTTACAATAGACCTATAGGATAAATACTGTTATCAACCCTAGTGGTTTGTTTTGTTTTGTTTTTCAGTTGGCAAAAATGAGGTGCTGAGAAGTGAAGTCCCTTGCTCAAGGTCTCTCAGTTACAAGATGGTCAGGACTCAAAGGAACCACAGAGCCTGTGCCCTGTGCTGCCATCACAACACTAAACAGGAAGACCTGGATTCAAACCCCAGCACCTCAACATATGAGTGTTGTGAGTTTGGGAGACTTACTTCTGAACCTCAGTTTCCTTGTCTGTCCAGTGGGGATAATGAAATCTACCTCGTGTCTGCAATATCCAAATGACATCAACACTGAGCACCTTGAGGATTCTAATGAATGTTAATTCCCCTTCCATTTCAATTTGCCACATCACCTTCTAATTGAAAAATATCCTTGAGAAAACAAAAGTCTTTGTGTCCCCAGTGAAGAGGGTGGGGAAGAGGGTGTCGCCTGGGGGAGAGAGCAGCCTTCTCCCCTGCTTTCCCCCCGCATTCCCCCTCTCTGGCCCACCCTCTCCCAAGATAGGGCTGATTTCTTCCTCAACCCAGTTCATTTAAGGTCTCCACCCCATGGAAGAAACACAGGAATCTGTGGCAGTGAACTCAGCAACATTTGTTCTGCAGCCCAAGAATAAACAGAGAAAGCAAGCTCTCTGCGTCTTCAGAAGTGCATTTACTGTACTCGAAACAGATGAGTTCCCTCTGTTTGCATTAATCGCATGACTATTTGGTCCAATTATTCCTACCACTTCAGCAATCATGGCGTGCTTGTTCGAGAAGAAAGAAATAACAACAGCTTATCTTGTTGAGAGCAAAGAACAAACAGTGAAAAATCAGGGTGCGTTCCCAAATGCGACACTTGCTGTCATTGTGCTGAAGAGATGATTCCTGTTCTCATAGCAACTCGGGTACAGAAAAAAGAGAGAGAGAGAGAGAGGGCTCTGAAAGGGATTCAGTTGCAATGGTTAAAAACCTTTTCAAAATCAGTCCAAATGGAGATAAAACTCTATTTTTATCACCCAGCTCAACTCTGCCTGCCCCCACCAACCTTATCTTCTCACGTTGACTGATTTACATAGGCTTAAATAATTCTTTCAAATAACACATTTCATTAGAATAGGGTAATGGACAAAGGACTAAATGCTGTTTAATCCCCTCTCTACAGAGCCCCTAAGGACTGCTAATGTTTTCAAGGGAACACACGGAGGCTGGTGCTGAAAGAACCAATGCAAAGAAAACCACAAGGCAGCTTTGGAGTAAGAGTCAGTGGTCGTAGAAATTCTCTCTTCCCACCAGACCAGGCAATCAGAGGTGGCTGTGCCATGGGACAGTGTCTCTCCCAGCTCTCTGCATTTTTTTCCCACATGACCTTTCCCACAATTAGATACAGCAACCAGTAAGAACCTGAGGGAAATTATTATTTTTATAATAGATCTGGTCTTGAACCAAGATGCAGTCCATTTTCTGACCTGTTACTGGAATTTCTTGCTCTTGCCTTCCTGTTTGGTGATCCCCTGGATAAGAAGACAATGGAGTATGTGTTTTGGTACCAAGCCTTGGTCCTCTCTTCAGATGTGTCTGCTATTGCCACCTTCAAGTAACATAAAGCTTCACCCAGCCCAGTTGCTACGAACATATCTTCGTACCAACCAACAGAGATTGGCTGTGGTGCCAGAAACAGGGAAGTAAGCTGAGGGCTTTACTCTCACTGAACTATCATTGTCTGATAAGACCACAGCTGGAAAACAGTGGCATCAACATATCCTTATCAGGACAGGAGGATCTTGCTCTCTTCTGATCAGTCAATCCCTGTGGGTTGTGAAACAACCTTGTTGATGTCTTATTTGTTAGCAATAACTCAGTGACAAATGTGGGCTCCCTGTGCATTTGAACCCAGAAGGAATAAGAAGGAAGCAGAACACAGTTGGTAAGCTGTGTGAACCAAACCTAGAAGAATCATTGAGCATTTGTAAAGAGAATTATTTTATCATTAGCAAGTGAGATTCTCTTGCAGCTATAGAGTTTAACAGAAATAGCTGTTTTTATGGTAACACAGTAGTTTACAGATGTAAGGGGTCTCTGCTGAAAGGTTCAGTTCAACAAACTAATAGGCATTTATTGACATACTCAAAACTAAACTTTGCAGCCAGAAGCATGGTGCATAAGATACTTTCTTCCCACCGTTGATGTAGCTTAAAAGTGGAGACCAACAACACCTCTGATCAGTAGAGAAATGCAAATGAAAAGCACAATGAGATACCATTTTATACCAGTCAGAATGGCTATTATTAAAAAGTCAAAAAATAACAGATGCTGGTGAGGTTGCAGAGAAAAGGGAAGGCTTATACATTGCTGCTGGGAATGTAAGTTAGTTCAGCCACTGTAGAAAGCAGCGTGGCTGTTTTTCAAAGAACTTAAAACACAGTTACCCTTCGATCCAGTGCTCCCATTATTGGGTATATACCCACAAGAATATAAATCATTCTACCATAAAGACACATGCGTTCATATGTTCATCACAGCACTGTTCTCAATAGCAAAGACAGAATCAACCCAAATGCTTATCAATGGTAAACTGGACAAAGAAAATGTGGTACATATACACCATGGAAAACAGTGGCATCAGCATATACATATAAGGACAAGAGGATCTTGCTCTGTTAAAGAGGAATGAGATCATGTCCTTTGCAACAACATGTAAAAAGCTGGAGGCTATTATCCTCAGCGAACTAACACTGGGACAGAAAACCAAATACCATATGTTCTCACTTATAAGTGGGAGCTAAACACTGAGTACACATGAACACAAAGAAGGGAAAAACAGACACTGGGGCCCACTGGAAGGTGGAAAGTGGGAGGAGGGAGAGAGTCAGAAAACTACCTATCAAGTACTATGCTGATTATCTGGGTGATAAAATAATCTGTACATCAAACCCCTGTGACCTATATAAAAAACCTGCATGTGTACCTCTGAGCCTAAAATGAAAGTTTAACATAGAAATTAAAAAACAGTGGAGACAAGGACATCTCCTAAGTTACAATAACAAAATCATCAATAGACATAAATACAGAGTACAAATACAACATAATATGTAAATATTACACTATTGGGCAAGAAATGGCATCCCAGAGAGACATCCCAGAGGATATGATGTCTAAGAAAGGTTTTGAAGAATGAATAGGAGTTTAACAAATGTGTAACAGGAGTGGAAATATGTTTCAGGTAGAGGAAACCAAATCAGCAGAGGTTAATACTCGAAATATACATAAACAATATGGTGGGCTTGGCTATTTTTAAGATCAGCATTTGCTAAGTTACACAGCTGAGAAAAGATGAGAAAAATAAAGTTGGGGAAGTAGGGAGTAATTCTAGCAGATGTTTTATATCTTGCTTTATCTCTTAGAAGATCTGAAACAATTGAAAATTATTAAGAAGGCATGCAACATGGTGAGTTGTGTAATTGAAAACGGTAGAAATAGTGAAGCACTTAAACAGTTAATATGTTTTTATTGAATTGCTGTTATGTCTCCAAGATTTTGCCAAACGTTGTGTGATATGCAAATAAAGCACAAAAATTGAATCTTATTTTTAAGGAAAAATACAATTATTAACATCATCATCAACAACAACATTTATTAAGGGGTTGCTAACTGCCAGGTACTGTTCTATGCACTTTACGGGAATTAACTCACTTACTTAAGCCTCACTGACCATACAAGATGGTAGTATCATGATCTCCGCTTTACAGATAGGGAGGTGTCATACAGTGAGGTCAAGTAGGTTTCCCAATGTCATACTGCTAGTAAGAAATGGAAAAAAAAGTTCTGGAACTAATTCTTGTTGTAAGATTAATGAGTTCAAAATAGATATTGATTCCACATGTTCCCTGACACCTGCAAGAAATAAAGAAAAAAGAAAGCTTTCCTGAGCTCACTCCACTTCTGCCATTAGACTTCTCTTCCCAAGTCTGTATGTTGTCTTTGTGGTGGTTGAAGGTCCCTTATCAAGCACCTCACTGGGTCACATACCCAGGGCTCCTCAGAATGGTATTTTATATAGATTTCGTACACTGTACATCATTTGAAACAAAAGTTTCCCCTTTCCTGACATCGCCCCACACCTCTCTACTCTTTTCTGTCTTTACCATCCTCATCTTATTTTAGGTGCTTATTTTCCTTATATTATGATCAGCTCCTTTTCACAAAGCATGGGAAATCAACCTGAGTTCTCTCTTTTTCACTTACAACAGCTCCTATCATGCCTGCGACTACCCCTTGTGTTCTTCCCTAAAATTAAATTTAAATGATAAAAGACAGAGACTCATAACAGGAAATTATAAAAACTGAAAAAATAAAGATCACTGTCTTAACCATCACTTTAATGTATTCTCAACAGTTAAGCATTATTTCTCGTTCATAACATTTATCATAGAATAAAATATATATGACTGATAAAAACTGGAAAATCCACACGGTTCACTTCTTTGTTTCTCACTCTCTCTTTTCCTTCTGTCTAAACACATATATACTGTATATATACTAATAATACATATTTTTTGAGGCAGTCTCACTCTGTTGCCCAGGCTGGAGTGCAGTGGTACCATCTTGGCTCACTGCAACCACTGCCTCCTGGTCTCAAGCGATCCTCCTGCCTCAGCTCCTGAGTAGCTGGGACCACAGACATGCACCATCATGCCCAGTTAATTTTTGTATTTTTTGTAGAGACGGGGATTCACCATGTTGTCCAAGCTGGTCCCTAACTCCTGACCTCAAGCGATCCACCTGCGTCAGCCTGCCAAAGTGCTGGGATTATAGGCGTGACCCACTGCACCTGGCCCTAATAACATTATATATAATATATAGTATATAATACACAATACGTATGTTTTATATGCTATAAAAATAAAACCTAGTCACATACATGTAGTGTTGTATCTATGATACTTTTAGTTAGATGCCTACTAAAGAGCCATTTCTCCTTTTCTTTTGCTAACAGAACTTCTGCTATTTTCTTAAGTAGCAATGTGCCCAATTGCAGGAGACAAATGGTGAGTCATCCAAGCCCAGAACATAATCCGATTACCCTTTGTTAAAAACTAGCTTTCTTTTGTAGTCCAGGGTGGCCATAGGTTCTTATTCTTGCCAGTGTGATATAATAAAGTCTTCTGGGGAACTTCTGGGGAGGTTTTGGTCTTCCTGATAAAATTAGACTTTTTTCCTTACCCCTTTTCTGCCTTTGCAGTAAGGAGGTGATGCCCAGAGCTATGGCAGCTGTCTTGTAACCATGAGGTAAATACCTGAAGGAAAAGCCAATAGTAGTAGATGGATGGCAGAGCAGAGACTTGAAATCAAGACTGAGTCTTTGATGATGTCGTGGAGTCAATGAACCACTCCAGTCTTCTCACTTGCAATTGAATATATCCCAGTCACACAGTAGTCTACCTTTATTTTCTATAACCCTACTTTTCCCCCTGTAAACTATGAACGTTTTTTAAGATCATTTAGAGCTATTCAGTTTGATCCTGATTTTTACCCCGTCTCCATGCACTAGCTGAATATTTCCAATCCCACGCATATCCATATGCTTCTCCTTACCTATCTTAGCTCGTTTAATATCACCCACACTTCAAGGCCCATTTTTTTTAAATTATTTTTTTGGGGGGGTAGGGGAGAGAGTGTGCGTTTTAGATTATATTCCTTAAAAGAAGAACCTGAGGCAGGGATTGGGGTATATGTTAGTTAATGAGGAAACGCTCCTCAGGAAAAATCTGAAAGGGAGCGAAGGAAGCAGAATTGGCAAAAAGGAGGAGTTGAGCGATAATATGGTCTTGGAAAACATTCAGGCTTGGCCTGATTTCACGTGGAGGGCTCTGGAGTATAAGTGGTTCCACCTGGAGCTGTCCTGTCTCAAGGCAAGAAAAACCTGCTCTGTGCTCTGTGTTAGCCAATCATTGGCCATCCTCAGAGGTAGGCGTGGCACGGCGATAACCGTGATCTGATTCTTCCAGGCATCTCCAGCTGAGACAGTGCTCTAGCGATGGTCACAGGTATAAGCTGTTAGCTAGAGCAATTTCAGCAGTTGGGAGGTGAGCATATCAACCCACAAGGTTGTCTGAGAGGGACAACAACTTCTGCTGTTAGTTTACTTTTGGGTATAAACGTGAACTTTGAGGAAAGAGTTAAATTCAATTAAAAACAAATTCGTTGAGTGTCTACTATGTGCAAAACAATATGTTGTGGCAAAAGGGGGACGCAATGTGAAAGATCTGTTGCCCTCGAGAAGAAACGACCCTGCATATCAGCAAGGTATCTTTTCCTGAAGCCGGTCTTCATTAACAGGCTTGGTAAGTTGTGATTTTCTATGAAGCTTGTTCCTCTCTGCACTGCCCTATTCCTATAAAGATTGGCAAATACATTTTAAAATACATACTTTAAAATTAGATGTAGGTAAATTCTCTCCAAGATTATTTCTCCTGCTTGAAACTCATTGTGAATATAAAAGAGCTGACTTCAGAAGTTTAGACCCTTTCCACTTATGTAGAAAGGAAAACATTGTATACAACAGCTAAAGGAAAGTTGAAATTAAGCACAAATATTCGAGACCTTGATTTGGTTGGCCTTTGGCATTAGAATTACAAAAACTGTAATAAGGAATCCTGTGTTTCTAGTGGTCAACATTTGCAGATATGGGTATTAAATGGAAAACAAATTATGTTTTCAGGCTTTATGAAATATAGTTTGACTTCTCAACTTTACTGAAAATGAAACCCCTGCTATTGCATTATTTTATTCATCAAGAGATGTATAATAAAAAGGTGTTCTAAAGAAACAAAATGCCCACTTTTGTAAACATAGTAAAAATATAATTCATAAAGAGAAGTATATTTAGAGTTCTCTTGACAGAGGAATTTTTATTTGAAACAGACCTTTTAATTTCTTTAGGATGTGTTGATAACTACTGCACTCAGAAAAATACCTAAATCAGGGGATTAGAGGATTATTCTGATTGCCGAACAGAGATGACCACAATCAGATTTAATTATCTCCTTTTCACCAAGGAAATGAAGTGGGACTATCCTTGTTATTTCTATTCCTATTTCTTTTTTCTTATATACTTTAAGTTCTGGCGTACACGTGCAGAAGGTGCAATTTTGTTACATAGGTGTACGTGTGCCATAGTGGTTTGTTGCACCCATCAACCCCTATTTTTTTTTAATCTCCATCAGTTTTTGGGGAACAGGTGGTATTGGGTTACATGAGTGAGTTCTTTAGTGGTAATTTTGAGATTTTGGTGCACCCATCACCTGAGCAGTATATACTGCACCCAATTTGTAGTATTTTACCCCTCACCCACTTCCCATCCTTTCCCCCTGAGTCCCCAAAGTCCATTGTGTCATTCTTATATCAAGGCCCATCTTAAACATCACCTCTTCCCTTAAGTTATCTTTGGCTCTTCCATCCAAGTACAAAGCCATGCTTCCAACTCTATCTAATTTTTTAAAATTTTAGAGTAATTTCAAATTTATAGAAAACAAATATGAAGGTAGTACGGAGAGTTCTTATAAACCTCACAACCAGTTTCCCCTATTTTTAACATCTTGTATTCATCCCATACATTTGTTAGAATTAATGAATCAGCATCGGCATGTTATTAAATGAAGTCCATAGTTAATTCAGATTTCCTTAACTTTTACCTGAGTCCCTTTTTCCTGTCAGGGTCCTGTTGGGATCTCACTTTACATTTAGTTGTCACGCCTCCTTAGGCTTCTCCTGGGTGTGACATTTTCTTAGATATTCCTTGTTTCTGAATACCTTGGCAGTTTTGAGAAGGACTAATCAGGGATTTTGCCGAATTTCCCTTAAGTGGGATTTATCTGATGTTTTTCTCATGACTAGACTGGAGTTATGGATTTTGGGAAGGAAGACCATAGGGAAAAGTGCCATTTTTATTAGATGGTATCAGAAGTATATGCTATAAACTAACCTTGATGTTAAATTTGACCACCTGACTGGTGGTGTTTGTTATGCTTCTCCTCTGTAAAGTTACTCTTTTTCCCTCTTTCAACACTGTACTCTTTGGAAGTCACTACGTGCAGCCCACACCACAGGTCCCCAGCTCTTTTTTGTTCATTTTTTGTTTTGTTTTGAGACGGAGTCTCTGTCTGTTGCCCAAGCTGGAGTGCACTGGCACTACATCGGCTCACTGTAAACTTGGCCGCCCAGGTTCAAGTGATTCTCCTGCCTCAGCCTCCCGAGTAGCTGGGATTACAGATGGCCGCCACTACCCCTAGCTACTTTTTGTATTTTTAGTAGAGATGGGGTTTCTTCATGTTGGGCACGCTGGTCTTGAACTCCTGACCTCAGGTGATCCACCTGCCTTGGCCTCCCAAAGTGCTAGGACCCAGCTCTTTTTTATACCTCTTTCACGACATTCCTTAAGAGTCCTGATTTGTAAAATGGTCCACTAGTAGCAGCTATCACACAGGACTGGTGTAAACATTAAATAGACATCTGCCACATGTAAGTACTAGTTATGTGGTATTACATTCGATATTATATGTGAAGTAACTAGCTCAGTACTTGACTCATAGTAGGTACATAAGAAACAGTCGTTATTTTTCCTGCCTTTTTTTGATGAATGCTGACAACACTTTATTTATTTGCTTGTTTTTTTTTTTAATTTTAAGTTCCAGAATACATGTGCAGGATATGCAGGTTTGTTACATAGGTAAATGTGTGCCATGATGGTTTGCTGCAGCTATCAAGCCATCACCTTGGAATTAAGCCTTGCATCCATCAGCTATTTATCCTGATGCTCTCCCCCTCCCCAGCCCTCTGACAGGCTCCAGTGTGTGTTTTTTCCCCAAAGGAAAAATTTACCAGCCACTGCAATGTCTTACCTTCTTTTGATATAATCAAGACTTGGTAACCTACCTATCTTTTTATCCTACTGGGAGACCTTATAGTTATAACTGGGTTGCACAATAGTATAAGATGGTTCTTAAATTGGATAGGGCTCTTTGATATGGTGCGTTATTCACCCCAAGTATTAGAATAATGTGGTGCTGAGCCAAAGGCTCTTTTTGGCAGCCCAGATTCAAGCTTTAATTCAGGCTATTTCAGCACTTCTCAGTGGATCACTTGTACCTCCAAATGCATTTGCTCTGACAGATCCTATACTGGAAAAATCACCCTGACCTACCAGGCTAGACTGTAAGCTCAATGAAGGTAGGCCATAGCTGTTTCTCATGGTGTCTTCGGGTCCCAACACAGTGCAGGTATTCAATAAACAACTGACAAAAAGATAGATGTGTAACTTGGCTCTAGATACTAATACAGACCATCATTATCCTAAATGCTGTTTTTTCTCCATGAAAAAGACCCTGATATCCAAACAGCGCCTTTGCACGAAGGCCTTAAATATCAGAACTGTGTTAATTCAATCAAGGAAAGATCTGCCAGATATTCACAGTTGGCTTCTACCACTTGCCTCTCAGCCTTCAGTCTCACTCTCTCTCAGTCTATCACAGCATTGCCAGAGATATTTCTCTAACACCTAAATTGGAGAGATTTCCCCTTGATACAAACCAGAGTTTCTCAACCTCAGCACTGTTGAGATTCAGGGCCAGATAATTCTTTGTTGTGGAGGCTGTCCTCTTCACAATGGGCAAGATATGAAGTCAGTCTAAGTGTCATTTATCAATGGATAAATGGATAAAGAAAATGTTTTGTATATATCTACAATGGAATTAAAAAGAAGAAAAACCTGCCATTTGCAACAATGTGGATCAATTCACCGGCTATTATGCTAAATGAAATAGGCCAGGCACAGAACAATAAATACTGCATGATCTCACTTATATGTGAAATCTTTGAAAATTGAACTCATAGAAGCAGAGAATAGAATGGTGATTGCCAGGATCTGAGGATGGGTAAAATGAGAAAACAAAGTTTTTGCAAGGCAGGATTAATATGTCCTGAAGATCTAATGCACAGCATGGTAACGATGGCTGCAAAAGTTCTTCTTAGGTCTGGTCTGGTGAGACAGAACACTTGCACAAGAAGTCAGGAAAAGCAAAGGTATAGCACATAGGCAGGAAAGATAAACGGGAGCCTAGGCTCAATGGCGAGCCACTCCCTCAAGGTTCAAGAAAGCAGCCCAGGACAGATGGACTCTAGTCTGCTTGGGCCCACTGCAGCTGAGGGACCCTGAAAGCATTTCACTCCAGGTTCTACACCCTGTGTACCACTTGGCTTGCTGTGTTCAAGCATTGCAGAATCCCCTGTTCTCAAAGGAAGGTAGAAAGACCGGATTGTTCTGGACACTTCCTTAACATCTCAGGAGGTTGCATTTTCTCGATACATTCTACAGTTATTTTGTGAACTGCAAGCAGAAGGAGGGAGAGCTGGGGCAGTCAAGGCCATGCAGGGACCTGACCTCCTACAACTGTCAGTAATATTGTACTGTAGAGTTGAAATTTGCTAAGGGAATAGATCTTAAATGTCATCACCACACCAAAAGAGGTAACTGTGTGAGGTGATAGGTTAATTAGCTTCACCCTGATTGTGATAATCATTTTCTAATATATAGGTATATCAAAACATCACATTGTACTCCTTAACTATATACTTTTTTTGAGACAGGTTTTCACTTTGTCAGCCAGGCTGGAGTGTAGTGGCACAGTCGTGACTCACTGAAGCCTCAGCTTCCCAGGCTGAAGTGATCCTCCCACCTCAGCCTCCTGAGTAGCTGAGAGTACAGGCATGTGCCACCACCCAAGGCTAATTTTTAAATTTTTTTTTATACGCAGGGTTTTGCCATCTTGCCCACGCTGGTCTAGAACTCCTGGGCTCACACAGTCTGCCTGCCTTGGCATCCCAAAGTGCTGGGCTTACAGGAGTGAGCCACTGTGCCCAGCCCAACTATATACAATCTTTGTCAATTGTACCTTGTGAAGTTGGGGAGCAAATGAGGCTGCATACCAGCTTGTCTCAAAGTAAGATCTCTGTATCAGACTCAGGGTCCTATTCCAGGTCTAGGAAACAGGGCACCGGGTTTTCATATATTTTCAAGAACCTCAAGTATTTCCAACATAAATTCAAGTTTTAAAATGTATTGGCTTTTAAAAATATGAGGTCTTGCTATTTCTGGAATGTCACAGGACAGCCAAGGTTTTTTTTTTGAGAAAAATGAAGCAAGACTGGGCATTCCCTAGAAGCTTCTGAATGTGAGAATGCAGTGAGAAGGGCTCCAACTGTGAGCGTCATCAGTTTCTTCATCTGTAAAATGAACTAAAGTGTCACTTTCATATGGTGACTATAAGAGCTGGGAAGGGGCTGGGCACGGTGGCTCATGCCGGTAATCCCAGCACTTTGGGAGGCCAAGGCTGGTGGATCACCTGAGGTCAGGTGTTCAAGACTAGCCTGGCCAACATGGTGAAACCTCCGTGTCTATTAAAAATATAAAAATTAGCTAGGCATGGTCGTGGGCACCTGTAATCCCAGCTACTCGGGAGGTTGAGGCAGGAGAATCACTTGAACCTGGGAGGTAGAGGTTACTGCGAGCTGAGATGGTGCCACTGCACTCCAGCCTGGGTGACAGAGTGAGACTCTGTCCCAAAAAAAAAGGGAACGTGCATTCCAGGCATGTCACCTGGAGCTAAGAACTCAGCTGACCTTAGTCAGTGTCAGTTGTCTGATTAGGGAGCATCATTTCCTAATGCTACTAAGAGAACACAGGACCCTGCTAAAAGACAGAAAACAGTTTGGCTGCAGATGGGGAGAACCGAGACAATGCTCTTTTTGCAAACCTAGAGGCAACCACCCTGAATTATAGCAAACTACATTTCTCCAGCACACCAGACCGAAAGCCTCATTGTCCTTCGCTATTTGAACCTCAGTGAGATAAGAGGCTGCTTTTTCAGCTGTCCAATATGTCTCTCGCCATCACATGCAGATTTAGCTTCTTTTGTAAGAGCAGCGGAAGCTCTGAGAGCAAGGGTTTCTGTGCCTTGTTCACTGCTGTATCTCCCGTTTCTAGAATAATGCCTGGAAGAGAGTATGAGCTCAATCCGTATTTGTGGAGGGAATATGTGAGTGAATGGATGGTGTATTCAGGGATACTTTCCTCCCATATTCTTGTGCCTCCCTCTCAGAGTAGAACTGGTTGGCCAGGACATAAAACTGAATGAGTTACACCTAATGTCTGCTATGTTTGGGAAGAGAATGATGGTGAAGGAATTGGTCTCACTTCGTTTTCATGAACCTAGAATGCAGGTACCAAAAGGAAAAGGGATCACGAAAAGACATAAAGGAAAGTGTAAGTCTAAGCATGTTAAATGTTCAATCTCTTACAAAGAATAAACAGCAAAGCTCAGGTGAGGACTCCAGCCAATTGTGCAGGACAGAATCATCAAACAGCTGCTTCTTGCTGGAACCTGCACTGTTACAGGGGGCCTCAGTCTCTCGGTAGTTGTCTTCTTCTTTTTCTAATTGTCCCCCTAGACTGCAAGGACTTTGAGAAAAGTTCTGAATTTTTCAAGGGGAAAAAAAAATTTAAAAAGCGGGAAGGAAACATGGCGAAAAAGAGACAGAGAAAGAGACACAGAGAGAAAGACAAAAAGAGACAAGCAAAGAAGGGGAGAGATAGCAAAAGAGAAAAAAAAATTTTTAAAGAGAAAGAAAATGAAGGCAAGAAAGGGAAAAAGAAAGACGAAAAGTAAAAAATAGGCAAGAAAGAATGAAATAAAGCTGGAGAGAGAAGGCAAGAAAGAGAAAAAGAAAAAGAGAACAACAACAGCAAAGATTGCCAGGGATCTGAGCATAGAGGGAAAGTAGCAGCAGGGGGATCACAAGCCCCAAACCATCTCTGTTTTATTTTCTTTCTTTCCTGCCTCTGCCCTCACCATCTCCGGCCTGCATTTTTCAGCACTTCATTCTACTCAGCCTCTTGCAAAGCCCAAAGGGTGCAAGACCACAGTGTCAGGAAGAGGCTTTTTTTTTTTTTTTCCCCCTTTCCAGTCTTGGCGTAGAGCCTCCGGTGAACATGTCATGGATGGAGGCCAGACACTGTCTCACAAACAACTCGCAGAAGCAAGCCGGGGCCCGCCAATAGGCTCACAGCTTCCTCCCCTGCATGGCTTTGGTGTCAAACGAATCGTTCCTAGGACTTCATGTAGCGTGTGCTGTTTTATGTCCCCAGCATACACCCACAGGCTCTAAATCCAGGCACTGTCTTATTGATGGCTAGGCCTGGAGAAGGGCTTCCCCCAGGGATAGTGTGAACGCCAACATTTGGCAGAGTAGGAAGGAAGACTGGAGAAGGCCATCGGGATTGCTTCTTCTGCCATAAAAATATTTACAGAGCTGGTAGATTGCAGTGGGTAAGGCTGGAGGCTCCAGGAGGCCTTCATTTAAATCCTTATGCTGACGTTGTCCAGCCATGCACAGTATTGCACAAGTTATTTGACTATCTGTGCGTCAGTTTCCCCAACAGACAAATGAGGATACTTATAGTACTAAATTTATTGGAGTTCTTTTGAGCATTAAATAAAACTGGTCGTTCATTTAACATATATTTATTGAGCAGTTACTGTTGCCTTGGGATATTCCTCTTAGAGCTCACTCGGGGGAGATTCTAATAAAAGTAATAATAAAACAAACATCCCACGGAAGTTGCTGAGCAGAGTATCTGGTGCATCATAGAGAAATATTTGCTGTGATTAATTGAGGAGCTTCCATGTAACAGGCACTGTCATAGAACTTTAATTGTATTCACCATGACATCAAATCTTCATAATAATACGACAATGCAGTTATTAAAAACATTCTCATTCTTTTACAAACGAGGATACTGAACTCAGAAGCTTGAAGTGAGCTTGCCTTATGTCACATAATTAGAAAATAAGGAAGCTGGATTTGGGACACAGATCCATTGAACTAAAACCCAAGCCTTCAAATAGTGTGTCTCTGTATCTGCACAATCATAGGTTGTGGACAATTCTAGCTTAGGTGAAGCAAGGGGCTGCCCAGTGCACAGAGTGCTGTTTCCCTTGCTCAAGTTTCTAGTAGGATCATTGACTGGAATTTTACTTCCTCCTTTGTCCTAACTATTTCTAATAGGTCCTTTCCAGAGATAATTTTTTTTCACCTATCTGGAAATAAAATGGGCTAAGGTTTTAGCAGAGGGAAGGAAATGAGAAAAGGAAAATCTGGACCCCAACTAACTGAATGTTCATCATAGGTGTTTAATGTTCCCTTCGCAGACAAGTAAAAAACACAACCCGGTGAATAGTGAAAGACTGGGAGGTGACGCTTAGCAATGCAGGTCAGGTCCCAGCAACGGGGGTTCACCTGAGCCAAGCCTGCATCAAGCCAACAGCAAAGCAACTGGTTGGAGTTGTTAGATGGGTGTGGTGGACGTGGAGGAGTGGAGCGCCATGAGATAGCAAGTGAACATGCCACTTGGCTTCGTGGTTCATGGGTAAAAACCCAAGTCAGCTACTGTTAGATCTTGGCATAAACAACTCTAACTATGTAAAGTTGTTATCACTAAATTAGCATCTATTAAAAGCCTATAATTATTATTTTTACTCGTGGGATGTGTGTGTGTCTGTGTGTGTGGTGTGTGTGTCCTCTTTTAAACCCCGTTTATAAGCATCCACTTAATTCATTTTTGATCAGACTGAACAGGGGCCAAGCCTTTTTAGCTAATATAAGCATTGGCTCGGTGTCAGATGTCCAGGATTTGGAGAAACTCAAAAGACTTGCTCCTGCTCTGCTTTCTTTTTAAAAAAAAAACTCAACTATTTAGAGTCATCCCCCAATGAAAACCCTACTTTTAAAAAAGCTCAGCATTCCCCCCACAATTTCTCCTTTCTTTCAACTCTGATTACACTGTCCCACTTTAAGTTGCTTTGTATTTTTTCAAATTATTTCACTTACACTAAATTTGCTTGTAGACTAAACTAGTTCTTCTTAACAGAAAAGAAAGTTCCTTCCTCTCTCCCTTGTTTCTTTTATTGCCTGGTGGACTTGAGATGGTTTTGAAAAATAAACACACAAAAAATAAAAAGAAGGAATTGGTTCGAATGAGAAAATAAGAGTAGAGAAATAAGATCAGGGTAATATTAGCATAGAAACTGTGAATTCTATCATCCTGTGCAAATTCTAGAAGTGGAGTGCAAATGTGACTCAGAGGTAGCTAGCTTTCAAGGCAAGCATACATCTTCAGTTACAAAGTTTGCATTGCTCATAAGATATATCAAACTAGGAAAAGCACAGAATTTCCGGATATTGAGGTCAGAGAGACATTTCTTCCATGGGTCTACATGAAAAGAAACTGTCATAGACTCAAGGTCATCTTCAGTGATCTCAATTGCACCAGAAGGGAGTTCCCCATATGATGATCTTACATCAACCTCCAACTCATGTCCCCAAGCAGGATGCCAAGTCAAATCTGTGTTGGTCAACCACTTCTGATGGTTTTGGCAGGGGCTAGGCCCTTTCGTCTTTGGTGTTCTTCATGGCAGGTACCACATGGCTGGACACACGAGGTTAACAAAGGAGTTTTGAGTTTGACTTCATAAGGACAATCCTCCCTGACAAGTGACATCCTTATTATAAGATGCCAGTGACTTGAAGGATTCTTTCCTCTCTAGTTCCTAGGCCTTGCAAGCTCATTGTGTGTCAAACAATATAATACTCATCAGTTTTCTCTAAAAACCTGCTATTTCCATCCATGATCCATCCTCCACCTTGTGGTCCAAGCCAGAATCCATGGTGTCCTCCTGACTAACTTCTTACCCCTCCTTTCATGTCTCATCGAAGACTTCTTCAGTCTCTCTTGCATCCACCTGCCCCTGGTGCCAATGTAAATTCCATAGCTCAAGTCCCCATCACTCTGTCACTTGGACAAGAGGCTCCTGACTCCCTCCTTCCTGTTATCTGGTGCCTCCTAACCCAGGCTCACAATGGAGCCAGATGGTCTTTCTGTTTTTTGTTTTTTTGTTTTTTTTGTTTTTTTTTTTTTTGAGACGGAGTCTCGCTCTGTCGCCCAGGCCGGACTGCGGACTGCAGTGGCGCAATCTCGGCTCACTGCAAGCTCCGCTTCCCGGGTTCATGTCATTCTCCTGCCTCAGCCTCCCGAGTAGCTGGGACTACAGGCGCCCGCCACCGCGCCCGGCTAATTTTTTGTATTTTTAGTAGAGACGGGGTTTCACCTTGTTAGCCAGGATGGTCTCGATCTCCTGACCTCATGATCCACCCGCCTCAGCCTCCCAAAGTGCTGGGATTACAGGCGTGAGCCACCGCGCCCGGCCCAGATGGTCTTTCTAAGCCCACATCTGATCACACCATTCTGCTTATAAATCTTGGGTGATTTTCCCATTGCCTAAAATATGAAGTCCAAACTTAAGCCTTCTTTGGGTATCAGGAGGTAACCCTGATCCTTCAAATAAATTTACTTTGTTTTGCCTAAAAGGCTCAAGTTGGTTTCTGGCATTCATCAATGTAATACAACAAAAACAAAAATAACCTTAATTCATACTTTGCTTTATAGTTTACTCATTTTTATGTGAACATAACACTTTTATTTTCAATGAGCAATTATGTAACATTGACAGTCTCTGAGAAGTCATGGGGGGCTAAGGCAAATGGGAGCAGCTAAGAGAACTAGAAGGGATGGGTGTCCTGGGGAGAGTATTGGGGAAGAATGACAAGAAGGAATTGAAGAAAAGAGGATGGTGCAATAGGATGGAGTCATAATATTGGAAATTATTGGAGAGGGAGGAACAGGGAGGCCAAGGAGGAGCTGGGAAGACTAGGAGGAGAAGTCTTCATGCAAGGGCATTCAGGGAGGCACTGGGGGAACTTGGAAGGAGCAGAAAGTCCTGGGAAAATAGGAGCCGTAGGGTGCCCGGGAGCGATGGAGTTGTAATACGTGACCCTGATGGCCAGTGTGCATCCCTAATATCCCAGGGGCACAGCACAGCCTGACAAAGAAGTCTGTCAGGTGGAGCAACCAGGGGTGGACTTAATGTAAAGCAATGATGGCCACAGAGTAGGGAGAATCACCCTTGACTGGCAAATTGAGCAGTTGGGTGGCTGCTTGTGTAGCTCCAGTGAGAAACAAAGGGTCCCTGATCAAAGATCAAGTCTCACCCACCCTAGGGTTCTCAGATTCAAAGACTTCTGAGTAAATGTCAGCCTTTCTGTCCCCTTCAGTCTGGATCAGACACATGCTGGTGCCCACAGCATCACTCACTCCTTACAAAACCACTCATGACATGTACTGCTCATTGAATGCTTTCCTCCTCCTTTTTATTTATTTATTTATTTATTTTGAGTCTCACTTTGTTACCCAGGCTGGAGTGTAGTGGCGCAATTTTGATTCACTGTAACCTCCGCCTCCTGGGTTCAAGCAATTCTCCTGCTTCAGCCTCCCGAGTAGCTGGGGTTACAGGTATGCGCCACGACACCTGGCTAATTTTTTGTATTCTTAGTACAGACAGGGTTTCACCATGCTGGCCAGGCTGGTCTCGAATCTCTGACCTCGTGATCCACCGTCTTCGGCCTCCCAAAGTGCTGGAATTACAGGTATGAGCCACCGTGCCCAGCCTCTTCCTTCTTTATCGCCACACTGGGAGGCCCACGAGGGGTGTGGACAGGGCTGCCTGGTTCATGTGCTGTCTGCAGGGCTCCCATGGCCCCCAAAACCCAGGACAGCAACTACTCAATAGCACGTTGAATCTGTGCAAGAAAAAACAAATCAAAGAGGGAGCCAACAGAAACTATTTGGAAAGAAAATCAACATATCTATGTTAACAACTGACTTTCATTCAGCAAATATTTATGCAGTGAGGATTAGGCATCCCGCAGAGGGCTGGGCGTGGAGACGGCCTCTGGTTTGTCTTTCCCCTCCCCACCCCACATAACCATGTCCAGCTTAGCTGCCTTTCCATCCACTGCTCAACCTCCATCGGGGACCTCCTTTTATCCATATTTTTCCATGAACTAGAATAGAACATGGGCAAATTTTCAACCTCATGTCCCTATCTTGGTTCACTGAAAGGTATTTACCATCTTGGAGAAAATCCTTCTTTTTTTCTTATATATTTAATATGAAAATATGACATTTAATCCTTTACTTAGTGGCTCTCTGGCCAACAATTGTTGGAAATGATTATCAGCTGACAACTTCACTTCCCTCCAAGACTGTGAGGGCTCCAGGAAAGACTCAGTACCAAGCATAACTTGGGAGAAGGAGCTCAGCCTGCATTTCCGTCCTCACTTTCAAGCTGCCAGCATTTTTAATGGGAAACCAGGCCCATGTCAGAGTAGGAGGAGGAGAAGGGGACATTTTGAAACCGAGAAGACACATCCATAAGCCAGCAGGCTGACCACATTATCTAAACGGCTATTTTATAGCAATATTATGCACTCAATTAAAAAAACGTTGAAAGTAAAAAATGTACAAAGATAAGGCCCTGGTGAGGGAGTGGAACCCTGACAGGCCTTTCTTTCCCCCTCGTAGGAGATACTTTTCTTGATTTTGAAACTGAAAATGCTACAGTCAGCAGCAGCTTAATTCCACATTGCAATTAGGGTTATGCATTAAACCAGGCCTCTGAAGACGACTACCCTAAAGGAACTCAGACTAAATGAAAACCAGACATGTGGCCAGGGCAGTTGGCACCAGCCAGCAACCCAATATATAGTAACTATAGATTTAAAATGAAAATTAAAAGCAGTCATTACAGTTAAATTAATGTCATATTCACCAGCTGTTTATTGAAAAGGAAAAGAAAGGAAGTGATGTGGGAATTCTAGAGGCTGTTTACACTACTCTGTCTGTAGTTCAACGAAGATGGGTGAGCTATTCGCTTATTGAAGGGAAGGGCTGTCAACACACCTTTGATTTCTGGCTCAAGTTTGTGCTTTTTAGTGTCTACATTGGGGCTCCTTAGTCTAGAGGCTAAATCAGAATCACCCAAGTTGATTTTAACATCTACATGACGATACCCAGCCCCTACTCTGTGAATTCTGGTGAACTGAAATGAAGGTGGGACATGGGAATCTAGATTTTTACAATTCTCTACCAGTGTTTCTAAAAGCTGCTGGCCTGGGTTGAAAACAGCTGAGTTCCCAATTTTGGTCTCCTTCTAGCTGGCTCCACCTGTGAGCTTGGGGGTTCCTTCTACCAAAATCTCCTTCCCCCCTTTTTTCAATGGGATCATTCCCTTCTCTCTCAACTCTCCCTGAAAGTTGGTTACCCCATCTAAATCCCCACCATCAACCTCCACCAATGAATCTATCCCATTTCCATTATATTTATCTCACGGCACTTACTATCTAAAATGGTCCTGTTGCTCTTCTCAGAAATACCTGCAGCAGCAATTTAACCCAGTAGAATAAACACACTGAGAAGAAGGCCTGGACCTTCCAGGCTGCATCTAGTGCCTTGCACACCACTGACCTCAATAGTTTAATTTAAGAATGAATGACCAGGATGTGTCATTTCGGATAGTCTCAGGTAGTTCTTACGCAGAGGAAAATAAGCTGTATGATCCCGTCAGTCTCAAACGTTAAGCTTCTAGCACAGACGCATATTAGAATACCCGGGGAGAGGTGAAAATTTACCAACCTCAGAGCCCCACTTCCAGACACTGTGATTTAATTGGTCTAGGGTAGGTCTCAGGCATCAGTGTTGGTGAAAAGCCCCTAGGGAGGTTTCCGTGTATAGCCAAGTTTGAGAATCAGTACCTTCCTGTTTGTATAAAAGTCTATGGTTGAGGCAGTTTGGGAGAAAAACAGAGAACAAATGTAGTAGACCTCACTACTCAAACCTCAGACCAACAGACTAGGCATTACCTGGGAGCTGGGAGAAATGATAGCACCCAGGCCCTCCGCATGCCTCTCACTGAAAACCTGCATTGTGACAAGGTCCCAGGTGACTGACATGTGCATTAGGTTTCTAGGAGAACTACTCTTAGAGGTAAGCGAGCTAATATGCCTGAAGACCAGTCATCCCTGGAGACCCAGATAGGACATATTTTGAGTTAGGCGTGTCAATTGTGGAATGTGCGTTGAAGTATCTATTCCTTCTATTTGGTTAAACAGAGTTTCGTCTCTGGAGCTATCAGCCTCCTAGTTGCCTTTGTGTCCCCTTTATTGGCAAGGGGCCTGATGCTCTCTGCCTTCTCTCATGAGTGTCTTTCACGCTAACGTGTACAAGATTGCCAAAAGCATAGGGAGTTTCCACTTTGGACAATGAGGGTTTGAGTCTTGGCCTTGCTACTTACTGGCTACAAAAACTTGAGCAAGTCCCTGACATCCCCCCGATCTTCAGATTTGTCATACATAAGAAAGAAACAATAGTCCTTGCACGGCCCATCCTGCAGGGCTGCTTTGAGGATCAAATGAGATACTTTACATAAATGAAGGGGCGTGTATTTATCATCACTGACTTTGCATGACTCACAGCATTCTGACTTCATAAAAGCCTTGTTTGGAGAGGATGGAAAGGTGCAGGTGTATATGCAATTTCAGGATTGCTCCAGGAAATAGCCTGTTGAGAATTCAGTGCTAGGAGAAAGCTGTGCTTTCCAAATGAATCCTATGCCTTCTAAAAAGACATCCATATGATCCACATTTTCTTTCTTTGCCTTAGCTGCCAGGGAGCTAGCAGTTAAATTAGGTGGCTCACAGCAATCATTAGCTCTTCTCTATTTTCTCTACAAATGTATCTGCAATATTTTTTTTTCCAGAGTAAGGTAAGAGTAAATCAATTATGATATTAATAATAATAAAAAGAAACATGAGTTGCAACTCTAATCAAATACTCACATAATGTTTTGGCCAGTGTTCATTTGTTTAGACCAGCACTATCTAATAAAAATAAAATGTGAGGTTTTTACATCATTTTAAATGTTTTAGTGGCCACAAATAAAAAAATTAAAGTAGAAATAGGTAATGTTTATTTTAATATAATTAAGCCAATATTGCCAAAATATTACTGCTTCAAAATGTAACCAACAGAAAAAATTATTGAGTTATTTTACATTCTTTTCCGACATTAAACCCGCAAAACTCAGTAGGTGTTTTGTATTTACAGCTTTTTTCAATTGAGACTGTCCACATTTCAAGTGCTCTCTAGCCGCATGTGGCCAGTGATGGCCCTATTGGACAGCACAGGTTAGACAATGATGTTCAAAAGGAGAGTTGTAATTACATCCACCACTTATTGCAGGTATATTTTGTGCTTTATAAGCATTGTTAATTGCTTTAAGAACACTTTCAGCTAGGAGCTACCATCTTTCATTTGCAGATGAGAAAACAGCTATTCAGATAAGGAGATAATTTATCTAAAATTGAAGAGCAGAGCTGGAATCCAAACCTGCATCCAGAAAACAGGGTCCATAATCACCATTCTGTACTCTTTTCTCCTGTGCTGATTTGAGAATATTCTTAAGATTAGGGAACCTGAATGTGTAGCTCCAGTGGGGTGTGGCTCTCTGTCTGAACTCACAGCTAATTCCAGCCACACAATCCAGGGACTCTCTGGAAAGATGAGAGTGAAGCCTCCACCCACCACGGTGTTGGCATCTCCCCACCAAACCACCGCCTTCAACCTGTGCAGCTCAGATGAGAAGTTTGGAAGAAGCAATTATGATTTTATTGCACCCACTGTGCTGACGATTAATGCTGAGTGCGGGTGGAAAATGCACCCTCTCATTTGCTAACACGCACTATAATTATGCATGCCTCTCCAGGTACTATAATTTAGGACTTAAAAAAGCCCCATTTTGAACAAGTACTGCTGCACTTGTAAAACATTACAGATGTGTTATCATATAAATGAGATAGCTGTGACATGATGGCGTGATAATAAATTCCCAACTTAGATTTGGAGACAAGATATGTCAAAAGCAAATCCACACTGCCACTTAATCTTCTACATAAACTGTTTATTTTTTCTGAGTCCTACAATAATACATGTCAGACGGCTTTGATAGTTTCCAGATTAATGTGTTTTCCCCCTTCAGGTCATCACAAGACTAGTCATTTCATTAAATTAACTCTGCGAGTTGCAAGGTGGAAACATGCTGAAAAACATAACTGTTCACACCAAATTGGTTGCCAGCAAGATGGAATTAATAAATAAAACTGATTTCCCCCCATTTCCAGGGATGGTTGGAAATGCCATTCGGAACTGCATCTTGATTTTCCGAGCTCCCATCGGGAATGGTGAACCCCGCAATTATGCATGTGCCAGTTGTAAGATGCTCTCACCCAAAGCCATTTGTTTGATGTCTGATGGATTCCACACCCTTCCCATGATGCCTCTGAGATGGAGTTGGGCCTCATCAGCCCACACCCTTATTAAAAAACATGGCACCTGCAAAAGCAGAGACCTCTCCATTAAAGCTTCCCTCTGCTCTTCTCCCCAAGGTGAAATCCACCACCAACAGAACATGTACTTTCACACCTGTGTGGGTTTCAGGAGCTTTAGGTTAGACATCTGACCAACTCACCACCCCACCCAAAACCCAGTTTTCAAATTTGAAAGCCCTCAAAACTACCCTAACCTGCCCAATAATTTAATAAGTAGCCACACCAAGGATGTGTCAATCCAGGAAATCTATTTGACAGTATGGGAAAGGGTTCCCATAAGCCCCCAGTTTCCCAACTTGATAGAGCAGAGATTGACACAAGTTTTCTGCAAAAAGTCAGATACGAAACATTTTAGACTTTGCAGGTCAACCCAGTCTTCACCTCAACTGGCCAACCCTGCCATTGGAACAGAAAAGCTGCCACAGCCATATAAACAAGGGAGCATGGCTGTGCATGAGTAAAATGCATTTACAGACGCTGAAATTTGAACTTTATATAATTTTTTATTACGTGTTTAACTAAATACTTCTCATGTATCACTAGATATTGTTATTTTAATTGTTCTCCTATTTTTTAAATGTAGAAAGCATTCTTGTGAGCTGTACAAAAACAGGTGGTAGGCCACATTTGGGAAACCAGCTGTGGTTGACTGGCTCCTGGGATACAGGCATTGGGTTGAGTGGCCTCACCACACATGCCTATTCCAGCACCAATATCCAAAGATGCTCTTCAACCCAGAACTGCTGCTTGAGGTGCATAGAAGGCATAAGGTGTCATTTCTTCCCAAGTCACCAACCTTCTGAGAGGCCAGTGAGAAATTCATATAAGAGACAGGCTCCTGGATTCAACACTGAAGGAGCCACAGAGGAAATCTCAAGACCCCCGAGTGAATTTTCACTATGTAGGCAGAGCAGAAAGTGTGCGGAGTCAGAGGAGAAGGTTCGCAGAAATAACAAGGCATTCACCAGCACAGGGTTGGAGTATGTTGTGATGAGAAACAATTCATTGGCATCTTCTCCCACTGTATTGGTCCATTTTTACACTGCTATGAGGAACTGCCTGCAACTGGGTAATTTATAAAGAAAAGAGGTTTGATTGACTCATAATTCCACATAGCTGGGGAGGTCTTAGAAAACACAATCATGACAAAAGGGGACGCAGGCACATCTTACGTGGTGGCAGGTGAGAGAGCATATGTGAGCACAGGAAAAACTACCATCTATAAAACCATCAGATGTCATGAGAATTCCCTCACTATCACGAGAACAACATGAGAGAAACTGCCCCCCATAATCCAATCACCTCCCACCAGGTGTCTCCCTCAATACCAAGGGATTACAATTCAAGATGTGATGTGGGTGGGAACACAAAGCCTAACCATATCACCCACTGCGTTACAAGGGAGCTTCAGAATCTTTCTCAACCTAGTGACCTACAGAGACACTAGGAACAGCGCGATGCAAGCACACAAAGCGTTTGCTGTTATTTTTCTTTTCTCTTTCTGGAAAAAGGAATACAGGATACTCGGTGGAAGGTGAGTTGTGATGCAGGTGTTTGTTCTTCAAGGAGAACTGAGGTTAAAGGTGATAAAGGTGGTGGATGAGAAGCAGGAATTTGAGAAGAAATATTTTTTCCCTGTTTTTATTCTTCAGGTCTTTCTCCCAGTGGAGAAATCACTTGGGCCACTTCTGCATCTAGAGTGTCAGACCCAAGCTAGGAAAAAGAATCATCTTTAAAAGTATGTCATCAGCACTCAAGACCTTTAATGAGCCAGCGGAATTGGTCTCCTGGTCCTCTCCTCACTCCACAGAGACTGAAAACGTAAGTCCTAGTTTTACTCCCTAGTGGCTGCATGTAAGATGCAAATCTGGCCATTGATTATAAACATATTCTCCTCTCAGAGTGGGGATTTAAAAATGTCTGCTAGGAGAGCAGAAATCTGGACCTTCATTTAAATGAACTGTGTATTGGTCATTGTAGACCCGTCTAACTGCTTTAACAAATAGAAGATATCTCAATGGCTTAACCAGACAAACATTTTGTTTTTGTCTGAATTTTATGCAAGAGATCCTGTTTAGCTGGCTCTCCTGAGTGGCTCTCCTCCAGGTGGTGACTCAGGGATTCAGACTCCTCTCATGTGGAATCTTGGATAAGACTCTTGGACCTCTATGATTCTAAACTTAAGTGTGCAAAGTAGTCACCTGGAAGCGACCCACCACCAGAAATTCCAATTCAGTAGATGTGGGGTAGAGCAATAAATTTGCATTTTAAAAAGTTCCCAAGTGATGCTGATATTGCTGGTTCACGAACCACACTTTGAATAGCACCTTTCTATTTGCACCTATCTATCATTTTAGTCTGCATCCAGCTGTAAGACTAAAGAAAATGAGTTCTGAGGAGTTGCATAAGGCCTGTCCAGTACACCATCATTTTCAAACTGTATACTTGAAAAGTCTATCAAGCCTTGTCACTTCCACCTTAGAAATAAGTCCTGGGTCTCTCTGTCCCCTCTGCTACTGCTTTGTATTCAGTCTTTCTTCTGCAAGGTGGCTAAAGGCATGTTTCTGAAGTGCAAACTTCATCTTGAACCTCTAAAACCTGAGAATGCCAGATGTGTCTTCTTTGGCAATAGGATGGGAGGCAGATCCTTTAGTGTGGTCCAGAACCCTACAATGCTGGTTTCACCACTCCCTCATTCACATCCTTCTCCCTTTGTACCCAATATTTCACCCACAACACATTCCCCAAACCTATAGACCTCTGAAAGCACTTGTTACTTTTGCCCTCATTGCTTTCTCTTACCTGGCAACCTATCTGCCTCGTAGAGTCTTAATCTTTTTCTAAATCTAAACCCAAAGAAATATAAATGGCTGGTGTACATTATACACTCAGGAGAAGACCAATTAAAATATAAGGCCCATGCGTTCTATTAAAAAATCATTAAATTTTTTCACCTGTGAGATGGGGAAAATGATAATATGTGTTGGCAAGGGTATGGAAACACTGGTATTACTATAGTCAACTGGTGAAAAGATACGTGTATAAACAGTTACTTGGGGTGGAGGTAAGGAGGAAAGTTATTGTATATTTAATGACTCAACAAATGCATACTCATATATCTCATGCATTGAACACTTATTTACAAGAAGACAGGAGCAAGATGTTTACTGTAGTGCTGTTTATAATATGAACAATCAAAATTATATAAATGTCATCAATAGAACAGCTATACAAATTATGGACCCACTGTCAATGAACTACTCTGCAGGAGATGAGAAGACAGGCAATTCATTATACTCACCTGGAGAGCCTCTGGGCATATTGGCGAAAAACAAAATGCAAGTTCAATGCTGATAGATACAATAATGATATGATTATGTAAATATTCACACACACGCACACACACAACATACCATTACGATTTTTTAAAACAATAGACTCAAAGATTCACATCAGACTAATAACTGTGTTACCTATGGGGTTGGGGATTGTAGTCCTGGTGGGGGTCTTTAGGTTTATCCATATACTTTTAATTTTTTTTTAACCAGTGACATTTAATTGGTGTAATTGGTGTAATTAAAATTTAATATATTTTTTAAAAAGCTCAACTGTCTTTGAAGCTGTTTCTAAGTCCTGCTGGCAGAATCCACGCCTCTTGTCATCTGCATGCTCTTGATTTACTGGATGTTCCACCTTGCAATTCCCTGTTTTCTTGCCTGTCTTTTACTTGACCTTGAGCTCACTGGGGGCTGTGGCATTTTCTGCCTTCTTTTGTCACTTTGTGTGTAACGTGGTGCTTAGTACACAGAAGGTGCTTAGCATGTGTGAATCACCCAGAGGGTCTCACCAGGAACCCCTGGCTGGATCTAAGATTACACTCTGAGACCCCCGGGATTATAGCCCTCCAGAGGTATCTTATTCATTCTGAGAGGGCTGTTACAAAGTAGGTCACTCAGTTAACAATCCACAGTACCAAGGCTGATATTCAGCCTGTTAGGACCAACACAGTTGTTCCCCTTGCTAAAATACTTAAAGACTTCTGTGCAGATGAAAGGGGTCCCTGTGTCCCACCCCTCTGCTGATATGGCTTCTGCCAGATAGGCAGTCCATCAACTAAAGAGTTAAGAGCTGGCCCAGCAGGGAGCATCCAAAACTTTTCTTCAGAGCTGTGCTCATGGTGGTGACCATTCTCACTGTTTGCCATGTGTTGTGAGGGTCACCCTGAGCAGTACTAATAGGCAACAACATTATTAATTTCTTTGTACCCGGATGTTACCTCCTTCAATACTCATCATCCTGTGGAAGACTGAGGACCACAATCATCACTCATGAACCAGGGTGCTCCAGGGCAGAGCTGGGACTCTATCCAAGTTCTGTCTAAACCTAGAACCCCTATCTTACCATGAGCTCTGCTGCCATTGGTAAAAGCCATTGGCCCTCGGACCCCCTTGATTGGAACCACAGATTTGCTATGTCAGCACATGACACTCCAGCCCTGCAAGAAAACACCCCTCTGCCAGTCACCTTTGATCTCTGCCTCACTCAGCCACATGCTCTCTTCTCACGTGAGCCCAGCCTTCCCCGCTCCCTCCATAAGAGTGTTCTTTCTGCAGACCCATTCCTTCCCCTCCCAAGGGTTCACTGTGTCTCCATGTGCACAAGGAGCCCTCTGGTTGCACGGTTCTGTGTAACAAGTTAAGCAAAAATCCCTTAGGATGTTACAGAGCCTCTGGAGTACTTAATAAGACGCTGCATCTGCCCACTGCAGGGACTTGAAAGTTCAGGTGTTTCTCCTTCGTGCCGTTTCGTGTACACAACATGGGAATGAAGAAAAACAGATAAATGTTATTTATCCAGAAGACACTTTAATCAAATTCTACAAAAAGGGAAAGAAAAAGTTTTATTAATATAGTCAGTATCCCAGAAATGACAAGTGACATTTGTAATTGAAGCTAAATGCTTCAGGATTCTGAGTGTGTTGGGGAAGGCAGCTTTGGGGGTGACAGGCATTGGTTATGACAATGCAGTACACCAGTTTGGGAGAACAGATTTCCGCTTTTGTATCAGCCCACTGCCTAGACAGGAGGTGCCTCACGTTCCCCTTAATCATGCATCAGGCTGAGTGACATCTGAAATGGTAATAATTTCCCTACGAATTGCAGCTGCCCCTCTGTGCGCATTCCCCATCAGATTGCCTTTACCCACAGCAAGCAGCAGCTAAATTTAATGCAAAAACCGTCAGCAACAGGACCGCAATTAATCCAGGAGGGAAATGAATATTTCTCTGTTGAAGAATATATTTGAGGAAAAAAAATCACATAGGAGATGCTTTTTTTCCCAAAAGGAAGATATTAGTTTAGAATCCGTATAGAAACACATCTCTATGTTTCCCTGCCAGATAAGCAAGAGTTTTTCCCTCCCGACCAACCTGCACCCCAGCCCCCGAATCCTGATTATTCTCCATTGCGGTGGCTTAAAAACAAATCTACATCTGAATCCCACATCAGACCATTCGAATTTGATGGAGAGTAGTGGGATGCAGTGGACGTTGATACTGTTTTTTTCTCAAGTATTCCATTCAGTAGCAATGAAAATGAGAATCTTGGTAGATCTGTGCAGCATCTTAGCAATACCTCCCCAAATTTCCTAGCAATGTCAGAAATTTTAAACTTTCTATTTGAACACCAGACATGTGACATTTGCTGAAAAGAAAACCCTCCTCTTTTAACTACTATTTAATATATTAACTTCCTGTCTTGGAACTCTGTTCCGCGGATTTGTGATGTTGTCTACTTGTTTATTTTTATTATTTTTCCATCTCCAGATGCAAACTCCTCCTTGAGAGATTAAACTTGACGTTGTTTGCTGTTACTCAGAGTCTAAAAAGGAGAATGACAGTAATAACCAAGAAAAACAAGGGGACTTTAAAGAATCACTGGGCCGAGAGAGAGAAAAGGAAATACAGGAGAATGTAACTCACTGCGAGGCAGAAGGAGTGAGGAATTAGTAGATGGAGCAGAAAAGAATGTAAAAGCATCTGTGCCAATTGAATGATTTGTACAAAATGTAGAGTGCCTGCCACTCAAAGAGTGGTCTGGGGACCTGCAGCAGCAGGCTCTGGAAGCTTGCTAGAAATGCAGAGTCTTGGGCCCCATTCCAGGCCTACTGAATAAATCTGCATTCGCAATTTGCAGGCTACATTTTCACAGGATGCCCAGTGATACTTACACATGGTGAAGCTTGTAAAACAGCTGGCTGGGGCCTCTAGCACACCAGTGAGTAGTCCGTAAGAGGTAGGCGGGACGTGCACCGCGAAGGGGACTAAGGCCTTTTTCCTCCCTTCTCTTCCATTCCTTGTCAGCTGGCTACAAATACGTAGATGGAATTTGCAAGTCACTCGGCTGCTTCCGTGTCATTATAATGATTTCTGAAGATCCACCATAGCTTTGTCCATTGGGTTTCTTTTTCTCCACCAAATGTTGGTTGAATTGATGCAGAGGCACAGCTATCATGGTAGACAGTATAGCTTCTGTCTCTGGGGGAGGATGCTCAGGAGCCAAAATCAAGCATCGTAAAGGGGATACTCATTGAGGGGATTAATTTCAATTCTATGCAAACCCATTTCGTGGGGGTGTAAGGATTGTGAAAAGATTTGATATATATTAATGACTACTGTGTCTCAAGTTAGACACTTTATATATATTTTCTTGAAACTTCAAAATAGCAATGCAATATAGATTCAGCCACTCCATTTTACAAATGAAAAAACAGAGACTCAGAGAGGCTGGGTGACCTCACCAAGGTCACATCAGTAAACAGCAGACTGGGATCTGAACCAGGTGACCTCCTGTTTCTCTGCCAGTACCTTTCCACCACATCTATCAACCCCTGTCATAAAAAAAAAAAAAGTAAGCCTTTAAAGTGTACAAAAAGGTAGTGTTATTTCAGTGGCAAAGAAAGCATGTGAATGTTAACAAGATGTTTATCCTCTGCGTTAATAGATTATTAAACAAGGTTAATATTACTGTGATAGGGAGAAGAGAGCATCCATCAAAATGCCTCCAGAGGCCATGTGTAGACAATGCCAAAACATCAGGGTGGAAAGAGAGAATGCTACTTGGCGTCCACCTGTTTTGCGTAACTGATGCCAAACATATGGATAGAGGGAGGGGGCCCAGCCCAGCAAGGAGGGTGTGTGGTATGGGCTGAGTGGCAGCTCATCAGTGATGTTAAGTATACGGGAGTCTTTTCCAGGATAATGTGGCATCATTGAACCATTGGAGCAGAACTTCAGGGTCCTATTCATTCTGGGGTGTACTGGACATGATGAATTGTGATCATTTTGAATTCTCTTTTGCATTGCTCACTACTTATCACAGGAAGGTTACAAAGCTGAGCAGCTGATAGGGGATGTAACTGAAGGAAGACAGAGGAATTGATTAAACGTCTCTGCCTGTCCCAGTTAGCTCAGAGCCAACCATCAGTTGAGGGGAGTTAGGGAGTGAAGTCTCAGCCTTGTACCAAGAGCATGGAGCTTGAGTCAGGAGGCCCCAGCTAATGTCCAACTCAACCACTCACCATCTCTGTGATCCTAGGTGAGTTCTGCACTTCTCTAGGTTTTCACATCATACCTTGCAAGTCTGGAATCAAGGTTTTTTGTTTGTTTCTGCTTTACTTTGCATTGTTTAGTGGCAGGAGTGACTTTTAGGCCTCAATTTCTACATCTGTGAATTGGAGATACTATTACCTATTTTGTAATGGTCTTTCTTGTGAGTGCTAATTAAAAGTGATTAGCACTGAGTACGATGCAAAATACGGGATTCAAAATAGCTAGCTGTTAGTACCATTGGACCATTTTTTATGAAAAACAACCCTTCACACTAAATTTGAAGAATGTATAATTTAAGGAGCATCCACGGCCACCACGGACAATAGTTCTTCAATGAAATTTACAGAAATGAAAGATCTGTGATCTTTGTTGTTGCTGTTAACTGATAATCTTTCTCATCAAATCCGAAAGGTTGCTATTTATTTAAATGTATTTGTGAAGGCAATTCCACCAGAAGCTGAGCTAACATAATCCCAATATGTTGACTTGCTTGGATCTTCCCAAATAAGCAATGCTCAGGGTGTCTAAGTCAGTATTTGAAGGTAGCAAAAATGCAGATTCGTACGTCCTAGTGAGCCACTCTTTGAAAGGAGCACAGAAATCTACATTTTTTTTTTTCTTTTGAGACGGAGTCTCGTTCTTGTTGCCCAGGCCGAAGTGCAGTGGTGCCATCTGGGCTCACTGCAACCTCTGCCTCCTGGGTTCAAGCAATTCTCCTGCCTCAGCCTCCTGAGTAGCTGGGATTACAGATGCCCGCCACCACACCAGGCTAATTTTTGTAGTTTTAGTAGAGACGGTGTTTCAGCATGTTGGTCAGGGTGGTCTCGAACTCCTGACCTCAAGTGATCCACCCGCCTCAGCCTCCCAAAGTGGTGGGATTATAGGATTCAGCCACCACACCCAGCCAAAATCTAAATTTTTAAGAAGCCCTCCAGGTGCTTCCCCAGCACATTGATGTTTGATACATACAAATCTAAATCAGGATTTCCAAAAGGGTATACACATAATGATTGAATAGAGTGTACAAAGAAAATATCAACGTTTCCAATTAAAGTTATTTTCATTTCTTCTATTTTTCATTTCTATTTTTCACATGTTTTATAATGGCTATATTACTGTAATCAATATGTCATTTATAAACACAAACATATGTATATATACACACACATACAATGTCTACTTACATGTACACACACACATACTCACACATACCATGCACTCACATATTCGAAACAGTTTGCAGAGTTCCAATCTAGCCAGCTATGTAAGATGAGAATCAAGCATTTCTTCACATTGTTTTGGGGAGCAATAGCAAATCCTACAGGACAGAAAGCTCCAGGGAGGGCCTGAAGTCTAGGTGTTTTGCATCTTTGGCTGAAAAGAAAGCCCCATGCTGGAGAGACCAGGAGTAGGTGGCATCAGGGAAGGCTGCTATTGATTTTATTTTGAAAGGCTGATGTATGTTCTCATTCGTATGGAGAATTCATACAGAGAACCACATGTCCTCTGCCTAACGATGGGCTACATCAAATGAGGGCCAAAACTCCAACACCTCCTTCTCTGTATAGATTCATATGTGCAAGAAAGCTAATAAGCTCATCAATTCCTTTATTCAGCAAACATTCATGGATGATCTAGTGGTTCTGTTACTGTTCTTAGCACTGGGGCTCAGCAGTGAGCAAAGAAGGCAAGGTCCTGGCACTCATGACCTTACTTTCTTGTGGGGAAGCCCAGAAACAAAGTGAGCCGATACATAAATAAGAATATTGTCAGTTCGAGTGAAGATTAGGCAGAGGACTAAAATAAGATGATGTTCCAGGGAGAAAACGGGGGAGATCACTCAGACAGTGCTGTGAGGGGGAACTTCTCTAACAGGGCAAGTTCTCGGCGTTTTAATTCCCATGCATTCCTCCTCTGGAAGTTACTAGAAAATATGTGTTACAAAACATCGTGGGGAAAGGGGTGGATCAAGAAGAGAGTATGGGACTCAGGAAAAAACAGACTCAGCACAAGAGAGGGAAGGGCACCCAGAATGGTGGTAACAGGGGATCCCCAAACCCCAGCTATGAGCCTCCAATCCAGATTGGAGCAGGTAGGAAGGCTCAAGAGGGCCATTTTGAAGAAAATAGCATTGACAAAATATCCTAGTTTTGAGATTTACACAAATGGTAGGCAGGATTGGGGGAAGAATAAGTATATGTCAAGAACTATGCAAAAAGTAATAATTATAATAACAACAATGGCAACAAAAATTGTTGGCTTCCGAAGAAACAGATCTATAATTTTTTAAAAAAGGGTCATCATACCATATACTACATGACTCAGCTATGAATAAAATTTACACAATCATTACAATGCAAATATCAAGTACCCAGCTTAGTAGCAGAACAGAATAAGCATATCGGGAGTATAGGGTTCAAGCTGTGTGACAGAGAAACTAATGGTAAAAGCTTGATTTTTCTTCTTGCACAGCTTGAAAATGTAGAAAAGAGACAACTTTTAAAACTAAACTTGTGGTGCCCGGAACTGGACTCCTGAGGTGAATGGCCATGAGACCAGGACCCCTCTGTTCTGAATGTAGTCATTAAAGCAGTCATTAATTGGCATAAGTGTGAGTCACTGTTTCATTTCAATATCCCTAAGTCCCATGCTTATATAATTGCTACTTCCTAACTGAGCTGTGTTTTAAAAATGCATTGTATGCATGAATCAAAATATCACATGCACCCCATAAATACGTGTGATTATTATGTATCAAAAAAATACATAAGACCATGCTACACAATATGTCCGCTAAGAAGCTTGAAAGCACAGTGACTACCTTTTGGCAAATAAAATTGAATTTGTACTGCTTCCCATTTAATGTCCCACTATCCCCCTGCTCATGGCCACATGACCAGCTTTCCTTCTGGTTTTTAGAAGTTTGGAGAGTTTGCCTGAGACACCACAACGTCTTAATACTTAACCCTCCACTTTCTTCCTATAGAGAGCAGAATGGAGGGTTCATTCTCAAAAAAAAAAGAGAAAGCTTTCTAGCAGGGGAATCTATCCTGGCTTAAAAAAATAAATGCTTGAATCACAAATGTTTCCATGTAGCACAAGCAATAACATCAGCTAGGCCCATCTTTTAATTACATGGTTTGGCCATGCAAATATTCACAGACACTTTTAGTAAGGCAATGGACTTTTATTTAAAGTGTAATATTAAGAGCTTACTACAATTGCTGATCAGTGCTTCTTTTTTCTTATTTATTGCCTTCCCTTCTCTCATGTTCCAGCCTTGCCCCAACAATAAAATCCCACTTAGTACTTATTTTTTTCAAAAAACATCATTTTTCACTATCATAGGACTGAAGAAGGAAAGAGCTTTCTTCTTCCTTTCTTCTTCTTTTTTAAGAGACTAAGGTTCTTCTCTCCTCCCAAATATTTAATCATAATTATATTAAGAAACATTTATAAAAAGTTAAGTAATAAAATTAAATAGGTTGGAGAAAAACAGAGGAGTAGACAGCAAGGATTAAGTGTAGTAATATAAAGAATAGATTATATTTAATGAAAATTTCCTCAGTGTTCAACATTTTTATTATACTTAATAGTGCTGGGCTTCATTTTTGTCTCCAGTAATTGTGTGTCCATAATGAATGGCCATTCTTATTCCCCCATTGTGCCCTGACAGAAATTAATAAACCTAATTCTGTAGGTTTAAGTTTAATTTTGTTGAAATATATAAAGTAGTTACATATTCACTTAGCAGCAAACCAAAATGCAGTGGCCTCAAGCTGCTCAGCAACTTTATAGGGAGTAAATTGTTTTTTGGCTCTTTCTCGCACGCTTCTTGCTCCTTCCCTTTCTGATTTTAGCCAGGAGGCTTGTTTGTGATATGTCCAGCTACAGAGGACATGCATGGCCACAGAGGTGGAACAGTCAGTGGCCAGGGTGAACATTGTAAAATGTACCAGTATATGATCTAGTCCTCTTCCAAGAACAGCTGTTAATGATTGCTAAGCACTCTCTTGTTGGTTTACAGTTTGATCAAAAAAGTATATAATAAACGTGGCAGGGGATGAGCATCTTACAAGCTAGCAGTTCTCTGGTAATAAATAATGTCCACAGCCCAGTTGCCAGAGCTCAGAAAGAATGGAACCTCCCCTTCAGGGCTTCAAGCACCCTAGGGGTGCTTCCTTGGGGTCTTAGTCTCGGGGAATTTGAAGAAATTTAAAGGAGTTATATCACATCTTTATATATCCCACATGAAGAAATAGGATCACATCTGACTGGTCCACTCATTTGTAATTGACTATAAATATCTTCTCAGAGAAAAGTCAGCTCCATCTGGTGATCATTCCTCCCTCCATCTCTCTGTCTTTTCCTCCCTCCCCCCCCCTCCCTCTTTCTCTACTTTCCTCCATACCTCCTTCCATGCCTCCCCCAATCTGTCCATTCATTCATTCATTCAACAAATATCTGACTCTATCACAGGTCATCAGTAGAGACAAAATGAACAACATAAAAACAATTTGATCTCAAACCTTATGGAGTTTATTGTTATGCTCTTTTTTTTAAAAAAAAAAAGGTAACTCACAAATCAACAGCAACATAATAAAATGATTCCAAGAGTTATGTGGTAAATAAGACATATAACAGAAGGAGAATTGACATGCATAAAAGGGTCAGAACTGCTTTCCTTAGAAAAGTGTAGCAGACCTGATATCAGAGAGAAAGAAAGCACTAAGCAGGAAGAGGTAGGTGAGGTGGGGATTCAGGCACAGGGGCCCTGCCCATAAGGCAGCATGACAAACCTGAGGGTAGAAGGGGGAAGCAAATAAAAACTGAGGCTCAAAGATAGCTAGGGCACAGAGAAGAAGGAACCCCACAGATCACCTCAAGACTTTAGGGTTTATCCCAAGAATAGCAGGGAGCATCAAAGGAGGCCATCAAAAAACTCTAAGGGAGCTAGATACTTGCTCAGAGCTGCTGTTATGGGACATGAAGTATTAGGCAGAGAATGGCCATAAGAAAGCTCTTTTTTATCATCTTCATTTGTTTTAAAACTGAGAAAATGAAGAACCAGGAAATTTAGTCAAAGCTGGAACATAGAGTCAAGCACACTGACTTCAGTTCCCTTACCCCTACACCTATGCTAGCTTATTTCCCTGGAGTCCTTATCAGCCCTATTGAGCAACCTCAGTGATGATTGTTCAATGTACCAGGCATGTGAATTCCTTTCTAGGGTCATATAGTTTATATCTACTGAATGCTTTCTAGTAATGCCTTCAAAACATCTTACTAATAGACTGAAAGGATGACATAATGAGGACCGCTCTGGACACATCATACCATGATAATCCCATTTCACAGATTAGCTATGTAGAGGTAGATGTCAGGGATTTGTAGCCTCACATCCTCCATCTGATCTTCATATATTATTTCCAACTCTTAATTGTAACTTTATATACGATAATGAATTTGACTACATGGAGGCCTCAACAAGTACCAAAAGCAACCACACTGAGATTCAAAAAACTACAATTCTAGTCCCAACCCTTGCCTCAAACTGTAGCAGAGCTGATATCAGAGAGAAAGAAAGCACTAAGGAGGAAGAGGTGGGGCGGTGGGGGGGGACATAACATGAAATGAAATCCTGGACATTTCCTTTAATGGGGACACAGTCTCCAGTCAGCTGGTTCCAAGGTCTGGCAATTCCAGCTCCTGAGTTTGAGAACAAGGAGTTGGCCCAGTATAGAGACCCTAGTTTCTGTCTAACAGCAAGGTTCTGTCCTTCTGATCACTGAAACCTGACAGGGTTGTGCTTGACCCATGTAATCCTAGCAGACATGAGAAGAGCAGCCTACAAGAGAATGCCTTGGAGCTAGATTTATTCAGCTTCAATCCCAGTTGCTGTGTGACTCGTCCATATTAACTTTTTTGGGCTTCAGTTCCTTTGTTAAGTGGAAGTCACTTATTTGTTTGGCTATGGATACTAGATTGCTATGGATATTAGAGAAAATTTACGAAAACATGTGGCTTTATCCTTAATTTGAGCAGATACTCAATGAACACTATATTCTTCTCTCTTCTTCATCCTTTCACTCTTCCTTCCTCCTGTTCTTTTTTGCTCTCCTTGCCTTCTTTGCATTCGTTTCTTATATTTCTGTATCTCCTTCCTTCTAGGAAATAATTGCAATAGTTCTTGAGAGTTCACCACCATACTCTCCTTTATGGGGCAGTCTGTTACTCTATTTTATGAATTCCATTTCTTTGTCGAAATAAAAACAGGAGCTTCTGATCACAGGTATAATTCCAGTAGCAGGTGCAGCTGAGAGCCTTCTCAATCACGATACCTTCAGGGTTCTGTATTGATCTGATTCTACTTTGAGAATTCAATTAGAAGGGGGAATATTGTGGGCATGAAGAGAGCTCCTGAATGACACCTACAAAAATAGAAGGGGAAGAGTGTGACCGGTGGAAGGAGGGGACACAAAGGCGAGGACATCCTGCGCTCTGAGACCCACCAGGATTTATCTCTGGTCAAGCTGAATCAAGAACACTGGAATCTGCTTACAGCCCAACAGATTTAAGCTACTACTGTGCTTTCCAAGGTTATTAAGTTCAAGTACGTGGAGTATGTGTATTGGAGAAACGTGCCGTTGGTAAGAACAGATTAACCTGAGAGTATTCCACTGGCCCTGCCCTCCCTCACTCCTCCCTGAACCCTGGCCTCTCCCCTAGGACCCTGTCACTGCCAAGCCACAGGATCATTGCTCACACACATACTGCTTTGCCTTTTGAACGACCTGCTCCCCATATACACATGGCAATGAAAGACCGTCTTCTGATAAGCAGAGCAATTAACAGCCTGGTTATCAGTGGCTATCAGTTCCCCTCTTTCCTATCAACACTGTAAAAAAAAAAATCTAAGTTTTCAAAAGTCAGCAGCCCCTCTTCCTGAGTGGAGGACAGTCATTGTAATGAGTGATTGAGTTTGGCATCCTCTCTTGTCAGCGAGATTTTTTTTTCCTAGAAGTATGTGAAGAAAAACATCTAGAAAATGCTTTTGTTTGTGGGTTTGGACTGGAGAATGGCTCTTATCTGTTTAGGCAGAGAGAGCCTTGGGTGTTGCTTCTGCCTAGGAAAAGCATCCCTACAATGATAAAAGCCAAGGAATTAATAGTAAACAGACAACATTCCCCAAAACACCGGTGTGTATACATGTGAGATAGACACAATGTTATAAATTGAGATACTTAAGCAGACCATCCTTTATATCCAGTGATCAATCTATTTCATCCATTCATCTAACCACCCATCCATCCATTTTTCCATCCATTCATCTATCCAGCTGTCTATCCATTTGTCCATTTATCTATCAATCCATTTCATCCATACTTCCACCCATCCATCCATTCATTCATCAGTCCATCCATTCATTTCTCCATCCATTCATCTATCCATCTGTCTTTCCATCCCCGGCCTCCTCATCCATTCATCCACCCGTTCATTAACCTATCCTTCCATTTTATTCATCCTTCCATCCATACATTTATCCATCCATCATTCCATCCATCCATTCACCTATTCATCCATCCACCCATCCATCCACAGATATTTATTTAGTACTCTAACATTTTAGTCTCTCTACTACTAGTTTGGGAGTCCATAGTGAACCAGGTAGACACATTTTCTGCCACATCAAGTTGTCAGTCATAGAGGGAAATATAAATAATTAAACAATGTACAGTACAATGTAATTAAGTATTGAGATGGGAGTTCAAGGTGCAGGCAGAGAACATCCAACAGTTACATAGCTCTGGTTTAGAGTCATCAGTTGCAGTCTCTCTGAGGAAACTCTTCCTGGGAAGAAGGAACCAACCCTGTAAGATAATTAGATCTAGCTAGTCAGGTGCAGGGAAGCTGGAAGAAAAGAAGGGCTTTAACATTAATTGAATATCTATTTCATGCCAGATAACAGGTTTGTCACATTACAGATAGTTCTTCAATTCATTTTCACAGCAACTAGAGAAAACAGAGGCTCTGCACAGTAAAGTTGCTTTCCCAAGTGCTCAGAACAAGAGACATACTTTATAAATGACCCAGGTTTTCTCTTGTTCCAATGTCTTTACTCTTTGTCTTGTTCCATGAATTCCCCTCCACCACACCTCCCTTGGATTATGAGTGAGTTGAAAAATTCAGGGAGGTTTTTGACACATTCTCCAACCAAGAAAGATAAAGTATGTGGGCTCTGGATTCAAACAGGCCTAGATTTCAATTCCTTTTTGACATCTACTAGGAGCATGACTTTAGGCAAGTTATTTAACCTCTCTAAGCCTCTATGTTCTCATCTGTAAAATGGGGATAGTAATAGTTTGTACTTCAGTGCTTTATAAAAAAAATAAGAAGTGCAAAGTTAGTAGAGTATCTGGTCCTATAATAGTTCAATGCATGTTTTTATATTATTCTTTTCATTATCTCCGCAGAAATAGGCTTGTTTTATAGAAGAAAACATGATGAGATACGACACAGAGGAGAAAATCTTCAATGCTTTAAATAAAGAGGCCTTTGTTCCTTCTTGTCCATCAACTAGAGAGAAGCGTTGAACCCCATGGTATACCCCAACCTCACAACAACCTTAACAAATAGGTCTCAGTATATTTTTCCAGCCTCGACTATCACTTAATCCAGACATCTGAGACTCTAGGGCAGCCTCCTGGAGTAGCTCTGAGTTTTAAGCCTCTTCCAGCCCTTTTGAGAGGTCAAAACCAAGGAGGTATTGCGTGAGAACTCCCCATCCTCCAGAACTACCCAGTCTGAGGGTAGAAGTTCGTGAGCTGCTGAATGTCACCCCTGTCCTGCCATTACCGAGTGCACCGTCACCTTGGAATGCGCTTGGGGTGAGGGCAGATGGTGATGGAGGCTACTTCACATAGACCTGGCAGGAGACCCTAAAGGGCTGGTCCCTCCCTTCAGGGCCCTACAGAGGCCTTCCCTGAGTCTTTCCCCACTCTGGGCCTCTTTTCCTGCTATTTTCACCCATTTAAATGTGCTTGTCAGATTCCTGCCAACACACTTGGTTTTGTAATGTTGTGTAATACCTCGAGCCACCTTAATGAAATATTCACACTCCCTTCTCTGTTGGAGCATTCACCCAGGTTCCCAGAAAATTCTCTCTCTCTTGTTTTCAAAGATATACCCCCAAGAAGGAAGACCCTGAGTGAGGCCCATGACCCCCAGTAGAGGCAGGCTCAATGGCTGGGGCAAACTGCTCCATAGAATGGGGTTTGGGGAGCCTCCTGTCTCAGGCTCCTCCTGGAAGAACTGAGAACCCTAAATAGAATGGCTAGGAGCAGGAATATTTGAGTTGGGACCTCCTGGGATAAGACCCCCACCCCGGGAAATAGAGAAACCTTTCTCCTCAAGATTAGCGTCCTAGCTAATTCTGCCTTTAAAAAGCAGCCCTGCGGACCCAAAGCATCTTGACACTGAGCAAAGACTGCCACCTGTTGAATACTCAGGATAGTGTGCTCCTTCCAAGGCCTCCAGGCTCCAGGGTATATGCTGCAGGCACAGCCTGTCCTCTACCCATCCAAGCTCAGAAGTGGGAAAAGCCACCCAGTGCTGATTGCGTAGACCTTCTGGCATTCATCTGTAAAATAAGGCGGTTGCCCTGAGTGACCTCCCACAGCTCAGGGAAGGTGAGTTGACTTGCCTTGGTCACAAAGTAAGTCAGGAGCTCCTGACCTCTTTCTGATGCCGCCAGAAGCACTTCCTACCCTACCACTCTCTTTAGATTCTGTTTGAATTTATTTTATGAAGGTATTTTTAAAGACATAAATAAAAGAGCCCAAATTGGCAAAAATACAGGTTGGCAAAACATCAAAGTGAATATACAGGTGGAAACAGCACTCACATTAAAACCCAGAATGCATCTGGTCCCTAAAGGAGCATCCTTCTTTCACTCTTACAGTTACCCTCTGCTCCAAGGGTAATGAGTATCTTGATTTCTAGCTCCATAGGTTAGTTTTGCCTGTTTTTGAACTGAATACAAATTGATTCATACATGTGATGTCACTTTTCTCACTCATTGTTTCATTTGTGTGATTTAGTCTTTCCCTCTGTGTCATAAGAAACCATATTTTTTTTAAGGTGGGATGCGGAATTATACCTGAAAACTGGAAAGACTTTGGAAATTATTGAATGCAGCCTTATTGTTCTTTAGTGAGAGAGGGAGGCTCAGAGGAGGAAGGGATCCGTCAAAGGAGACATAGCATGTTCAGAGGTTTCTCTATTAGATGACAAGACTCCCATACAGATGGCCAAGGGGAACACAGAACTTGGCACTCAGGCCAGCACTAAGGACACTGGTCCCACTTAACATGTCATCAAGCCTTAGGAACACTTTAACAGGTTCTAGTCTAAGACCATAAGTATTGTCATCCTCATTACCAAATGTGGCATTTTGCCCACTGTACTCATTCAACAAACACTCAAATATTTGATGAGTGAATAAATGGATCTCAGTACCTCACTGCCTTCATTCCGGAAATGGATACCTTATTGTGGGTCCTGACTCTCTCACCAGTTATGATGAGGATAGATGCAGTGATACCTGGTTAAGAGACTGATGTTGGTTACAAACGAAAAACTCTTGCAATGGACAGTGTCCATTGGTTGTACTCATGGGCTCTGAAGCTAGACTGACCCAGATTCCATTACTACATCTAGGATTTATGTGTTTGTTAATCTTAGATGATCTTTCTTTCTTTCTTTTTTTTTTTTTTTTATACTTTAAGTTTTAGGGTACATGTGCACATTGTGCAGGTTAGTTACATATGTATACATGTGCCATGCTGGTGCACTGCACCCACTAACTCGTCATCTAGCATTAGGTATATCTCCCAGTGCTATCCCTCCCCCCTCCCCCCACCCCACCACAGTCCCCAGAGTGTGATATTCCCCTTCCTGTGTCCATGTGATCTCATTGTTCAATTCCCACCTATGAGTGAGAATATGCGGTGTTTGGTTTTTTGTTCTTGTGATCGTTTACTGAGAATGATGATTTCCAATCTCATCCATGTCCCTACAAAGGACATGAACTCTCCATTTTTTATGGCTGCATAGCATTCCATGGTGTATATGTGCCACATTTTCTTAATCCAGTCTATCATTGTTGGACATTTGGGTTGGTTCCAAGTCTTTGCTATTGTGAATAATGCCACAATAAACATACGTGTGCATGTGTCTTTATAGCAGCATGATTTATAGTCCTTTGGGTATATACCCAGTAATGGGATGGCTGGTTCAAATGGTATTTCTAGTTCTAGATCCCTGAGGAATCGCCACACTGACTTCCACAATGGTTGAACTAGTTTACAGTCCCACCAACAGTGTAAAAGTGTTCCTGTTTCTCCACATCCTCTCCAGCACCTGTTGTTTCCTGACTTTTTAATGATTGCCATTCTAACTGGTGTGAGGTGGTATCTCATTGTGGTTTTGATTTGCATTTCTCTGATGGCCAGTGATGATGAGCATTTTTTCATGTGTTTTTTGGCTGTGTAAATGTCTTCTTTTGAGAAGTGTCTGTTCATGTCCTTTGCCCACTTTTTGATGGGGTTGTTTGTTTTTTTCTTGTAAATTTGTTTGAGTTCATTGTAGATTCTGGATATTAGCCCTTTGTCAGATGAGTAGGTTGTGAAAATTTTCTCCCATTTTGTAGGTTGCCTGTTCACTCTGATGGTAGTTTCTTTTGCTGTGCAGAAGCTCTTTAGTTTAATTAGATCCCATTTGTCAATTTTGGCTTCTGTTGCCATTGCTTTTGGTGTTGTGGACATGAAGTCCTTGCCCATGCCTATGTCCTGAATGGTGATGCCTAGGTTTTCTACTACGGTTTTTATGCCTTTAGGTCTAGCGTTTAAGTCTTTAATCCATCTTGAATTGATTTTTGTATAAGGTGTAAGGAAGGGATCCAGTTTCAGCTTTCTACATATGGCTAGCCAGTTTTCCCAGCACCATTTATTAAATAGGGAATCCTTTCCCCATTGCTTGTTTTTCTCAGGTTTGTCCAAGATCAGATAGTTGTAGATATATGGCATTATTTCTGAGGGCTCTGTTCTGTTCCATTTGTCTATATCTCTGTTTTGGTACCAGTACCATGCTGTTTTGGTTACTGTAGCCTTGTAGTATAGTTTGAAGTCAGGTAGTGTGATGCCTCCAGCTTTGTTCTTTTGGCTTAGGATTGCCTTGGTGATGCGGGCTCTTTATTGTTTCCATATGAACTTTAAAGTAGCTTTTTCCAATTCTGTGAAGAAAGTCATTGGTAGCTTTATGGGGATGGCATTGAATCTGTAAGTTACCTTGGGCAGTATGGCCATTTTCACGATATTGATTCTTCCTACCCATGAGCATGGAATGTTCTTCCATTTGTTTGTATCCTCTTTTATTTCCTTGAGCAGTGGTTTGTAGTTCTCCTTGAAGAGGTCCTTCACATCCCTTGTAAGTTGGATTCCTAGGTATTTTATTCTCTTTGAAGCAATGGTGAATGGGAGTTCAATCATGCATGATTTGGCTCTCTGTTTGTCTGTTATTGGTGTATAACAATGCTTGTGATTTTTGTACATTGATTTTGTATCCTGAGACTTTGCTGAAGTTGCCTTTCGGCTTAAGGAGATTTTGGGCTGAGACGATGGGGTTTTCTAGATATACAATCATGTCATCTGCAAACACGGACAATTTGACTTCCTCTTTTCCCAGTTGAATACCCTTTATTTCCTTCTCCTGCCTGATTGCCCTGGCCAGAACTTCCAACACTACGTTGAATAGGAGTGCTGAGAGAGGGCATCCCTGTCTTGTGCCAGTTTTCAAAGGGAATGCTTCCAGTTTTTGCCCATTCAGTATGATATTGGCTGTGGGTTTGTCATAGATAGCTCTTATTATTTTGAAATACGTCCCATCAATACCTAATTTATTGAGAGTTTTTAGCATGAAGGGTCGTTGAATTTTGTCAAAGGCTTTTTCTGCATCTATTGAGATAATCATGTGGTTTTTGTCTTTGGCTCTGTTTATATGCTGGATTACATTTATTGATTTGCGTATGTTGAACCAGCCTTGCATCCCAGGGATGAAGCCCACTTGATCGTGGTGGATAAGCTTTTTGATGTGCTGCTGGATTCGTTTTGCCAGTATTTTATTGAGGATTTTTGCATCAATGTTCATCAAGGATATTGGTCTAAAATTCTCTTTTTTGGTTGTGTCTCTGCCCGGCTTGGGTATCAGAATGATGCTGGCCTCATAAAATGAGTTAGGGAGGATTCCCTCTTTTTCTATTGATTGTAATAGTTTCAGAAGGAATGGTACCAGTTCCTCCTTGTACCTCTGATAGAATTCGGCTGTGAATCCATCTGGTCCTGGACTCTTTTTGTTGGTAAACTATTGATTATTGCCACAATTTCAGCTCCTGTTATTGGTCTATTCGGAGATTCAACTTCTTCCTGGTTTAGTCTTGGGAGAGTGTATGTGTCCAGGAATTTATCCATTTCTTGTAGATTTTCTAGTTTATTTGCATAGAGGTGTTTATAGTATTCTCTGATGGTAGTTTGTATTTCCGTGGGATCAGTGGTGATATCCCCTTTATCATTTTTTATTGCGTCTATTTGATTCTTCTCTCTTTTTTTCTTTATTAGTCTTGCTAGCAGTCTATCACTTTTGTTGATCCTTTCAAAAAACCAGCTCCTGGATTCATTAATTTTTTGAAGGGTTTTTTGTGTCTCTATTTCCTTCAGTTCTGCTCTGATTTTAGTTATTTCTTGCCTTCTGCTAGCTTTTGAATGTGTTTGCTCTTGCTTTTCTAGTTCTTTTAATTGTGATGTTAGGGTGTCAATTTTGGATCTTTCCTGCTTTCTCTTGTGGCATTTAGTGCTATAAATTTCCCTCTACACACTGCTTTGAATGTGTCCCAGAGATTCTGGTATGTTGTGTCTTTGTTCTCGTTGGTTTCAAAGAACATCTTTATTTCTGCCTTCATTTCGTTATGTATCCAGTAGTCATTCAGGAGCAGGTTGTTCAGTTTCCATGTAGTTGAGCGGTTTTGAGTGAGATTCTTAATCCTGAGTTCTAGTTTGATTGCACTGTGGTCTGAGAGATAGTTTGTTATAATTTCTGTTCTTTTACATTTGCTGAGGAGAGCTTTATTTCCAAGTATGTGGTCAATGTTGGAATAGGTGTGGTGTGGTGCTGAAAAAAATGTATATTCTGTTGATTTGGGGTGGAGAGTTCTGTAGATGTCTATTAGGTCTGCTTGGTGCAGAGCTGAGTTCAATTCCTGGGTATCCTTGTTGACTTTCTGTCTCGTTGATCTGTCTAATGTTGACAGTGGGGTGTTAAAGTCTCCCATTATTAATGTGTGGGAGTCTAAGTCTCTTTGTAGGTCACTCAGGACTTGCTTTATGAATCTGGGTGCTCCTGTATTGGGTGCATATATATTTAGGATAGTTAGCTCTTCTTGTTGAATTGATCCCTTTACCATTATGTAATGGCCTTCTTTGTCTCTTTTGATCTTTGTTGGTTTAAAGTCTGTTTTATCAGAGACTAGGATTGCAACCCCTGCCTTTTTTTGTTTTCCATTTGCTTGGTAGATCTTCCTCCATCCTTTTATTTTGAGCCTATGTGTGTCTCTGCACGTGCGATGGGTTTCCTGAATAAAGCACACTGATGGGTCTTGACTCTTTATCCAATTTGCCAGTGTGTGTCTTTTAATTGGAGCATTTAGTCCATTTACATTTAAAGTTAATAGTGTTATGTGTGAATTTGATCCTGTCATTATGATGTTAGCTGGTGATTTTGCTCGTTAGTTGATGCAGTTTCTTCCTAGTCTCGATGGTCTTTACATTTTGGCATGATTTTGCAGCGGCTAGTACCAGTTGTTCCTTTCCATGTTTAGCACTTCCTTCAGGAGCTCTTTTAGGGCAGGCCTGCTGGTGACAAAATCTCTCAGCATTTGCTTGTCTGTAGAGTATTTTATTTCTCCTTCACTTATGAAGCTTAGTTTGGCTGGATATGAAATTCTGGGTTGAAAATTCTTTTCTTTAAGAATGCTGAATATTGGCCCCCACTCTCTTCTGGCTTGTAGGGTTTCTGCCGAGAGATCCGCTGTTAGTCTGATGGGCTTCCCTTTGAGGGTAACCCGACCTTTCTCTCTGGCTGCCCTTAACATTTTTTCCTTCATTTTAACTTTGGTGAATCTGACAATTATGTGTCTTGGAGTTGCTCTTCTCGAGGAGTATCTTTGTGGCGTTCTCTGTATTTCCTGAATCTGAACGTTGGCCTGCCTTGCTAGATTGGGGAAGTTCTCCTGCATAATATCCTGCAGAGTGTTTTCCAACTTGGTTCCATTCTCCCCATCACTTTCAGGTACACCAATCAGACGTAGATTTGGTCTTTTCACATAGTCCCATATTTCTTGGAGGCTTTGTTCGTTTCTTTTTATTCTTTTTTCTCTAAACTTCCCTTCTCGCTTCATTTCATTCATTTGATCTTCAATCACTGATACCCTTTCTTCCAGTTGATCACATCGGCTGCTGAGGCTTCTGCATTCTTCACGTAGTTCTCGAGCCTTGGTTTTCAGCTCCATCAGCTCCTTTAAGCACTTCTCTGTATTGGTTATTCTAGTTGTACATTCTTCTAAATTTTTTTCAGAGTTTTCAACTTCTTTGCCTTTGGTTTGAATGTCCTCCCATAGCTCAGAGTAATTTGATCGTCTGAAGCCTTCTTCTCTCAGCTCGTCAAAGTCCTTCTCCATCCACCTTTGTTCCATTGCTGGTGAGGAACTGCATTCCTTTGGAGGAGGAGAGGCACTGTGCGTTTTAGAGTTTCCAGTTTTTCTGTTCTGTTTTTTCCCCATCTTTGTGGTTTTATCTACTTTTGGTCTTTGATGATGGTGATGTACAGATGGGTTTTTGGTGTGGATGTCCTTTCTGTTTGTTAGTTTTCCTTCTAACAGACAGGACCCTCAGCTGCAGGTCTGTTGGAATACCCTGCCGTGTGAGGTGTCAGTGTTCCCCCTGCTGGGGGGTGACTCCCAGTTAGGCTGCTCGGGGGTCAGGGGTCAGGGACCCACTTGAGGAGGCAGTCTGCCCATTCTCAGATCTCCAGCTGCGTGCTGGGAGAACCACTGCTCTCTTCAAAGCTGTCAGACAGGGACATTTAAGTCTGCAGAGGTTACTGCTGTCTTTTTGTTTGTCTGTGCCCTGCCCCCAGAGGTGGAGCCTACAGAGGCAGGCAGGCCTCCTTGAGCTGTGGTGGGCTCCACCCAGTTCGAGCTTCCTGGCTGCTTTGTTTACCTAAGCAAGCCTGGGCAGTGGGGGCGCCTGTAATCTGTGGGCTGATTACCTCATTTCTCTACTGGGGCCCAAGATTCCTTCCCCTTCTTCTCCCTGATTGGAATAAGTTCAAAAAAATAAAATAAAAATTTTCCATGATCCCTCCACCCGCAGGTAATGACTCTAACCTTTTAGAATATTGCCTTCTAATCGTCTAGCCAAATATAGTTTGTAATAAAATTAAGAGTCCTCTAATAGCCAGTTTTATTTCTATACATTTTCAGTTGATGCCACATGGTTTAGTTTTCCCAAGCTACTTAATACTGTTCTTTAATATCAATCTTAATAATTACATAATTGTATTATAGAACTGTATCAACATTTACTCCACAATTCCTCTCTATTCAGATTTTGTCTAACATTTTGATACAACAATTCTGCTCTATAAGGATAGACTCCTTAATGAAAAAAGAATAGACTTCTTGAATTGGAATCAATTGGTCAGAGATTTTTTATTATTTCAATGTATATATTTTTATAAATGGGCCATGTTTCTATTGTAATCAGACTTAAATCCAAACTCCTCAGAATGAAGAGCAAACACCTTCTCAAACTGATTCTTATCCCCTCATCTTTTCATTTTCATCTTTAGCCACTAAAACACACACACACACCCCCCTTTCATATTGTAGCCTTGCTAAAATGCCTGCAGACATCTCAGCATGGGTCAGATGTTCATATCAAGGCTTTTGTACATATTTCTTTGACCGTTGGGATGTACTTTCCCTCTCCTGAACTTGGCCATATTCTCATCTTTTCAAGACTCAAATATCGCCTTCTCTCTGTGAAGTTTTCTCTGAGCTTCCAGGCAAAATGAGCCATCCCCCATCTACCCACCCATCCTTGATGTTCCCATTGCAACCTGTGTGTTTAATAATAATAATTATATTGATCATAATAGTAATCAAGATGAATTGAGCCCTTATCATGTGCTCAGACAGTATTCTAAGCACTTTTTGTGGATTATCCCAGCATTCATGGCTTTGTGGTTTAATGATCAGTTAGCATGTACATCTGTTCCCCCACCCCAGCCACTGGCTGTGTCAGGGAGGGGCTGCACCTTCTTTCTCTCATTACTCCCAGTAATTCAAAATGCCTGACATGAGTAAACTGCACAGCAAATATGTCAGAAATGAATATCTGAACCAATCCTCTACTCATGACTCAGCCCGTTTAGGGCTGTGTTAAAAATGACTGGAGAGCTGGGAAAAGACTACTTGGATGCTAATCCCATGGTACACTCCCTCCAGAAACCCCCAGGCAAGCTCCGCTCCTGGCGAAAAGCTGCAAAGTAAAACCATGCAAAGTCTGGATATTCTTACAAGGCAAAGGGCCTTTCTCTTCTCTCTAGAGCACTGTTGTTTATGCTGAGGCTTTTTGTTTTTGTTTGTTTGTTTGACAGAGTTTCGCTCTTGTTGCCCAGGCTGAAGTGCAATGAAGCAATCTTGGCTGACTGCAACATTTGCCCCCCGGGTTCAAGCCATTCTCCTGCCTCAGCCTCCCAAGTAGCTGGGATTACAGGCATGTGCCACCACGCCCTGCTAATTTTTTGTATTTTTAGTAGAGATAGAGTTTCACCATGTTGGTCAGGCTGGTCTCAAACTCCTGACCTCAGGTGATCCACCCACCTCAGCCTCCCAAAGTGCTGGGATTACAGGAGTGAGACACCATGCCTGGCCTATGCTGAGGTTTTTATAAACATCATCTCATTTAATCCTCTCATTTCAGATCTTGGAGCCCTCTAGGAGACACAACCCTTTTCTTACAGATAGCTTGAAAAAACAGAAGCTCAACAATAGATACTGCTTATAACAAACTCAGAAGGCTGACCCTGTGTGCACTATTTGCCTACATTACCTGCCCCAAATTGTATTTAATAAGCCTCTGAACTCTATCACCGACAAACATAGTTTCTCTTGAGGAAAATGAGGCTCAAAATGATGAAGTGATCTCCCCAGGTTTGCCCCAAGAAAGCAGGAGTATCAAGAGGAGATGACAGGTTATTGGATTCTGCAAACTTCTCTGCCACTTCTTGATTTCAGCAGTTTCCCTGTGAGGCAAATCTCTTTTGAAATCTTACCTGCCTCTGTACAGGGAGGATCCAAGGCAACCCTGTATTAAACATCTGTTATGTGCCTTGTGCCATGCTGGTTTCTTTATAGACCTTATCTCCAGTCCTCAAAGATTCTCCTGCAAGCTAAGGTATTATTTTCTCCTGATTTAATGGATAAAGAAATTGAGACTCAAAGAGGTGACTTCTCCAAACTCACTCAGCTTGTAATATGGCAGAAGTTAAAATTTGGGCCTGGGAGTATTTGTATCCCAAGTCCAAGGTCTTCCCACTCTACCATGTCTTAAACTGATCCTCTGTGGAACATGAATGTGCAGATTGTGATGCCAGAAATTATTCTGTGCTCAAAGGTGTTGGTTAAGCAAAGATAAATTGCTTTATTAACTCTAATACTCATCAGAGCTCTAAATATACCAATGCCCACTGTGTATTTCCAAAAGCAGCTAGAGTATTCCCCTAAATTGTGAAATTATTAGATTGCAAATCCCTGTTTTTGGAAAGCATCATGTGGGAGTAATATGTGGAAGAAAACATTTGGGAAAAGGTTTTATCACACTTAGATTCTCATGCCTCAGAATTTAACTCCATTCTTGTTACCTGTTTGTTGATTCTCTTTACTTGTTCCTCTGAATGTATTAATATGCCCTGACGAGATCTTTGAACTCATCAGGGTTCCTCTGGTAGGTCCCTCATCTTCTAAGGTGACTCTTTTCTGATTGTGCTGCACGATGCACCTCGTTCCTCCAGCTCACCCCATGCCCACACACAGAACATAGCGTCAGACTACCCTGCATGTCTGATGCCTGCTCCCACTCTTAAATCAACTTACTGAACAGGATGCCCAGTGGAATTGGCTTAAATTAACAGCTGCCATGAACAGAATCCCCTTCATGCTTCTTGCCAAAATCTCTTTTTTCCCGGTTTGTAGGTTCCGTTCCCATTCCCCACCCTAATGGAAAAGATACTTCAAAATCCTGGCCCAAAACTTTCACTTGATTTAAAAGCACCATGGTGTTCCATCTGCAAAATTATAAGACCAGATCCATTAATATGCTCAGAGGAGATTGGCTTAAAAGAGAGAGAGTGTCTGTGAGCAAATTTAATCTAAGCCACAGCTTATTTAAAAACTGATAGGAACTAATTAAATTAATAAAATTTTATTGAACTTTAAAACAAAAATCAATTTTTTAAAAATCCCCCTTTCACTGAATTCAAACACAATGAAGTTCTTTTTAATTAAATTAGTTGGTTTTCTTTCCACTCATTCTGAACTCAAAATAGAAGTTCTAAATCTGAAGTTTTCTCTAGTCTCAAGTACATACCTTTTATTTGTCTATTTAAAATAAAGACAAAATCTTTGTGTGTAATACAGTTTCTTTACCTTTTAATGAAGCTGTTAAAATGTTTTATTTCATGACCTGTCAATCCAGGGGTGTGCCAGCCTTGGAGAGTAAGAAAGGACTGACTTGTGGCTTTTGCCAATTTCCATGATGTAAATACTCTTAGCATGGCTTATGATTTCTGATTTCAAGCTATAAGGCTGACTGATGATAGTGAACAGAAAGTTAGGATGAAATGCACACTATCTACTCTCATGATCTGGGAGAGCTGGCTCTGGCCAACTACTGTGTCTTCCTTTATAATCTGATTCCACTGGCATCATCCATCTAGTGTGCCTCATTCCCAGCTACACTTCATGAACATTTAAAAAGCATGACAAGTGCTTCTTGACAATGGCAGTGATTACTCCATTGGCTCAGAAATATACTTAGGTATAGGACATTATTAGATTCAGGAAATATCTCTAAATTCTGGTTTATCAGCAATCCACTAAATTATTATTATTTAACTTTCTATGGATTCAGAGATCTACTGTCTCTTTAGATTTTTATTTTTGTTTTTAAAATTAATGCTACAGTTGTTACAAGTCAAAGAAAATGTTAAATTCATTTTTCTTCACTCCACTATCCTTCCTATTCATAGTAAATCAAACTACTTCCCAAGTTTGTTTAATTCCATGAAAAAATGTTAGAACGTCAGTGAGTCTTCTTTTCTGGACTTGAGAAGTCATTTCTAGAAAAAATTATCCAGGAGTCCTGGCCAAGTATATAAAATCTTAACTATGCCAATCCAGAGAATAAAAAAAGGAATAAATAGAGGCAATTTAGAGGGAGCTAGGGCCCTAGCATTTTTGGAATGTTTACTGTAATTGTACTAAGGGTATTGCATGTATTATCACATCTAATCCTCAAAATGCTCTTTGGTGGCTATTATCATCTTTTATTTGTTAAGAGATTAAAATGCAATTTCATTACATGCCCATAGTCACACAACTAGTGAGCAGAGTGAGTAGGATTCAAATACAGTCATCTTTGATGGCCAAACCCATAATTTTTCCATGATGCTATATTATCCTTTAAAGGTAGCCTAAAGATTATTTCATCCAATTTGCCGAGTCTTCCCCTGGGCTTCTCTCTTCTCTCATCTTGTGACCTACTTATCTACCTTACCTTCACAGATTTGAGCAGATCTAATGCTCAAATCTCTAAAGCCCAATAGGGTAGAAAGCAGGTGCATTATGTCTCTCCACTCACCTCATCCAAAACTTTTCTGCCTCTGTGTAAGAACTGGGAAAGCTCTCCAAATAAAGAGAAGATTTTCTCTACCATAAGAGTAAAGACACATTCCAACAGATACTGCCTCTGTGTTGTTTCTCTGGGCAGCCTGGGTCTTTATCCAGAAAGCCAGCACCCAGCCTAAGAAAACTGATTTCTTCCACACTCTTCCCTCATTCATGCAGATGCCTGTGTACAAAACTTCTGAGGCCCATAGGTAAATTTACCCACAGCTCTTAGTTTTGCCCAGGTCTAGCATTTGGACACGATCAGGTTAGACTATTAAAGGACCCAGCATTTGGCAATCTTCTATAATATGCTGGGCATTTTACTTCCATAGGGTCACAATCCTATATGTAATTACCCATATGTTTTAGTCTCAGGACAAATTTTTTTCTGAGGTATCAAAGACTATACAAAAATATAAGGTAAAATAATAAGGCAAAAAGTATCTTAGGTCTCTGATCATGTCACTTCTCTGCTCAAAACCCTATAATGGAAGAGAAAAATCAAAGACCTCCCATGGCCTATATGGTAGATTTTATTTTTTATGGTGGCTGAAATAACATGCTCTATCCAATATCCTCTTCTGGAAGCTTCTTACTCCCTCAAAAAGAAAGGTCTGCGTTCCATCCTCTTGAAACTCTGTTTGACTTTGTGACTGCCTTGATCAATGGAGTATGGTAGAAATGACACTATGTGACTTTGGAGTCTAGGTCATACAAATGTCATGTACTTCTGCCTAGCTCTCTTGGGACACTCACTCTTAGAACCCAGCCACCACATTATGAGAAAGTCCAAGATGCCCAAGGAGAAGCATACAGCCTTTTCTGAGCTCCCAGCCAACAGCCAACACCACCTTACCAGTTGTGTAAAAGAGCTATCTTTAAAGCAGATTCTCCAACCCTGGCATCAAGCTTCTCCAGCTGATGCCATGTGCAGCAGCAATAACCATCCTTGCTGAGCACTGCCCAAACGTAGGATTGCTAGAAAAATAAAGAATGTTGTTTTCAGCCATAAAATTTGGGGATGATTTGTTACAGAGTAATAGATAACTAGAAGAGCCTACAAGATCTTATATGAGCTGGCTTCCTGTTAACTCTCAGATTTCCTCTCCAGTCACTCTGTACTCCTGTATTTAAAAAAACTTGGCAAACACAAGACCACCTTCAGACATGGGCTGTAAATGCCACACTAACCAGGAGGATAGTTAGGGGAAGAGCAATCCAGGCAAAATGTCATAGTCTTGAAAATCATTGCACAAACGTAGTGAGGTTCACACTTATTACGGTATTTTAAAAATATATGACATGCAGACTGAAATGTATACACATTGTAACTATACAACTTAATGAACTTTTACACACTGAACACATCCATGTAACCACCATCCAGATCAGAAATACATCAGTGATGTACTGAAACTCTTCTTATGACCTTATATAGTCAGCCAAAGGTAACCGTTATTCCAATTATTGATGACATAAATAACATTTGCTTAATTTTGAACATCATGTATATGGAATCATATCATATATCTCTTTTGTATCTGGCTTTATTCACTCAACATTATGTTTGTGAAATTCATCCATAATACAGTTTTTGCGACATAGAATTTCACTATATTAACACAACATTTATTTATTCATTCTACCACTGAGGGACACTTGACCTGCTCTCATTTTTGGTGATTACAAATAATGCTTCTATAAACACTGTTATTTGTGCGACTTCTAGTGTACATATAAATGCATTTTGTTGTATGTATATACCAGGAGTGAAACTGCTGGGTTACAGAGTATGTGTGTGTAAACTTTGGTAAAAGCTGAAAATGTTCCAAAGTGGCTGCTTCGATTTTCACTCCCACTAGCAATGCACGAGTGCTTCCATTACTCTGCAGCCTGGAGAATGCTTGTTATTGTTTCCATTTTAGCTTTTCTGGTGGATGAGTAATGATATTTTACTGTGGCTTTCGTTTGCTTATAACCATTTAAATATCATTTATTTTTATATTGCTTTGCCTTTTTATTGATTTGTGTGTATGTGTGTGATATAAATCCTTTGTTAGATGATTTCAAACATAATATCCATTTTATAGTTTATCTTTTCATTCTTTTAATGGATATTTAAAATATAAACAGAAGTCCTTAATTTTAATATTAGTTTATAATCTTGGCCTTTAGGGTTAGTGCTTTTTAAATTCAGCTTAAGGAATCTGTTTTTAACCCTAAGTTCATCAAGATTCTCACTTGTATTAACTCCTAGACATTTTAGTATTTTATATTTAGATCTACATGTGAAATTAATTTTTGTGTTTGTTTTCAGTTGAACATTTAGTTTTTGTCCATGTGGACAAAATTAATTGACTTGGCATCATTTATTGAAAAGCCCATTTTTTTCCGCTTCACTCTAGGGTCATCTATGCCATAAAGTGAGTGACACGTGCATGTTTCTGAACTCCCTGATAATAGTTTGGATATTTGTCCCTTCCAAACCTCATGTTGGAATTTAATTCCCCATGTTGGAAGTGGGGTCCCATAGGAGGTGTTTGGATCATGGGGGTGGATCCCTCATGAACAGCTTGGGGTGGTCCTGTGGTAAAGTGTGAGTTCTTGCACTATTACTTCATGGGAGATCTGGTTTTTTTAAAGGGGGTAGCACCCCTCCCCTTGCTGTCTCTTGTTTCTCTGTCTCCATGGGATCTGTACATTCTCAGTCTCCTTCCCCTCCCACCATGATTGGAAGCTTTCTGAGGGCCTCACCAAAAGTAGGCACTGGTCCCATGCTTCCTGTACAGCCTACAGATCCGTGAGCTAAATAAACGTATTTTCTTTATAAATTACCCAGCCTCAGGTATTCCTTCATAGCGACACAAGATGAACTGAGACACCCTCTTTTCTTTGCATCACTTTGTTATTCTAACCTTGCTTCAATACTACACTCATTTACTGTAGCTTTATAATGATTCTTGATATTTGATAGTGTACATATACTACTTTCTTTTCTCTTCTTCAAGATTGTCTTGGCTACTCTTAGCCCTTGAAAATTCTACACAAGTTTTAGAAGTTTGTCGATTTACTAACACATAGAAACCTGTCAATTGTTAAATAAAGACTGCATTGAACATATAGGTACCTTTGGAAATAATCAACATATTGCTATATGCCTCCATTTATTAAGTCTTCCTCAATTTATTTCAACGATATTTTATAGTTTTCTGTGTAGAAGTCTTACACATCTTTCATTAGGCTATTTCTAATAATTTAATGTGTGTGATGCTATTGTTAATGCCATCGTTGTCTTAATTTTATTTTCTAGTTATTTGCATATAGAAATACAACTGATTTTTGCACATTGACTTTGTATTTAGCAACCTTGATAAATTCGGTTCTTAGTTCTTATATTTTATTTGTAGATGCTTTTAGATTTCTACTTTTCAGTAATGTTAATGTCTGCTAACGATGGTTACATTCCTTTATTTCTTATTGTTGCATTTCTAAAATTTGTATTCCTTCACTTACTGAACCCTGTGATGCAACATTACATAGAAGTCACAATAGGGGACATTCTTGTTTTATTCTCAATTTCAATGGAATGCTTTAAATATTTCACCATTAAGTATAATTTTTGGTGTGGATTATTTGTTAGTTTGATTTTTGCAGATATCCTTTATCAGAATAATGCTTTTCCTTAGGTCAACTCAGCAAGTATTTGTGATTATGCATTATGTCCAGTCTCTGTCTTAAGCAAAATAATAATTTTATAATGAATAAGGCCAGGTGCAGTGGCTCATGCCTGTAATCCCAGCATTTTGGGGGGCTGAGGTGGGTGGATCACTTGAGGCCAGAAATTTGAGAGCAGCCTGGCCAACATGGCAAAACATTGTCTCTACAAAAAATACAAAAATTAACCAGGCATGGTGGCATGCATCTGTAATTTCAGCTACTTGGGAGGCTGAGGCATGAGAATTGCTTGAATCCAGGAGGCAGAGGTTATGGTGAGTCAAGGTTGCACCACTGCACTGCAGACTGGGCAACAGAGCAAGACTGTGTCAGAAGGAGAAGGAGAGGAAGGGGAAGTGGGAGGGGCAGGAGTAGGGGAAGGAGGAGAATTTTATAATGAATAAGACACTGTCCCCACTCTGAGGAATTTATCAGGGTGTAAAATAGACAAATAACAATAGAGATTGACAAAGGGAATCAGAAACACAACTTACTTGTTCAGGGAAGGTAGGGAAGGCTCTGAGAACACAAAGCATGATAGAAGAGGATCAAAGGATGAGAGAAATTATTTTCAAGCTAATAAGAATGACATGCAAGGGCTACTTCCTTAGAAACTATTTTCTGGGTCTTTGTGTATACATGTAGACCTTAGAGATAAAAGATTACCCTAGATTTCTGTACAACATCAAATTTGGATAAATCTAATATTCTCACATATTCCTAAAAGAATTTGTCATTGAAATAATAAAGAATCCTGTGGTAAATATTTTTAGTGAAAATTCCTGAGTTCTATATATTTGAGTTTTCTAAGAATATTATGTGAACCAAAATGCTGAGAAAGAAATTATGTTTTCCATCCCACAAGTCCATTGTTAGCTCTCTTTTCATTTCCTGCCTTATTTGCCAATAATACCACAGAAAATGAGGGGAAAAAATGGTTGTCTTACAACAGATAACACAGCAAGTGGTTTAGAAGTATTTACCTTCTGTAACCATGATATATACCAAGTGCTAAATAAACACTTGTTGATTTGGCTTGGCCTGGTTACAAGTGTAGCCTCCCAAAGAAAATAGTTTAGTCAGAATTATATTACCTTGAGCCAAAGGCTGCTGAAAGACATACAAATCAAAGACCAGGTGCATGGGATCTTTCAGTTTTAATATTCAAAACAGAAAACAAAAATGGTATCTGAGAGTAAGAATAGGTAGCATTTTAGAATTGGTTTCCCAAGAGGAGTCACTAGACTCATACATCATTTTGGTGACTGTTTTAACCAGAATGTCTCAAATAACTTTAGCTTTGCAAATAGATTACAAAGTTCTGTACATGTCTACCTTCTCCAGGAGAATCACAACCCTTCAAGTTCATCTCCAAACATCTAGCTTTATTTTGAAAGCAGAGAATGGAAGAAAAATGGATTCAGACCAGGGGTCACAAAAATTGAGGGGTTTTGGCTTGAAGTCTGGGGGTAAAGTTGGCATCCTATAAATATCACTTTGGGATTTATCATTGTAGGGCCTGCCAGCCAAACTTCTTAGGCCAGCATTTGCATCTCTTTGCCTAAGAGCTTTGTAGGTCAGAGTCCATTCTGCCCCAAGTGTTAAAGTGTTAATGCCCCCAGTTAAAGCACTCAACAATGACTGCTGGGTATCTGTGTATCTCTGTCAGGTGGGAACTCTAAGCAGAGTTCTACACTGGTTCTCAGAGTTCCTCAGTAGGAGTAAGCTTTTTACTCACAGAGGTAATTTGCTGTTTCACTTTCCCAATCGTCTATCTATTCATGTTTTCTGGGATCACCTCCTGGATAAACCATGTGCATGTTCATTTGAATTCTTGCCTCAGGGTCAGCTTCTCAGGCAACCCAAACTAACAGAGGTTGTTTTTGTTTTAAACAAAGACCATCATTACCCATCCCTCCCCACACCTCTTCTATTTAAGAAGATGGTGGCATCATCAAAAAAAAAATCACACACTCTCTGAAGGAGCTCACACATTTTGCAGTGGGGAACTTGAAGCAATTATCTGGACAAGTCAAGTCAAAGCTACTGTCAATGAGAATCGTGGCTTACTGGAGCACATGCATTGGTTTTTGCTTCACTTATTTGCATAATTGCCTAGATTCTCAGCTTAGTGTGTGTAGACCTGATGAAGAACAATTAATGATCTAACATGAGGGGGACCCATTTCTGTGGCTTCTGGCCAAGAGGGAGACATATCACTGTCAAAGACAGCCATCTGGGGAGAATCTCTCAGGGGGAGAATTTTCCCTTTCAATTAGGAGCAAACTAAAAACCATGATGAAAACTGCTTTTTATGAAATCAAGCCATGGAAATTAAACTTTCAGGAAAATAGTTTAAATTTTAGCCTTGGAGCCCTCTCTGTTGTTCCATTGGAGAATTTTCCAGAACGTGTCAGACTTTGCTATAAGCTTCTATAACAGGCTTGCTTTTGACGTTTCAGTGAATTCGGTGAATGTTTGTCTGAAGAAGTAGTGTAGCTTTGGGAAGAAAATTGCGTTTAAATTCCATGTTTATTCCTGCTATAGGGGAATCATTGTAATAAGTGAAACTCTAGTCTTAGGTTTCTGTTCAAATTAGAATATGCAATAAAATTTCAAAAAATTAGTGAATATAAGTTTTAGAACAGTTCCTTAATCTAGTGGTTGAGTACTAGAATACTAACAATGAGACTCAGTGATATTACATGAAGAGTAAAAGATCAACAAATAGCACCAAAAAGAAAATCAGCTTCTCTGTTTCTTGTTTATATTAATTGCTGGATCTCTTTGAAGAGCCAAAAATTGAATTTAAGACCTTTAGTTCTTTTAAGTCTCTCTAACCAAACTTATCAGAAAAAGATAATAACATCTTCACCCATTCGTCACTATTATTCTATTTATATATTTCTAAGATCAATCAGTACAACACTGATGAATGTGGTTTAACTAAAACGGCTCCAATATTATTTTCAATATATTCCCTTAATCTAAAAAAGCTATATTATTTTGGCTGAATTATAGGCAAAATAATATAGCTCACAGCAGAACCTGGTGGCTTCAGATGGTTAACATCAGGAATTTTTTGTTTTGTTCTGTTTCTTTGTTTTCTTTTTTCTTTCTTTCTTTCTTTTTTTTTTTTTTTTTTTTCTGAGACTGAGTCTCACTGTGTCACCCAGGCTGGGGTGCAGTGGCACAATCTTGGCTCACTGCAACTTCTGCCTCCTGGGTTCAAGTGATTCTCCTGCCTTAGCCTCCCGAGTAACTGGGATTACAGGCCTGTGCCACCATGCCTGGCTAATTTTTATATTTTTAGTAGAGACGGGTTTCACCATGTTGGCCAGGCTGGTCTCAAACTCCTGACCTTGTGATCTGCCTGCCTCAGCCTCCTAAAGTGCTGGGATTACAGGCATGAGCTACCACGCCCAGCCCCATTTCATTTGTTAAAGCACAAATCAGAACAATGAGTTAGTGTCTTCTTCCCATATGTGGAAGACTTGCTCAAACAAATCCATGTCGCTGACAAGTCGCAGCTACAAGTTTAGCTTGGGGATGACCAGGGGGAGTTGCCTCACCTGGAGTGAGGTCAGATTCAGAAAATGTTCAGACTGAATGATCCACACTGAGTTTCTTTTTGTTTCTCAATCACTGCATGCCATGTCTTTCCTTGGGGCTTTGTATCCACTTTTCTCGGTGCCTGTAACACTCGGTAGCCCGCCATCCGTCCACCACCCCCACCCACTTACTCTCATGCTGCTAGGATTCATATTTCAGGTGTTAGTTTACATGGGGTTTTCCCAGAGGAGGTTGCTCTTTATGCGCTTTTTGCACTTTTGCTATCTCCATCTTCACTCCACTTCTAATCCTTGGTTGGTTTGTCTGCCCATCTCAGCTCACGACTTATCTGCGTCCTCCCGCCCACGTGTTCTTTGACTATTCCTCCAAATTGGCCTTGGCATAGTCTCCCCTAATCTGTGCCATGGCCGACTTCTTTTTCCATGCCCTTCCATTCATAGCTTCTCCCTTATTCATGCTCCTGGGCTCCTTTCTTTTCTTTATTGCAACATTTCCAAGGTGTTTCCAGGAGCCCTTCTAACTCTGAGATTCAGGAAATCTGGATTTATATACCCACTCTGCATTTATTTATATGTGATCTAGGAAAAATAACTTCTTCTGGCTAGATCTGATCTACCACAAAAGTCCCCAAAATGGACTAAATCAGAAGTCAGCAACCATTTTTTGAAGCAGCCTGATAGTAAATGTTTTAGACTCTGCCGGGGTGGACTCCCATCTGAAGGTTCTGGGGAAGAGCATGTTTCCAGGCACATTTAGGTTGTTGGCAGTATTTAGTTCCTTGTGATATAGAATGGAGGTCTCCATTTCTTGGCTACCATCAGCGGAAGCCGCTCTCAGCTCCAAGAGGCTGTGCTCCAATCCCTCCATTGTCAAAGTCAGCAGCAGTGCATCAAATCCTTCTTGTGAGTCAAATCTTTCTAACTTCCTCTCCTGCCACCAACTGGAGAAAATTGCTAATCTTCCTATCTTCAAGTCAAAGAATTGGTAATGTTAATTACATCCGCAAAATCCCTTTTGTCATGTTAATGTAACAAAATCATGGGAGTAATAGCCAGCATATTTATATTCCTGGAGATTAGAGCAGGAAATCTTGAAGACTTGGGGAAAATATTTTTTTACAATTCTGCCTGCCACACTTAGAGTGGGCTTTGTGCATTGGCCCTTGACTTCAATCTGTTCCCTTAGACCTACAGTTATTGGCGTGGCTCTGACAACACCTTCCTCTTATTTCTGTGGCTGACATCTGTTGATTCACTACATCCCCACTAACCCTGGTGAAAAGATACCTGCCTCCACCTCCCACCTCATTCCCAGCATTCCCTTCAGGCCTCATTTACATAGAACTGGAAAGTGACGTGGGAACTTATTTCTACGTTCACCCTACTCTCCAAGCACCAAATTTTAATCCTAGTGTTTTTGTTTGTTCGTTTGTTTTCTCCCCACACCACCTCCCTGTTTTCAGGATAAGGGAGAATATCTCCCCTTCCATAGCTCTCCCAGGTCCACTCTGAATCTTAGGGGAAATCTATGCCTTCCGGGATTTCTCTACATTACTATGCCCCCTTTCTTTAAGGCTGGCTGATCCTCAAAGTCATCCCAGTTTACTCTTGGCTTCAAAAAATGCTCAGAATAATGAATCACAACAAAAATGAGTTCTCCTTGAGATGAGTCAGCTGAGACAAGAGTGGAAACTCATGAACAGAAAACCAGTCTAACTTGCTTTGCCATTCGTGGTAACTTGGTTTCCGGACATCATTGCTCCTGGAAAGAGAAATGGTGTTTGACAGGAGCCAAGGAGAATCCTTGCTGTCATGACTGAACAGAAAGATGTTTTCACAGAGGCTAAGAAACGGGGGCGGGGTGCAGGTTTGTATTATCTGGGGGTAAAACACTAGGTTCTACTGCACATCAAGCCAGAAGACAAAGCCAGGAAGATGAGAAAACCAAATTAAAATCAGTCAGAAAAGAGAATCTTCAAGGCTGAACATTACCTCCAAGAAAAATGTCCCCAAGTCAGTATCTAAGAAGGTGAATTGAAAGAGGCTTCTATGATCAAATATGAGGGAGGGGGAAATGGGTGGGAAAGAATTAAGCAAGTTTTCTGACTGCAGAATATTTCACTCTTTAAATATTTAATGGGCATCCAGAATGTCCAAAGATGGGATACAGCAGGGTCAGTGAACTTTTTCTGTAAAGGGCCAGATGGTAAATATTTTAGGCTTTGCAGGCCAAATGGTCTTTGTCGCAAGTACTCAACCCTGCCATTGCAGCAGAAAAGCAGCCACAAACAATATATAAATGAAGAGGTGTAGCTGTGTTCCAAGAAGATTTTGTTTACAAAAACAAGCAGGGGGGTAGGATTTGCCAGAATTTGACAGCCTGCAAGGATAGGATATACAACATTAACCACATTTATTGGATCACAGAATCCCTCCATTCATTCATTCATTTGTTATTTTTATGGGACAAAATTAGGAGTTCCACCAGCAAGGCATGACTCTGGTTCACTATTGTTTCATGAAGGCAAACTCGGAGAATATAAGGGAAATAATGGATATATGGGAATATAAGGGAAAATAAGGGAACTCGGAACACAGAAGACTCTCAAACAAAATTTGTTGAATAGAACACATGGAATTAAGTAGTACAACAAAAAAGTCTTTCCAGGAGAATGAAATACACTGATGAGAGTTGATATATTTGAAACAATGATTCAGAACAAGAAGCAACTATGTTTTAGAATAAAATAAAAAGGAGACTAGAAGAGAACTCAGGATGAGGAGAAAGAAGAGGAGGCAAAAAATAAGGAAAGAAATATTATCAAAAGAAGAGGGGGAGGAAAAGGAAGAAGAGAAGGAATAAAGATGAGTTTCCACCCACAAGAAAATGGCTTTCTCTGCCCCTGGCTGTGTATGAGAGCATCGGCATCAGTGTCCTGAAAGGGAAAACCTTTAATGAGGTGCTAAAAAACCCTCCTTGGCATTAATTAACAAGATCACTAGGCTGTCATAATTGCAGAAAGATAAATCATCAAGAGATATTTCTTAACAGAAATGCAGGTCATTACAAAATACTGTTTAAAGTCACATTTACATATAAAAGGATCAAATGGATGTTGTTCCACTTGGCACCCACATCCCCTCCACTCTCCACTGTGCTCCATGCACAGGAATCAGCACACAGCTCCAGGTAAGCCAGGGGCTTTGAAATCTTTACAGAGCATCCTCCCAGAGGGGCTTGATGGATGCAGAGATGTGAGAACTGAAGGAAACCTTTGCAGGCAAAATTTCAGGACTGAAACACAGTGTCTCCGCCTGATTAACTGCCATTTACGTTACTAAATGCCTGAATCCCTCACTTCACTGGGGTCTCCATGAGACCATTGGCCTTGTCTTTTTTTTTGTTTTTTCTGCATTGTGTTCTTAATGTTCAGCCTGTACTAGGACACTCAGTAGATGCATGTTAAAAGCAGTCATCAATTCTTCAGGACTCAGCTAAAAAGCTGCCTCCTTTCAGAAAGTTTCCCACATGTCCCAGTCTGGATGAAGGATCTATATCCTGAGACACTGTGGCATCCTGTGCTCTCTTGTGTGGTGGGACTTAGAGAAGTAAATTGACATGTTTACTGCAGCAATATTTACAATGGCAAAGATATGAAAGCAAGCTAAGTGCCCATCAATGGATGAATGAATAAAGAAAATGGTGCATATACACAATGGCATATTAGCCATAAAAAAGAATGAAATCTTGTCATTTTGCAGCAACATGGATAGAACTGGAGGTCATTATGTTAAGTGAAATAAGCCAGGCAAGGAAGGACAAATATCACATGTTCTCACGCTTATGTGGGAGCTAAAAAAAAAAAAAATCTCATAGAGGTAGAGAGTAGAATGGTGGTTATCAGAGACTGGGAAAGGAAGAGGGGAAAGAGGATGAAGAGCAGTTGGTTAAAGAGTACAAAAATACACTGAGAAGAAATAAATTCTAGTATTTGATGGTACAGTAGGAAAATTATAGTTAACAATAATTTATTGTCTGTTTTAAAAAACCTAGAAGGTATTTGTAGTGCTCTCAACACACACACACACACACACACACACACACACACACACGCACACAAAGATAAACATTTGAGGTAATGGATATCCCAGTTACCCTGATTTGATTATTATGCATTGTATTCAGGTATCAAAACATTATCACATGTACTCCCAAATAATATACAACTATTATATAACAATAAAAAATAAATAAAAATAAGTCATGTTGCTAATACATACCTTTGAAGTGAATGGATGTTATGGAAATGACTATGTCTGTATTCTTCCTTCCAAAAACCCACAACCCCAGTCCAATCATGAGAAAATCACCTGCCAAAACCACACTTGAGGGCCATTCTACAAAATAGCCGATGATTTCTCCTTAAGACTCTCGAAGTCATCACAAACAAAGTCAGAGAAGCTGTCACAGCCAACAGGAGCTGAAGGAGACAATGATGACTAAATGTAATGTGAGATCCTAGGTGGGAAAAGGATACTAAGAACTAAGAAAATCCAAGGAAAGTGGAGAGATCAGTGAATCATAATGTATCAATATTGATTCATCAGTTGTGACAAAGGGCCCACATTAATGCAAAATGTTAAAAACGGAAAATGAGTGCAAGGTATAGAGACGATCTGTAGTTTCCTTGCAACTTTTTCATAAATCTAAAACTACTGTAAAATAAAATGTTTAAGAAAACAAAATTGTGAACGAATAATAACAGAAAAACAAGGCCCCCATCAACACACTGGGGAGGGCTACCATTGTTTATGGTGAGAAAGGTGCCCCTTGGAGTTACGCAAACAGGCCTGGCTCATGCTGCACCACCCACACCTCTTTAACTCTAGGCCGGCTCTAAGTGAGGACCCTGGGTATGGCGCCCACTGCATCCCTCACCAATCTTTCCCAGGTATCTTTTCTGTCCCATTGATAGTAGCATTTCTATTATGGCCATTGTTGCTTGATGCTTTCCGATGGAAGCAGAGGCTCCCCAACTTTGAAGTGCTAAGAACCACCTGGGGGTTCTTGTTAGAATGAAGGTTCCTGGGTTCCCTCCAGAGATTTTGAGTCAATCTGTCTAAGGTGAGTCTAATTCATCTTTATTTTTAACAGACCTTGGAGGTGATTCTGGTTCACACATTCTGATCAACCCTGATGTAAAAGGCTAAGCCCATTATGAAGTATCATTCTTTCACTTTTGTTTCCACATTTAGCACTGTGATGCTAGGTACCATGTGCTTGGCAGAGAGTTGACACTCAATAAATATTTGATGAAAAAATGAATGTGTGCATGCATGAACTGTCAAGCTCAACCTCCTAATTTTTGTTCTATTCAAGAACTCTGACATTGGGTGTCATGCTTAGGGATCCGTCACTGTTAGGGAGCTGCAAACCATAGGGAATTAGACCAACAAACAATGCCCACCAACACCCAAGACCCTCCTGTGTGCAGATTGTGACTGAGAGCCAACATGGTGGGAAAGATTTTCTTTTCAAACGTGAGAGGGCTTCCTGCCATATGTTCTGAACCTCAGGTCATTTTGCGATTTCTTCTTTTTCTATTTTGCAGGCTCAATTAGGTGGGTTGGTTTTCTGAATCAGCAGCTCAGTCATTAGTTTGGTTGCAATTGCAGGTAGAAAACTGGAGGCACTTTTTCCCCCACAGGCAGAAAGGTGCATCTGCCATTAACTAATTGCAGGCTGACACACACCTGTTGTAGAGGCTAGACGCACGCAGACACACACCTTGATATCCAAAATGCAGTCTCTGACCTGCATGGCAGGAAAGACACAGAGGATTTACGCTCTGAAGAGGTGAGGTGTTTGGGCAGAGAAAACCTCCTCTTTCTATGGGGACTCATTCAGAGGTCATCCTTTGCGTGCCCTCAGGAGCAGAAGGACACATGGGAAGGTGGAACATTCTCTGTTCCCAGAATTCTTTTAGAATGGCCGTCATTGTTTAAGTTAGAATATTGCCGGTTAATTGTTGGCTCCCAAAGAAAAATTATGAGCAGGGGAACGGTTCTGCATGGATTTAGTGTATTTGAATAATTTAGACCCCCGCCGTTAATTTGACAGGATTGTTTTTCTCTCGCAGTAGCCTGCTGCTACAAGAATTAAAACTGTCGGGAGTAGAAGGGGCTGTGTTGGAGCTTAGTAATGAGGTTTATCAGTCAGTAAATGATTTTATACAGCAAATTAAATGGTAAATTTTGTTTGGGTGGTAAATATTTAGAGAATAAAGATATCTGGTTAATGAGGAGGGCTGGTGTTTAAAAAAAGAGAGAAGAAAAAAGGAAATGTCAACCTTTTAAATCTTGAATGTAGTTGGGATGGGTTGACAATTTGCTCACTTACAGCTCTCTCTCTCTCTCTGTTTAAATAACAGAGAATGGCTTCATTGTTTTTTATTTAAGGACCCACTGGAAATTCTTCCCACCCATCTTTGACTTGTGCCTACCACCAGAATGAGGTAATATCTCTCTCACAAGGTTCTTAAGAACAAGTAAGAAAATAGACCTATTAAAATGCTCATGGAGTAACACAGTATCTGGCCCAAGGTTCATTTTTTCTACTATGATGTGTTTTTAAACACAGATACTCCAGAGGCATGCTTGCCGTTATCATTGTCTCTCATAACATGTTAAATTTAAATTTATGTTAATTAAAATTGCATTTAAAAAATCTAGTTCCATGGTTGCATTTGCCACATTTCTGGTGTGAATAGTTACATGTGGTTAGTGGCTGCTGTGTTGGACGGCACAGATATAAACATTTCCATCACCACACGGAGATATGCCCTAGAATCTGTCTAATAACTGTGTACCTTGAGCTGGGGCACCCAGAAAACAAGGAATACCTGGGATTATTTAGTTGGTACAGAATTTTCTTCTTATCATTATTATGTATTATGTATCTGTATGTATATGAAAAAGAAACAGTATGCTATACTTTCATGTACATACATATACTTTCATATACATACAGATATTATGTATGTGTATGTATGTATACTTTGATATACATACAGATATTATGTATTTGTATGTATATGAAAAACAGTATAACTATAACTCTTATCAAATCTGTGATTTCATACATATATTTGGGACAAGGCATTTAAGTAATGTAAAGTTTTTAAAAACAAGTCAGTTTAAGAATATATTAAAGAAATAAATATTGGTTAGGATTATTTGGCAAAAATCTTAAAGTGGTATATAAAGGAATGACTAACATTTGAAAAATACAGTGTCAATGGACATCAAGGATTGGGAAACTTAAGAGGTAAAAGAAAGAAGAGGTGAAAGTTTGTGAGCATGAAAGAAACATAGTGGAGTTGAGAGGGGTAGGTAAGGATGCTACAATCAAACTTTCTCTTTTTAGTTTTTTGGAGATGGGATCTCACTTTGTGGCCCGGGCTGTAGTGCAGTGCTTATCCACAGGTGCAATCATAGCATACTACAGCCTTGAACTCCCGGGCTCAAGTGATCCTCCTGCCTGAGCCTCCCAAGTAGCTCGGGCTACAGGCTTAAATCAAACTATTTGAACCTTCCAGTTTTGCTCTGAGCTGAATCAGGCCATCATATTATCACATACTATAGCGACCTGAATCCTAAACAGTCAACACACACTCCCTAATTACAGCTCAGTTGGCATTGCCAGGAATCTCATTCAATATGAACTCACTATATGTTTAAAATCTTTGGAACAAGGTCCTAGAAACTCTATGCAGCAGCCTAAAGATCCCATATATCACTGATATTTGCAGATAGACGTTGCAGATCACAAGCCAAGAGTAAAGATTGGGACATTGCAACCTACACTCCCTGGCTCTCCATGTTGATAGGTCGAAAATCAAGTCACCATCAGTGGGACGGGTCCCTCTGCCCTCTTCTACCCCATGTGGCTTGTTCCTTGAGCCAACTCCCTTCATCTTCCTGTCCTAGTCCACTAGTCACATTCCTACTCTCTGCTCAGAGGACAGCCTTCATTTTGGAATCTGGCATTTTGAGACCTTGGTGACATAGTACTATAATCTGCTCAAAAGAAAGTCAAGGAGACTAAAAGAGATAATCATAATCTTGCAATGTTCCAAACATAATCAACTTGGAACATTGGAAGAAGGCTTAATAAAAAGACTACTGATAAAGGTATGATCAAGGTCTAAGTAAATCACAAGGTTTAGCACCAAGGAGGCACCATTACTGTTGTTAGACCTGAAGGAACAAGGAAAGGGGGGAGGGGTTGTATGACACCTGGAGGGAGAGAACCACATAATGGATGCTGTGATGGTGAGTAAGAAGCAGCAGCTTCTCTTGACCCGCAGGGAGGGAGCCAGAAGAATAAACACCCCAACCACACACTTCTCTCTTTTTCTTGTTTCCTTACTGATGCTTCCATTGGTTGAACCTAACTGAGAGCCAGACAGTGAGGATTTTGTTGATGAATGCTGCCTTCCAGAGCAGGGAATGGAGTGCAGAGGGGTGGGTTGCCAGGGAGGAGCAAAGGAAAAGGAAGCCACCAGCATACTAGTGCCCTCTGTTCAGGTTGACTAAGCCTCATTTTTCCTCCAGGTATGGGTAAAGGGGGTGCTGAGGCCAGGAGGCTTGTGCTCTGTTTGTGCCACAGTCCCCTTGCAGGAGTTTATTCTCAATGGGGGCTCTCAGCTCTAGGGCATCACTGATTGTTTGGTGGTCTGAGAAGCACCTTTATATCCCATCTCCAAGAGGCAGAATCCATTAGCTAATTGCCTGGCTCCTATGGAGCTTGGCCACAAGATTTGGGAGGTGCCAGGCTTTCTCTTCCGCATTGTAATCTAAAACCCATAACTCAGTGCACCCACTTCCTAAACTCTCAGGAAATAAGGCCTCTAGGCCATATACAAGTATCAGTGCTTTCAACAGCAGGTAAGAGAAAACCCTACTGCAAACGTGCTTGAATAGTAAGGATGTTGACTGGGACACATAACTGGAAGTGCAGAGGTTCCGTGAACCTCAGATTCCGGCCCCGTCTTCTCACTTGGTCCTCCTCCCTTGCCGGCTTCAGTCTGACAGCAGGATGGTCACAGCAGTTCCTGGCCTGTCTGCACACAACAATATTCAGAAGAGAGGGACTCTCGAAAACAGCTCTGTTGGTAGAAAAAGAACAGGAGTCTCAGATGTCACTATATGTTTTCTAGTACTCATGTTTAAAAATGTAAACAAGGAACTAGTGAAATTAAATTTCCTAAAATATATTTTCTTTAACCCAACATATGTAAAATGCCAGCATTTCAACACATGATCAACCGTGAAGAAAAAAGTTAAGAAGGTATTTTGCATTCCTTTTTCATACTAAGTGTTGGAGAGATGATGATGTCAATTTGGATTCACCATGTTTCAAGTGCTCAGTAGCCATCTGTGTCAAGGGGTTACCTTGTGGGAAAGTGCAACTGTAGAAATTTCTAGAAGAGGGAGGAAGCCCCCGACAAACTGTGACTGGTATCCCAGTGGCACGATGGATTCACATGCCTTTTATGAAACAATCACTGGCTGGGAGACAATTTTCTTAGGACCAAATTAAACCCATCTTTGATGCTGTGCTTGGAGGGATACGGGCTACCTATGAAAATGAGAAACATAAAATGTAAATTTAAAAATGGAATAAAATGACTTTCTATTGGAAGGGGGTGTGTTGTACCATTGAGTGCTCTACCAACAATGTCTGTGAGAGACTGGCTTCTCTGTTAGAGACCTTCATTGACTCCTGGATGGAGGGTCCATTCTCTCCTTAAGTTCCTTTCCTCTAAATGAAGAGATCTCAGAGGTATGGGGTGGCGGGGGCGGGTAGGGGAAGGTTTCATCCTCTGTGGATGCAAGAAAGCTGACAGTGATGTAACAGACCCTGCCATTCAACTCCACAGAGATTGATTTAAGAGGCATCTGCTTCGTGGGGAGGATGGGGCCTTTTTGGGTTTAAAAGTGCTTTGTCAAGTAAACCCTATCTGCTGTTTAAGCAACTTCTGTGCCCTTAGTATCCAAAGGAACCAGAATGAAAATTCAGGTGCTTTCCTTTAGGATTGGGAGAGGCTATGAAGTGTCAACACTCTGAGCAAGGGACTGTATGATAATAACAAAGTTTACCAATAAGTAAGCAGACACTAAATAATTATATGGATTCCCCAATTTCATTTTCTAAAAGAAAGTAATGAGTAAAAGAATGTGAGGTGGAAGCAAATGGGTTTGTGTTCTTTATTCAAGAAATGTAAGTCATTAGATTCTATTTTCTCACTGTTCCTCCTTGTGATAAAGACGAATATTCAGGAGTTGTAGCAGCTGATTGTGGAATGCTGAATGTCCTCCAAGCATTGCTATTGCATGGGCTTGTTACTCAGGAGATGGAACTCAGACACAGCCTTTCTGAGCCTGAGGCCAGGGCAATGCTGTGTTCAGGTTAGGATCAAGAACGCCAAAGCACATGGTCCTCAGGGTTAGTGATTATTCCTGTGTGTTCCCTGTCTCTAGCTAGGTCAAGGGAAGATCAGGCACAGAGAAAATACATATTGAGTGAAACTGAAGGTCAGACACACATCTGTCTATTATGAAAGCATGAACTTTGCTTTCAGTGAATCTGGGTTTTATTTAGCAATCCATCACTTTCTGATTATGTGACCTTGGACAAACGCCACAATATTTATAAGCCTCAGTGTTCCCATCTGTGTCACGGGGATAATGGCTACCTCATGGTCTCAGGGTTTGGAATGAATGAGATGATCTAAGTCAAGCAGTTACCACTGAGATTGTAATGTATAGCAAGAGCTCAGTAAACATTAATTATTAATACTGTGGTTGTTAATATTCACTACTGTTGCCACAAAAGCAATGATAATGAAGCCAAATCCACTGCATACAAAATACTTTACTCCTTATGCCTTAAGCATTTTGATAACAGACTAAGTTTTATTCACCTTTGCAAGTGCCAAAACAAATAATAATACTGTACTGGAGAAAAAAAAGAAACTTAATAAATATTAGTTGAAGGATGAATAAGTAAATGAATTCATGAGTGAGATGATAGAAAAGTTGCTATGGTTTCCATGAAGAAAGAAGGTCACCTTAACAGAAGAGAGACTCTAAAGTGAGTTCCTAAACCAGGCATCAGCACATTTTTTTCTGTAAAGGGCCAGATAGTAAATATTTTCGTTTTGTGGGCTACACAGTTTCTGTCATGACTACTCACTTCTGCTATTGTAATGCAAAAGTAGTCATAGACAATACGTAAAGGAAGGAGCATGACTGTGTTGTAATACAACTTTTATTGTTTATTTATTTATTTTTTTTACAAGAACAGGTGGCAGGTCACATTCAGCTCATGGGCCTTAGTGTGCTGACCTCTATCCTAAGTAGAAGTCCTGTATGCAGCTCTCCTGACTGCTGTGTAATCAGTCACTCTCCCCTTGGCCATTCTGTAGCCTTTTGTTCATGCGTCTACTAGAGACAGTTCATACTGAATTTTTCTCTGGTGCAACTTGACATGTTTACCACCTGCCATATTTATCTTTGATTTTAGATCAGGAATGAGTACCTTGCAGACTTCAGTATGAGCAAAGATCTGACCCCTGGGGTGCTCAGCCTCCTTTGAGGTGACTTCATGATGGAAGCTAAAAGAAGAGACTGTCATTCTTGCTGAACAAATGATCCCAGATGTTCCAGAAGGAAGCTATGCTTTCCCTGGTAGAAACTGTATTGACCACACAGAAACTTATGCCAGGGTTAGGGCAAATTACTCTTAGAGTATTGAGAACCACTGCTCCCAATTCAGTTCAGCACAGCCCAAATATTTCTCCAAAATCAGTGCATGAACAATGAACCATCCCTTTGTTGAATATGGCATCTGTTAAACAGCTTTTAATAATTTTTTAAAAATTCTTTTTTTATCTGAGAACATCTGTGGCCATCTGGACACGCTCCTTCCTAGCATTTCACTTTTAAGTTGGATGTAACTATCAGATGTTCCTGCACAGATTCTGGGACAGATCTGGGTATCATTGAACAGACATCAATTATACCGATGTCATGAGGCGTGTCAATCTCAGCAGGGAAAGTGACAGCTTCCTTATCATCAAACCAGCCAGCCTCCTGGATAATTTGCTGGTATTGTCGATAACAGATCATGGTAGTGTTGGGTATGAGCATACTGTTCTCCACATCATTCTTCCTTGTTGATTTTCTTCCCCCACCCCTCCGAAAAAACTGAATTTCGCCGGGCACGGTGGCTCACGCCTATAATCCCAGCACTTTGAGAGGCCACAGCAGGCAAATCACCTGAGGTCAGGAGTTTGAGACCAGCCTGACCAACGAGATGAAATCCCATCTCTACTAAGAATACAAAAAAGTAGCCTGGTATGGTGATGGGTGCCTGTAATTCCAGCTATTCGGGAGGCTGAGGTATGAGAATCACTTGAACCCGGGAGGCAGAGGTTGCAGTGAGCCGAGATCACACTACTGCACTCTAACCTGGGCAACAGAGCAAGATACCATCTCAAAAAGCAAAACTAAACAAAACAAACAAACACTGAATCTTCTCTATTTTCCACATTGTGGGCATTATTGTTTCTAGAACTGAGTGCCCCTAATAGATTAATTCCTCCTTTAAGCATAACTTTAGGACAATGCAGACTCACCTTTTTCCTTGAACTTAAGTCCTTTTAATTTTGCTTTTATTCCAGAAGAATATATGTCAGAATGTTTCCCCATTTTGTCAAGTCCTGGGAAACTGATTTAAGCATGACTGGCAATTAAATAAATATTTAAGCCAATTCTCTTACAGGCAGATGACTAGAGATCACCTATATTAACTTGTTTCTGGGGACCTGTTAGGTATCTTTTTCTGTGCTTTTTAAGGAGTTTGCTTACAGCTTTTGAAGTGGTCCTCTTTTCTCTGTGCTTCAGTAAATCCTCTCCTAACTTTACTTTTTGAAATTAGATCCACATAATAAATCCCGACTCTATGATTTTATACAATTAGAATATTGATTTCACATTGTTTTGTTTTGTTTTTGAATTTGCCTTTTTATTTTTCACAACATAGACATTTAAGTTTCTCAATGAAGGCTTAAAAGTCATTTGATGCTTTGAGGTGAACTATGATGGGCTCTTTTATATTTTCCTAAATGAAGAAAATGTTGGAATCCACCCTATGACAGATTATTGCTTAAGCTTAAGAATGACTGTTCTGGCTCTTGATAATTAAACTCTCCTTTGCTAGTAATTTCAGGTCTATTAATCACCTGTTTGAAAACTGCTTCTTATAAAATGTTTCTATAGACTTCTATCCTTATGCATTTCAGGTTATGAAACACCAGAGGTTAGCAATGCCCCCTCCAGGAGTTTTGGGGAGTGTCTTTTTTGATGTTATATGCTAGGCATTCAATTGATCTGTCAACCCTAAAGTCAGTGGGGCTGTGGTTTGTGTCATAATGATAGTTTTTCTATGATGAAACAAAAATTGTATTTGGGAATAATCAGAAAACTGTGTGAAAGTAGTGCTGAAGTAGATACTGGGTTGTAGCCCACTAAGACAGTCTTCATGTTCAATGCAAGGTGTGTCAGCCAGTTTCTACAGACATAAAGTCTCTGCATTTCTATTTTCTCATCTATCAAAACATAATTGTAAAGCTTAGTGTGCATTTTTGGATCTCTTCCCATCCATCCCACAACCTTTTATCTGAGAATGTCTCCCTTATAAGATCCATGAAGGGACCTCCAAAACCACATGGTGGCAAGCAAAGTCCCTATTCCCTCCTACATTGGTCATGTGCATTTGGACCAAAAACCATCACTTGCCCCAGAAAGAATCTTTGGTAGTTAGCTGGACTAATAAGATCCTTCCCTGCTTCAGAAAATAAAATTGGGACGTAAGCATACTGAGTCTTAAGCTGTGGACATTGAGAATGTAGTCTGCAATGGTCTAGTCATGTTTGTACCGCATGCAGTGAGACAGAGAAGAGGGCAGAGAGAGACCTGTAGAGAATTAAACTCAAAAGCTGATGTGATGGCAGGAAGGGGTGATTTCTTCACTTCCATTGGCAATATTCCAGTCTTGGCTCCCATTCCTCTTATGCCTGGCTTCCACTTCTTCCTCTTGGCTTCCATAAAACCCTTCTGTATCTTTCTACTTCACCCTCCTTTCCTTTTGTTTAATGTGATCTTTCCTACTGAATACCTTAAGACAAAAAGATAAAAGGAGATGTGTATCTAACATGCCTCCTCGAATGACTCAGATTTAGCCAATACTTTAGTTTCTCTTGCCATGTGCAGGCTGGCATGGGATATGCATACAGCAGACAGGGTTTGTATTCCGAGAAATGCTATAGCAATAAAAATTTAAATGGAGTGATATTATCTATAGGTTTCCAGGTAGTCAGTGTAGTTTAGACATGGAGAAAAAAGCCTCCTACAAGAATAACGTCTGAGTCCAAGCTTGTATCATTTTAACTTCAATGTGTGTGTGTTTTTGTGTGCTTGGGTGTACACATTTTTTAAAAACATTTTCAGATTCCTTAAATCTGTGTTCATCTGATCGTTGGTTCAAGCCATCAGACCTGCCCTCTTGCCCACAATTCACAAAAATGACTCTTTGTTTCCACCTTCTTTTCCACCTTCTCCTCATTTCTATGGTTTTATAAGAGCCTGGGGGATGAAATAATTCATTCTGATTCCGCTAGAGGCAGACAGTAAGGACCATTAGTATTGGCTTTTCCAGGATAACTAGGTGATTACATGGGGCAAGGAACAATGAAGACATTTTGTAAAATGAGTGCTTTATAGACATAATTTTATATATTAAAAGAGCATAGTAGTTTGACCCTGGGAAGACTGAGGCTAGATTGTGAGAAGCTTTGATAATTATGATAAAGAATATGGGTTTTAGCTCAAAAGCAAAAAGGTCCCCATTGAACTGAGAGACTCCAAAAACAGCCCTCAGTAAACTTCACCTTCCTAGTATTCGTGCCCTGGTATGGTTGCCTCCCACATGGCCTCTAGGCTGCTCCTATATTCACTTTCACTAATACAAAACAGCGGAAATGACTTCTGGCAGCGTTCATTTTTGTACTTTTGAAAGCCATAAGTCACCTTGTGAGAAGTTTCTCTACATTGATGGAGAGACCACATGGGGAGGCTCCTTGCTAAGGTGCTAGACATGTAAGTGAAGCCTTCTTGGCAATTCTATCCCAAGCCTCCATCTGATTAGTGCTGCATGTAAGGTCCCAAGTGAGATCAGCGGAAGAGTCTTCCAGCTCAGCCCTAGTCAATCCAGAAGACTGTAAGGCATAATATAACAGTTTTGTTTTAAACCAGTGAGATAACCTAAATAGCTCCCTTTGCTTCTCCCTCTCTTACTTTGTTTTTCTGCATACCTTTTCTGTGTTGTCTTGTTGTCTATTTCACTCATACCCGAATACCTTCCACATGACATTATTGCATGCATACTCTTATATAAAGCGTTCCTGGAACAGGCTTTTGTTAACACATTCTCCTATCATTTTTTCCTGCTCTTCCAATTCCCCTTGGCTCTTTTAGGGGCTGCATGTATCAGGGGAATGTTGGAGATAAAATACAAAGAGCAATCTCCAAGGAAGAACGATCATTGTACTCTTGAACATTCTGTGTCCCTCAGGGAAGTAATTAGCAACATCCAACATTAATTTCCAAGGTGAATTGGCTTGTGGGAGTAGGAGTACAACATTCACAAACCTGAAGGGGTGGATTTTCTGATTAGCATGGCAAAAGACTCTTACCACTGTACTCATATGGTATCCTGTCTCAAGTGACTTTCTGTTCTCCAGATGTGCTGACAGTCTAAGCATAGGTATAATAACATTTAAAAATACCAAGTATCTTTGTGGCCTGGGTCCTTCCGACTTGATCATGACTTTCCACTCCAGAGCAGGGCATATGCCTGCTTCCACCCACCACACATATTCAGTGGTTCCTTCTTCCTTCTCTATTCCATACTCCCCACCACCATCTGGTATCTATCCAGGTTTCAGCCCAGCTCTGCCCACTGAGTTCCCAGCCGTGTAGTCTTTGATAATTTTCTTAATCTCTCTACATCTCAGTTTCCTCATAAGCAAAATATAAAACATGAGCTTCATCTTAAATATGAGGCATTGTAGTGAAAGACATAATGCAATAATGGACAGCAGGAATATTAGCATCACACAGAGTTTCACCTGCTTCCCACATCTACATGGATAGACCTGGGCACATGCTGTCGGCTGTTAGGAGTCTCACTTTTGAATGAAGGTAAGATTAGTCCCTATGAAGCATTGGTTGTGAAAAGCAAACTCAATAATGCATGCCAAACCCTGAGCAATGTGCCTGGCCCCTGAGAAACTACCTGTTTGTAAATGTTAACTACTATTTTAGCACAGGGTGGCTGCTACTTTTTAAATGATAGATACATTTTGAAAATAATGTCATTATGGCTGTGTGGGGGGAGGAGGAGTCCAAACCAACAACCTGAAAAATATTTGACTTCAGTTGGAGCTCCCAAGACAATACGACGGAAATGAGATGACAAAGATACATCTTTAAATACCATTTTGTTCCTGATAAAGACTTCATCCTTCTCTTCATAAAAAAATTATAACTGCAGCTAAACTTTCTAGGGATGCTTCCTGATTTTAGAAAGAACTATCTTCATGCATGCTAAATGGGAATCAGCAGTATTTTTCCATGGACTTTCCTAGCTGCTTTACATAGTTGCCTCTTTACCAAACGCTATGTTTTGAATACTAAAATGCTCAAAATCTCTTGATCAGGATATTGAATTAGGAATCCAAGGTTCAAGTCCAGGCTGTGTCACTTGGTGACTGTATGCCTTCAGAGAAGTTATTTAAGCTCTCTGAGGCTTGATTTTTCCCTCTTGCAAAATGCAGATTCCACGAATGAGATCAGAATGTGAATTAAAGTATTGTTAAATGTGATTTATTTGGGGGCAATAAACTGCACCATTAAAACAAGTGTCGTTTGGCATGAGACTGCTAGGTGTCCCTGGCCAAGTACCCCCATCTTCTTCAGAAAGAGCTAGCAAGGCAAAGATGACCTGTCCACTCTGATTGGTTGTGGCTGCCTAGGAAATTATGATGAAAGGGATTCTGAGGATGCATCTAGCTGAGTGTTAGCATTGAAATGTATTGGTGATGTCTGCCACAGTCATGGAGGGAGACATTACTGCTCATACATACTTTGCCATCTCAGATGAGGGTACTCCCTTTGGGGCTAGTTGATTTGAAAAGGTCACACTATAAACTCAGGGGTGGAGAGAAGAGTTCTGATTAACCAGGTGACTTTCCCTCAGCAAGTGGGAAGCAGAGGAAGCAACAGCTCTGAAAGAGAAGCCACTCTCTGCAGGCATGGACTTGCCCTTCATTTCTAAATGAGCATGCCCAGAGCCCCAACCACAGCCCAGCTTCATCGCAACAGGTGAGAGAGAAATGCACTCTTCACATTGCCCTAAAACTGCTCTGTCAACTATGACATTGAAGGGCTGACACTGTGCTAGCCCAGAAACTGAGAAAGTCCTCTGTTCCCGTGGCTCAGAAAACTTCCATGGCTGCCTGGTCCCATTTGCAGACATTGAGCTGCAGCAGCTAACAAGCTCTGACACAGGCGGCCAGCACAGCCATTCACAGGCAAAAGCTCATTGCCCCAGCTCTGCCAGCCTTGCCTGTGCCTTGTTTGTTTTTCTACCCTGGGATGAAAAAGCACACAAATGACTCCAGGTGAAAAGCTCAAAGCTTTCTCAAACACCCACCTAAACACATGGGTCTGAGCATGTTTATTCTTTCATGTCGTTTTGTTGTTTTGCATTCACAAAACCTTCAACAAGGTGTAAAGCAAGGTGTTTGTTTGTAAAACACCCAAACTTGAGTGGCTGGGCTGTCTGCCTTCATTATTTTAACCATGGGATTGACAGTGAAAGACATAATATTTCAATAAAATAAAAGTATTGTCAGCAAAAAAAAAAAAAAGTATGATGACATACCGAGATGCAGCACGATGATAAACTAGTAAGAAAAATTTGATGAAAACCAGAAACACATAAGACTGCAATTTAATCTTTTTATTTGAAATATAAATATTGTTACCATCAAGCTTGACAGTATAGAAAATGTGTACCCTGCAGCCTTCTGACAAAACAAAATTTATGTTTAAAACTTCCTGAAATAATACCTTTTATCCATAGGGTTTTGTCATATTGCAATGGCTCTGAGCCTACTGTATGGCCCTGCACCTTTAATTATTTTATGCCTAGAAGACACATTTTAAATAGAAGAGGCGGGTTACAAGAGTTTTGACAGCTGAAGCTGATTAAAATACTGACAACATGCACTCAATAGAATTCCCTTAGGTTTTTGTCAAAGACCCATAGGAAAGTTAAAGTATTTTTACCCACCAGCACGAAACATTCAGGCCAGGCTAGTGCCATTCGTTGCCTGGCCCTTGCCAGAGAGACGTTCAACAAAAATTCTCTTTTTTAAATGTTGGACGGCCGCAGACTGGAAAACCAGTCAGCTGATTGAGTTTGCTAATCTGTTTCCAGTTAACAAAGCACAGGGCCTCTTTCCAAGGCCAGCTGTTTCATCTCATTTGCTGAAGAGAAGAAAAGCTGGATGGCTTGCTTATTTATTTATCAGTCTCTTTTACAAGGGTGTTACCAACTGGGCTGGTTTCCTGGATCACGGCCGATCTAGTCCCCACGTTGTTTCTCATTACGGAGTGTGACTTTTACAACTTCAAGTGAAAATCTAGTCTCTACCAATCCAGTCACTCCTGTTGCCCGATGCCCAGAACAGGGAGCTAGAAGTCACTGTAGTCAAGGAGCTGTACATCTGTAGAGGATCTCTGAAAGCAGAGGATCTCTTTATATCTGAGGCTTGAATTTTTATTGCTGGATGTTCATGAGTCAAGGAGTAGGATATGAACTCAACCAGCTCATGAACATCCAGCCCTAAAATTCAAGCCTCAAATATCAAGAGACCTTCTGTTGCAGAGCCTGGTCTTAACCATTTTGCAACACTGCTCCTATGCCTTCTAAAACTTGTCCTACTCATCATTTATGTAGTTGTCTTCTAGCTCTTTTAAAAGTCCCAGGAGTGACCATTGTTCCATATCACAAGAATTAGAATTGTTAGTTTTCTAAGAAGACAGAGGCTTTAGATTGATCTGTACACTTCAAGGAAGGAATCTGCTATTTCTACTAAAAGTTGATTATCTGGGATATAGGAAGGTCAGCAGGTCACTGAGTCTGTTGGTGACATCTTGAAATGGTGGTAGAAAGTCCTGCACGAGGTCATCTTTCCTGAGCCTTCATAAATCAGAGACCAAGCCAATGCTTTGAGTGTCTACAGAGCTGGCTCCATGCAATCACCTCTTCCTCTCTCTGGTTACGACCCCACAAATATCTACCTCTGCTTTTTTCTTTGGCCATGTTTTTTAGATGGATGTCCTCTTCTAGGACAGGGACTCAATAGCTAGGGCCCTCTGTCACAGAGCTAAACACATTCCTGACCTAGGAGTTGGAGAAACTGAAGGAGGACCAGGGATGAGATACAGTAATGCAAGGCCCAGATGCTGCTTTATGCCAGAGAGGTGAGTCAGCAGATCAGTGATAATATGTGTGAACTACAAAGTGGCAGACGCTTGCCTTTCACCCTCCACATATCCCTAGAATCTCCCCTGTGGCCTACCCTAATCAAAAACATAACAAAGAAAGGACTCTGGGAGATGGAGTTCAGCTTGACCTAGTTGACACATTGCAAAGTCATTACAGACACATAGAGGTATTCATTGCATCTGAATTAATAAGCAAAAGAAAAGAAGGAAAAAAGAGAGTAAGAGAGGGAGAGAAAGGAGGGAGATAGAAGGGGAAGGTAAGAGAGAAAAGAAAAAGGAGCAAAAAGCAAGGCTATCAAACTGTTCATAAAGGCATGGCATTCTGAACCCAGCATCTGAACCCCCAACACACTTCCTAATTTATCTTGTTTTCTGGTGTCTTCCTGCTCCTTCATTCCCACCTCCCGTGAGCCCACTATTTTCATAGGCTTTCCCATAAATCCGTACTCTTAGATTCTGAAACAAATGAACAAACAAACTAGAGTGTTAACGTGCTCCAAGATTCACCCCTGCAATAAGATAGGGCTCAGAGCATTTGCTTTTACTCAGGGCTTAAATTTCAAGGGAAAGGATGAGCGGTGGATGTCCAGGCCTGGGTTAGCCGACTATGGGGGCTCCCATTACCCTGACACTAAGGGGGTCGCTGACGATGCCATCTTTGAGCACATTCTTCCTATCTACAGTGCCCAGTGCCAAGAATGAAGACACTTGGCCACCACATGCTAATGACAATCACATGATCAAAGCAATGTGTGGATAAGATCTGCAGCCAATGTCCATTGTCTTTCCACAGAGAAGACTGTACAGGATGTTTTAGACTTTGTGATAGTCTAGCTTGAGAACTTAAGGAGTGAATTCAATTGATATCCAGCAGGCTCCGCATATGCATACTATCATAATCATAATGTACGTACTTCCTCTGGTTGCTACCAGGCGAATATCCCTGAATTTTTCAAATCCAGTGAAAAATCTATAGCTAGACCATCCATAATGAGACCATTGTGGGGAAATCCTCCAAAATATTCAGAAATAAATACCACCCAACGAGCTAATGCTTCATCATTCTTTAGGATTCAATTCAAAGGAAATGTCCTCTCCTAGATCCTTTCAACCCCTTTTCACCAGGTAGGATGAGAAGTTCTCACTGTCTTATAAGTCTGTTATCCACACATTATTATACAATAATAAATATGAAGATGATGATAGAGGAGTATGGTTATTGGACATTCGCAAGCTACTAAACTGTAAGCTGCGCACTTTCTGTCCATATTCTTATTTAATCCTTACAACAACCCTGTGAGATGGACCGTATTCTTCCCATTTTACAGATGAGAAAATGGACACTCAGATCAATTAAGTACATTGAAAAGTCCATACAGCTGGTATGTGGGGCAAAGCCGTGTGTCTCACAGTTGGGGGAGTTTTCTGTCTTCAGCACATAACAAAATGTCTGGCTCACAGCAGATGTTCAGAAAGAGTTTGATAAATAAGGAAATATTGAACGATCCGCTGGGATATTTACTCCAATCTTTCCACATCGGCATGTTTACTCCTGGTTCTCTTCATGAACAAGTCACCCAGCAATACTAAATTTGAAAGAAATTAATTTTCTCCTCCATTTAGGACTAGCTACATAGTTTGTGAGGACCAGTGCAAAATAAAAATTCAGGGCTCTTCAAAAATTATTAAGAATTTCAAGAGGGTGAAAACAGTCTTAAACCACAGGTGGGGCCTTTCAACGCAAGGTCCCATGCACCTGCACAGATCACACACACCCCTGAAGCCAGTCCTGCCTCCACCCAAGGTTGGAGATATTTTGGCAGGGGTCTTTCACATGGAGTTAAGGGTAGGCCCAAACTGGGTCATACTTTCCCATTCCCATACCCTGTTGTCTCTGACCCCAAATAACTTCCACATTCAGTGCTCAAGAGGAAACTACCATGTTGCCTTTTAGACTATATCTAAACATACATGGTCCTAACCTTGCAGAGAAGTCCCCACATACCTCCAAAAATGAGTAAGTGCCAACCCTAATGATGGTGGGAGCCATTGTATTGGTGGTCACTGCCATTCTGAACATGATTTTCAAGGAACTTCAGGGGTTTGCTTATCACTTAAACAAAAGACATGATGAGTTTTAAAGACCCAGCTTCCCACAGTAAAACTCATTGCTGAAATTTGGGAGGTGCTCTGTGTCTTAGACACAACAACATTTGCCAAGCTCTTGGTGGTTTTTTCACTTAAGGGCCTAATAAGTAAAATGTGGCCTCCTCATGCCGAGCAAAGTGGGACAGGGACTCAGACTTTATACAAAACTCACTTGGACAACTGTCTTTTCCCAGGAGACCAATCAAACAAAGGAAAGCCAAAAGAGCAAGTGGGGAAAAGGACCACAAAAACTTCCAAACACGATGAATCCAAGAATGCATTCTTCCCCAGTACAGCTTGCTCTGTATCAGACAAAGTTTGGTCCTCATGTGGGAGGAGGTCACAGCGGGCAGGGCTAGGGGAGACAGTCTGAGTGTTCCACTGGCTCTGCTTCAGGCTGCCTGGCCCTGTTAAAACTCCCTCGGCATGTTCCCAGAGAGGACATCCCTGGAGTTCCTGTGTCCTGCCAATCCACCCAGGCCGCCTACACAACCCAGAGAGAATACTAAAACATAAGCTGTAGCGTCACCCTTAATTCAACTAATTCAGGGGACTCTTCATCCAAACAGCATTATGGAATGTGTACTGAATTTTAAACCAGGTGACCCAGACACATTCAATGATACTGATGGTTCTTTACCATGGAACTTGAAATCTCTGGAATAGCAATATGCAATGGGAATTGAGTTAGATGGACTGACAGCCTGCCACACACTGGGTGCAAAGCAAACATCTGTCCCAATAAGAAGGCCTCCGATAACCTGGTGAGTTGTCATGAAGGGGCATATAACAACACTGATTTCTAATCTCAAATTTTCCCTGGCTAAGTGCAAGAAGGACACTGATTTTATATCCACAGTAGAATGAGAACAGTTGGTTGCAATGAGATTGGTCTTATATTAGATTCCAAGAAATCAATTTCCATTCCACGCCATCCTAGACATTTTCTAATGCTCATTTGTCTCAGCCTTGAGCTCTGTGAGGTGGTCTGAGACCCAAGACTTAAGGGGTTTGCTCGGGATCATATGGCTACTAAGTCAGAAATGCACTGCATGTCAGTGTATTGCAAAACTGGGGCACTTACTCCTAACAAATTCACTCTAAAGACTTCAGCACAAAATGTCAAACCAGCCCAGCCCTGTAACCTGCAAAGGGGAAGTAGCACCAGAGGTGGGTTGCCATTCCCACCCCTCATCAGTTGCTTCCTACACAGGAATCCCAGGTTCCATTCCACTCCTTTATTGTTGGCAGTTTATTTGAAGGCTCTTGTTTGTGAAATCCCAGTTGATGCCCAAGATAATTCAAATTATCCTCTCCTGCATCTGTTTCTCTCATCTCTTTTCATCTGAAACACGATTATTATTATTTTGCTTTTTGGTTCCAATTATTAAAAAAAAGATGAGCAAGGAGTGGAAAACAAGTTACGTGATGGATAAGAAGAGGGGCCCCTTTACACATAATTGGTCTTTGAGGTCTTTAATTATTTTGGTCTAACTTAAAATAACTAGGTGAGTGGAGTTGTCAGGGGATTGAGCCTCCAAAGACTCAGCCAGCTCACGGAGGTACTGGAGGACTGGTTAGCTTTGAGAACTCTGAGGCTTGCTAAGTAGATCATCTGGGGAAGGTTATATTTAGCATGACCACCTAATTCCAACTTGCTTGGTTTTGGGACTGGATGTCCTACACTCTAGGAAATCCTTCCATCCCAGGCAAATGAGATAGTCACCCTAGTTAGGCTGGGGTGAAGAGAGCGGATGAGGAAGGGCAGGAAAATGACCCTAGCTGGCATTTTCGTGCAGCAAACTTGTGCCTATACCTATTCTGTGTCCAATACTCTATGAACCAGACCTACTCTTGCCTCTGTCAAAGTAGAAAGGGGTATCCAGTAGGGGTAACAGATATTTTCAGCTATTTTCTGGAAAACTGCAAAACGATATGGCTTATAATTTAAGAAATACATGAACCACATTTACAGGTTAAGAGGATCTCCCGCCATGGATGTTGAAAAAAAACAGGCTGTTACTTGGCAGAGAAATTTGATCTGAGCTTTGAAGAATGAATAAGGCATCAAAGAAAAGGCACAGAGGAAAGGGCACTCCAGGTGGAAGGAACCCTGTGAGGGAAGAGGTGGAAGCAGGAGGGAATCACCGACCCAGCAGGGCTGGAGCAAACCTTCTTTGGGTGAAAGAAGATGAGGGTAGAAAGGGTCAGCAAACATTTCCTATAAATAAGCAGATAATAAATATTGTAATCACAACCACTTCACTGCTGTTGAAGTGCAAAAGCAGCCACAGGTGATATATAAAGCAATGGGCACTGTTGCTGGATTCTAGTAACACTTTTTTTTTTTTTTTTTTTTTTAAGAAAACCAGGTAGGGGCCCCCAGGCCATAGTCTGCCAATTCATCATCTAGGAAAAAAACAAAAAAACAAAACAAACAAAAACAAAAAAACAAAAAAATGTAGGCAGCAAATCTTGTTGGGCTTGAAATGACCAAGGAAGGTATTCTATAAGCATTAGGGGCCATTGAAGATAGGAAAGGAATGGATTTTCCTTTGACCTTTAAGGAAATACCAAGAAGTAGGAATTTTTTTTTTTTTTTTTTAGTATATCCATTCTTCTCTTTTAGAAGCTTATAAAAGCAATAACCAAGATAATATCACGTGGTTACTTTATTCCAAGGACTTCACTTGTATCATCTCATTTTACACAATAGCCTCAAAGCAAGATGTTTCTCCTTCCTTTTATTCCCATGGGCTTGGGGTAGAAAAATATCTGCTACTTCATGTACAACCAGAATTGACTTCTGCAGCTCAGCCAGTTGACCAGAGGCTCAGAAAGGCACTGTGTTCTCTGGCATTCATAAGCCATGTGGGTCAAGGCAGGAAGCACCTATGAGCACCCTAGGGAAGCAGGACTGGGGTAGGGCTCAGTTGTTAGAGTTTGGAATCAGCTACAACTAGTGGATATCAAGAATGAGAGGCAAGCGAGGCACTTTCTACTATTGATAGGCACTTGTGTAGTTTTCTTATTTGAGCTATTACAAAGATTGCCGCTGTGGACATTGTACTGCATGTCTTTCGGTGAACATACATCCACATTTATGTTGGATGTATATACCTTAGATGTGTTTTATACCAGCTAGTTTGTCAGACACATGCCCATTTATTAATCCCATAGATGCATGGTATCCTCTCTGAATATATACCGCTTTAGCCAGAAATCCTGAAGGCACAAGTACTTAATCATGCACCCAAATATCAATGAGGCAGAAATAGAGGGGATGGTCAGAGGGATACAATGTCACCAATTAATGAGGAGGTGGGTAAGGCTCAGGGAAAATTTACCTCCAACCTAGGTCAGAAAATCCAGCTAATTATTACTTTATTGTGCTTTGATTCATACTTAATATCATTCTGAATCCCTCCCCTTAAGCTATCCTTCTATGTTTCCCCTGCATAATGCCTTAAATAGTAATAAATTGCAACATTAGTTAACGGCATTACATCATGTGAATTTTAAACACCACAACTTGGGGGAAATAAAGCTTTATTAGGAGTCGAGTTATAAATCTGCGTTAGACAAAGCTGCAGATATTTTTGGAAAGCGCCGGCTATTTGAGCTACTGAAAGAAAATCAGTTTCTTTCAATTCTCCTAATGCTATGACTTTCACTGATACCATTGCCAACATTTCAGAGCCCTGTCTGTGACACAAAGCAAGGGAATTGTGAACTTGGCTTCAGAAGTTGGGACATGGGGAGGTAGGGAGGTGGGGAGGCCAGGGTCGGGTGGGCATGGTTGCGGAGCTTAAGTTAAACTTAAAGTTGACCATAATATGCAAAAATAAAGAGGCTCTCAGTTGGAGGCACTCAGAACTGAATTTGGAAAAATCTGTTGTATTTTCTTACATCCAATCTTTAAAAGTCTTAAGAGTTCATGTCACTGAATATTCTCAGTATAAGGACAGCATTAATTGTATCAACTTACCATTAGATAGTTTGTCAAAACAGGAAGAATGTGAAATTCAGAGTCAGTTAAACCTTGTTATAATTTGTGGCCTTGGGTAAGTTTCTTCGTTTTTCTGAACAAGATTACCAGTTGTATAGGTTGCTCACTGCAAAAAGTTGCCCAGCTGAGGGGCGAAGTGAAGGCTGAAATCTTGCCTATGCCCCCAGTCACCAAGTCACAGAACTGTCTACCACGGTCTCATTTGTACAAAGTCACTATCTAGGTTTGTGGTGGCCCTGACTCTGAGCCTTAGTTTTCCCACCTGTAACATAGGAGACAGAATCACGAACATTGCAGAATCACTTTGGGCACTTCTTTTAAAGATCACACAAGTAAAGGGTGCAGCACACAGCCTGACACCTTATGTGTAATTGTTCTTCACACTTTTTGCCTTTCCGAATGTGATCTGAGAACACAATGTGTCCCGAGAGTGCTGCAGTTTTGACCTCCTGCCTTGGAGAGTCTCTCACTACCTTTAACTGGCAACAAAGTCCCTTTGAAGCCATTTGAGCAGATAGCTGATGCCAGATAGCTGGGTTTACATTCAGGGCAGCAAGCTGTTACTGCTAACTTGTCCTGCCCTGTGAAAGTAAAACAAGGGCCAAATTTCCCTTAGCCTTCACCTAACTAAATACAATCATTCATTCATTTAACAGATACTAATTGAGTGCCGGGTATAAGCCATTCTTGTCTTGGTGCTAGGAGATGTAGCAGTAGATCAGATAGGGAAGGCGTCTCTTTTTTGGGTGTTACAATGTAAAGGAAGCTTCTCTCTTCCCAGATCCATCCACAAAGAGTTGCCTCTGTTTGGGTTGCCATTTTATTATTAAAAGCAATGTAATAAATGTCACAGGAATTTGGGGGACTGGAAAAATAGTACTTATGATCACATAGCACATTATCATCATGTCTGTGGATATGACAATGGCTATTATACAACAGAGTTTATCAAAGAAGATTCGTGTAAATCAAGACACAAATGACAACAAATGATAGTTGAAGGTGGCCTTGTGATCCTACTGAAAAATATGATGCTTATAAAAAAGAACTAAGTCTGGATTTAACCAAAAGACCAGACTCTGACTGCTTTAGGTCAATTTCCATTCCATGGATTGGATCCCAAATATTCAGTCTGATCCAGTTACAATCACTGAACCATTACAACCACTGGCA